>NC_000011.10:11310000-11935000 GCF_000001405.40 Homo sapiens | reverse complement strand
CAGATTGCACTGGATCACACTTTCAGAAACAATGTCAGCTATCTTGTGTGTTATTTTTAGTTATGTTATTGGTTCCACATATAATTATACACAAAATGATGTAGTATGCAATTTTTTCTCTAGGTAATGACTGTTTAATTTCAGTCATTCTGTTACTGCTTATATGGAAAGGGGAAAACTTATATTTGTTAAGTATCATAAATGACATTTAGAATGATCTGGTGAAACAGCAGTGACCCCATTTGCCTTTCAAACCTCATTAATAACTTTCCACTACTCTTAGAGAACAAAACGTAAACTTCTATTTCACAAAATCTCTAATTTCATTTTATGGTACTCTGTGCTCACTCAAAACAATCTAAACATATGGCTCCTTTCTTCAGTTTCTTAAACGTGCCAAGCATCTCCTCACCTCAGCACTTTTGCACATGCTGTTCACTCTACTTCGAATATTCTTCCTTGAGCATGGGCCAGTGATGGAATGGGTAACGCATCTGACTATGGACCAGTATATTCTTCCTCAACTTTTTGCATCGCTGTCTCCCTTTCTCATGGTTAAAGTTTCAAAATAAATTTTCTCAATTTACTACTAATGTATTTATAGCATCTAAATAATAAAATAATTGCAAACTGTGATGTTTAAGTACGTTTTGTCTGTTCTTTCCAGTAGATTGTAAACTCCATGAAGGCAGTGACCACGCCTTGTTCACTTTGGTATCTCTAACACCTCATGTTATCTTATTCACTCTAATATCTCTAATGTTTCATATAGTAAACACTCATGAAATGTATGTTAAATGAATAGAAAGAGCAAATAAACATTCTGTTCCTAATTTTAATTCTGGGATCTAGAAACTTCAAATGGCTTCCAGAGGGAGAAAATTTTCAAAATCAACTGACTATGCTCCAAAGGAGAGGTATAAATATACTCGGTAAGAGATAAATTAACCAGTTACCAAGGTTACTGCCAGTGTTTATATAACTATTATCCATTATAAAAACTTGGGAAATTATGTTAATACTGTTGTATTAGTAAGTAAATGCCAATGATGCAATTAAACATACCTTATAAGCCATTTCTACTGCTTCCTTTAATGTCTTATCCTTATGAACCTCCAATTTATTTTCCATCATTACTTGTTTTGTAGGATGCAAACAGAATAATTTTATCTAGAAAATGTAAAATATCATCATCAACTCTGCAGTTCCAAAGTTCAATTCTTCCGTAGATAGCATTTATTCCTAATTGTCAAAATACTGCAATTTTTTAAAAGAACATAATTGAGATCACTCTTCTATCTATTCTTTCTCACTTAGTAATTGACACCAGTTATGTCTCACACCATACAAAAATTCAAAAACATTAATTTTAACAACTGCATGTTTCCTTATAAGCATGTATCATATTTATGTAATCATTCCCCTACCAATATACATTTGTGTTGTTTCCAATTTTTCCCTAATTTGGAAAATGCTATAATGAATATCCCTGTAATCAAGATTATTACAGTAATTATGATTATTTCCTTAGGTAATTCCATAAGAGAAATTATATTAAAAAATATGATTTTGCTTAAGGCTCTTGATAAATACTACTCAATTTCTATCCAGTTTTTACGGATTTATTTTCTTTTAGTAGGATAAGAGAATGTGTCTACCTCAACTGTGGCTTCACCAGCACTGAGCACCGTCACTACATGTTACTGGGTTTTTACACATCAAATCAAATCAAATTTTACCTTTATAGTATAGTTGGTTACACTGTTCAATGATCATGATAGCATAATTGTCTCAGAATCAACCCAATGAGTTAGTCATTAGAATTGCAGGTAAGCGAGCTTAAAAATAGCACTTTCAATTAAAAATAAAATGATGGAATTCAACCTTGCATGTATTGCGCTCAATTTCTCGTTGTCTCTTTTCTTGTTCTTCCAACTCTCTCTCTTTCTGCACCAAGTTTTTAATATGTTCTGGGTATTCATCCACTTCTAGAAATTCTATTAGTAATAAAAACAGGATAAGACAGTGTCACTGAAACTGAGCTGCCTTTATTCATCCTGCTTCACTATGCTCTCATGGTATATACTTCTACTGTAGCACTCATGGAGATATATCTCCATTACATCCTTCTCTCAACTTGGAATACAAGCTTCGTCCAGAAAAGGGTTAAGAGACAGTTAACAGGGACACATGGTTAGGTCCATATCTTAAAGAGCCATGTATTTATTCAAAATGGCTCTTGGCTCCAGAACAACTCCAGTATGTGGATTAATATTTTAGAATGAAAAAGCTCTCTGCAACTTGAAAATAATTTCTGACTTCAAATCATGCCATCCCCATCAAACTGTGTGACCTTGGGCAAGTTTACTTCTCCAAATGTAGGTCTCTTCAGCTTATTAATATCATCTACCCCATAAAGTTACTACCTGAGATACAATAAAACTTAATAAATACTGCTGCTGTTGCTGCTACTGAGTACTACCCATTTGTTTACTATTATCTTTCCTGTGTTCTCAAAGCAGTCTTTAGCTGCTTCCTAACCAAAGAATGCAGAGTCATAAAACTGACACCTTCATCTATTGGATTTCTCCCTCTCTATATGGTCAAGATTCATTTGAATACAAAAAGTGATGATTATGTGATATAGTTTGGACATCTGTCCTCGCCCAAATCTCATGTTGAATTGGAATCCCCAATACTGGAGGTGGGGCCTGGTGGGAGATGTCTGGGTCAAGCCTCATGGCTTGGTGCTTTCTTTGCCATACTGAGTTCTCATGAGTTCTGGTCATTTAAAAGTGTGTGGCACCCCTCCCCCAACCCCGGAACTTGCTTGCTCCTGCTTTTGCCATGTGAAATGCCTGCTCCCATATTGCCTTCTGACATGACTGAAAGCTCCCTGAGGCTTCATCAGAAGCTGGGCAGATGCTAGCATCATGCTTCCTGCAAAGCCTGCAGAACTGTGAGACAATTAAATCTTTCTTTATAAATTACTCAGTTTTGGGTATTTCTTTATAGCAATGCGAGGACAGCCTGATATAATTTGTGAGGCTACTTTTAAACAATTAGTTAAAAGAATAAAGTATATGCAAAAAATCATTACTATAGACTCACATATAATCATTTTTACGAAAGTTTTTCTTAATAATTACAACTTCATATGTAACTCAAAGCATTCAAAGGGACAATATGAAATTATGACACCATTTAATAAAGCCAATGATTATTTGGCATTAAAAAGGGGAAAAAAATTTTATCAAAAACAGCATGTGTCCGTAAAAGGTAAAAGCTGTTGTTTCTAGGAAAGAACTCTAATTTAAAAAATATTCCATGTCATGTCATACAGCGCCCTCTGGTGCTTTATAACAAAACTAGAGTTGGGGGAGTAAAAGAAGGCTGAGTTATTGCACTATTGGAAGGTTGGGTCCACGTGAGGGACATGAATTACAATACTGGCTCTGCTTCCAGATAGCTATGACCTGGGTCAGCTTACTCTTTGGGGTAGTTTCTTTATAATACAGTACAAATGATTACTTCTGCTCTTAAATCTCTGTTCTGAAATGACTTACTATAATTTCCATTTATTTTTTCAATAATTCCATAGTAAATTATTGAACATTACTATATGACAGATCCTAGAATATACTTTATGTGAAAAGATGAGTAAGTCCTAAGCCTTGTACCAATTGAATTCACCATCTAATGAGGGTTTACAAAAATGTGAATAAAAACATAATGCTTGAAACAGATTTACTAATAGCAACGGTAGTGTCTAAACAAAGGAAATATACTGAAATCAAAGATTGTGATTATATTTTTTTTAATTATGAAAAGACTATGAGCAAACACATCACCTGTATATGTATCTGTACACACCCCCCTAGATATTTGTAATACAGCCTGAGTCAGAATTAGCAAGAAAAAACAAACACTGCAATATTTTAAAAGCAATAATTCCAAAAATGTTATCGTCCCTACATCAGACTGCACATAATATAATCTTACTACTAATAAACATTCAATTTATTTAATGTAGTTTTGTCTCTTCATATATTAAAAAATAATTCAACAACATTTTTTCAAGGTCCTTAACATTTGGTATTATTTTGTAACAGTCTTTGTAAATAATTCTTCCAGGCATAAAACAACTTAATTATCCTATCATTTAAAAGTAGTTATCTGGGTTTGCAAACTTACAAAAGAAATTAGTTTATAACACAAATTAAAATCAAATAACTGTAGGTAAACATACTTGCATTTCTGGCTGGATCCTTCAGTCTATAGATCAGCATATATGCATTTGTGGAACTAGTAGAAACATAAAAAAGATTAATAAGGACAAAAAGTAGATTAAAAAGATTCCACTTCTAAGCATGAAATATTTAAATTGTGATTTTTTAAAAAACAATTAGAAAATCATGTCACTGTTCACAGACACACTGAGATTTAAAACATTCCAGATAAGAGGAAAATCTGTTTCCTCTTATCACATTTAGAGAAGATTCCGTATCTCCTCTTGGTAATACAGTAAAGTCTTTAACAAAACTGTGTATTGGAATGTCTACATACAACAGTTAAGTCAGGGGCCAGCAAGTTGTTTCCAGCAAGGACCAAATAGTAAAAATCACAGGCTTTGCAGGCCATATGGTCTGTGCTGCAACTACTCAACTATGTTATTATAGTGTAAAAGCATTAACACATAATATAGAAACAAATGGCTATGTCAGTGTTCAAACTTTATTTCCAAAATATGGAGGCAGGTTGGATTTGGCTCATGGGTTGTAGTTCCTCAATCCCTTGGTTAAATCTTTGATGATAAAAAAACACTGAGAAGCTATAATTAATTCTAACTTTTAAACACTGAAAATTAGGAAATTGCTTACCTTGCGAAAGCACTAGAATAATATCCTCTGCTTCCTGAAGATCCACCATGTGTTTTCTTAATGTCCTCTTGTGTTATCTGAAAATGTGTTACATGATTTTTTTTGCAAATTCTATAACACTATCACATTAACGTCAATATGTAACTCAATCTTTAGCCTCAGAGTTAAATGCTATCAAAGACCTTCATGATTGCTCACACAGCTACCAATTCACAAAATTTAATCATAATCAGTGGCTGCTTACCAGCCAGCCAGTTCTAGTATTCCTAATCACACGTGAAGCACAAGTAGCACCTATGAAGGTTCAGGCCCAGAGGAAAATTGGTAGTCTATCTCTGGAGATATTCAGCAAGCCCCAAACAAAACAAAGCAAAACAAAGAAATAATAAACAAAGGCAAGAACTTTACTAAAAGCAAAAATTAAAGACAGATTTGATATGGGTCTTAAGATGTATCACTAGACAGATTCACTCATTCTTAATAAACTTTACTGTTGTTTAGAAACATCCTTACTCCCACCTTTCAGAGTAATAATCTTAAAGGACACCTCCTTACCCTGCTGACATGTTGATCATTGAAGCTGTACCACTGCTCATCACTGAATGACTTTATACATGCATAATAATGACCACCAGCAGCGCTCCCAGAATGAACCATAACAGAGAAAAGTTCATAGATCAAGGAATTCTAAGGGGAAAAAATAAAAGTAACTCAGAGGAGAAGGAAAACACAACCCTTATTTGTGTATTTCCTATTCTCTGTTAACACACAGAGAAGTAACATGGTAAGTTGTCCTATATATTACAGGTCAACTTTCCCCTAAGGTAAAACAAAAATGGCAAGTTATCAAACAACTGTATATACCAGAAGTTACACAAGTTTCATCAGTGCACTCTTCCACATTTTAATTATGCTATAACCTTTGAAACCATATATATCTGTAAATATAAACTTACATATGTAAAAATTAAATAATAGTCTAAAATTTCAGAAGCAGATGCTAATTACAGTGCTGTTCTAAAATACACAGTCGATAAAAAAAATCCGAAGTAACATACTGTTTCTTATTCAAATTCTATTTCCTTTACAAAAGAGCTGAGGAATATAATTATTTGGAACATCTTCTAATGTATTTATGCATTATCTGTGATATCATGATCTACTGATTTGTTCTCTCATATTAAGAATGAATCCTGAATTATACTATATCTACAATAAATTAATATTATTTCTTTAGCTTCCTGTTCTGCAAACAATTCTTTAAAGTTTGGAACTAAAGATTATTTTAGGCAAACTTAAGTATTTGTGGAAGAAAATCAAGAAAAGAGGCAACTTGTTTAAAAAAAAGAGGTCATTTATAATGACTTATTTTTATATTTAAGACAATCTTTTCTTTCAGAAGCCCATGTACTTCACAACTCCTAAGACAGTTTGAGATACTAGAGACTCTGCAAACCAGTAACTCTATCACAAAAAAAGAACAGGTAGGAAGACAGAAACAGAGAAGGAGGTTAAAAAGGCAATTTGACATCAGAAGATTTCCAGTTTATGACAGACAAGCTTTATTTTATTTACTTTTCTACAAGTACTAGGGTTTCTCTTCTTTATTCTTTTCCTAAAAAGCATTGTAGAGCCTTCTATAACTTTCAAGAAATTCTAATTTATCTTAAAATAACTTTAAACTGACCACAATATATTGTTAATTAGTGAAATTTCTAGAACAAATTTTGAAAATGTCTGAAAACTTGTTTTGTGGTTCAAATTTTATTCCTAAAACTAAAATTAATTACAGTGGTGATAGGGAGGAAGTTTCAGAATTTATTTGCAATCCAAAATGTGTTTAAAGCATTGAACAACTTATGAAATGTGGTAACCCCATGTTATTAAATTAAAATGCTTTGAATGTAGTAAATACACTAGACAAAATTTTGATATCACTGAATGATATGAATATCTTATCATAAGCAGTCTCCCCATTTAGAAAAAAAATAAACACAGAAAAAGTCTGCCAACCAACAGCTATACATTTTTTAAGTTTCATCATAATGATCAAAGCCAACATAATTATCTTCCTGGAAAATTCTAATAGCAGCAACTTCTAGATGACAATAATGGTGATATATTCAGAAGACTGAATCACCTTCCAAATTAGAATTGTATATATCTATTTTAAAGCAAAGATAATACAGTCATGACAGAGTAAGGGTTCCCAATTGCAATAATTTTAGTTTCAAATCACAAATACATTGCCAAAAAGTAGGAAGGAAAGTAAAGTGCCTTCATCCAAATGTAGCATGATAATTTGTAAATAAAATTACATAAAAACGTGTCCTAACATTTTCTTCTCTTTTACTACTATTTAACAAAGCAATACATTACTCCTAATTAAAAGGGGATACATCTTCAAACATGGTACTAGCAAACAGAATTACAAATTTCTAGATCTGCGTAGAACAGAAAGCACCTAGTCCAAATTCCTCCAAAATGTAGCAAATGAAAGGCACACAGATTAAATGATTTGTCCAAAGTGATACAGTTTATTAATAGCAAAGTAAGAACTAAAATCTAGATCATTTGGCCCACTAATGCAAGGGTCAAAGAGTGAGTATTTTAGGCTTTCTGGGCCATACGGTTTCTGTCGCAACTACTCAACTCTGTCATTATAGTACAAAACCAGACATACATAATATGTAAACAACCAGAGTGAATGTGTTCTGATAAATCTTTATTTACAAAAACTGGTAACACTAAGCAACAGACCTGGAAGCTCAACACCAAATAGAATAAATACCCATCCTGCCCAATAAACCAAAAACCAAAACAACAACAAAAAACAAAAACTCCCATGTTTAGGCATATCATGTTCAAACTGAACAAAACCAAAGACAAAAAAATCTTCAGGGGAGGCAGAGGGGAAAAACACCTTACCTATAGAGGAACAAGGATAAGAATTATAGCACATTTATCATTATAAACCATGCAAGCAAGAAGAGTGTAATGAAATATTTCATGTTGAAAGAAAAATTACCACCAACCTAGAATTCTATATCCAGAGAAATAATCCTTTAAAAGTGAAGGAGAGAAACTAGAAATCAATAGCAAAAGGAAAACTGGAAAATTCACAAATATGTGTAAGTTGTTTTAAACAACACACTCTTGAACAACCAATGGGTCAAAGAAGAAACCACAAAGGAAATTAGAAAATATCTTGAGACAAATGAAAACAAAAACATAACATACCAAAACTTATGCAATGAAACAAAAGAGGAAAGTTTATAGATGTAAGTGCCTACATTAAAAAAAAAAAGAAGACATCTCAAATCAATAACCTAACTTTATACCACAAGGAACCAGAAATAGAAGAACAAACTAAGTTGGGAAGGAGGGATGTAAAAAAAGAGGAAGAAGAAGAAAAAAACTAGATTCAGAGTTAGCAGAAGGAAGGAAATAAAGATTAGAGCAGAAATAAATAGAGAATAGGAAAAAAAAATGAAACTAAGAGCTGGCTTTTTGAAAAGATCAACAAAGTTTACAAACCCTTAGCTAGGCTAAGAAAGAGAAAAGACTCAAATAACAAAAATCAGAAATGAAAGAGGAGACATTATACTGAAGCCACAAAAATAAAAAGGATCATAAGAGACTGAAAAATTATATGCCAACAAATTGGATACCCTAGAAGAAATGGATAAATTTCTACAAACGTTTAACAGCTTATGAAGGCTGACTCAAGAAGACATAAAAAATCTGAACACATCTATAACTAGTAAGGAGATTGAATCAGTAATCAAAAACCTCCCAACAAAGAAAACCCCAGGACCAGGTTGCTTTGCTAGAGAATTTTATCAAACATTTGAAGAATTAACACGAATCCTTCTCAAACTTTCTGAAAAAGTAAAAAGGAGAAAAACTTCCAAACTCATTCTATATGGTCAGCGTGACTTTGATACCAAAATTAGACAAAGATACTAAAAACTATAGAACAATATCTCTTTGATGAATATTCATGCATAAATCCTTAACAAAATACTAGCAAACCAAATTCAGTAACACATTAAAGGACTATACATCATGACTAAGTGATCAATGTAATACACTACATTAACAGAATGAAAAAACCACAGGATCGCTTCAATTGATAAAGAAAAAGCATCTGACAAAATTAAACATCCTTTCATGATAAAAACACTCAACAAACTAGGAATAGAAGGAAATTACCTCAACATAATGAAAGCCTTATATGAAAACCCCACAGCTACCATCATATTAAATGGTGAAAAACGGAAAGCTTTCCCTCTAAGATTGGGAACAAAGCAAAGATGCCCATTCTTACCACTTCTGTTCAACGTAGTACTGGAAGTCCTAGCCACAGCAATCAGGCAAGAAGAAATAAAAGATATCCAAATAGGAAAGAAAGAAGAAAAATTATTTCTGTTCACTGATGACAATCTTGTATGTAGAAAATAAAGATTCCGCATAAAAAAAAAAACCCTAACAAGTAAATTCAACAAAAAGTGCAGGATACAAAATCAACACACACACAAATCTGTTGCATTTCTAAATACTAACAATTTATTGTTTCACTAACACTAACAATCCAAAAAGAAAATTAAGAAAACAATTCCATTTACAATAGTGTCAAAGAGAATAAAATTCTTAGGAATAAACTTAACCAAGGAGGCAGAAGACTCATACAGTGAAAAACCATAAAACATTAAGGAGGCCGGGTGCGGTGGCTCACGCCTGTAATCCCAGTGGGAGGCCGAGGTGGGTGGATCATGAGGTCAGGAGATCAAGACCATCATGGCTAACATGGTGAAACCCCATCTCTACTAAAAATACAAAAAAATTAGCTGGGCGTGGTGGCCGGTGCCTGTAGTTCCAGCTACTCAGGAGGCTGAGGCAGGAGAATGGCGTGAACTTGGGAGGTGGAACTTGCAGTGAGCCGAGATCACACCACTTCACTGGAGCCTGGGCGACAGAGCGAGACTCCGTCTCAAAAAAAAAAAAACCAAAAACTAAAACAAAAAAACATCAAGGAAAGAAATTAAAGACACAAATAAATGGAAAGACATCCTCTGTTCATGAACTGGAAGACTTAATACTGTTAAAATGTCCACACTATACAAAGTGATCTATAGGTTCAATGCAATCCTTATCAATATTGAAAATAGGAAAACAACAGAAAAAGTGAACAAAACCAAAAGCTGGTCCTTTGGAAGAAAAAAACCCCAATACAATTGGTAAATCTCTAATTAGGCTAACCGAGATTAAAAAGACGACACAAATTGCCAGTATCCGAAATGAAAGAAGGTTCATCCCTGCATTAAAAGGACATTAAAGGACAATTAAAAGGACAATAAAAGAATACTTTGTACAACTCTATGCCCCCAAGTTTGATAACACAGATAAAACAGACCAACTTCTTAAAAATCACAAACCACCAGAACTCACAAAGGAGAAACAGGTAACCTGAAAAGTCCTATATCTATTATAGAAATTAAATCAATAATTAACCACTTTCTAAAAAAGAAAGCACCAGGCCCAGATAATTTCTCTGGTGAATTCTACCAAATATTTAAGAAACAATACCAAGTTTCCACAATCTCTTCCAAAAATAAAGGCAGAGGGAACATTCCCTAACTTATTACATGAGCCCAACATCACCAAAAGCAGATAAAGACACTATGAGAAAGGAAAACTACAGATCAATGCATCTCATGAACACAGATGCAAAAATCCTCTGCAAAATATTAGCAAATCAAATCAACAAAGTATAAAAAGAAACACACACCATGACAAAGCAGGATTCATTCCAGGTATGCAAAGACAGCTTAACATTTGAAAATCAATCTATGTAATTCAGGCTGAAGAAGAAAATTACATACATGATCATATCAACTGACATAGAAAAAAAAATCTGGAAAAATCCAATACCTATTCATGATAAAAGTTTTCAACAAAGTAGGAAAAGAACATAAAAAACTGAAAGTCAACATCACACTCAATGATAAGAAACTGAAAGCTTTCCTCTGAAGATTGGAAACAAGGTAAGGAAGTTCTCCCTCACCACTCTATTCAACACTGCATTGGAAGTCCCACAGAGTGCAGTGAGACAAGAAAAAGGCATGCAGATGGGAAAGGAAGAATACTGTCTTTATTTGCAGATGAAATGAAAGTGTATGTAAAAACACAGGCAAGGGCCCAGATTTGGCTCTTGAGCCATAGTTTGCCAACTCCTGCTAGAATGCCATGTTTCTATACTCAGTTACAATGTACTTATTACATTATTCATTACATAGCAATCCCTGCTCAACTGTCTGCCCTGAATGAAACAGATAATTTTAAAAAGTAAAGGGTGGTGGTGATAATTAGAAGAATGGCCTTGGTCTAAAAACAGATTTATGAAAGTAAAACTCTATTTTTAAATATTGCCTTAAAAATCCCTATATTTAATGACTCTGTAATACCTGAGTTAGTGATCAGTCTTCACATTAGGAGTTTATTATTCACACCATGCTCAAGACGTTTTATCTATAATCTTTCCCTCAATAAAACAGAATATATGTGGAAAAAAATGGTCTAAAAAACCCTTAAAGTTATTGACACAGGGGCAAGATCCTATCCCAGAGATTATCCAATTCTGTGGTTTTCAAATGATAATCCATAGAACTATACCATTTTTCAAAGTGTCTTGAGGACTATCGCAGGACAGGGAAGAAAGACTAGGGGGCTTTGGCATTTCCCTACTCAGAAAGATCAGATCTATTATTAATTGTCTCATAAAGTGTTTCATGGCCAGACTTTTAAAAATCAATGACTAATCCAACATTTTACTTTTCTATATAGGAAAACTCAGACAAAATTTATAGACACTTGCTGCAACCTTAAAGGCAGAGGTGGTAATAGAATCTTGGTTTCTTGACTACTAGGCATCGTTTCTGTACCATCCAGCTTGCTTAGACAGTTTAAAGTATGGTCTCCCAAAAATTAATGTTCTTACCTGTAAGCAGTTTTTCCTGAAGTTTAATTATAGTCATATATATATATATATATATATATATATATATATATATATATATGTACAAAAAAACTATATTTGAGAAGTCTTAACTTTCAAAAATTAAGTTTCTTTTAAAGATAACTTTATCAGTCACAACAGCTATAGAATTATATAGGAAGTCAGAGATTATTCTCACTTTCAACTAAAAAATGCAAACTATAAAAGGTACCTTTTCAAGTCCAGATTTTGAGATCTTTTCAGTTCCACTATTGGTTTCAAGACAGATTCCTTCATCAACACCATCATCATTGGAGAAATCGTTGCTCATCTGATCACTGTGACAACTACCTTCATTTTCTGCTCCACTGTCAGTGCAACTTTCAGTCTGAGGAGATTTCTTAATAAGACATAATTATCTTAGTTATAAACCATATACAGAGAAAATATGTTCAACAAAACTTTGTACCTATATACTGCTAATATTTTCACACAATTTAACATATTAGTAAAAATATTTTACTTTGAGTACATTTATTTTCTCTTAAAAATTGAGACCTTAAGTAAAATTAAACAAGCAACAGTGTATTTTAAAAGCATTTCTATCATGTCCTTAAAATTCTAATACAACAAATTAGTGATTCAGAATTCTATTAAACCTCATTTATGTTTACTGTTACAACATAATGGTTGAAATTATCATTTCTTTTAGCAAAATCCACAAAATCAGAGAAGCTGAGCTCCAAAATGAGCTTCTGGTGTTCTCAAATCAGGAAAGAATATAATTTCTTTTCTTGAACAAAAAGTCCAACTCGGTTTATCAGTGCGTTAGGTATTACAGATAATTAGAAAGAGAAACAAGACATTGTATTCATCCTTAAGAACTTGATAGTCTTTTTACAGGAAGTAGAAATATAATGGTTACAGCACATTATACTTTTCTACTTTATGGTTTTAAACCACATTCACACAAATTTAATTTGAAGAATTCTCTTTGTTAGAAACCCCCAAACAATCCTTTCCCCCTTTAACGTTTTATATACATCTCTAAAAATGTTTTTATTTAAATAATTTGAGAATTTTCTAAGATGCAGGCTTTTGAAATGTATAAGGCATTGCATAGAAGTTCTTGAGTGAAACCAAGCAATATACAATAAGCACAAACTTTTTGCCAGGAACTCTTGTTGTAGGTACTACATCTAATATACAGTCTTCATCTCTCAAGAAGGTTAGGTTCAAGGATAAATGGAGATGAAATCCAGCTATAGATCTAAGTCCAAAGAGATATAATTCCTGAAACTTCTTCAGCTGAGCCAAAACATTTCTTGTCCCAAGAACTAAACCTAGAATTCTCTAGGAAGTTTCTACTAAGCTTCATATATAAGTTTTCCTTCTTTGGAAAAAATTTTCCTTTATGAGAAATATATTAGGCATATTCAGAAGACCAATCTACTACTGATCTCTATTTGAGTAGAAATCCTACAAAGATTATGTCTCCTCTCAAAGTCTGGCACACTTTGGGTAGATTTCCTAGCTTAAGCGCAACTGTCTGAGACATTATTTTAAATTAAACTTTTCAAAATGTTATTGATCATAGTTACCATTCAATGAACAGCTACTTCATCTATGGCATCTGGAAATGAGGCTCAAAAGGTTTTATGAATTATCCAAGGTCAAGAGGCTAGCAAGTAGCAGGACAAGAATTTGAATCCACATCTAGCTATGCCTAAAACATGTGCTCTTCTACACCAAACTGCCTCATAGTACTCAATAGTACTAAATAAAACTTAGTGAATGTTTAAAATTATTTTTGAACTCCTGGGAAAAGGCATTTTTTATAACTATAGTAATCAGTTCCAGTAAAACAAAACAAAACAAAACAAAAAAAAAACGCTTCAGGGTAATTCTGAGAATAAATCACTTTGAAATAATTAGCCTAAGTGATTATAAGTATTCCACATAATAAAATCAGAAGAGTTTCCAAAATAATAGAGTGGAATATTGTAAGTCTTTCATTGAATAAGGATAGAAGAACCAGAGAATTTTGGCAGGCCAAAGTGTGGGAAGAAATTGATAAGCATTACATCATGTGTCACTTCAAATCCCATGCTTAAATTATTTAAATAAAGTTTCAAATTAAAAAAACTAAAAAAGGAAAACAGACAAATAGTAAATACAAAATAGTAGGTAAGTACAAGAAATTAAGCCCATGCTATTCAGTTGGTTCATTCATTCCATCATAGGCATTGTCTGCATTTATTATAGATCAGAAACATGAGTATGGCTTACCTTCAGGCTGGTTTCAATAACGACGAAATTATAAAATATAAGATTATCACTCAACTTCAAGAAATAATTCCAAAGCTGAGTTCCTTATTGTCTTTTCAAAGAGTATCATAAGTTACTCTGATCAAACAAGAATATTTAAAATATAATTTATGCAGTCAGGAAAAGCTTATACAAAGGTAAATCATTTTATTGAATTCCACATTAGAAAATAAGAAAGAAAAAGTTTCCATCAAGAAGACAGTCCAAATGACATCAGTGTTATTACCTCAAACAGCTCTTTCAAAACCATGACTGACTAATGTGGATTAATGAAAAATACTTTAAAATAACAAATATTTACCTCATCTTCAACATCAATAAAAGTACTCATATCTAGTTCCTCGGGAAATGTCATTCGATCATTCAGTTTAATCCTATGCATGGTTGTATAATCAAAATCGAATCTTTTCAGCTGTAAGGTCAGCAGATAAGGAAAATGCAAAAACCGAAGGCCCTAAAAAACAAACAACAAAAAGGGGGAGAGTCTATTGAATATGGAATATTATCTCAGATTCCTAAGTATTAATCTCTACATGGCATTTACCTTCCGTGCATCACACTTCTTCTTACAACGTTCACAAAAATACTGATTTGGGCCATCCAGAATCTCTGGCTGAATAAATGCATGCAATGCTTCTTCCTAGTTAGAAAAAAATTTGTTTTATAATTACTTAAAATATTATATTAATGACAAAATCCTGAATAAAAAAGACTGTAATTACTAAAAGTTATAAGTAGAATGGTTAGAAATTTAGGAACTCAAAATGTACCAAGGAAAATTATCAACAGTAAAATAATATTATCACTATAAAAATTAAGCAAAAAAAATTATTTCATTCTACACAAGATTTGCCTTTCTTAGTATTGCAGTATCACAGTCATTTCAACCTGATTTTCATTGACTTTACATTGCAGTGTTTGGCTAAATAATCTCTAAAAATATCCTCAGTCCTTAGATAAAAAGTAATTCCACACTTCTAAGAAAAGCAGTTGCATGCATCAATCTTCTTATAAAAGGAAGCATTTAAAACTGTACAGTAAATATCAATGTTCTCTAAAGAATTCACACTTTTCATACACTTAAAAATCATGTAAGCATCCTTAATCGCCATAGTTAGGATCAGTCAGTAATCTGCCACTGCACTAGTTATAAAGATTGAAAAACACTGTGCAACCTTCTGTGTGTGTGTGAGATACTGTTCCATTTGGAAATGTATAATGAGGATCCTGGATTGTTAATTTGGTAGAACCACGTGGTTCTCTTTTCTCCATACAGCATTACAACAGAAGTAAGAAACTTCATATAAATACTGTTAAAGAATCAGTGGCATAAAGTTAATTTTTATTTTAGTAATTGGTTTTTCACGATTAAAAAATTAGTTAATATAGCATATAAGATTGGACGCATAATCTCAAATTTCATCTGATGTTCTCTCTTTTCTTCACACATGGGCTAAGCAGAACTACTGATAATATTACACATAAACTAAAAGAAATGGAATCATTAAGACAGTATCTTCAAATATTTTTCTTTTGATATAGGACAAGCTGTTCCTCAAAAGATAAAGGAGCTTAATGGTCGTAGTTGCAAAATATCTGGCAAAGCTTAGAAAACTACTGTCCACATATTGTTTGATAGAGCTCACTTTGGAACAAGATAAAAATAAGAAAAGACATAGATATTCAAAGGTGTCTAAACCCATCTGATCCCCTATTTTGTTCTCAGAACACAAGGAAACAAGTGAAGAAACCAAACGGCTGGGTTTTTTTCCACATGACCATGCATTTTATTGGTGGTCAAATGACACATTTAGAAAAAAATTTTTTTTCCCTCTCAGGCATATTTTTGGGGGAAAAAGGAAAGTTCTATAAAAAACAACAGAAAAACAAGCTTTAAAGAAATTACATCTATAGCTTAACACAGACTGATACTAAATGTCAGGCTTTCCAAATAGTGGTAATTTAAACTGGTAAAAACTCAATATTCAAAAAAGGATGGGGGGAGAGGGAGAGTGAGATAATTATGTAACTCAAATTCTACTTTGGTGTGTGTGTATTGGTCTCCGGCTTATAGTTAATACCTAGAGATCTTTAAAAAAAATTAAAACTTGGAGAAAAGTTTAAAGAACAGAGAACTCTCAAATACTTTACTCATATTCATCAACTTTTAAACATTTTTGCCAATTTTGCTTTCCCTCGCCCAACCCAACATTATTATGTATCTTTGTTTTAGCCATTTGAGAGTAGGTTCACACCTCATCATGCTTTGCCTCTTAACTTCAATATGACTTTTTAAGAATAAAGATATTCTTACACAAACAGTAATCAAACTCTGGAAAATTTAATACTGATAAAGTACTTTCATCAGCCATATTCCAATTCTGTCAATTACCTTAACAATGTATTTCTCTCCATCTAGTACACAATCTGTCTCAAGGCCACAGATTTTGTTTGGTCTCTTGAGATTCCTTTAATCTCGAGGCATTCCAGAGTTTGCCTTTCTTTCATAACACTGATATTTTTTGAAGAACAGAGGCCACTTATTTTATAAAATGTTCTGCAATTTGGGTTTGTCTGATGTTCTTCATTATTAGATTTATACATTCCTTGCTAGGCTACTATGACATTAGCAAAGATGTGCCCTTCTAAGGGTAGCATAGTCACAGGCCATGATGTACCTAACTTTCTCTTTGGTGATATTAGCTTTAATTATCTGGTCAAGGTATTGTCCAGTCTCTCTACCATATAGTTATTATTTTTACTCTCGCGGCTAATAAGCAATCTGTAAGGAGATACTTGGAGACCATGCAAAAATCCTGAGCCTTACCAAATCTTCCACCCTTGATTTTAACATCCACTTACAGATTCCTGCCTAAATCAAATTTTAATGTTTGCTTTCTGAACCAACTTGAAAATCTTTTTAATAGGCAATTTAAGCCCACTCATATTTGATATGACTGGTATGCTTGGTCCTATCTCAGTCACTACTGTGTAATTACTGTGTGTGTTAGGTAATATTTATTGTGTTCCTTTGTTATTTTTTACATTTTCTTTTGGTATTTAGCAAGGTTTGTAATTTTATTCTACAGTTACTTTTGCATTTATAGTTTTGTTAGTGTCCTTGGACCTCTTTTTTTCCCACCCACCCCCACCCTGTTTACTCTTTCTTAAGCTTTCAGTGTCTGCCAGTTTTAAATGGTCTCCTTTATTCCCCACCCACACAACAGTCTGTGATCTTATTCTGCTCTCCCTTTCTCTCCCCCTTCTAAAAAGTGGTATTATTTGTACTTTGTCTAACATGTAACATTACATACTACTCTGCTGTTCCCGTGTTCCCACCCTTGTATTTAGGCCTTAATTTAATATAGTAAGTGCTCACAGTTCTTTTGCCGAAGCTGCCCGTGATCTCTTGGTTGGGTTAAGCTCATCCTCTAATGAACTCCTCAATGGCTCATGGATATAATACCCAATGAGTTCCTGAATATTCAAACTTGTCTTTTTATAGCTGTCATAATTAAGAAACACTTGCCTGGCTATCAAATCCTTGGCTGGTACTTTCTTGAATTTCTGGAAATTGCTACTCTGTTGGCAGGATTTGCATGTTGTTCTTCTGAAATATGATGCCAACCCAATTCATCTTTTTTTTCAGATGAGGTCTTGCTCTGTCATCCAGGCTGGAATGCAGTGGTGTGCTGGCTCACTGCAGCTTTGAAATCCCTGGCTCAAGCAATTCTCTTACCTCAGCCTCCTGAATAGTTAGGACCACAGGCACATTCCACCACAACTGATAACTGATTTTTTATTTTTTTGTAGAGACATGGTCTCAATATGTTGCCCAAACTGGTCTCAAACTCCTGGGTTCAAGGGATCCTCCTGCCTCAGCCTCTCAAAATGCTGGAATTACAGGCATGAGCCACTGTGACTGGCCTCAATTCATCTTTAATAGTTTACTAAAATACATCTCAGAGTTTATCATTCCAGGTCCTTCAAAAGGTAGACTTGACATTTCCCTTATTCCCAGAAACTTTCTCTGAATTACAGTTTATCTATTAGTTCTGGTCCACTGTTTTATTTTTCTTCTTCACAGACTCCAATTATGTTGGACACCCTTTGCTGGTCTTCTCTTTCAATTTTTTTTTTCTGAGATCCTTTTTACTTTTACAAAAATCTCATTTCCATTCAATGTCCTTCATTAGATCTTCTTTCTATTTTCTCTTGAGCATTTTTTAATTTATTCTTCACTTCTAAGATATTTTTGTCTTTTTCTTCTGTTTCTTTCCTGAATTTGATGAATTCCCACTTCATTTCTTACAGCATTGTTTTTGTTTTTTAAATCTATTTCTTTGCTTAAGTTTTTGGATACCAGGTTTTGTTCTGCTCATTTGAGAATATTTAATTCAGTCAGAGTACCATGTTGATAATTCCAGAGTGACAACAGTTTCATATTCTAGATCTTACTGCTCCCCATATATTATGCAAAATGTAATTCTGCACATCTTTTTATTTACTTATTTGAGACAGGATCTCACCACGTTGCCCAGGCTGGTCTCAAACTCCTAAGCTCAGGCAATCCTCTGCCTTGACCTCCCGAAGTGCTAGGATTACAGGCGTGAGCCACCATGCCCAGCCTGCACATCCTTTTACACTATAATTTTCAGAATTCAGGATAGAATATAAAGAATTCTTACATCCTTAGTTCTCCAATCAAAAACAATACGGGTTATTCCAATTTTAGAGCTAATGCAAATAATCCAGGCACAGTGCAATCAAAAGGTATATGCAAGGAATGGTATTGCCTATAAATCCTTTTTTTAACCATTTATGTGTACATATGAATTATTCATCAATTAAAATCTACTTAATTTTGAATAGAGAAATGAGTGTTAAAACACCATACTTCAATTTTTACATGAACAAAAAAAGAAAGTAGATCCACCACTGAGAATTATTTCCTGATTTTGATGTACTAAGCAATTTTGGTACTACTGATATACAGGAACATGATGTTTTCCTTAAAAATATATTCAACTGTCTTTCCCGAATATATACTTTAACATTACTACTTTTTAACTAGGAAAAGGCCTATATACTTTTACCTAAGCTGTCTACTTTTTTTTTCATTGAAACTTTTGAGATAATTGTAAATTCATATGCAATCGTAAGAAATAACATACAGAGACCTCTTGTACACTTCCCCCAGTTTACTGGAAACATTTTGCAAAACTATGGCATATCATAACCATGATATTGGCATTCATACACCTATCTAATTCAGATTTTCCCAGCTTTAGTGCACTCATTTGCCTGTGTATATGTGTCTATTAAGTTCCATACAATTCTATCACCTGTAGAGGTTCATATATTCAACACCCGTCAAAAGACTGAACAGTTCCTATGCAAGGATAACTTGTGCCACCCTCTTATAGCCACAACCACCTGCTTCTCCTCTCCCTGCTCCCACCAAATCCGTAAGACCTGGTAATGGTTAATCTGTCCCACAGTTCTAAAAGGTTGTCATATCAAAAGTATTACATAAATGGAATCATAAAGTATGTAATAACCTTTTGAGATTGGCTTTTTTCACTCGGAATAATTCCCTGGATATTCTTTCAAGTTTTTGTGTTTATTAATAGTTTGTTCCTTTTTATTGCTAAGTACTATTTCATGGTTTGTATGAACCACAGTTTGTTAAACCATTCACTTACTGAAGCAGATATGGGCTGATTCCAGTTTTGAATATTAAAAACAAAGATGGAATAAATATTTGTGCACAGGTTTTCATGTAAACATAAATTTCAATTTTTCTGGGATAAATGACCAATAGTTCAATTGCTAGAGTTTATGGTAACTGCACGTGTCATTTTATAAGAAACTACCCATAACATTTCACATTCCCACCAGCAGTGTATGTGTGATACAGTTTCTCCACATAGTCACCAGATTTCCATGCTGTCATTATTTGTAGCCATCTGGCAGGTAAAGAATAATATATTCATTATGGTTTGAATTTGCATTTCCCTAATAGCCAGCAATGTTGAGTATCTTTTCTGTATTTGACATTTGTATATCCTCTTTAATGAAATGTTATGTCTTTTGCCAATTGTCTAGATGAATTTTTCTAAACTGATGTCTTGAGAGTACTTTATATATTCTAGATATGAGTCCTTTGTCAGATAGACAGCTTGCAAATATGTCTGGAGATTCTCTTTATCATATGGGCTTTCAGAGAGTAAATATTTTTAATTTTAATGTTTGCTAATTGTCCCTTTTGTAGACTGTACTTTTGGTAGCAAATCTAAAAACTCTTTGCTTAGCCCAGATCTGGAAGACTTTCTCCTATGTTTTTTCTAAAAGTTACATAGTCTTACATTTTACATTTAAGTTTATGACCCATTTTGAGTTAATTTTTGTATAAAGTCATTTAAGTCAAGGTTCATTTTTGTGATATGGATGTCCAGTTGTTCCATCACCATTTGTTGGAAACACCATTTTTCCTCCATTGACTTGCTTTTGTGTCTCAGTCAATAATTAGGCATATTTGTGTGGATCTATTTCTGGGTTTTCTATTCTACTCCACGGATCTATTTGCCTACCCCTCTACCAATATCACATAGTCTTGATTACTATAGCCATATAATAAGTCTTTTTGGCTAAGTAGTATTCCATTCCAAATCATGTAGACTGGTAACTTCCACTTTATTTTTATTTTTGAAAACTCTTAGCTATTCTAGTTTCTTAGGCTTCCATATACATTTTGGAATAAGCTTGTATATGTCCTCAAAAAATCTTGCTGGACTTTGACAGGAACTGCATTAAGACTATGTAATTATCTTTACTATATTGAATCTTCCAATTAATAAGTACAGTATGTTTCTCCATTTATTCTTTTCAAAGTTTTTTTGACACATAATACTGTAAATATTTATGAAGTACATGTGATACTTGATACATGCATAGAATCAAGTCAAGCTATTTAGGATATCCATCACCTTGAACATTTACCATTTCTTTGTATTGGGAACATTTAAAATCTTCTATTCTAGCTATTTTGAAATACACAATATATTGTTAACTATAGTCACTCTAATCTGCTCTCAAACACTAGAACTTACTGATTCTATCTAACTGTATGTTTGTACCTATTAACCAACCTGTCTTTATCCCCGCCTCTCTCAAACACACTGTTCCCAGCCTCTGGTAACTACCATTCTACTCTCTACCTTCATGAGATCAGCTTTATTTTTAGTTCCCACATGTAAATGAGAACATGTAATATCTGTCTTTCTGGTCCTAGCTTATTTAACATAATCTTTTCAAAGTTTTGTAGTTTTGAACACATAGGTCCAGTACATTTTTTGTTGGATTTCCATCTTTTTTCTTTTTGCAAAATTATAAATGGTATTGTATTTTAAACTTCACTTTCTACATGTTCATTGTTAGTATCTTGAAATACAATTTATTTTTTATGTTATTTTTATCCTGCTACCTTGCTAAACTCACGTATTAGTTCAGGTGTTGTTTTTTTTTTTTTTTTTTTGTACAAGGGATTTTCTACATAGATAATCATATCACCTAAAAATACAGACAATTTTATTTCTTCCTTTAGTAGTGCTTTTCATTTCCTCTTCTTACCTTACTGTGTTGGCTAGGACTTCTAGGACTATGCTGAAAAGGAGTGGTAGGAGCAGACATCCTTGCCTAGACAAGCGTGCCATTCCCTAGGAAGAAAGCAGTCTCTCACAATGAAGTATGATGTTAGCTATAGATATTTTAGATACGTTTTTTAATCAAGTTGAGGAAATTTCCCTCTATTCCTAGTAATCTGAGTTATTATAAGTGAATTTTGAATTTTATTAAGCACCTTTTCTAAATCGATATGATCATATGAATTTTCTTTTTTGGCTCGTTAATATGGAAGATTATACTCATTGATTTTTAAAATACTGACCAGTCTTGAATCCCGGAAATCAATCCTAGTCACAATATATAATTCTTTTTATAAATTGCTTAATTCCATTTGCTAATATTTTGGAAAGAATTTTACCAACTACACATATAAGGGATACTGTTTTTTTTAAGAACTGTCTTGGTTTAATATCAGGTAAGAATAGTGTCACAGGACTATGGGTTTCCTCCTCTTCCTTTCTTTTTTTTTGAAAAGAAATTGTACAGACCTGGTGTTCACTGTTCTTCGAATGTTTGATACAAGTATCCAGTGAAACAATCAAGATTTGGAGATTTCCTTTCAAGAGGTTTTAAATTATAAATGTAATTACCTTAACAGTTACAGGACTATTCAAATTATCTAATTCCTATTGAGTTCTTTTCAAAGAATTGGTTCGTTTTATCTAAGTTGTCAAATTTATATGTGCAGAGTTGTTTGTTGTGATCCCTTTGATATCTGCAAGATCTATAGTTATATCCTTTTCATTCCTGATACTGGAAATTTTTGCCTTCCCTTTTTCTCTGTCAGTCTTGCTATTTGTCAATTTTATTGTCTTTTCAAAGAGCCAGCCCTTTGTTTTGTTGACTTCCTCTACTGTTTTCTCATGTTCAATGTTACTGATTTCTCGGCTTTTCTTTATTATGTCCTTCCTTCCGCTTGCTTTGGGTTTCTTTTGCTCTTCTTTTTTCAGGTTAGGTGGAAGCTTAGATTTCTGATTTGGCCCTTTTCCTGTCTTTTAGTATAAGCATTTAATACTGTGAGTTTCCCTCTCGGTATTGCTTTAGTTGTGCCTCAAAAAAATTCGTTATGTTTTACTTTTCATTAAGTTCAAAATATTTTTAAAATTTCCCTTGAGACTTCCTCTTTGACCCATGGATCATTTAGAAGTGTTATTTCCCAAGTGTTTTGTGATATTCCTGTCTGCTAATCTGATTCCACTGTTGTTGAAAAAAATCACACATTCCATGATTTTAAATTTTTTGAGGTCTTATGGTCCAGAGCATATGGTCTATCCTCGTATATATTTAATGGATACTTGAAAAGGATGTGTATTCTGCTGCTGTTGGGTGAAGCACTTTAGCAATGTTCATTAGATCTGTTGGTTGATGGTGTTGCTGAGTTCTACCTCTTTGCTATTTCTGTCTAGTTGTTCTACCTATCAGTAAGAGAGGGAGGCGTGCTGAAGTCTGCAACTGTAATTGTAGATTTGTCTTTTTCCTTTTAGTTATGACAGTTTTTCCTTCATGTATTTTGGCAGCTGTGTTATTTTCTGCATACACATTTAGGATTGTTGTCTTCTCGGTTGTTTGACACTTTTATTACAATGTAACAGCCCTCTCTGTCTGTGGTAATTTTCTTTGCTCTAAAGTCTTCTTTATCTGACACTAATATGGCCATTCCTGATTTATTTTGGCTTATTGTGTTTGGGGTTTGCTCAGCTACTCAGATCTGTAGGTTTATGCCTTTTGCTAAATTTGGAACATTTTCATCCATTATTTCTTTGTGCCTGCCTTCTTTTTCCTTATTAATCTCCTTTCAGGACTTTAATGACACAAGTGTTACACCTTTGCTCTCCTTCCAGTATTCCAATGACACAGTGCTAAACCTTTTGTTATAGTCCCATAAGTCCTTGAGGATATATATTTTTTTCAGTCTATCTTCTCTCTGCTGTTTAGACTGGGTAATATCTATCATTCTATCTTCAAGTTCACAGATTCGACCTACTGTCTCTTTCATTCAGCTGTTCAGCCTATCCACTGGGTTTTTAATTTTGCTTATTGCAGTTTTCAGTTCCAAATTTTCATTTCTTTGTATCTCTAACTGATTCCCTAAAATTTTCATTGTTTTCAGTGTGCTTAGGACTGCTCACTGAAGTGTTTCTATGATGGCTGCTTTAAAATATTTATCAAATAATTCTAACATCTTTGTCATTTCAGTGTTTATGTCTACTGGTTTTCTTTTTTAACTCAAACTGAGATTTGTGATTTTTTAATTGAAACCTGGACATTTGGGGTGTTATGAGATTCTGGACCATATTTAAACCTTCTAGTTTAAATGCCTCCTTTGACACTGTACCATCTGGGGAAAGGGCTCTGCCATATTAGTGCCAGATGGCATTAGAAGTCCAGGTTTCCCACTTGGCCTATGTGGACATCTGAATGGAGGAAGCTCCTTGTTAGTGCTGCGCAGGGAAAGGAATTCTGGGTATTCAGTAGGCCTCTGCTGATATAACCTTGGCTGTAAAGGGCAGGAGTATCTCAGTACTACACCCCAACACTGACACAAGCAGGAGGGGCTCGCCTCTTTACCCCTGGGAGGTGGTGAAGGAACAGAGAATCTAGGCTCCCCACTCAGCACTGGCAGGCACAAGTTGATGTAAGGCCTTTTCTTTCTGTGGTGTTTGGTTAGAGCACAGCAGTTATGGTCTAAAAGTTTTCTGGCTTGCTAGGCTGTCTTTTTCCTCGTCCTTCAGTTAAAGAGAACAGGGTTTTTCAGTCTGTACCCATTGCTGTTTCCAGGCTGCCAGCTTCTTCAGTTCCAAGCCTGGGATATATTAGGCAAAAAGAAAACCCATGGAACTCACCACCGTGTTATTCCTTGGGTGCTGAGGTCCCTAGTGTGTATGCCTTCTCTCCACCTTTCAGTCTTCTTATGTTTATTTTACATATAATGCTCAAGGTTTTCAGTTGTTTTAGTGGGAGGAATAGGGCAATGTACATCTACTCCATCTTCCTGAAAGCAGAAGTCCCCACTTTTTAAACTTGTTCCCACTATGTCCAACCATACACATTCCTGGAAAAATGAGGGTAGAGTCTGTGGAAGAGATTTTTCTTTAACTGATGCTTACATATTTGGACAAATTTGGACCACTGCTTCACCCAAATGAGTTCTGTGGCTGAGTCACCCATGTAAGAATGTCCAAACCACCTGTTATGTCAGGGTAAGACTTATAATATAAACTTGTGTAAATAGTTGAAATGCTTTTGATTTCACACTTACTAATTTCACAATTTTCCATTCAAAACTTTAAAACAATCATTAAACTATGTTTACTTAGGAAACAAGTCTTTTATATAATCTTATTTCTCCAAAGGCACTGTATGAAATTATGCAGCTAAACCCTGATCAAACTTTGAACACGTTTTTGTCATAATAAACAGGTATTTAAATGTACGTAATGAACAATAGAATAAAAGTATCCTAAAAGAAAATGGCCTAGAACAGTGTCTGCCATAGAGTAGGCCCTAAATAAATGTTGTATGACAAAATACACCAATAAAAAGACAGTGTCTAAAATTTTACTGTTAAATAAAAAAGCACTTCCTTAGATAATGTCAAACATGAGGCTACATTGTTTTTCTTTAATTTATAAATTATGCTTTCATAATTAACAAACAAAAAGTTAATATTTCTAATTTCTATGTATTACTAGAATATACTTAGAACTATCTCCTTATTTAATACATTCTCACATGGGGTTGGCAATAAGCATAGTCAAAGTTACTTTGATCTAGTCAGTGAACATAGAAGGTTCTAACTATCTAATAAGTCATTAAGAGCAAAATTATTTAAAGATTACTACAAGTAATTCTTCAGCTGATATTAATTTTTCAGGATTAATAAAAAATATGTAAAACAACAGGAAATTATAACACATATTTTAGTATTCTCACTCCCTCTCAACATCCCAAGGACACAAATATAAACAAAGTAGTGACATTCTTAAATCACCTTAATCTAATGTAGAGCTTCCCATATTATGTTCCTCAGAATCCTAATGTCTCTTGAGATATTAACAGATGTCCCACAGAGAAAGAAAATGCTAGGTTAAACACATTTAAACAAACTTCTCAACTACAGGAATCACTGGGGCATTTAAAATATAATATGCACTGTGATATTTCCAAAGAGGATTATTGTTATAGTTTCCCAAATCTATTTAATCAAGGACACCTTCCCCAAAATATCTACTAAATCCTTTTACAGACTAGTATTGAACAGAACTCAATCTGAGATATACAGAATGGCAGAAGAGCCTTTCAATATTGATTCCGTACTTGGATGAGTAAAATGAAGATCAGAAATCTAACAAATATCAGTTACAATAACTAAAAATCTATTGAAAAAAGAAATTATTATAATAAAAGGCTTTTTTTGACCTCCCTACTTTACGGGAGCTTATTTTTTAAACTGCAGAAGTCTCCCAGCACTCATTATAAAAATAACCTGTTATCATACTAAAAAAAAACCCATAAAAATTGATTGTGGATATTATAATAAGTTAGATGAGTGCTACTTTCAGTCCTATTTTAATCCTACCTATTATTTGCAAGTTAATTTATTTGACCATAAAGATAAAACAACTCCAGAAATTGGACATTTTAGATGAAGGTTTAAAAAAGAAAAACCCTGGCTGGGCGTGGTAGCTCATGCCTGAAATCCCAGCACTTTGAGAGGCTGAGACAGGAGGATTGCTAGAGGCCAGGAGTTTGAGACCAGCCTGGTCAACACAGCGAGACCCCATCTCTAAAAAAAGAAATAAATATTTAATAAATTTTTTAAAAGAGAGAGAGAAAAAAAAGAAAAACCCTTCAATTTTTAAAAGACCTCACTCTTAATTATCTGAAATTAAACCCATAATATTGTGGCACACTAAACAAAACATACAATAAACAGAATATATAACCATCAGTGTGTACATGTGCGTGCACATGCACGTGCTAGTGTATATGTCTACATCTATATCTTTTTTTGTTTTTTTTGAGACAGAGTCATGCTCAGTTGCCCAGGCTGGAGTGCAGTGGTGCGATCTCAGCTCATTGCAGCCTCTGCCTCCTGGGTTCAAGCAATTCTCCTGCCTCTGCCTCCCGAGTAGCTGGGAATACAGGCATGCACCACAATGCCCAGCTAATTTTTAGTAGAGACGAGGTTTCATCATGTTTGTCAGACTGGTCTCGAACTCCTGTCCTCAAGTGATCTGCCCGCCTCGGCTTTCTAAAGTGCTGGGATTACAGGTGTGAGCCACTATGCCCAGCCTACGTCTATATCTAATATATTAAATAAGACAAAAATACCAGTCCACTAAAAAAGGTAGAATAATAATTTTAAGAGAGTCCAGTTAAAATTCAGGCCAATTTTATATAATCTCAATGAGTGATTTTATGGTACCTCTTTTAACCAGATTTTTGCAATCCATAATTCCAATTCTTTTTAAAGCATGTCAAATTCTTTTTGAAACATACACAGTTAACAAAATACAAAATGGCAAGCAGTGACATATAACCAATTTTAGATGCTGTATGATGATATTTGTGGACTAAGAAGAGTTAGGTTATAGATTTAAATTCAGAAAATAATGAGAAATCACTTACCTCTAACTAAAGTTCTCCGAAGGTAGTATCCTCCTTAGAACCCCTATCTTGGGTAGTTTCACCTGCTGTAATTTCCCTCAAGAGATTCCAGCAAAGTCTAGAAAGTTTTAAGTTCTCTTCCGCAAGCCCTATTAGCGCATGTGTGTTATAAACCTGCTCACATACTGCTTCATAGCTGCAACTTCCAATTCCCACTGAACCACCACCACTACTACCACCCATGTATCATCAGTGGAGGATACTACCTTTGGAGAATTCCATTTAGAAATGTGATATTGTTCACATCCCCAGAAGTATCCTCCAAATCACTCCATTACTTTGTCTATTAATATACTTAAGAGAGTGGTGGCAAATCAGCAGGTGAATAAATAATGACATAAAGATTTAGCTGAGCAATTATATTTGCTGAATACTCAAATATAAGATTTAATACAGCAAAATTTAGCTTCCTCAATATTCAATTAATATGTTAAAAACTAAATTAAATGTATATATGGAAAAATTTTCATAAAAATACTTTAATAAATAAGGTATAAAAAATAGTCCATATCACTTGGGACTACCAAATATTTCCCTAGTATATTTTGTCAGAGAAATGCGAGTATTTAAAAATTAGTTAGGAAATCAGTCATTGAAAGACAAATGTTAGTTTTTCAATGATTTTTTCAGTATGTCATTTCTACTTTGAACTGCCAATTAAAGCAAAATAAGGTTAAAAAATAAAAACCAAAACTAGCCATCCAAACCAAAGCTCATTTAATACACCTAGATGGCCATTTAAAAAAGTAGTACTAAACATCTAAAAAACTTTTCAAATATACTCAGGAAGCCGACTATGAAAAACAGTAGCAGAAAGGAGACTTGATCTTACGCTACCCAGAAAAGGTCTTTTACTTAGATGCTTGCTTTGTATCTCCATTGACTGATTCCATAATTTATTGCTGGTTATTTCCTAATAGCCATATAAAGGTAGGAGAAAAAATCAAAAGGAATCAATCATCCTAGAGGCCAGAGGACTAAACCATACTTGTAGCACTATCTTAGAAGTATAGAAAAGCTTTTAAAAAACTGATTTTTAGCTACAAGCCACCATCAGTTTAATAACAACATAAATAAGACCAAAACATAAAACATAATGAAATTCTATTGTTTAAAGATATCTTATTTAGCTTTGAAAGCTTCCCCTGGCACATGGTAGGTTCAAATAAATGTTTCTGAGCACTTTAATTTTAAATATCAACTTAAGTCTTTCCATTATTTTCCTGTCGTATAAGTAAATACACATATGTATAGATAAAATACAATTAAAAAATTATAAAAAAGCAATTAAGAAATGGATGACATATGGAATGAGAAAATCTTAGCTAATCCTCCAATCAGATACTCAGTATATGAATAATTAAGGTGATTACAGTTTTGATTCTTTGAATTATCTGTGCTACTACAATGTATATTTTTTAAACTAAATATTTAAAGTAGGGATGCTTCTTTTAAAAATATGGACTGTTTGTCATAAAAACCAGAGGTGCTTTTACCAATTTTAAAAGTGTATGGATCAAAACAATCCCCCCAAAACAAAGTACTTTCCAGTGCAAAAAGTGGTCACAATAACAGCATTTATAAAATAGACTGTTTAGAGGTAAAAAAAAAAAAAGATAAAAGTGAAATCATCTAATCACCTATCCAAAAGAATAAAACACTGAACCATGAGGCAGTACATTTGCATTCACTTTCTCTCTTATAATACATGCACTATTAGGACTCACTGAAGGGTCAAAAATCTTCTAGATCTTGCTAATTTAAATGCAGGAATGACTAACAACCCAAGAAGGTGTATCTAGGATGATACTTACCTTACAAGAGATTATACCACTGTGCTATTATGTATTCTGTGTAAGGATACACAAGCAGTCAGGTGAAAGGTACACACCACACTAGCAAATGCTTGGCTGGACCCATAAGGTCGGATGACCAATGGAATATCAAGATATGTGTCGATTCGCCAGCCCTCATAACCACATTCCAGACATCTCACGTAGTCCTTCAGCTTGCCTTGATATAGCTCATTTATAAGATCAGCCTAAAAATAAAATATTTACATTTTTAAGTGTTCCTTAAAAATAACCTTTAAAACATGTAACATTCTACACTTTTTAGAATGGTTTACAAAAGGATATTGATATTTACAGCTAAAATCTTTGAAAACATTAATATTTATCTATATTTATTATTATATATTATGTAATATTTAAGATTTATCTAAAATTTTATAGAAAAAATCAAAACAACACAAATAACCTAAAATCAATAAAATTAGATTAACACTAATTTGAGTCAGTGTGCAAAAATTAACGATTTCAATATTCATCATGAGAAAACCGAACGATTAATGTTTTGATGAAATCAGTTACCAATTAAGCCTCAAATTATCTTTACATTAAGATGAGAGTAAATCCTAACCTATCACTTTAAGCATGTTAATAATTATACAGCTAAACAATTGGTTGAGTTTTTATAACTTACATATGTATATCACTTCTCACAATAATATATTCTGATGTATAAATCATATCCTCTAGCTCAAGATGCAAATCAAACTTTTTAGCTTTCAGTAATATACATAACACAATTTTATAGAGAAATATTACACCATAATCTTTTTAAAATGTATGGAAATTCAAAAAAAATCTTAAAATCCACCTCTCTCAAAATATCCTCACCTAAAAGAATGGATCTCTCACCTAGTCCCCAAACTTAGTTAACTAGGGCTTTTCTGACTCAAAGGCGGTAGGTAACTCCCTAAGTAAGGACCAAAGAGTTTTGTACCAAAACTTGGGAACTCAGTAGGAATGCCCCAGCTGATCTTAATGGAAGTGCTGACCCACAGAAAGGGATGTAACCAGGAAAAAGAGTAACTTCAGATCTATGAAGAAGAAACAGCCCCCAATACCATCTACATAGTTACTAAAACACAGCCCCATAAGACTATGAGAGAAACTAGATCACTAAATGAACTTAAAAATTTTTTCATAATCTCCTAAGTAAGAACAGGCATGAGGATAAGTGTACTACATCTTGCCTCTTTCATAAACTTACATTTCTTCAAACAAATAGGATTTATAAGCCTTCAAACTGGATTGACCGTCACTGTCTACACTAAAACCACTTATTTAATGAAGCCTTCTTCATTCATCAGCGTCAGTCATATGTGATTGTCTTCTTCACCTAGGACGGCCTTTTGAAGTGGTTCAAACCAGTGTTTTTCAAATACTGAATAGCAAATCACCATAAGAAAATAATTTACACTGCAACCCAGTGCATATAACTGTAACAAGAGCTTTATAAAATAATACTTACTCTTATGTGATGTTCTCTTATGCTCTATTCTATTCCATTTTTTGAAAATGCTGTTGTAGGCCCAATAAACTGATTTTATAACCCGTGAATAGATTGTAATCTACATTTGGAAAAACTGGTCCAAGCCATCACAGTAGTTCCAATCAGATATCAGACCCTTCTAGCTACCTTATATACTCTTCCCCTTTTATCCCTGTGACCTTCATTTACTATACCCAGTATAAACCCTCCCATGTATTGAGCCCCATCCCATTCAGCCTTACTCCTCATCCCAACATCTAATGTTCTTTCCACTTCTAACCTGCTCCTCTTTCCATTACATAAGAATCGGGTTAGATTAATGAGGATCCTAAATGTCAAATACATATGACTATATTTCATTGGTCAAAATAAAGGTAATGCTTCATGACTATACTTGTGTTACAGATTACAAAACATATAATTTACCTAATTATCTGAAAATGCTGTTCAAAAATCATCCCCAAAACACATATATACAGTTTTTAAATGTATAATTTTCAGAGCTAAAAGAGAACTTCCAGGTTATACAGCCCAATTTCCTTAAAGATGAGAAAACTGAGGTCTAGGGTGGTTTAATGATGGTATTTATAACTCAGTTAATGGCTAAATGAGAACTCAGTACTTTCAATTTCCCATTGGGTACTTTAACCATGAGACTAATGCCCAAGTTTTAAAACATTCCAACAGAATAAAAGTCATTTAGGGTAACAAGTGATTTATTAGGAAACAGTCCCCTTGATTTGAGAGATATAAATTACCTGTTCTGTTTGCTTCCATTTCTGTTCCAAAGCATCAAACATGACTCTGCATAGTTCTTGTACATCATGCTGCTGCCAAGCTGTTTTAAGATAAAATTCAATTAGAAATAGCTATAAACTTTATGTAATGAAACAATCTGTTGTTTAAAAGCAAATAGACAGAAATATTGAAGTCTACCTTAAATAATGCCAAATTTAAAAAAGAACATAAGAATATACATGACAGTCATGAAAAGGAAATCACACGCCAGAAAATAGATTGCAGCATTCTATAAATAATATATGCTTTATGGTGCTACAATATTTGTCATGTTTGTTATTTTTCATTGTAGAGTTATGAAATGTGTTAGAAAATATATGACAACAAACTTGCAATGAAAGGTTTAAGATAAAGGTAATTATGTGTAATGTGTTTGTAATATTATTGTCTTCTAGAATTTGTTTGAATATTAGAACGCTTATCATTACAAGAGAATTAGTACCCTCACTACTATCCCATCCAAAGCTCCTTGTAACATCTGTGGTTTCAATTGCTCTCTTTTTGCTGGTTTGTAACAAAACAAAAAGCCTTTGAAGTTGGTATGGAATACTTGTCACTGGATCTTCTTCAGATTCTTCAAATTCCCACCTATTAAAATAAAATGTTAATAAAGTATTTATAAAATGATTTTATTATTTAAAAGCATAATTAATATCAAAATCATAATAATGTAAGATTTTAATCCTGGAAGCTATACAGAGTTTGAATGCTAATTGAAACTAATAATATCTAATGAAACATTAGTGTTTCCCTAATTCATAAATTCAGAAGAACTTTAGACTTTAACAAGAAAAGGCATAACAAGGCATAACAAGGCAAAAGTGCTCAAGAAAAGAAGGCAAAGCTCATTTAACTGTGGAACCTGAATCTGACCATAACCTCTGTCCTAATTATTAATTCACAAAAATACAGGAAACAGAAGAATACTATTACGTGAGATACTACGGCATACAACCATCAAAACCCAAACTGTGGAAAACTACAGGATAGATGACATCAGTTTTCTTTCTATTTTTTGCAGGGAATAAATTGCAAGGATGAAAAAAGATGAAAGAGGATTATAAACAAATTAAATAGATTAAGAATTTTATTAATCAACTGCAATATACAGCTCATATGGATCTTGATTTAAACAAATTGTTAAATGACGCAATCAGGGAAATCGTAGCCCTGACCTGAGATATAATTTACAGATGATATGATGGAGGTATGCTTCCAAACAATCAAGTTGGAGGGTATAGACAAAAAAGATTGACTATGAGTTGATATTAATAATATTCAAAGCTGAATGACTGGTGAAGAGGGATTCATTACACTATTTCCCTCTTTTTTTTTTTTTTTTTTGAGACAGAGTCTCGTTCTGTTGCCCAGGCTGGAGTGCAGTGGGATGATCTTGGCTCACTGCAATCTCTGCCTCCTGGTTTTAAGCGATTCTCCTGTCTCAGCCTCCCGAGTAGCTGGGATTATACACATGCACCATGACGCCTGGCTAATTTTTCTATTTTTAGTAGAGACTGGGTTTCACCATGTTGGCCAGGCTGGTCTCAAACTCCTGACCTCAAGTGATCCACCCACCTCTGCCTCCCAAAGTGCTGGGATTACAAGCGTGAGCCACTGCACTCAGCCTACTTCCCTTTTTTTGAATGTTTAAAATTTTCCATAATAAAAAGCTTTTGAAAGGGAATATAAGAAAGTAAACAAAATAATAATCCAGGTAAGATTTTCACCCTCACAAACTTATGATAAACAGCAGTCTAGCCCTAGCTACAGCTACTGTCTCAATAACAAGTGAATTCCCAACTGAAGAACTTAAGATCTCATGGAAAGAAATAAGATTGAGGTACTAAAGTTGGTAATGTACCCACCAAAGTCTTTAAAATAATTCTGTATTCATAATATACACCTAAGACAAAATATTAAGTAACAACAATATTAATGTTATTTTACATCTTAAGTTAGGAGTAAGATTACTATTTCCCCACTTTTTAGTTTCAAAAGGAGGTTTGAGCTTTAATTTTTCTCTGATGCACTTTACAGACATACTAAAAGACTTTTTCTTTTCTTTTGGGAATGGCTTTCTATTAGAGTGTTCAATATTTTTCTTACTTTAGGACTGAGAAGTCACAGCTCTGTTCTCATCTTCCTTTTGTTACACACTGGCACTCCCTTCCGCCTCACAGAAGTCAATGAAGTACATTTCACCTTTTTCTTCTCAAGGCTTCCCTGCAAACACCTCTATTCAATACCTTACTTCTGCTTTAATCCTCCCCTCTTCTATTCTCAATCCCCAGCTCCCTTTTTTCTGGTTATCTTCAATAGCGGGTACTTATAACTGACATTATGAGATCAAAAATTCTCTTGTTAACTGTGAGAAAATATTGGTTAAAACAGAAAATGCTCAAATTTCTTGTGTGGTAAATTCACTAATAGGGAGGAATTACTGTAAAATAAGACTGAATTCTCACCTGTCCTTTAGTCCTGGTACAAATACCTGAAAAGGTTTTAAGTCTTGCTGGTACTTGCCATTACTTTAGTCATCTTAGTTAGAAACTTTGGTGCATATGTGATTCTTTCCTTTCCTTTACTCCTAAGTAAAATTTGTCACTAAGCCATGTTAGTTTTCAATCTGAAATGTAACCACTGCCACCATCATCATTCTGACTCTAATATATCCATGCCTGGTTTAATAACAGATTCCTCCGGGGTTCTCTATCTTTCAAATCAATCCTGTACACTGCACTATATAAACTTTCCTAAAACAATGTATTTAACCCATCACGTATATGACTCCAAATCAAGTGGCAGGTTCTCTGTTGGCTACTATGCAAAAAGTGAAGAAAATAGGCCGGGCGCGGTGGCTCACGCCTGTAATCCCAGCACTTTGGGAGGCCAAGGCGGGCGGATCACGAGGTCAGGAGATCGAGACCATCCTGGCTAACACGGTGAAACCCCATCTCTACTAAAAATACAAAAAATTAGCCTGGCGAGGTGGCTGGCGCCTGTAGTCCCAGCTACTTGGGAGGCTGAGGCAGGAGAATGAACATGAACCCCAGGAGGCAGAGCCTGCAGTGAGCCGAGATCGCGCCACTGCACTCCAGCCTGGGCGACAGCGAGACTCCGTCTCAAAAAAAAAAAAAAAAAAAAAAAAGTGAAGAAAATAAACAAAACCCTATCCTTTTATCCTAGCACTACTCTCTGGATACTTTATCCTTTTATGCTAGGGCTACTCTCTGGATAGTCAATCCTTTTACGCTAGCTCTACTCTCTAGTCTATCCTTTTACACTAGTGCTACTCTCTAGATAGTCTATCCTTTTACGCTAGTGCTACTCTGTGGCTAGTCTATCCTTTCATGGTAGCGCTACTCTGTGGATAGTCTATCCTTTTCCACTAGCACTACTCTGTGGATAGTTCAATGAGGTTCTTAGTTCTACATTAAGAAACATCATGAGTGCTCTCAGGCTTTGTTTCCCCACCTGCTATAAACTTCACTCTATTCTCACAATCTCAAGGCCTTCCTTTCTGTTTGACCTCATGTCTGTCTCCTACTTCCTTACTCACCAGGATTGTCACAACGGATTTCTAGTTTCTTTTGTTTTTTGAAGACCTTTACACTTCTGGCTTCTTATGCCTTGTATGCTCTTACTGTAAATCTTTAGAGGGCTTGTTCCTGTGAAGTTCCTGGAATGTCCTCAGGGAGGCCCTTACTGTCTACTACCTGAAGCTGTGACCCTCCCCTCCTCTTCTCCTGACAATTACTCCCTCCACATTACTCAGCTTTATTTTCTACCTGGCATACATGATTCTGTGAAATGAGCTTATATATAGGTTTACCTAAGGAAGCTCTAAATGAGGTACTTTCTCTTACTCATCACTCTAATCCTTATACCTAAAAGAATGCCTAGCACACAGTAAATGTCCAATACATGTTTGCTGATGAATAGCCCTGGCTATGCTCTTAATTTCCTCTACAGTGCTGTAAATTTACAGTCCACTTTCAGAGTATTAAAACAGATGGTTAAACAAGTGCCCAGGATCCCCATTCCTGTGCATACTCCCTAAAACAGGCACATTGTCCAACGATCTGGTCTGTGCTAGTTTTGAGAGCAGGCTCTGAACTCTATTTATTAACCTCATCCTCCAGTACTCTGACAAAACTCTGGTTATGCTGATCTCCTGAAGCCCCCCGCAACACACTGTGCTTATTGGCATCCGCTAGTGCACAGGCAGAACAGAGTAGTGAATCCTGGCATCTACTAGGTGCAACTTCTAGCAGTGTGCTTTCAGGCAAAGCTATATTTCTCTGTGCCTTCAGTTACCTTCTTTGTAAAATGCGGACAATAATAGCATAAAATTCATACAGTTACTATGAGAATTAAGTGAGTCTATATATAAAGTGCTCGGAACACTATCTGATACAAACAATGACTAACACTCAGGTAGCCCTTCCTATTATTCACTTTCACTTTTGACAGGCCTCCTATCTGCACAGTGTATTCTCTTTCTTCTCAACCTGGCCAAACCATATCTAGCTTCATGACCTACCTGAAGCTTACTTTCTTCTCCAAGTTTCACCAACCTTTCTTCTCTTTAAACTCTAATGGTATTTGGCTGTCTTTAAATGTTATTTAAACTATTTCAAACATATACATATTGCTATTGTAGAAAGACTTATAAATTACTCAAGAACAAAGATCTTATTACTAATTCCCTCTCTATCCACCAAGTGCCTAGCATTTAAACACTACAGGGCAATACATGCATACAGAATGACAAATACATCAACTTCTGTAAGTTCAGATAACAAGCTGACAGATTAATCTAATGGTGATATAATGTTGAGTAACACAATCAGCAATATTAAAAGTTCCAAAAATAACCTAAATACATATTTACAGTAATTTAAAGATGTTAGTGGAAAGTAACACAAAAAAGGAAAAAAAAATCAGTTTACTCATACTTAAAAGTATCCTTAAAAACTAAAAAATTATGTGTTTATCTTAAAGAAAATATACAAAGCAAAGGTGTGTTAAATGTGTCATAATAGGATATTCATAAAAATAAATGTCTGACTTCAGGGTTTACTTAAACATAGACTTCCTCCATAGAGCATTTTAAACTATCTAATGTATATGGAGTCTTTTAGAAGGAAACACACACACACACACGCACACACACGCACATGAAACAAGCTGTAAGTATTATATTTTAATTAGAAACAAAACTTGCAAGTTAAAAAAAAACTTTGGATACTTAAATTGAGAGGTGGAAGGAGAGTATGGATTTATATATTCGAATTCTCTCAAAAGCAGTTATTTATTTCTTCATAAAGGGTGTTAAGGCTACAAGAGAGGGAAGCTTTTTACCCTACATGTAAATCTCATCAATTTTATCCTTTTGCTCTCTATATACTTCTGATTCTCTCTCCGCACACATTTTTCATATACCTGTTTTTCACAAGATCTTTGTTATTACGTAAGGAAAGAAGTTATATCTTATGGTGTGAGAAATGCCCCAAACTTTAAAATAACTGCAAGAAGATAAATTTTGTTAAAAGTGATATTTTCATTCTTAAATCAATTTTATGTATACAATTTTTTTGAATACTCACTTATATAATGCATTCCTAAATTCAGGAGTCATAAAAAGTGTTTGCAAAAGGCTATTCAAATAGCAAGTCATTGCTTGGTTTACTAGTCCCACATATCCTTTAAAGAGAAAATACAAATGTACATTAATCAGCATTTACATTAAAAATAACAAAAACATAATAAGAATTTAATTCACAGTAAAGATTCAGAGGTTAAAGTTACTACTCATTTGGAAATTATTTCAACTTGTTCAACAGCACCTAAGAAAAGATCCCTTTTCTAATATGTGCTCTAAGTAAGCTTTGTTTTGTAGAAAATGTCAGGATACCTTGTTATAGATATGTCCAGAGGTACACATGGAGATTATATGACATTAACATTTTAAGAGTAATATGTTCAGTAAAGTATGTGTTACTGGCATAGACATAAACTTTTTCCCCCAAAATCTAAACGTTTAAACATATTAAACTTTTAAACATATTAAACTAGATTATAATGGAAAAGCATAAACATATTCACTTTAAACAGCACCACACACATCCAGTGTAGAAAGACTATACAGAACCAGTTACCCCTGTCATCAAGCCCTATAAGCCAATTTCTGTAAGAATGAATAACATACGAGATAAATTCACTACATGCAAACTCACAAAAGCTGAGACTCTAAGTAATGCAGAGTGACTTCATCTGTTTCAACAAGCCTGTCAATGAAATTCTATAGATCAGCATGCTGTGCAAAGGGTGATATGTATCCACACCATCTGTACTTATAGGATTCCAAGAAAAGACCAAGCATGGTAGCTATCTGCTTTTCACTTTGTACTAAGGTTCAAGCTTTTATTTTTTTCACCTTTATTTTAAGAACCGTGTATGCATGGGTGGTTTATATCTTAATCTACATCATTGCATTATTTTAAACTGCTTCTATTCCAGACTATTCCCCACTTGAGTTGTTCTCATAGGATCCTATATTTAATCCGTATTAGAGCCTTTATCTCACTGTTTTGTAACGACCCATTTGCTTATATGTCTCCCCCATCAGACTGTGAAAGCAGGGATTGAATCTGACTTCTATCTCTCCTATTACTTAGCACAGCAGCAGATGCACATGAGAGGGCAATGTGTATGACTTACAAGTAACACAAGTTTGTATGGTATCTAAGCTGATTATTAATAATAAAAAACATTATTTCATTAGTTCATACAAACAGAGCCTTTCCCACAAACAACAGCAATTTGTCCAGGAGACCAATTGTTCTGTATCTTCTTCTGAGCTGAGGCTGCTCTGGGATTTCTTTTCTTCTCCGTCCTCCTCCTCCCAATTCCTCAACAGTCTGGGGGAGAACCAATCTACTTGGAGCCTTACAAGGTAAATGAATACTACTATCATCCTTTGTGTACATACACATCAATCATGTATCACTTGTTTGTGACCTTGTTTCCCTTTACTGGGCTTAAAAAAATGTTTTCGGGGTAGGCTTGAGAAGAGAAGAAGAGAGTAATGGCAATTAATTTTTGCCATAGCTCTTTATTTTACCATCAGGTATAAAAATCACATATGACTCTATGATCTTTTGTACTTGATTTGGCACCATATTTAAACAGAATGAACACTGTGTCACATAAATGTACTATTTTCCAAAAGTATGACGATTTTGGTGACACTATTAAAAGTGCTAATGAATTAACAGAAACCTTTCTCATTATGCATTGTCTAAATCAACAAACTTCAAATGGCAGCTATTATCAAGTGGATTCTACATCTGAAATAGTTATGAATCAATATTTTTAGTATAAGTCAGTAAGCAAGAAGAATATGAGAACATATACCATCCAGTAGAGGGCACATGCAAAAAGAAATCCTAAACAGAACCAACCACTAAAGAAGGAGAAATCAAACAGGCCCAGTGAAGTGGAATCAAATAGGCCAACTCCTGAAGTAGATAAAAAGGCTGTTAAAAAAACTGGCCAAAGACAGGTATCATGGATTTAGTTTCTAATCACTTGTAAGTTCACATTAGCCTTCAATCTACTCCTTATTTCTCCCCAACCCACCATCTCCTATCAACAGTGGCTGGCTACCAGTGGGAAGTGGTAGGAAAGAGACAGGAAAGAGTATGTTGAGTACCCAAACCCATTGCTTTACTGAGAAATGTGTTTCTAGAGCCCTAAGTTAAAATCATGAGAGCATTTTCTAATAAGAACATTTCACACATGGTGCCAAAATTTATAATAATTTCTTAAGGAAATGCAAACTCAATGGTTTGATTAAATAATTTTATCTGATACAATAATTTCTGAACACAACCCCTGATAAAATAATTTCTGAACACAACCACCTTGGATGCTTATAGAGTAACTCAGGAAGGCAGGACCCCTAGAACCCTGGAGGAAAATGTACAGGTAGGGAAAGGGAGTGGAGTAGAGGTGTGTGAGGAACAGTAAATGCGAACAAAGACTATGATTACATGGCAATGTATAGCAAAGACTTCTAAAAATATTTTTTTAAGTAAACTTCAACTTACTAATATAATTTCTGGGAATTTTTATCTTTAGGAAATAATCAGAGATGAAAACAAAAATGTATGTATAAGAATTTTCATAATAATATCAGCAATATTAATAATTACAATTTAAATATCTGAACCTATAAAATGAAACTATTTTTCAGCCATTTAAAGCCCCATATTAAAATACTATTTAATAACATTAAAAAATACTCCTCATATAGTATTAAGTGAAAAACATTAATTAAAAATCTACTCATGATTCCCCATTTTCTGAAAAGTACACATATAGAGGAAAGATAAGATAAAAATATGCAAAATTGCTAGAAGTGGTGCCAGTAGTACTGTAAATTATTTTCACTTTTTTATTTTATAGTAAGACAATGACATGTATTTTAATATATTTGTATAATCAAAGAAAGAGCGTTTTAAAAAAGCATGTCTTAGTCTCAAGGAATTCACAGGCCTCAGAGAGCCACAGGAAGTTGAAGTTAGTACAAGCACAGTAGGAGTTCTGTAAATACTTGGTGCAAAAATGACTGAATCAATTGTCAGAAGACAAAGCAAATATCTCAAGAATCTTGATTTGTTAAATCTGGAACTCTCTCACAGTGTTTCAGCTATCTCAGAATAATGTAGCTATCTCAGAATAATAAGAAACAAAATGCAATTTCTTCCAGCCTACTACAGAGCAGCTATATCAGCATTTTGGGAAGTAATGCCTTGGAACCTACATTTTTCTTTTTTGTTTTTTGAGATGGAGTCTCCTTCTGTTGCCCAGGCTGGAGTGCAGTGGCTCAATTTCGGCTCACTGCAACCACCTCCTGGGTTCAAGCGATTCTCCTGCCTCAGCCTCCCGAGTAGCTGGGATTACAGGCACCTGCTACCACGGTCAGCTAATTTTTGTATTTTTAGTAGAGATGGGGTTTCACCATGTTAGCCAGGCTGGTCTCAAACCCTGACCTCAGGTGATCTGCCCACCTCGGCCTCCCAAAGTGATGGGATTATAACAGTGAGCCACTGTGCCCGGCTGGAACCTGCATTTTTAACAAGTACCCCCAAAATTAATTTTAAAGAAATTAAAATCTGAGAATCACTACTCTAGATAGTGTAATGGGAAACAGTTTAATTACCTCCTATTATCTGAAATCAAAGATAATTTTGTATTTTTTTTATTGTGGTTGTTTGCTACAAAAAGTTCTACTGATAGAAATGAATCCTAAATACCAAACATAATCAGGTTTTACTATTATTTCCAGAAAAAATAAACCATTAAAGCTGCACAATAACTAGCTATGAGGAAATTATTCTAAATTCTAATTACAAAATATAGTAAACGAAAGATTACAGATGACATTAAAACAAAACCTGGAGTTGGGCACCATGGCTTCTACCTGTAATCCCAGCTACTTGGGAGGCTGAGTCAGGAAGATCACTTTGAGACTAGCCTGGGCAACACAGTGAGACCTCATCTCTAGAAAAATTTAAAAGCCAGGCGTTGTGATGCACACCTGTATTCCCCGCTACTTGGGAGGCCGAGGCAGAAAGATTACTCAAGACTAGCCTGGGCAACATAGTGAGACCTCATCTCTACAAAAATTTAAAAGACAGGCATTGTGGTGCACACCTGTAGTCCTAGCTACTTGGGAGGCTGGGGTGGGAGGATCGCTTGAGCCTAGGAGTTCGAGGCTGCAGTGAGCTATGATCTTACAACTGCACTCCAGCCTGGGTGACAAAGCAAGACTCTAATCTCTATAACATAATAATAAAATTAAAAATAAGCAATCTGCAATGTAACACTATAGTGTTCTTTTTACACTGATATTTGTAATGTAATATTTAAAATCACCTGTTTTGAAGTTCTAAGAGTAAAGTTTCTGAAGCCATACTTAGCATGAAACACCATTAATGACATATGCAATCAAAGGCTTCTCTGAACCCGTTTTCATTTCCTTCAACATAAAACATACTATCTATTGCAAAGATTTGTTTTAAGATGAAATAATATGTAAATTTATCAAGATTTATTCATTAGGCGATTAAACAATCTTGTATGTAAATAAACCTTTGCATAAAAAAGCCATTTTACTTGCTCAATAAAGTGAAAAAATTAAAAAACATAGGCTTAATCGTATTGAGAAAAAAAGAAATTTCAAAATGACATGATTCATTTCAAGCACTAAAATGAATAAACTAAAAGATAACACAACAGACCCATAAAATAAGCATGGCCCATGTGCTTCAAAATGGAAGTACTGTAAAAGTAGACAACACAGACTTTCCTTTCTGGAGGAAGTCCACTTTAAAAATTTCAGAGTATAGTCAAAATAGAAAATTATTAAAAGAAGTCTTGAATTTTTTTTTTCTTTTTCTTTTTTTTTTTTTTTTACTTGAGACAGGGTCTCAATCAATCACCCAAGCTGAGTATAGTGGCACCACCATGGCTCACTGCAACCTAGACCTCCTGGGCTCAAGCAATCCTCCCACCTAAGCCTCCTGAGGAGCTGGGACTACAAGCAACAGCGACCATGCCCAGCTAATTTTTTTATTTTGATTTTTGTAGAGATGGTGTCTGGCTAGGTTGCCCAGGCTGGTCTCCAACTCCCGGGCTCAAGCAATCTTCCTGCCTTGGCCTTCCCAAAGTGCTGGGATTATAGGTGTTAGCCACTGTGCCCAGTACACCTATAATCCCAGCTACTCAGGGGACTGAGGTGGGAGGATTGATTGAGTCCAGGAGTTCAAGACTGCAGTGAGCCATTATCAAGCTTCTGTGCTCCAGCTTGGGCAACAGAACAAGACTCTGTCTCAAAAAAAAAAAAAAAAAAAGAAAATTAAAAAGAAAAGAAAAGTCTTCCTTAAAAACATAATATTCAATAATGTTTACGTTATTATTAAATAGTGGCAGCAGCAATATAGTAGAAACGAGTGGGTTGAAGGAAAAGTAAACCACATACTTCTTCTAACTTTGCGGCTGCTAGCTAGTACTCCTGCTCTAGGTCTCAGTTTTCTTATCCATAAAATAAGAGGATTAGGCTTCAAATCGCTAAGATTACTTTGGATCTAATGCCCTATGATTTTATGAAAATACAACAAATCTTACCAGTTTCTGATTTATTCAAAATAGATGAGTAGGAGTAGCTTTGGCTGACATAATCACTGGTAGAACCCCCAGAACCTTCTCTTGGAAGCGGACCTATAAACCTGTCATGAACACTGTCTTCCCCAGCACTGGAATCCTCCTAAAATGCAACATATTCAAATAGTTAGTAAATAGCAAATGTTGCTGAAACAACAGCATTCACCATTTCCTGTAGGAAGGTTTGAATGATGCCTGATACAAAACACTCTGGAAAGGTGCTCATGCCCCCTTCCAAAGTGTTACTTTCTAAATTTTCTTTCAAATTTTCTGTTTACATGAGAGAAGATTTTTGGTACTAATAAACGAAAAGTACCATTGTACTCCGTGATGACAGTCTATCATTCATTTTTATATCATCCTGGCCACGTAGGCCTAGCACATAGGGGACACACAATTATTGTTGGTGAGATGGATAGTTTCCTACTGTCTCTGACAAGAAACTTCATTTTAATAAGGAAGATGCTGAAAAGGATTAAGGGACATAAAAGCAGCACAAGCAATTAGAACAGAACTGAAGAATTCTTATGCATTTAAAAACATGAATCCCTGAACTGTGAATCCAGAGTTCCCTAAATTAATAGCTATTTTAGATTTCAATGTCACTCAGACTAATCAAAATCTTCTCATGATGTCATAAAACTAAATGATGCAATTAATGAAGATCAGAGAGCATATTCTGTTACTGCTTCAGTACAGATGGACTGTGTTTAATTACTGTCTAGTATCCAGACAGGCATTGTTAATCACAATAAACTTCTAAATGAAAAGCATCAAACAGAACAATCTTTCCTGAGCAAAGCGTCATTAAACAGAAGGATTCTGAAAAAGTCTCAGCCTGTAAAAGAGTGAGGTAAATCAGACCAGGTTTTCTTAATCTTTTTTTGGCATTTTAATTTTTTAAATTATTATTTTTTCAACTTTTAAGTTCAGGTGTATCTGCGCAGGATGTGGTTTGTTACCCAGGTAATGTGTGCCATGGTTGTTTGCTGCACAGATCATCCCATCACCTAGGTATTAAGTCCAGTATCCCTTAGCTATTCTTCCTAATGCTCTCCCTCACAACATGCCCCAGTGTGTGTTGTTCCCTCCCTGTGTCCACGTGTTCTCATCATTCAGCTCCCACTTATAAGTGAGAACATGTAGTGTTTGGTTTTCTGTTCCTGTGTTAGTTTCCTGAGAATAATGACTTCCAGCTCCATCCATCTCCCTGCAAAGGACATGATCTTGTTAGTTGTTATGGATGCATAGTATTCTGTGGTGTATATGAACCATATTTTCTTTATCCAATCTATCATTGATGGGCATTTAGGTTGATTCCATGTCTTTATTATTGTGAATAGTGCTGCAGTGAACATATGAGTGCATGTATCTTTATAACAGAATGATTTCTACTCCTTTGCCTATATACTCAGTAATGGGACTGCTGGGTCAAATGGTATTTCTGCCTCTAAGTCTTTGAGGAATGACCACATTATTTTCCACAATGATTGAACTAATTTACTCTCCACAACCTTGCCAGCATCTTTTGTTTTTTGACTTTTTAATAACTGCCATTCTGACAGGTGTGGGATGGTATCTCATTGCGGTTTTGATTTGCATTTCTCTAATGATCAGTAATGTTAAGCTTTTTTTCATGTTTGTTGGCTGCATGTATACCTTCTTTTGAGAAATGTCTGTCCATGCCCTTTGCCTACTTTTTAATGGGTCTGTTTTTTTCTCGTAAATTTAAGTTCCTTGTAGATTCTGGATATTAGACCTTTGTCAGGTGGATAGATTGTAAAAATTTTCTCCCATTCTGTAGGCTGTCTGGTCATTCTGATGATAGTTTCTTTTGCTGTGTGGAAGCCCTTTAGTTTAATTAGATCCATTTGTCAATTTTTGCTTTTGTTGCAATTGCTTTTGGAATTTCATCATGAAATCTGTGCCTGTACCTATGTCCTAAATAATATTGCCTAGATTTTTTTCTAAGGTTTTGTATAGTTTCGGGTTTTACATTGAAGTCTTTAATCTGTCTTAAGTTAATTTTTGTTTATGGTGTAAGGAAGGAGTCCAGTTTCAATTTCCTGCCTATGGCTCACCAGTTCTCCCAGCACCATTTATTAAATAGAGAATCCTTTCCTCGTTGCTTTTGTCTGGTTTGTTGAAGATCAGACGGTTGTAGATGTGTGGTCTTATTTCTGAGTTCTCTATTCTGTTCCATTGGTCTATGTGTCTGTTCTTTTACCAGCAGTATGATGTTTTGATTACTGTAGCCTTGCAGTATAGTTTGAACTTGGGTAGCATGATGCCTTCAGCTTCGTTCTTTTTGTTTAGGATTGTCTTGGCTATTCAGGCTCTTTTTTGGTTCCATATGAATTTTAAAATAGATTTTTCTAATTATGTGAAGAATGTCAATGGTAGTTTAATGGGAATAGCATTGAATCTATAAATTACTTTGGACAGTATGGCCATTAACAAGATATTGATTCTTCCTATCCATAAGCATGGAATGTTTTCCCATTTGTTTGTATCTTCTCTGATTTATTTCAGCAGTTTATAGTTCTCCTTGAAGGTGTCCTTCACTTTCCTTGTTAGCTGTATTCCTGGGTATTTTCTTTCTGTAGCAATTGTGAATGGGAGTTCATTCGTGATTTGGCTCTCTGCTTGCCTGTTGTTGGTATACAGGAATACTAGCAATTTCTGCACACTGAATTTGTATCCTGAGACTTTGCTGAAGTTGCTTATCAGCTTAAGCTGATTTTATGAAAATACATCATAAGACGATGGGGTTTTCTAGATACAGGATCATGTCATCTGCAAACAAAGATAATCTGACTTCTTCTTTTCCTATGTGAATACCTTTTATTTCTTTTTCTTGCCTGATTGCCCAGGTCAGAACTTCCAATACTATGTCAAATAGGAGTAGTAAAAGAGGGCATTCTCATTTTGTGCCAGTTTTCAAGGGGAATGCTTCCAGCTTTTGCCCATTCAGGTTGATATTGGCTGTGGGCCTGTCATATATGATTCTTGCTATTTTGAGTATATTCCTTCAATTCCTAGTTTATTCAGAGTTTTTAACATGAAGGGATAATGAATTTTACTGATGGCCTTTTCTGCATCTTTTGAGATAATCATGTGTTTTTTGTCTTTAGCTCTGTTTATGGGATGAATCGCATTTATTGATTCGCATATGTTGAACAAACCTTGCATCCTGGGAATGAAGCCAACTTGATCATGTGGATAAGCTTTTTGATGTGCTGCTGAATTCAGTTTGCCAGTATTTTATTAAGGATTTTTGCACCGATGTTCATCAGGGATACTGGCCTTAAGTTTTCTTTTCTTGTTGTATCTCTGCCAGGTTTGGGTATGAGGATGAGGCTGGCCTCATACAAAGAATTAGGGAGGAGTTCTTCCTTTTCAATTTTTTGGAATAGTTTCAGTAGAAATGGTACCAGCTCTTCTTTGTACCTCTGGTAGAATTCAGCTGTAAATCTGTTTGGTCCTGGGCTTTTTTTGATTGGTAGGCTATATATTACTGCCTCAATTTCAGAATTTTTAATTGGTCTATTTAGAGACTCAATTTCTTCCTAGTTCAGTCTTGGAACGGTGTATGTGTCCAGGAATTTATCCATATTTTCTATTTTATGTGCACAGAGATGTTTATAGTATTCTCTGATGGTTTTTCGTATTTCTGTGGGGTCAGTGGTGATATCCCCCTTATCGTTTCTGATTGTGTTTATTTGATTCTTCTCTTTTCTTATTAGTCTAACTAGCAGTTTATCTATTTTATTAATTTTTTCAAAAAACCAACTCCTGGATTTGTTGATTTTTGAAAGGTTTTTCGTGTCTCTATCTATCTCCTTCATTTCTGTGCTGATTTTGGTTATTTCTTGTCTTCTGCTAGCTTTGGGGTTTGTTTGCTCTTGGTTCTCTAGTTCTTTTAGTTGTAATGTTAGGTTGTTAACTTGACATCTTCCTAGCTTTTTGATATGGGCATTTGGTGCTATAAATTTCTTTCTTAACCCTGCTTTAGCTGCATCCCAGAAATTCTGGTATGTTATCTCTTTGTTCTTATCAGTTTCAAAGAACTTCTTGATTTCTGCCTTAATGTCATTATTTACTCAAGAGTCATTTGGGAGCAGGTTGTTCAATTTTGTAGTCATGTGGTTTTGAGTGAATTTCTTGAGTTCTAGTTTGATTGTGCTATGGTCTGAGAGTCTGTTGTAATTTCAGTTCTTTTGCATTTGCTGAGGAGTGTTTTACTTCTGATTATGTGATCAGTTTTAGAGTAAGTGCTGTGTGGTGATGAGAAGAATGTATATTCTGTTGTTGTGGGGTGGGGAGTTCTGTAGATATCTATCAGGTCCACTTGATCCAGAGCTGAGTTTAGGTACTGAATATCTTTGTTAATTTTCTGTTTCGATGATCTGTCTAATACTGTCAGTGGGGTGTTAAAGTCTCCCATTGTTATTGTGTGGGAGTGTAAGTCTCTTTTGTTGGTCTCTAAGAACTTGCTTTATGAATCTGGGTGTTCCTGTATTGAGTGCATATATATTTAGGATAGTTAGCTCTTCTTGTTGGATTGAACCCTTTACTATTATGTAATGCCCTTGTCTTTTTTTATCTTTGTTGGTGTAAACTCTGTTTTGTCAGAAACTAGGATTGCGACTCCTGCTTTTTTCTGTTTTCCATTCACTTGGTAAATTTTCCTCCATCCCTTTATTTTGAGCCTATGTGTGTCTTTGCACATGAGATGGGTCTCTTGAAGACAGCATACTGATGAGTCTTGACTCTTTATTCAGCTTGCCATTCTGTGCCTTTTAATTAAGGCACTTAGCCCATTTACATTTAAGGTTAGTAATATTATGTGCAAATTTGATACTGTCATCATGATGCTAGCTGGCTATTTTCCTGGCTTATGTGGTTGCTTGATAGTGTCACTGGTCTGTGTACTTCAGTGTATTTTTGTACTGGCTGGTAACAGTTTTTCCTTCCCATATTTAGTGCTTTCTTCAGGAGCTCTTGCAAGGCAGGCCTAATGGTGATGAATTCTCTCAGCATTTGCTCGTCTGAAAAGGATCATATTTTTCCTTTGCTCATGAAACTTAGTTTGGCCAGATATGAAATTTTGGGTTGGAAATTCCTTTCTTTAAGAATGTTGAATATTGGTCCCTAATCTCTTCTGGCTTGTAGGGTTTCCACTGAGAGGTCTACTGTTTGTCTGTTTGTAGGTGACCTGGCCTTTCTCTCTGGTTACCCTTAACATTTTTTATTTCATTTTGACCTTGGAGAGTCTGACGATTATTGTCTTGGGGTTAATCTTCTCATGGTGTATCTTACTGGGGTTCTCTGCATTTCCTGAATTTGAATGTTGGCCTGTCTTGCTAGATTAGGAAAGTTCTCCTGGATGACATCCTTAAGTATATTTTCCAACTTGGTTCCATTCTTCCTGTCTCCTTCAGGTATCCCAATCAGTTGTACGTTTGGTCTCTTTACATAATCCCATATTTCTTGGAGGTTTTGTTCATTCCTTTTCATTCTTTTTTCTCTATTCTTGTCTGCCTGTCTTATTTCAGAAAGACAGTCTTCAAGCTCTAAGATTCTTTTCTCTACTTGGTCTATTCTGCTATTGATACTTGTCATTGCACTGTAAAGTTCTTGTAGTGTATTTTTCAGCTCTATCAGGTCAGTAATGTTCCTTTCTGAACTGGCTATTCTGGCTGTCAGCTCCTGTATTATCACGATTCTTAGCTTCTTTACATTAGGTTACAACATGCTCCTTTAGCTCAGCAAAGTTTGTTATTACCCACCTTCTAAAACCTCCTTCTGTCAATTCAGCCATCTCAGCCTCAGCCCAGTTCTGTGCCCTTGCTGGAGAGGCACTGCGGTCATCTGGAGAAGAGGCATTCTGGCTTTTTGAGTTTTTGACATTTTTGTGTTGATTCTTTCTCATCTCTGTGGGCTTATCTACCTTTGATCTTAGAGGTTGCTGACCTTTGAATAGGGATTGTGTGGGGTCTTTTCTGTTGATATTATTGTTATTATTTTCTGCTTATTTGTTTTACTTTTAACAGTCAGGCCACTCTTCCATAGGGCTGCTGCAGTTTGCTGGGGGTCCACTCCAGACCCTAGTTGCCTCAGTTTTTCCCATACCTGGAGGTATCACCAGTGAAGGCTGTGAAACAGCAAAGATGGCAGCCTGCTCCTTCCTCTGGAAACTCTGTCCCAGGGGGTCCTGAACTGTTGCTGGCCTGAATGCACCTGCAGGAAGTTGCTGAAAACCCGTTGGGAGCCAATTCCAAGCCAGTGGGTCTTAGCTTGTGAGGTGCTGTGGAAGTGGGGCCTGCAGAACAATGCTGCTTGGATCCCTGGATTCAGCCCCCTTCCTAGGGGTATTTATGTATGGACTTCCCACCTTGTTGGGGATCCTGGGGTCAGAGTATGTAAAACTCCTGGGGTCTATATGTGTGTCCGAGTGGCTGCTCTACCAAGATTCCACATAGCTCTGTGTATTGGACCCAAGACCCTGGTGGCGTGGGCTCCTGAGGGGATCTCTTGATCTTAGGGTTGCAAAGATCCATGAAAGTAGCGTGGTTTCCTGGGCAGAGTCATACAATCATTCACAGCTTCCCTTGGCTGGGGGTGGGGATTCCTTTGGCTTTGTGTCTCTCCTGGGTGGGCCATCGCCCCACCCTGCTTTTCTTCATTCTTTTTGAGTTGAGTTGTTTGCCTAATCAGTCTCAGTGCGAGAACTTGGATATTTCAGTTGAATGTGCTGTATTCACTCTCCCCTTTCACTCCTCTCCATGAGCACTGTGGACCGCAGCTATTTCTAATCGGCCATCTTGGCCCCTCCCTCTTACTCTTTTTTAACTCATGTCCTCTACAACGCACTGAGAGAAAAAAAAAAATCTCTGGTGGAATAGCCCTCAAATTGGGAGATACTGCATTAGATATCTCTAAGGCAACTGGGCTGAACAGGAAAGTCCACTGAAATGTGAATTGGGATAAACATTAAAAGAATAGAAGTGAAACATTTAATGTATACACCAGTCATTCCAAAAAAGGTGGCAGGTTAGGGGAGGAAGTGAGAACGGAAATGACCTTCTTGCAGATACTGAAAAACCTCATGAAAACCACCAAAGATTTACAGCAACCAAGCAAATGCTTAAACAAAGGAAGGGTCACTACTGAAACACAGGAGATCTTTGTGGCACTTTGACTTATCCTAGACCCACCCCCATCCCTGGTGTGGCAGTGGTCTTGAAGACAGCAGTATATGTTAAATCCAAGGCGGCAACAGACTGTATACACAAATAATGTTGCTGTGGATGTCCAGTGTAACTATGTTATTCTACACACTTATAACAAACCAACATAAAATGAAAAAATATTAATTTATTACACAAATTACAAAACACATCTTATTTCCTTTGGGAAACTGCATCCTCAAGTAGTAGGTGACAGTGCACAAAAATTATAAATATGGGGCTTTCTAAGTAGCTTACCAGCAGTATTTGAGGTTGTTCACCATCTTTATCTGTCAAATGCAGAAAGTTCTTCTTTCCTGGCTCAAAATTAGCGTCGAGAAGTGACTTGTCACTGGTATGATCCAGTGGTGCCTATGGACATAAAACATAATGTTTCAGATTATGAGAAACATAAAATAAGTAATCTGTAAATAGATACATATCTACATTTAAATAGTATTTTTTTAGTAATGATCTGGTAAAATTCTCTTCATCTAGGCTTGGAATTAACTCATTTATTCATTAACTGGAATAGCTAAGCCCAGTAACAGTGCATACACTGATAGGTATCCCAGAGACTCACATTCCCCAACATCTAACAAACTAAAAAGAGAAAAGGCGAAAGTTAAGAGGTAATGTTAAGCACTACATACACATAAAAAGAATCTATAAACATTTCTCTTTCCATGTTCTATACAATATATGCAATATGATATTTAATGGGGTTTCAAGAAAATTGACCAAAGATAATTTTACATAACTAAAAACCAAAATGTTTTGATATATAAATATGATGAAAAATACCAGATAAGCAACATACTAAGCAACCCAACCAAAATAATTATGTAACATAATTATGTAATGTAACAAAAATAAAACTAATGTAGTATATAATATAGCCTTTAGAAAGACTCCTTAAGGAAAAGCCTGTCCCAGTAAATGATACCTATTTCAAATGTACCACTAGGATTCAGAGGACCCAGGGGGTATGGAAGTGACTGTGATCAGACCTTTGAAAATTAAACATCTAAGAGTCAAGTCTTCACCTAACTTATATGGTAGGGCAATTTCAACTCTAGCTGTCATTCTAATATACTCTAGCTGGTGGATGAGAGAGGAAACTCTGTATGCCCCAAGCCCTACTCACTCACTCCAGACTGCTGTTGAGAAAAATGAGGGAGTAGAGATAAACATCTTTAAAACTGTTTTGTTACATTAAGAAATGTTTTTAATGTTTCAAAGACATGGGCAGAGTCTCCTTATACTCATTTTATGAAAATGCCTTTATTTCTTAGGAAATTAACACTGATTAACGTTGTATAAAAGTGCAGGTACTGAGGACAAAAAAAATTAACTGTAAGAGATTCTGCTACTTACTATCTGTGTGACTTTGGAAAGTTATTTCACTTCCCCATGACTCAGTTTCTTCACCTATGAGGGTGTAGTAGCATCTACCTCATAGAGTAGTTATTAATATAAGGATTAAAAAAGATTACATTTGTACAGAGCTTAGAATACTATAAACACAGTAAGTGCAAAAGACGTGTTAAGTAAATAAAACAGCGAATATATTATCTACCTCTTAACTTTGGCTCACATCTATCAATCCACAAGAAAAACAGGACATAGAAAACCTGAAGCTAAAAGCAGCCACATGGAGGGAAGAAAGGGATTGCTGGGTTCCTTAAAGTCACTGGTGGGACATGATCAGATCACACAGCTGAAATACACAGGGGTTTTACCTCAGTAAGTGTCTGTATACAAGGTGGTGGGTAGCTAAATGGGCTTAGTTTTCTGAGGAGTATCCATTCAGCACTACGCAGTAAGCAGGAGAAAGTAGTCATATTTGTAGAAATGTACAGGAGGCAAATAAAAATACAGAAATAGAGCTCGAGTACAGTAATAGCTAAAAAGAAAGAAACAGGTAATCCTGACATACAGCTATTTAAAGCTATTGTGGAAGATAATTTAACAAATGCTTTTTGAATGCCTAGAAGGAATGTTTATGGAGGATATGAAATTTATACGAGGTTCCTGTAATGAAAATGCTGACATTGGAAATGGAAAGACACAGATGAGTAACACCTATAACAAAAAGGAACTATAAGTGGTGCAGCCAAAGGGCATAGGAGGTCAAAGAGAAAAAAATTACTTTTAAAGCGGCATGAGGAAACACTGAGTAAGGCTTTTTAAGGGTAAAAGATGATATTATATATCATCTAGGACAGTACACAACTATCCTTTAAACTGAAAAAGGACAACACTGGAAATTATGTGGTGATGTACCAGAAAGTGTTCAAAGTCTCAGATTAAATATTGTTTATCTTTCTATGTCTTGTCCGACTACCAATTTTACTGGTTAATTTCAGTTTAAAACATTAGTTCTATATTTTTAAAAAAACAAATATATTATGGAATAAAAAGCATAATATGATTTTAAGGGCAAATCAGGCAACATCAAACATCTTTGATTCTCCTGTGGGACCAACTTAAAATATGTACTCCAAATACCATAGGGATACACATTCAACTTCACTGACTGTTAGAGGTATTTTTCTGGAAAACTTAAGACAGAAAAATATGGAAATCTATGTTAAGAAAATAAACCAATCCAGTATCTGGGATTTAAGAGTATAAAGCCTTAAAGAACCAATAATAGCTTGTCTTAGATTTTTAATCAGTGGGCAATGAGCAGTGATTGATGGTTACTGAACTAGAAGGTGACATAAGTGCTACAACTTTAGATGACTGAAAATAATTCTAACTATTATGTAGGGTGAATTTGGACAGAGAGAAAGGAAACAAAAAAGGCTATCTAGAATACTGTTCTAATAACGCAGATGAGATCCAACTCAATGGTCTTCTTCCTTAACCACACTCCCATGCAAAAGTGATCAGTACCTCTGCTATGTTCTGAGTGTTTATGTCTCCCCAAAATTCACATGCTGAAACCTAATCCCCAATGCAATGATATTAAGCGTTGGGGCCTTAGGAGCTGATTAGGTCTCAAGGATGGAGCCCTCATGAATGGAATCAGTGTCCTTATAAAAATGGTCCAAGGACAGATGTCTATCAAGGATTCCTAGAAATTTTTTTAATAATTGCAATTGTTTATTTTGGTAGTAAACATTAATACAAGATTAGGTCAAATGATGACCTAAGAAGATGTCTACCAATAATCCTCCCCTAAAGTCCATAAAATGTCAAAAAAGAGCATGCTTAGCAAACCAAAAATTTTGAGAAATTAAAAAATAGAAAACAGACAGGATCAGATCTATGGAAAAATAAAACTAAGGGGAACCACAGCCCAAAGATCCTATAAGAGAAGACTACTGTGGAGATAAAGGTAGTAAGGAACTTCAGACTAAGGTCAAGACATAGAGGCCAGGAAACAGCTAAAAGTGAGGAAGTAGGAAAAGGCATTCTGATCAGTTTGGTATCTCCTCTCTTTTTCTCCTTGGACTACGTAGCAGACAGCAGTGCTTATTTCCTGTCAGGGTAAAGAGTGGGCACTGTGACCGGAGAGGTAGCACAGTGCTGTCTAACAAGGTACTGATCAGCTCCTAACCCTAAAGAGTCAGAAGCCAGCCAATCCCAGAACAAGTATAAACACATCACACCTAGCAGCACGTCTCACCCTTTTTCCACAACAAGCAAGAACTGAATATGGTAAGTTTAATCAGCATTCACAGAGAAGTGAACAGAGATTCTCAAATATAAAGATGAGCAGAAAATAAAAATCACTAAATATTTAAAGAAATGCTACACCATGAAAGAGAGAAACTAAATATAATGGATAAGGGATAAATAATTAAGGAAACAGTTAACAGACGACTAAAATTAGAAAGTATACCCTCAAAGAGATCTGACAAGACTGCAGTCGTTAAAAATGTTTTTAAGCTTAAGAGTTAAAAGTCAAAAGCTACACATGTTCATACAAAGAAAAATAAACATACAAAAAAGTTGCCCAGAAATGCACATAGACACACAAATAAAAAGAAATAGTCAGCTAGAGATAATCTTGGTTAACACTGTAATGTATGAGGCATATATGCTTCCATTTTTCTTACTATGAATATTTTTCTTCTTTTCCAAAAATCAGATCATAAAATATGATTTTACAATCTTTTTTCACGGAATAATATAAGATGATCATCATTCTGTTCAGTAAATATAGAAATTTTTCTTTAGTTGAGACAATATTATGAGAGTCACCTTTCATGAATGAAAAAACTGATGAAATGACATTATGTAAACTTTAGGACGAGCAAATGTTAAATCCAGAATGGAGGCAAAGGAAGAAGAAGGATCCAATTACTGAGCTGCACATAGGCTCTTACTGTAGTTGTTATACTTTTGTTTATGATTTTAAGAGTTCCAGGATTTAACATTATCATCAGTAACAACAACAACAATGGCTATAATAACATTTTTAGAAGCTTAAGTCTAGGATTTTACCATATCAGCAGTATTGATTCCATTTCCCCACACCAAGTCAAAGGTTCCATTTATGTAGCCTACTTTGTTGGCCACATCTTCAAAGAGCTTTCTGACTGGAGTAGATGCTGGTAAATTTAAAGTGATCCGTTCATTCACTGTCTTTGAATTAGTAGTATCTTGTATAATACATAAGACTCTAGGTTCTTCAGCAGCATTTTCTATCTGAAATTTTAAGAAAAATATGACTTTATATATTATCTTTAAAGCAAAACAAAAGTATAATTAGCTATAAAATTTTATGATTAAATGTAAAAGACCTCAGGAAATACTAAGTATTTTCTCTGTGCTATTTTCTCTGTTTTATCGTAGTCTGAAACGCATTCTAATGGATATGTCAAACATATAAGCACCGTATATGTTTGTTTTGGAAGAATCAAGGCACATTTCAGAATCAACAATCATTTTTGGAGATATTTGCTTTCACCTTTAAGACTGTAAATCCATGGTCAATAAGCCATGAAGATAGTAATATTTAAGCAATTTTAAGTTAAAAATTATAAAATCTGATCCTTAAAAAATGTGTCATTACCATGCTAGCCACAGTCAAATCAAATATTTCTGGGTCTCCTAAAAAAAAATGGGAATTGTGCAAAAATGCAGTAAGGATTGTCTAAAGATTAAAAAATCTATAACTAAGGGATACAGGCTACCACATCTCCTGATCTTTATGCTGCTGTACTCATAAGTCCAGATGTCCAAAAAGCTCCATTTATTAACGTGTCAGGGGCTGACAAGCTTATCCAAACAGATGAGCCAGGAGGAGGGGGAAGGAAAAACAAGGAAACAGTTTCAATTACCAATACAGAAAGGAATTAGGGTCACAAATTATCCTTCCTGCTTAAACTTTCTCAAATAAGCTATGCCCTCCCTCAAGCTGTTAAAGGACACCACTTTTCCACTTTCCACAGGGGTAAAAGACTACATCAAAGATACTTTATTGGAAGAAATTCCTTTCCCTCCTTCTATAATGGCCATCTCAATGAATGGCACCATCATCTGCCTGGCTGCTGAAACCAAACAGCTGAAATGAGCATCTTCCTTGTCCTTCCCTCTTTACCTCACATAGTCTCCAAAACCTATCAATTCTACCTTTTGAATATCTCTTGAACTACCTCCTTCACTTTATTCTTGCCTGCAGCAATAAGAATATCCTACAACAAAATTATGGAACAGCTTCCTAAGAAGTTTAACTTCTTCCAATCTTATATTCCTTCAACCCCGAATAGTATTTCTGATATACAAATCTGATGATGTAAATCTCTTGCTTTCCCTGACAGTCAGGTGTGGCATTAAACTGAGAGATGTCTCACCATCTCCATAATGGGCTATTCAGAAATATGATCTCTACAAACTGGTGGTGTACACAAAAATTTATTTCTTCCTTAGTTTTTATAACACTATCAGCTTCAACCTTTTGTTGCTTCTATATTATCCATTTTTAAATAAGAATAATTATAATTGGCTAGTACTGAAGATGGGATAGCCACAAAGTTTTTTGTTTGTTGAAGTAATACAATTATCATTTGTTTCTGTGACACACAATTTTGGGTTTGCAAGAGATCATTTAAATTAAAGTTACTCCAATTAGTTTAGAACAAAAGTAAGTTGCTATAAAAGTATAATATTTAAAATAAATTGGGTAGCACTACAATTCAGACACATCCAAATATTTAATTACTAAAAACTTACTTAAAAAATAAAAAGAAAATACATTTCTGTGAAATAAAAGAAACAAAAGAACATTATTAACATACATTTCAAAAAAGATAAAAAAACCTTCACCTATATATTTTAGATGTTATATTAACACATTTAATAGATTATTTTACACATTTTAACCCTAAACTAAAAAACATAAAATAGATCTTTTTAAAAATGCTGGTTTATGATGAAAGAGTAAATGACTCAAAATAAATTTCAACTACAAAACGTACACTTTTATAGATTCAATAGTATACTTCAGGGATAGATCAAGTCTGAATGATTCAGCGTTCCTGGTATAAAATACTGTAGTAGCCAGATTTTAAAGCTTCAAATAAGCTGGAGTTGATGGTCAAAGGAAGACAACGCTAAGAATTTAGAAATCAAAAGTGCTGTAATAGTAATCATACATAAGAATGGTGATGTGGCAACATCATATGGTCAGACATTAGCAGTTCCTGGTTCTTTCCCTAAATATGTGAATGCAGGGTCCAAGCACCCCAGATGCCTCTCCTTCCATGTGGGAAAATTATCCCTCAATGAAATCCTATCTAAAGACTAAATATGTTATACAGAAAAAAACAAAATTCAATCTCATGTGTGGCTTATATTCTTTTTAGTAATAGCCCTTCTTTTCCGTACATATAAATAATTTTGCTTTTTTTAAAAATACTAAGAGTATAAAGGAAAAAATGGAAATAATCTGTAACTCTATAACCCACAGATAACTATTAGCATGCTGGCATATATCCTTCCAAATATCTTATCTGCGCGCGCGCACACACACACACACACACACACACACACACACACACACACACACACACACACAGAGAGAGAGAGAGAGAAAGAGAGAGAGAGAGAGAGAGAAAGGCTATGCATGCATGCTACATAATCACAAACACTGGATTAGAATACACATGCTGTTTTCTAACATCTTTCTTATATCATGCAATCTTTCCCTGTAAAGCTTTTCCTAACTCATCATTTTAACAGCTAAGTAGTATTTGTTAGTATACGGATTAATAATAATTTACTTAATAAATTCTATTTTATTGTCTCCAAGACTTTATTATACTTTTACAAATAATTCTGTGATGAACACCTACATAAAACTTCATATACTTTATTTCCTTAAAATCCTTATACATAGAATTTCTCAGCAAATTACATTTTACTCTTGAATTCTGTTGTGGATGATTTAAACAGATAAAAAGCTCTGCTCTTCTTTAAAGCTCTAAGCTAGCCACTGCTAAATTCTACTTTACACTCAACTTTCTGGGCCCATTCTTATTTCACCTATACTTTAATATAACATGTGGACTTCATCTGAATTTTAGAATCACCATTGCTAACAGTAATCACACTAAAGTAAAATTTCTCTCCTCCTTTCCCCTCTCCAGTTTGGGAACTGAGAAGAAAACAATTTTTTTGTTGTTGCAATTTTAAGATACCACCAATAAGATATGGCAATAGTTTTTTTTTTTCTTAAATAGCTTTTCAAGAGAAAAAAACCTATACAATATAAATTAAACATGCAGGAAACATTTCCAAAACATTTAAATGTAAAAAGGTTTTTTCTGGAAATGGGAAATTAGGGCAGCTATCTTTCTTAATTTCTTTGTAGCCCTAACCAAAACTGATCCTACTTATGCCCAAAGGTAAAAACAATTACGTCTTGAGGTGGATTAAAGATAGCAAAAAATTCTTTGCCATTCTTTTTTTTTTCCTTTTCTCATGAATCTGACGTGACCATCTAAGACCAAGAGAATGTGACAGAAGTCACGCTGTGTGTGTAACTTAAGGCAGAGCCTTAAGAAACCAGCAGTTTCTGCTTTTGTATTTCTTGGAAACATTCCCTCTTATAACCCAGCCACCATGTAAGAAATCCAGTTACCCTGGGATCAATCAGCATGCTGTGAGGAAGCCCTAGAAATCCACATTCAGAGGAAGCAGCCACTTGGTGGAGACACTGAGGTGCCTGATGTATGAGAAAAGCCTTTTGGACGTTCCATTCAATGACTGCCACCAACTTAATGGAGCCAAGTAATTCTAGATGATGCCACCTGGAGCAGAACTGAATAGCTGGTGAGCCCTGGCCCCAATCCCATCCCACAGAAATCTGAACAAATAAACTAAATGCCCTATTAAGTCACTAAACTTTAGGGTCCACTGTTACATAGTAATAGATAAAAAATAAATATAGCTAAACACCTTCGAGCACATCCAAGTTCAAGTGGGGAAAGTATGATGATGGTGCTGTTGGTAGGGAGGGAAAGGTACTACTTTTCATTTAAGTACTACATCCAACATTAAGAAAAGGCATCTGAGGATACATCATGATTTAGGGAAGGGAGCAAAAATTTTTAGTCAAGAGTTCTCTGATGAACCTGAGGTAAGAGAAAACAAGTGTAAAATTTTAGAAAAGCCTACAGCATGTTCCATTTAGAAAAACATTTAATGTAGTTTAGATGCGCTATTTGAAGAGGACAAAGTTTTCTACAAAGAAAATCTAGCCAAGTACAAAAAAAGGTATAAATCCTAAAGTTGAAACTATTTATTTTACAGGCAACTCATAGCAATATTACACTTATGAGACTAAGGGGAAAGTCAACAGCAGTTATATTTACTGTATAAGCTAATAGAGTGCTCTGTGGCTACATTCATTGCAGAAACAAAGCTAGATTTCCTAGCAAAGTTTGAAGAAAAAAAATCCTTTTTAAAAAAGTAAAAATGGCCAGGTGAGGTGGCTCACATCTGTAATCACTGCACTTTGGCAGGCCGAGGTGGGAGGATCACTTCAGGTGAGGAGTTCCAGACCAACCTGGCCAACAGGGCAAAACCCTGTCTCTACAAATAATACAAAATTTGCTGGGTGTGGTGGCACACGCCCGTAACCTCAGCTACTTGGAAGGCAGAAGCAGGAGAATCGCTTGAACCTGGGAGGTAGAGTTTGCAGTGAGCTGAGATCGTGCCACTGCACTCCAGCCTGGGCGACAGCAAGACTCTGTCTCAAAGAAAAAAAAAAGTAGAAAGAATAAAACCATAGTCTTGTTTATAAAAGGTGAAACATATTGGGATAAAAAGCACTGAAAACAGTTTTCTTCCAAAGATACACTTAACTGCTAGAAACATCTAGAAGTCGTTGGCATAGTTCTAAGACATTTTAGAGCCCGCTGAAGGGATGCTTGCCTCTTAAGTCATCTTGTCTCCTTTTCTTGACATTCCCAATAGTTTTAAGCTCAAATCTGAGTTCTCTGATAACATCATAATTTTTGTTTCAAAAAAATACTCCTATGTATTTCTTATTAAAGAATACACACTGAGGTTTAAAATTGATCGTATATGTTCAGAATGGCATCAGCATACAGAATATAAGCTAATATCAAAATTCAAAATTATCAAGATTTAAATATTTCTAAGAGAAAAAATTAAGATAAAGTATTTTAAAATTATGAAGGTACCGCTTTACCTCTAAATTTAACCCATGCTCTCTAAGACATTCTTCCTTTCAATGTTATTGCAAATAATAGTATTATGGTTACAAGCTTTTAAACACACACACACACACACACACACACACACACACACACACACACACACAATAAGTCAATTTTCTCTCCCTTTTGGTACAGGAGCTGCCACAAGCTAAGTAATTAGGCCTTAGAGCATTCCCATCTGGGTATCCACAGTTCAAGATTAATGTATTGCCACAGATTTTAAAACAGAATTGATAGTATGAATATTTTTGTTGGTTGAAATTTATAAAACGTATCAGCTGCCAGGCACGGTGGCTCACACCTGTAAACCCAGCACTTTGGGAGGCCAAGGTGAGTGGATCACCTGAAGTCAGGAGTTCAAGATCAGCCTGGCCAACATGGCAAAACCTTGTCTCTACGAAAAATAAAAAAATTAGCCAGCATGGTGGTGCATGCCTGTAATCCCAGCTACTCCGGAGGCTGAGGCAGGAGAATTGCTTGAACCCAGGAGGCAGAGGTTGCAGTCAGCCGAGGTCACACCATTGCACTCCAGCCTAGGCAATAAGAGCAAAACTCCGTCTCAAAAAAAAAAAAAAGTATCAGCTTCATTTAGACTCTTCATTTTTATTTTAACAAGTAACATTTCTAAGGCTATTAATGAAGGTCCTAACTTACATTAAAAAAAGAGACTTTATTTTTAAGATACTCCCTTCATCCCACCTCAAAACTGCAGCCAACTCTGATGTTATCTACATGATCTTTTTCTAAGTGGTCTGTTGCCACACTTGGGAAGGATAAGAGAGATTAAAGGAGCAACTCTGGGGAAAAAACAGAGCAAAGGGACTGAAGGAAAATCAAGTATTAAGTAAAGGTTAGACCAGAATGCTACATCACATGGAAGTTTAAGTCTGTAGTGCACACAGGCTCTGAGGAAATCAATAGTAATAGGATTTCTGGATTTTGACTTTGTAAATTTTTAAATGATTTAATTTCCTAAATTATTAATATTTCAGAAAATAAATATATCTGGAAAAATAGGCAACTATCATACCCAACATCATAACAAAGGGTTCTTTAGTTTTTCTATCAGTTTTTTCTCCCTCATTCACTAGTTAAAAACAAGGTACTATCAGATACAAATTCATTTAAGGTGACTTTTTTATTATTAAAATTGGGTAGAAATAAAATAGCCAAACAAGCATAAAACTTAAGACATGCCTTGATATTAAATAAAAATACTAACATGCTGTTACTTGCTCTGCTGATTATCACATTAAAGCAATTACATCAGCAGTCTACCTGTAAAAATTTCTTCTTCATTTCATCAAAGATATTTTGTCTGCATCTCCAAAACACATCCTATGGTATATAAGAACAAAATGAATTACAAATTATTTATATAAAATAAAGGGAAAAGACAGTGAAATGAGAACAATTAACCTAAAAACATTTTTGCAATAAAATATGTATTAATTAAAGTATTAGTACATCATCTAGAATTTTATTCATGAATGTGCAAAGTTACTAAAAATCTATGATAAAGAGGTGATAAAGAATAAGATAAATATGGAAATAGCCATTTTAATAAAGAATGATAGCTTAAGAATTGTGTGTAAATCAAATGTTGTAAGTCACATAATATTTTGTGTCCAGTAAAGAAATTCTGCAGTTCTCTGCACTAAAGGAAACCAAGAGATCTCTTGATTTTGCTAGTCTCTAAAAATTTGAATTTTTCACGACAGCTACTCTTAAAACAAGGCTGCTTAACAATATCCCTCACAACTATTTTAATATATATCTCCTTCTTATGAGTTTAACAATTAAATTACAATTAATACAAAAACATATAAAAGGAAATAAAAGTAACCTATAATCAAGAGATAATCTCTTGAAAAATCTTGATTTTACATCACTCTACACTTTTTCTGTACATATTTTGTCTTATTCTCCCTTCTTCAGTTAATAAAAAGAAATCAACATATTCTCTTGAAAGGCGCTTTTACTTTTACAATAGAAATATATTTCTGTTATAATAGCAACATACAGTTTTCTGAAAAGCAACTCTAAAATAGCCACCATTGCTCTCATCTCATCTTCTCCAGTCTATGCACATATAATATTTATTATACAGAGAGAGTACTTTTAACCAAATAGGACAATTTCATATACCAGTATTTGAAATCTACTTCTTGTCCCTCAATACTCATTGTTTTTGTATGCCAAAACATTCAGTTTAAAAACTGCAGTGTTCCATTATATAGACAAACCATAATTTAACTAATCTGCTATTAATGGGCATTTAAGCCCCTCCAAACATTCACTACAGCATTGCTTGTTTGTATAATTTTTCCTTAAGATAATTTCTCAAAGAAAGAATTACTAGATCAAAGTATATGTACGCATTTTTAGAATTTTTAATACATGGTGCCTTTCACAAAAAAATTGTTGAACTGCAACTATCTTTCAACACTGTTCTCCCAACACTGTTCACCCTGCTCTCAAGGAGGTGATGCTGTGCAGTGGTAACTAATCTATAAGCAAATCTAAACTATCAGGCATCCATCATCCTTCAGGGTCTTTATGTATCTGTACCATGTACCTGGAATATTTTTCCCTGGATGTCCTCACCTCCTTTGCTCAAGTATCACTGCTGTGGGGCTTTAAAACATATCCACAAATTCTTTGACTTGCTTCCCTACGTAAAGTAGGAGTCTAACTTGCCTCCAGCAAAAGTAGGAGGCTAATTCCAGTCCCCTTTAATATAGACCAGACTTAGTGACTCCCTGTAATACACAGCATGATTTTCAAGGCTGGGTTAGAAAAGGTGTAATAACTTCCTCCTGGCCCTCAGCTCCTTACTGTTAGAACCCAGCCTCCATGCTGTGAGGAAGGAAGCCAAGCAGCCACTGGAAAAACTATGTGTAGATGTTCCAGCCACATCCCAAATGAGATCTCAGCAGACAACCAGCATCAACCACCTACATGTTGAGTGAGGAAGCTTTCAGACGATTCCAGCCCCTAGCCTTTCTGCTGCCCCCAGCTGATGCCTAGCAGAGCAGAAACAAGCTGTTTCAGCCTAACCTTACCCAAACTGCACATCTACGAGAAAAGTCACTAGATCTGGGGGCAGATTGTTATATAGCAAAAGATAATCAGAATAGTTCATTTCTCAATCAAGTCCTTCTCTCATCTTATCTAACATTCCAATCCTGTTGGTGCTCCTTATCTCCCAATGTATGAAACAATGATTTTCAAACACTGAACAAGAGGCAACACAGGTAATGATCCCTGTGAAAGCAGAAACAAAAAAGGTAAGCCACCTTCTAGGCTGCAGTGCAGGGAGGGAGAGTGCAGGTGGAGTCCAGCAATCTCCCTGAGTTAAAGGAGTTGGGAGTTCAAGGGGTGGAAAGAGCTACAACTCGCAGGGCAGGATACAGGGCAGAAGAAAGCTGGACACTCTGTGCAAACAGCAAGCTCCAAGGGACCTACAGTGCATCCCCCTAGAGTGTTTGGCTGATTTCTCATCAGCATATGTGTGTAAAGAGAGTGCCTGAGGCAAGGGAAAGAACCACAGGAAAAGAATCCCTGGAGCTCACTTAGGTTCCCACCAACCAGAATTCTTTTTTTTTTTTTTTTTTTTTTTTTTTTTTTTTTTTTGAGAGGGAGTTTCGCTCTGTTGCCAGGCTGGAGTGCAGTGGCACGATCTCAGCTCACTGCAAGCTCTGCCTCCTGGGTTCAAGCAATTCTCCTGCCTCAGCCTCCCGAGTAGCTGGGACTACAGGCATGCACCACCATGCCCAGCTAATTTTTGCATTTTTTAGTAGAGACGGGGTTTCACCATGTTGGCCAGGATGGTCTCCATCTCTTGACCTCATGACCTATCCGCCTCGGCCTCCCAAAGCGCTGAGATTACATGCGTGCGCCACTGCACCCAGCTGCCCACCAACCAGAATTTTTAAAATCTCATAATGCACAGGGCATCAGATAAGGGTACTCAAAAGGGTACTGTCTTAGTACTGGGACCAAATTAGACCTAATCTAAAGACTACTCTGGTCCAACCTTAGGAAGCTTAAAAGCAAAACTCAAAAGGATCAAACTGTTTACAAATAAACCATCTGCATCTAAGAACAAAACTCAAGAATATCTACAGGAATAAAAAACATCCAGGACCCACCAAGGTAAAATTCTCAATGTTTGGCATCCCACTGGAAATAAACAAACATGCAAAGAAGCAGGAAACTATGACCCATATGAAGAGAAAAAAAATAAGTATCTAAGATAATAAATAACATGGATGGGATTAACAAATGTAAGCACTGATGTAGATGAATGAATGAATGCTTAAGACACAGCACAAGAAACTATTAAAATTAAAACAAAGAGAGGAAAAAGAATCAAAAGAGAAAGAACAGAAAAGCGGGATAATTTTCTTACCAGAAACCACGGAGGCCAGAAGGAAGTGGCACAGTATTTTTCAGGTGCTTACAAAAAATAACCGTCAAACCAGAATCCAATAACCAGCAGAAATGCCCTTCAAGAACGACCCAGGAATTGCTTTAATAATCAAGTGGAATTCAAGACATTCTCAGATGAAGGAAAACTCAAAGAATTTGCATCCAGTGGAACTACCCTACAGGAAGGAATAGCTAAAGACAGTTCTTTAAACAAAAGAGAAATCATCAAAGAAACCTTAGAACATCAGGAAAAAAGAATACAGACAGCAAAAATATAGCTAAATATAATACATTTTCCTTCTCTTGAGTTTTTATTAAAGACTTGACAGTTGAGGTAAAAACTAAAATATTGTCTGATGTGGTTACAAGTCAAGAAAATATTTAACACAATTATAAACAGGGTAGGGTAAAAATACATGAAGGGAAATAAGGTTTCTACATTTCACTTGAACTAGTAAAATAACACCTGTAGACTGTGATAAGTTGGTTTACATTATGTCACACCTAGAGAAGCCACCAAGAAAGCTATATAAAAGGAAACAATAAAAATACTATAAATTAATCAAAATAGACAAATGTTCAAATAACCCACAGGAAAACAAGTAAAAGATAACAGAGGGGAAAAAAAAAAGAAACAGAAAACAAAAAAACAAAATGTCACACTTAAGCTCTAATATATTAATTATTACATCAAATATAAATGATCTAAATACCCCAATTACCAGCACAGAAATTGTTTTGGCTCAAGGTTCTGGAGACTAGGAAATCCAATATCAAGATGCCAGCATCTGGCAAGGGCTTTCCTGCTACATCATAACATGACAGAAGGCATCACATGGTGCAAGAGCAAAAAGAGGGTGAAAGAGAGGGTGAACCCACTCCCACGATAATGAACCCACTCCTGTCCATTCATGAGGGCAGAGCGCTCATGATCTAAATACCTCTTAAAGGTATTTGACATCTCTTAATACTATCATAATAGAAACTAAATTTCCACATGAATTTTGAAGACGGCAAGCATTCAAACCATAGCAAAGTTTGATGCAAATCCTATCAAAATCCCAGCAAGACTTTTTGAAAATTTTGATGATTATCCTGAAATTTATAGGGAAAGGCAAAGGAATCAGAATAACTAAAAGGATATTGAAAAGGAATAAAGTGAAAGGTCTCAGTTTACCTGATTTTAAGATTTAACATACAGCAACAGTAATCAAGACTGTGTGGTATTTGTAGAGAGATAAATAGATCAATGTCACAATAGAGACCTACACAAATATGCACAACTGATTTTTGACTAGGTACAAAAGCAACTCAATGGAAGAAAAATAGTCTTTCCAAAAATGATGCTGTAATATTTCATTTAGACATCCAGAAGCAAAAAAAAAAAATTCTCAACCTAACTCTCCATCTTATATTAAAATTAACATAAATGTGGATCATAAACATAAATGGAAAACATAAAACTATAAAACCTTTAGGAAAACACATAGGAGAAAATGTTCTCAGTACTCAGGCTAGGCAGAGTCCTTAGCCTTGACACCAAAATCATAATCCATAAAAGGAAAAATTGATAAACTGGACTTCATCAAAATTTAAAATGCCTACTCTGCAAAGATTCCGTTAAGGACTAAAAGTTACAGACTGGGAGAAAATATTTCAAACCACATAATCAACAAAGGATTAGTATCTAGAATATATAAAGAACTCTAAAAACCTACAAAAAAAAGCAAACAATCCAATTAGCACATAGACAAAAATCATGAAAAGACATTTCAATGAAGCGTATAAACAGATGCAAATAAGCACATAAAAAGATGTACAACATACTAACCATTAGATAAATGCAAATTAATACCAAAATGAAATATTACCACATCGTTTTCAGAATGGTTAAAATAAAAAAAAAATAGCAACATCAAATACTGGCAAAGTAGAGAAATTGAATCTCTCATGCCTTCCTGTAAAATGGTACAGCTATTCTGGAAAACAGTCCAGTAATTAAAAAAAAAAACTATATATACAATTACCATACAACTTAGAAATTGCACTTTTCAACATTTATCACAGATGAAATAATTATGTTCACATAAAAACCAGTACAGGAATGCTTATAGCAGCTTTACTTACAACAGCCCAAAACTGCAAACCCAGATGTCTTTCATCAACTAAATGGTCAAACAAATTATAGTACATCCATATCATGGAAAACTACTAAGCAATAAATAGGAACCAACTATTGATACATGTAACAACCTGAAAAAACTTCCAGAAAATTATACTAAATTTTAAAAAACCAACCCCAAAAGACTCTACAATCTGTGATTCCATTTTTACAACACTCTTAAAATGACCAAGTATAGAAATGGAGAAGAGATTAGTGATCGCCAGGGATTAAAGAGGGAATAGGGAGTGAAAGGGAAGTGAGTGTGGTTACTAAGGGCAACATGAGGGATCCTTGTGGTGAAGAAAATGTTCTATATCTTGACTATATCACGTGAATATCTTGGTTCTGATAGTGTATTATAGTCCATAAGGTGTTACCATTAGTGTAGACTGGGTGAAGAGTACATGAGATATCTGTTTTATTTCTCCAAACTACAAGTAAATGTACAATTATCTCAAATGGAAAGTTAGTTAATAAAACATTGTCTATTCTACTATTTTTCAACCTCTCCTTCCTAGAGACTGAAAGAGGACTGCCTGTTTAAAACCTTGAAGCTGATGGGAGGAGGGTACTCCTAAGAACGTGCAACCACATGCTGGTCTTCATGATGATTTGCAGCCCCAATTCACACCACCTGGTGGTAAAAAAAAAACAAAACTCCAAGCCAAGAATTGCTTTGAAAATGGTTCTAGAATAGTGATATTCCCAGGCACCTGGCAGAAACAATCACAAATTCTTCCTGGAAGGAATCACATATATTCCAAAGTGCAACTAATTTCCACAAAAATTATTTTCATAAGTATAAGAAAAATGAACAGCTCACATTTTTAAAAAATCACTGTGTGTAAACATGGTACCATTAAAGAGAGTCAGCTAAGAATAAAATACAGTAGATGACATCCACAAAAACTTCAATATTGAAACTATCAGTTACATTATAAAATAAATGTTTAACATGCTTCAAGAAATAAAAAAGTGGTTCAAAATTGAGTCTGAGCAGAATTCCTAGAAAATAATAGAAATTAAAAACACAAAATTTAACAGCACATTTAAAATATTTGAAAAAAGAATTAATGAACTCTATATAAGAGAACTAAAGACATTTTCTAAACTTCTAGTGACATAGAGATGTAAAACATTAGAGCATTAAGAGACATGAAGGATAGAGTAAGACCTAATATCTATCCTGAAGAGAGAGAATGAAAGCAGAGGGAATATTTAAATAAATAATGGCTTAGAACCCTTCAGGAACCAATGAAAGACACGAATCCACAGAGCCGAGAATCTCAACAAATCTCAAGCAGAGTAAATAAACGGAGAAGAATTTACATGTAGTCAGAGAGGGCCAGGCACAGCGGCTCACGCCTATAATCCCAACACTTTGAAAGGGCCGGGTGGGCGCATCACCTGAGGTCAGGAGTTCAAGACCAGCATGACCAACATGGTGAAACCCTGTCTCTACCAAAAATACAAAATTAGCTGGGTGTGGTGGCACACACCTGTAATCCCAACTACTTGGGAGGCTGAGGCAGGAGAATCGCTTGAACCTGGGAGGCAGAAGTTGCAGTGAGCCAAGATCGCACCATTGAGCTCCAGCCTGGGCAACAGAGTGAAACTTCGTCTCAAAAAATAAAAGTAAAAATTAAAAATTAAAAAAAAAAATGCAGTCAGAGAGAACAACAGATTACCTTAAAAGAAACAACTAGACTAATGCCTAATTTGTCAATAGGAAAAAGTGTGGGCCATAAGACTGGAGCATGATACTTTCATTGTTGTGAGAGAAAATAACTGTTATCCCAGAATGCTATAAACAGCAAAAATATCTATCAGGAATGCAAAAACAGAGATTTCTGTCACCAATAGATTATCATTAAAGAAACTCCTTAAAAAATGTATTATAGGAAAAAAGAAAGTGACCCCAGAAGGAAGGTGATGAATCCTGACCTAGCCACCTAGACTGATGACAGTGAAACATGCCTGATTTCTACTAAACTACCATAGTGCCATCTTCACCTAGTACCATAATCATGTTCATCACCACGACAACTTTCCAGAAGAACCACCACCAACTCAGGGGAACACAATGCCTAAACAATTAGCTCACATATGCCATCTAATCAGGCACAGACAGACTTTGCTTATCTGATATGAAACAGATTGTTCATGGGTTTCAGCTCTTAAAAAACCTACCACTTTCCCTCTCCTGAGCCTTGAGTCTTATCCTGACCACCACCCCTTTGTTATTGGATCTAGTTCCCAGTTTAATAGTAAAATTGTTACTCAGTGTTCAATCTTTGGTCATGAAGCTTTTATTTTCTCTTTAACAAAGGAGATAGGAGGGAAATGAATAGCTACAAAGATTAACTAAAAATAGATAAAGACCTATATGTAAGAGCTAAAACTATAAAAACTCTTAGAAGAAAACAAAGGGAAAAAGTTTCATGACACTGGATTTGGCAATGATTTCTTGGAAATGATACCAAGACACAGGCAGCAAAAGAAAAATAAGTAACTTGGACTTCATCAAAATTAAAACTTTTGTACATCAAAGGGCACTATCAGAGTAAAAAGACAACTCAGAATGGGAGAAAATATTTGCAAACTGTATAAGAGATTAATACCCCAAATATATAAAGAATTCTTATAACATAACAACAGAAAAACCCTAACACCCTGATTAAAAAATGGACAAAGAACTTAAACATTTCTCCAAAGAATATGTAAAAATAGCCAACAAGCACATAAAAAGATGGTCAACATCAGTAATCAGGGAAATGCAAATCAGAAACCACAAAGAGTAACGACTTCACACCCATTATAAGATGGCCATTGAAATGAAAAAAAGAGAGAGAGATAAGGAAAATAAATAAAAAGTGTTGGTAAGGATGTGGGGAAACTGGAACTCTTGTGCATTGCTGGTAGGAATGTAAAATGGTGCAGCCACTGTGGAAAACAGTCTGGTGGTTACTCACAAAACTAAACATAGTATTACCATAAGATCCAGCAATGTTTCAACAAGCAATTACTAAACGCCTGAAAAAAAACAGAAAGTCTCAGCAAATAAATAACAGATAAAACCGAAATGAAAACTAATTAGGTGGGCCCAACAGCAGAATGAAGATGACAAAAGAATCAGTGAACTGAAGATAAAAACAATGGAAATTACCCAGTTTGAACAATAAAGAAAAAACAGACCCTAAAACAATGATCAGTGGCAAGCACCTGTAGGACTATAACAAAAGATCCAACATTCATGTCATTCAGAACTGGGAAGAAAAGGAGAAAGAGGGCAGGTTTAAAAAGTACTCAAAGAAATAACTGCTGAAAACTTCCCAAATTTGGCAAAAGACATTAACCTATATAATCAAGAAGCTGAGCAAACCCCAAATAAGGTAAACCTAAAGAAATCCATCTCAAGACGCATCATAATCAAATCCCTTAAGAACTAAAGACAAAGAGAAAGATTTTTGCAAGTATTTAGGGGAAAACCCATCTTAACTATAAGGGTAAAACAATTCAAATGACAGCAGATTTCTCTGATCACATCACAACAGAGGCAGAAGGAAGTGGCACAACACTTCAAGGGCTGAAAGAAGAGCTGTCAACCCAGAATTACATTTCCAGTGAAAATATCCTTCAGGAATCATAGAGAAATCAAGACATTCTCAGATGAAGAAAAATGAAAAGATTTGATGCCAGCAGACCTAACCTAAAAGAAAATGGCTAAAGAAAGTTATCTAAATAGAAATAAAAATGCTAAAAATCTACTTTACATTAAAAATAAGATTATATTCTATAATGTATAAATATGATATACACACATACACAGTTTCAAAAAGGAATGAAATCCTGAAACAATTCCACAATATGAAAAAACCTTGAGGACATTATGCTAAGTGAAATAAGCCAGTCACAAAGACAAATACTATATGAGATATCTACACTAGTCAAATTCACCGAGATGGAAAGTAGAATGGTGGTTGCCAGAGGTTAGGGGCAGAGAGGAATGGCGAGTTATTTAATAGGTACATGGTTTCAGTTTTGTAAGATGAAAAGAGTTCTGTGGATAGATGATGGTGATGGTAGTACAACAATAAGAATGTACTTAGTACCACCGAACTGTACATACTTAAAGACAGTTAAGACAGTAAATGTTATGTTATGTGTATTTTACAATTTAAAAAAATAAATTTTTTATAAATAGCTTAACTCCATAAATTTGTGGAAGAAGCAAAACTGCCAACACACTAGGTTTCCAACATGTCTACATTACAAACACATACTACATATAGGCATATTATAAATATGTATAAATAAATATAAGCATAAAATAAATTCCTACATTTTTCTTGTAATACAAAAAAATTTTTTTAACTGTTTATTAAAGGAATTAATATAATTTGAGTGGATATATACATACATATTAGAGAGAAATAGATATAAAATAAATATAGCTCTCACTCACATATGTGTTTGTATGCATATTTTCTAGCTCCTTCCACTGAAAGGACTAGAAGCAATGCTATCACCATAATAGTAGTACAATTAGAACCCAGATCTCAATTTCTAAGTATCATTCTCCAGAAAAAGAACCTAGAGGTCTTTGCAGAAATGGCTAATCTTAGAATTAGGGCTGAGAAATTACAATAATTTGGGATACCTTGTACTGCCAGAAAATAAGCGCTCAAAGAATGGTGTATGTACGTTAAGAGGACATATAAAGTCAGGTGAAAGGGCTCGCACTGGCCAAATGTGGAAAAACTTAAACATTAAAATAAATAAATGATTTATTCAATGTAAAAGTTAACATTAAAAAGATAGTTACATAGCATGAGAAATAATCAAATAACTAAGAATGCATTTGTAGGTATTCTGAAAATTTAAATAAAGATGTCCAATTTCCTAAATACTACTAAAATACTGACAGTGGACAGTAAAGATTAAAGAACAGTTATAATTGGCTTAATACTCAAGGATCCCTTCAAAAAATTTACTTTCTGTATTAAAATTCACGTTGTTTACTTAAAATCTAAAGTGTTAGCTATAGAAGTTAAGCAGCAGAAAGCTGTGTTCTTAAATATGACAAGTCTGATCATATTTTTTAAAAATCTGACTGAACTTTTTACTCAGTGTATTTCGATTTAGGAATAAATGTAAATACAAGAGAACTAAGAGTAAAAACATCATCAAGTTATAATTTTTTAGCCTTTTTTCAGTTTCTAAGTTTTTGAGCATCAAATTGCTTTTCTATTTTTGTGATTTCATGTTTTGAATGCTTCCATTTTAAAGTGGATGAAAACTGAAGTAAAGTACATCATTAAAATATACCACATTTCCCATGACTCGTCAATTTAAAAATCAAATCACAACATCTGTAAATAATCAAGCCTTTCTAATAAACAATCTCTATAAATCATTATAATCGGAAAATAATGCAAACTATACTAATATAAAAATTCAAGACTTTCTTAGTATCCACTTTATCTTCAACTCCATTCCCACTAGTATCCCTCTGCAATTTCCCCTAAATGGCTCAGTCTTCTTAGCCCTAAGTGGGTGGGAGGGGGGTAGATGATGAAAGATTAATTAAAGGGTACAATGTATGTTGTTCAGGCAATGTATACCCTAAAATACCTGCCTTCACTACTACACAATCTATGCATGTAACAAAATTACACTTGTAGGCTGGGTGTGGTGGCTCATGCCTGTAATCCCAATAATCTGGGAGGCCAAGGTGGGAGGATCACTTGAGCCCAGGAGTTCGAGACCAGCCTGGGCAACATGGCGAGACCCTATCTCTAATAAAGAAAAAAAAAATTATGCTTGTATCCCATACGTTTATACAAATTAAAAGAAGAGAAAAGTCTTCTTAGCCTTAGCTTTTCTACCACTGTCAAATTACATCCAGAATATCTAGCTGTAGGCTCAAATTTCTCAAAAAATTTTATTTTCCTTATCTAGGATTTATATCAGTTTTTCTAAAAACATGTAATTTATTTCCTCTTGCTTATATACTCAAGGAAAACAAACATGTCAAAGGATGTGAGGAGACTTGTCAGGAATACACTAATACTTCAGAAAATCATAAAGACACAACAAGAACATGAAAAAACCCACAATGTATATAATAAGATAAGCAGATTCTTATGCACGATTGTGCTTAGCTAAGAAATGAAAACAGCTATTTTACAATCTTTACTACTAAAAACAAACCACAGAAGTAGAAAATCTAAGTCCTACACAGAATTCTGTAAGCAAAATATATTCATTCAGAAAAATAATTTCATAATGTATTATAGCTGATGCTTTTGGAAGCATAAAGTGTGCTTTAAAAACTTAATTTCTAGAAACTGATTTTGAAACAGAAAATTCTGTAATCTCATTTTAAATTGTGAATTTGTTAGTGCAATAAGGGCTTTTACTACTTAAGTGAAGTTTGATGATAATCATGCTCTGCTTTAATTGGCTCTTTTAATTCAAATCCTATGTGTGTTTTCCTTAAAAAAAAAAAAAAAGACTTTGTACCTGTTCTAAAAGCCTAAAGCAGTAAAGAAATTATAAGTAGATTTGCTTTATTATTCTAGTTAAATACAAATTCTGTGATAATTTGTTTTAGCACATGTTGTTCAATGTATCATGGTATGAATTTTCTGAATTTAAATTAATAAACATGTTATAAATTACATGTCACTATATCACATTTGTTTCTAAATTATATACTATAAAAACACTCAAGTAATAAAACATAACTAGGCTGACTTGGATAAAGTATGCTTTTAAAATTTTGTAAAAATACTTATTTTCATACCTGCCCTCTGTGCTCTAGTATTAGGGTGTCCCTCAGGTAAATGCATTCCATTTTATTCTAAAACAGTCATGAAATAAGCTCCCAGAACCCCACAGTATATTAAAATTAGAAAATAAATAAAACTCCTTTGATCCTATGTAATTTATTTTTAGTTGTTGCAACAAATTACATCAAGTACTCAATCAATTAATAGGAAACTAAAAATGCAAAGTTTCAGAACTTTAAAAGAATAGTTTACAATCCATTTAACTATGATTGACCTATTTTGACAATTAAAAACCAACCAACCAGATGGCTCATCACACTCAACATACAACTACATTCAAAGTTGGATGGGGCCGGGTGTGGTAGCTCACGCCTGTAATCCCAGCACTTTCAGAGGCCAAGGCAGCCGAATCACCCGAGGTCAGGAGTTCGAGACCACCCTAGCCAACATGGTGAAACCCCGTCTCTACTAAAAAATACAAAAATTAGCTGGGCATGGTGGCACATGCCTGTAATTCCAGCTACTTAGGAGGCTGGGGCAGGAGAATCGCTTGAATCTGGGAGGCAGAGGCTGCAGTGAGCCAAGATCGTGTCACTATACTCCAGCTTGGGCGACAGAGCGGGACTCCGTCTCAAAAAATAAAATAAAATAAAATAAAATAAAGTTGGATGGACCTTTGAACATCAGATGAGGCTCCTTATTTTATCGATGAAGAAAAAGAAATTGAGAAACCTTAAGTGACCTGCCCAACGTCACATTTGAACACAGGTCTTCTAAATAACAGAGGCCTTCTGATGACTGTATAATGCTGACATGTTTGTAGCATTAAAATTGTAATGTATTACTTTTCCTCTCACTTTTATCCTAATACTCTTCCCACTCTGCCTTGCTCCTTTTAATAGCTGTTCTAGTATTGGCAATGGGTAACCCACTGATAATATACTGTAGGTATCTAAACTTAGAAACCAAAACTATTCTCAGGAGGCGAAATAATACGTCCTTTACTATTTCTGTTATCTTTATTTTTGATTACAGCTAAGATTTCCTCTGTGAGTAGGCTGTTGTTGACAAGCAGTGACTCAGCTTGTGAAATAACTGACTTGTTTATAGGTTATGAACATTCTACTTATTATTACTAAATCAAGGGAGCTTGTTTATATTATCTGTTACCATGCATTTTATTTAAAAGCATGGACAGTAATTCTTAAGAATATTACATTCTTTTAATACTTCAAACATGAAATTATACATCTGAAAGAAACGTTAACGTTACTTAACACTTTTTAAAGTTTGTTTATTTCCTATTAGAGTGATCTATGGTACAAGAACAATGGACTGCAGAGTCAAAAGATCTAGATTAGACTCCTTAAGTCAAAGTGGCTACTTTTCTTCTAGCTGTGTAATCCTACACGAATCATTTAACTTATCTCTCACTCTCAGGGTCCTAAAAGTAAATATATCCTCCGCTCAGTGGTAGGGTGGGCAGGAGAATCGCTTGAACCCGGGAAGCAGAGGTTGTGGTGAGCCGAGATCGCGCCATTGCACTCCAGCCTGGGCAACAAGAGCGAAACTCCATCTCAAAAAAATAAATAAATAAATAAAATAAGAAAAGAAATAAAATATATCCTCCACTCAGTTTTTCTTTTTTTTTTTTCCTTCTGTTGCCCAGGCTGGAGTGCAGTGGCGCGATCTTGGCTCACTGCAGCCTACATCTCCCGGGTTCACGCAATTCTTCTGTCTCAGCCTCCCAAGTAGCTGGAACTACAGGCGTGTGCTACCACTCCCAGCTAATTTTTGTATTTTTAGTAGAGATGGGATTTTGCCATGTTGGCCAGGCTGGTCTTGAACTCCTGACCTCAAATGATTCGCCTGCCTCGGCCTCCCAAAGTGCTGGGATTACAGGCGTGAGCCACGGTGCCTGGCCATCCACATAGTTTTTCTATCGAAGGGGAGAACTTCTTGAAAATGCTCTATGAATTATAGTAATACCATACAAAAATAAGTTATTATTAGAGAACTATCAGTTACTACCCTTAAAATACATTTAAGAAACATGCAATTCTTGTACATAATGAAATTTATATACTAAAATTTCAATATTTAAATTTTCAAAAGATTATCTTTTGGGGATGCAGGTAAGAGGAATTTCATCAGATGAGGAACATCTGCAAAGATCTTTTGTTTTCTGACTGGCATTCTCACAAGGTTTCAAAACCTGCCTGGAAAGAAAAACTATGTAGATACATAATTTAGCGACAAACCTTATACCTTATGCGGCCTTACTCCTTCATTTAACAAATGAAAGAAGAAAAATACCAGAAAGGTTAAGCAACTAAGGTAAAGTCAAACCACTTGAGTTTTCTGATTCCCAAACTACTGTCCTTTCCACAAGGCCAGTCAATACGTAAATCCCTTTCTCAAAGAGCCTACCAAAATTGTAACTAGCATCATGTTAACATTATTACCAGTTTTCCCTATATAAATCACAAACTCTTTGAGGATACTCTTTTTATTCCTCTCCCTTCTATCAGTACCTAGCAAAACCTTAAATATGTAATACATAAAGGATGCTGGATTAAGCTTAATAAAAACCAGTATTAAGTACATGAAAAGATGCTCTGTTATCAGTCGTTAGGAAAATGCAAACTAAAAGCACAAACAGATACCACCACTACACACTTAATAAAATGGTTAAAAAACAAAACTAAACTTAAAAAAAACTGACACTGCCAAGTAAACAAAGATACAGAACAACCAGAATTCTCATACATTGCTGTCTAGAATGCACAAACGGTACAGCCATTTCAGAAAAGAGTTTGGCAGTGTTTTACAAAGTTAAACATACACTTACCATATGAAGACATATGTCCACCCAAAAGCTTGTATACAAATATTTATAGTAGCTTTATTCAGAATCACCAAAAACTGGAAACAACCCAAATGTTTATCAGCTGGTAAATGGATAAACTGTGGCACTCAGCAATAAAAAGGAATAGACTACTGATAGAAGCAACAACATAAATGAATCTCAAATGCTTTATGCTAGGTGAAAAAATTCCTACCCAAAATGCTACCATACTATATGACTCCATGTAAATGACATTCTGGAAAAGGAAAAACATGAGGACAGAAAACAGATCAGTGGTTGCCAGAGCCTGGAGGAAGGGGAAGAGAACTGATTACAAGAGACGACAGAGAACTTTTTTGAGGTGATGAAGAGACAACAGAGAACTTTTCTGAGATGATGGATATATTCTATATTTTGACTATGGTAGTGGTTGTACAACTGTATGTTTGTCAAAACTTACAAAACTGTATGCCTTAAAAGGATGAATTTTTCTATATATAAATAATACCTCAGTAACACTGATTTAAAAAACAAAAAGTCTCACTTATGTCCTTTCATTACCTGAGACCCTAAGTAACTTAATGAGTTTCTGTGGCCTTTATAGTTTTTCTTACCGAGAAAATGGAGGGGCTATAATATTAGTATTTAACCGTTACCGGTGGAGCATGTCCAGGTTCTTGGCGTTTTGAACAAAGAATTGGACAAAATGTACAAAAGAAGCAAGGAAAAGAATGAAACAACAAGAGCAGAGATGTACTGAAAACGAAAGTACACTCCACTAATGGGAACTGCACCAGCAGCGGCTAAAGGGCCTGGATACAGAATCTTCTTGGGTCCAAATACCTGCCAAAGGTTTCCCATTGGTCACTTGGTATTCACCTCATGTAAATGAAGTGGTGCCAAATCAGAGGCTGAAGTGAAGCTACAAAGGTCACTCTCCTATGCAAACATCTGATTGGTTGTGGAAAGCAACCAATCAGAGGCTGAAGTGAAGTTACAAAGCTGCACTTCTATGCAAATGAAGATTTGGCCCGTAATCAGTCTGTTTGCCAACAACCAACCAGAGGCTGAAGCGAAGTTACAAAGTTACACTCCTTTGCAAACGTCTGATTGGTTGCTTTCTGCAACCAACCAGAGGTACTTTCAATTTTCCATCTGCCACGCAGAAAAGGTAGGGGTCTGCAAAGGGAGTAGCCTCCGGCTCTTTTGTTACTTAGGCATGGAAAGTGAGGGTTTTCCTTTCAATTTAGTTCTAAGAAGTAAGCGTGAAATGGCCTTAAGCTCCTGAGTCCAGACTCTATTCTCCTGCCTCATAACTACTGCCTCCCTTCCAGTGTTAAAATCATATTACTCAACTGTAGAAACATTTTTGTGTCACGTCTACTTTTCTTAGAACTCTTAAAATTATATTTGTTTTGTGTTAATGGTAAATAACTAAAGGTAAATAAATATTTCAAGACATACGAATTTAAAATGTCAAAGCAATATTTCTCAGATATATTTTAATAAGTTGTGGTTGTTAAATATATAATTTTTCACCAATTCTCTTGTTATCACAAAGTACTATAAATAGATATAAAATAATAGATTATATAAACTGGTGTAAACTTAAAGGCAATACAAGTAAAATACCTAAACACATAAAAGGACAGACACTATAAAATGAAGGAAATGTATATAAATTCATTGATAGCTTATTTATATTTACTAAAGCAACATGCTGCATCTTTTGGAGATGAGTTATACAAAAATTCTACTTATTAATGCAACCTGGAACTAGGTTTATAATCCAGAGCTTCTCTTTATTAAATATTTTATTTTTATTAAATAAATATTATTTGGAGCACTGTGGATAACCTTAGGAAGATTCCATTAATTCTCAAATTAAAGACATTCCTTATGGTGTTCTCAGTTACTGCACTGTGACTGCCACCAACAGTCATCACTGCCTAGCACGGTGTCACCTTTAGCTTGCAGAGCTTCAGCCAAGAAGAGAAGTAAATAGGGAGTTCTCTACACTACAGTTCCTACAAAGCCAAATGCCCACAAAAATGCCAGTGGTAAAGCACACAGGAAGTAACTAGCTACAAAAGCCACTCACAAGAATATGTTGTGTACTAGAAAGGTTAAGAAACCACATCATTATAAGCCTTGTACTGTGGCTCTCAGTGAAAATCAGATCAGAAGTTATCAAATGTATGCTGAACTTCTCACTTGCAAATTTCCCTTCCAGCATCAGTTGTGAGAACTTCAAAACAGATCTATACTTCCAGAGTGCAGCCACTGACACTTTTCTAAAGGCAAGTGAGGCCTACCTGGTTAGCCTATTTGAAGACACCCACCTTTGTTTTATCCATATCAAATATGTAACAATTATGCCTAAGGATATCCCACCAAAAAGACTCATATGTAGAAAATGTGCTAAAATGTATTATGAAAAGAAATATTTTATTCTTAAAAAACAAAAAGGTACCTAATTATATGATTGCAAATGGAAATAAATGGATGAGAGAATAAGGTATTAGCAAGTTTTTCCCCCACTTTGATTTGTATGCAAATTTTTGGTATTAATGTTGGGGACAAAAAACATTCCAGCAAGTAAAAAATGTTTCCATGAACAAGTTTCAGCAACTAAATTTTATAACAATTGTAAACAAATCTGTTGACTTTTTCTGGGGAAAAAAATATTTTTTGCCCCCTAATGTCTAAACAATAAAAATCTAAACACTTTCTGGGCACACAAAGCCTTTGGAATTTTTAGACACAATCTGCCAGAACCAGGCGCCCCATGCATCTACACTAAATTTTTTGCCACTTCCTAAAATGCACTACAAACTTTCTTGTTTTGAACACTATTCCTCCTTCTCTACATAATAATCAAGTCAGCCTTTGTGATTACATTCTCACAGAATCCCCTAGAGAAAGCCAGCTGCTCCCCGCTCTATGGTCCCACTTTATTTCCACATTATATATTTGTCTGGTCACCTGTTTGTCTCTTCCATTAGTCTAGACTAGGATCTAGAACTAGGCCAGATTCCTTATTCATCTTTGAATCTCTCTGTAGTAGTTCTTGGCAGCTACTAACTCAATGTTTAACTGAATGAATTCTATAAAATCAGGAGCCATGGAAATCTACACTAAAAACAATGAAAGTGTATTCATTATTAAATACAAATAAGTATTTAAAACAAGAAAGGTATTTGTAGTAAACTAGAATGCTTTGGTTGTACTAAAAAATTTCACTGAGGTTGTAAATGAGGTTCATGATTTTCCTGAAGTTAAACCTATAACCTTACCACAGGTATTGGATTCACATCTTTATACAGAAAGATTTAAGTTCTAGACCTTTTTCTGAATTATGTCACTTAGGCTTTCTTTAATTTTTCTCTACTAGAAAGTCACTTTATTTAATATAAGCATATTACACTAATACTTGAAAATTATTAGTATAGAAGCAGTCCACTACACAGCATCAAATTTAAAGCATCATCATAGTACCACTGACAGGGACAGTCTCTTCTATCCATGTCAACTAGTTCTACACCAGAGCTACAGAAAATCAAAATTATCAAACACATCAAGTTCTCTCAGAAACTGTCTTAATATGGATCCTGCTTTAAAATAACATTTCGCACTGAATCCTAATAAACAAGAAATGTGTTAATCTAGTGAATTGACAACCACCTATATAAACCAAACTAATTTTTCTCAGAACCTCATTAGCTGAACTCAAAATTTCTTTTACTTTTAATACTTTCACTTTGTTATGTGTTCCAATTTTCTTTTCTTTTTTTTTTTTTCCTGAGACGGAGTCTCGCTCTGTCGCCCAGGCTGGAGTGCAGTGATGCAATCTCCACTCACTGCAAACTCCGCCTCCCGGGTTCACACCATTCTCCTGCCTCAGCCTCCCGAGTAGCTGGGACTACAGGCGCCCGCCACTGCACCCGGCTAATTTTTTTTGTATTTTTGGTAGAGACGGGGTTTCACCGTGTTAGCCAGGATGGTCTCGATCTCCTGACCTCGTGATCCGCCTGCTTCAGCCTCCCAAAGTGCTGGGATTACAGGCGTGAGCCACCACACCCGGCCTATGTGTTCCAATTTTCAAAGCTGTAACAATAGGTCTTACTTGATCATATAAGAGAACCTGTCAAATCTAACAATAATTTAGGATTAGTGCTGTAGACATTAAGATAAGTAGCTGACAGGCTGTAATCAGCTGTCAACTTCAAATGACTTGCATAACTAAAATATAATTTCATTTTCATTTAATCCACAAATATTTGTTGAATAACAACAATGTACAGCACATTGTGATGGCCCCTGGGGGAGGATATAGAAATGAAGGTAATGATAGAAATGATGGTAGTAACAGAAGGTGGTAATAGCTAATATCTATTGATAGCTTATTGTGTGCATGACACATTACATGTATTAACTCATTTAATCTTCCCACCAATGCTAGGAGGTACTTAGAATTATCCTTAATTAACTAAGGTACTGACAGGTTAAGGAATTTGTCCAATGTCAGACAGCTGGTATTTGAACCTAGGGACTCCAGCTGTAGTGTCCTGACTCTGAGGAACCTCCCATCTAATAGAAGGTATTAACTGAAATAACAAATAACTTATAATAAAGAAGCAGAATTTTTCAAATGCCAAAGGTGCTGTAGGATTTTAGGATTAAGAATATGCAATCAGGTTGAAAGAGGAGAATTTTCAGGCTGGACTTTGCTGGTTGGATAGGATTTTTTTTTTTTTTTTTTTGAGACGGAGTCTCGCCCTGTCCCCCTAGCTGGAGTGCAGTGGTGCGATCTCGGTTCACTGCAAGCTCCACCTTCTGGGTTCACGCCATTCTCCTGCCTCAGCCTCCTGAGTAGCTGGGACTACAGGCGCCCACCACCACACCCGGCTAATTTTTTTTATTTTATTTTATTTTAGTAGAGACGGGGTTTCACTGTGTTAGCCAGGATGGTCTCAATCTCCTGACCTCGTGATCCACCCATCTCGGCCTCCCAAAGTGCTGGGATTACAGGTGTGAGCCACCAGGCCCAGCCGGTTGGATAGGATTTTAAGAGCATGTTTTAAAGAACATCAAAACTTGAGACATATATCTCAGTAATTTTTGTAAAAACTGTAATCTCTCAACAGCAGGTTATATCAATAACAGTTTTGCATAAATTAAAACATTCATATACATGGATACTTTATGTATGCATGTTTCAGTTTAGTTTCATTAAATGAAAGAAGAGGGCAATTATTACTTCCACACCTAAGGACAAAGGAAATGGAAGTATGCAGTAAGGTAGAGAGGACGCATCTATTTACTCACACTACATCTACATCCATCCCTTCTTACACTATACCAGTAAAAACCAGGCTCAGGAAAACACATATTCTTTAAGAACGTCGATGTGAAAGATCACATCATTTTTTGTCAGTCATCTGCCATCACTGCCAAGCACAATCATTTTGCCAAATACTTTTCCACAATGGAGAATGTCTGTATGTTAGATTTGAAAATCTGTGTCATAAACCTCATAACAGAATATGCCTCTGCATATCATGCCACCTACACATGCTGCCTGAACTGAAGAAGGTCCTTAATACCAAGGAATTTGTTCTAAAAGTAGATGTCTTTTGGAACTTTAATTTACAATAGGTATTTAAATATATATATTTAATGCTCTGTTTTTTACAACCCCTGTTTTTGATACAATCTTTTCTTTCTAACTTGGGCTATCACCATACCCTACTATTCTGGAGATGCAGGAACTCCTCCTTTCCATTTGGCAAAAAAAAAATTACAGTATCTGGGCACTAAAAGACAAAAAATCTATATGACTAATCCAAAAAAGAGAAAATAGAAGATAGGCAAGAATCCTAATTATTCAAATAGTCATTTTCATGTAAAATAAAAGTCCACCCATTTAAAACTCCTTAAAAACTGCAGGACAAAAAGAAATACTTCATAGTATTCAGTCAGGGCAAGGGCACAGAAGTGACACATGAACATATAACAGCACATCTGAGGAACAGCAACTAATGTAGTGGAATGTGGTTTGTACAAAACTGGCTTGGGGCATGAGACAAAAACATTAAGAATCTCTGGTTAAAGAGGATAGACTGAATATAAGGATTTAGCTCTGATGCCTCCCAGTTAAGAAATTTTTGAAAGACTATTAACCCCAAACAAACAGAAACACAATTTTAAAAGCTAGAAAACAGAATAAGTGGCAATGACAATTACAACTAGGAAGGCTGAATTCCATGTTAGCCTAGAAGAAAGCAAAGACACCTAGTTTATATCACACTGACATTTAGTACACCAAAAGACCTCTAAACTCCTTGGAGAACTGGTTGATTCCAGGGTTGGGGCAAGGAAAACATAAGATGGGCTGAAGCATTATGTGGTGTTGGAAAGTAAGGAAGTGAGTGCTCAAAAAGCAAGGATGAGCACAGAAGCCCACCAGAAAAAGCACCCCCTGGCAAAAATTGGAACAGCTTGATCAACAAAATAAATGATATAGAATTGGATTATAATCCAAAGAATAAATATCCATAAGTCCATACTGATACAAATAAATAAGTAAATAAATGGGGGTGGGGGGAAGGACAAATTCTCCTCACAGAAGAATTTAAATTAATAAATGTAGAAATAATGAGAGAAATAGAAAATCACTATTATTAAGCCACAGTAATAATTGCTGCAGGCAAGATCACAGATAGATGATAAAATTAGTGGGCAGAAATTTAGGGGGAAATAGGTTATCTGCATGGTCTCAAAGAATTTGATTTTTAAAAGCTATTTTATTTTTAAAGTTTGACCTGCCTGGCTGAGTAACTTTAAATCAAAGTACTTAATAATTATTAAAGGGAAAAATAGTAACTTCACAGTGGAGAAACCTAGCAGACACCCTCTTACCCAAGTGATCAAGGTTAACATCACCAGTAGTACGTATCAGCATCATGCCCCCCTACCAACATAATGCACTAAGAAGAACACATCCCATCTGTGATAATCCTTCTTTTTATTCATAACCTCAATCTATTCATGAGAGAGCATCCACAAACCCAAATTGAGAGCCATTCCATGAAATAACTGACCAGTACTCTTCAAAAGTGTCAAGATCTTGAAAATGAAGACTGAAAAATTATCACAGATAAAAGGAAACTAGGAGATATGATAACCAAATGCAATGTGGTATCCTAAATTTGGATCTTGAAACAAACAAAAACTATAAGAGGGAAAACTGGTAAAATCTGAATAAATTCTGTAGTGTAGTTAATAATATTATACTAAGGTTAATTTCTTCTGATCATCGTTCTATGGTTATATAAGATGTTAAGATAAAAAGAAGCTGGATGAAGGGTATACGGAAACTTTGTACTCTTTCCGCAATTCTTGTGTAAATACATTAAAGCAAACAAACAAAAAAATAAACTAAGGGGCTCAGGAACTGGAAGTTTCAGACACTTTGGGAACGAGAGTGGAGTCCAAACTAGAACTGACCAAAATCTAAGAAGTAGTGAAAATCCCCAGACCTCCTCTTCTACTCTTCAACCCTTTCTGATAAAAGACTAAACAATCTCTAGAGAGCATATAACAGGATATATCTAGACTAGAGGACAACATGCTCAATTGAATTTGAAGGGTGCCATAATGAAAACTGGGGAATTAGGTTAATCTGCATGCTTAAAGATGAGACCCATATCCCCTTTTCCTACTCAGCTCTCAAGCTTGTTCTCTCCTGGCAAAAGATGAGAAATTTTGTCTGGGAAAACAATCCAGCACAAAAGAAAAGATGTGTCACTGGGTGCCCTGGTCTAAATGCCTATGTCTCCTTACCCCAAAATTCACATGTTGAACCCTACTTGCCAATATGATGATATTAGGAAGTGGGATCTTTGGATGGTGACTGGATCAAGAAGGCAGGGCCCTCATAAATGAGATTAGTGCCCTTGTAAAAGAGGCCCCAGAGAGCTGCCTTGTCTCCTTCCACCATGTGAGGACACAGCGAGACGGTGCTGCTCTGTGAACCAGAAAGCAGGCTTTTACCAGACACCAAATCTGCCGGCACCTTTATCTTGGACTTCCCAGCCTCACTCACAGGAACTGTGAAAAATAAATTTCTGTGGATTATAAGCCACCCAGTTTATGGTATTTTGTTTTTGCAGCCCAAATGGACTAAGACTGGGAGTCTGCAAGGAAATCATCCAGATTTACCATCCTACACAAAAAACCATAATCACACAAAAGCAGAGCTTCCATTCAGCTTAGGGCCTCTCTCTTAAATAAGCACAGACTGCCAAGGATCATGAGACATCTAAGGAAAGCAACAAATATGAAAGATAAAGACCAAAGCAAACAAACAGAAAAAGGAAATTTGGAAGAAAAAGAATATGCAGACAAAAAAAAAAAAAACTACCAATATTTCCTAAGAGAGATAAGACACTGCATCCATAAAACAAATATAGGATTTTTTTTTCAAAAAAAGGAATGGAAACTATACATATTATAGCAGAAATAAGAACTTAGTAGAAAAACTGGAAGACAAAGTTGAGAAAAATCTCCCAGAAAGCAAAGAAAAAAAATGTAAAGAAATGGAAAATAGATGAAAATAGACAAGAAAATTAGAGAAACCCATCAGTAGGCCCAACATCTAACAACAGGAATTCAAAAGAGAGAGGAGAGATAAAATGAAGGAGAGGAAATCAAAGAAATTATTTAAGGAAAATTTGCAGAATTTATGAGATAAATTCCAGATTGAACAGGATTAGCAGAATGAATTAAAAAAACAGACATATAACTACATAATACAAGAATTTCAGAACTCTGGGGACAAAGATTCTCTCTCTAGCTCGCAAAGAGAAAAAAAGAAAGTTTCAAAATAGTTGAAAAGGATGTTCTAAGCATCTGATCTCAACATCGACACAGAAAAATAGAAGACAGTAGAGCAATGCCTTCAAAATTCTGAGAAAAAATTATTTCTGACTCAGAGTTCTCTGCCCAGCCAAACTATCCATAAAACAAGAGGGGAGAAAAAACATTTACAGACATGTATAGTCTTGAAAAAATTCTATCCCATCCAGAGAACTATTGAAAGTGGCCCTTCAAAATGAGAAAGTAAACAAAGACAGCCAAAGATACCAGATACAGAAACAGGGGCTCCAAAACAAGACAGAACTGAGAGAATCATAAAGATGACAGTAAAGCAAGTCCAAGACAACAGCTGCACAAAAGTTCTAGCTTTAACAAGTTCAAACTGGAGTAGGTCAGAAGGCCCTGGGAAAGAGCTTCTCACGAAGTCAAAATTGGTAGGTTTGAAGATAAGCCATTTATACACTTGAGAGATAGTTTGGGCTAAATCAGGGTTTCTCAACAACAGCTCTACTGACATTGTGGGCCTTCTAATTCTTTGTTACAGGAGGCTGTCTTGTGCAGTGCAGAAGAATATTTGGCAGCATACCTGGCTTCTACCCACTAGATGTCAGTAGCACACACCCGCACTCTCCTCCCCTCCCCCAACATTGCCAAATGTCCTCTGGAGAGAAAATGGGCCCCAATTGATAACCACTTGGCTAATTTAATAAGTATACAGAAAACTAAGCAAAGCAAAATTGTTAAAAATTACTAACTCTGGCCTAGCTAACATGGTGAAAATGGAGTCATTATAAACTGAAATACTGATGTATACAGGCTGGGCATGGTGGCTCACGCCTATAGCCCTAGTACTTTGGGAGGCTGAGGCAGGAGGATTGCTTAAGCCCAGGAGTTCAAGACCAGCTTGTGCAATAATAGTGAAACTCCATCTCTATGAAATGCGGATGTATCCAAACGACTTGCAGTATGACAATATTGGGAGTACTGGGCAGGGTTAAAATGTGTGCTTGTGTGTGGTTGGGGATAGTGGTAAACCCTCATTTTTACTTAAACTGAAAAATATCTTAAACTGAAAAATCAAGAAGTAACACTATAAAAACGCTAGTTTCGGCTGGGCATGGTGGCTCACGCCTGTAATCCCAGCACTTTGGGAGGCCGAGGCAGGCGTATCACGAGGTCAAGAGATCAAGACCATCCTGGCTAACACTGTGAAACCCCATCTCTACTAAAAATACAAAAAATTAGCCAGGTGTGGTGGCGCGCGTCTGTAGTCTCAGCTACTCAGGAGGCTGAGGCAGGAGAATCGCTTGAACCCGGGAGGCAGAGGTTGCAATGAGGTGATATCGCACCACTGCACTCCAGCCTGGGTGACAGAGTGAGACTCCGTCTCAAAAAAAAAAAAAAAAAAAATGCCAGTTTCAAATATGGAAGTAAGTATCAAAAGAATGAGTTGAAAGCAGTTGCCCCTAGGCAGCCTGAAATGAGGGGAAATTTGCAGAGACCTACTGTTTTTGTAAATATAGTCATGTGCCATATAAAGACATTTTGGTCAACAATCACAAAGATGACAGTGGTCCCATAAGATTACAAATACCATATTTTTACTGTACCTTCTGTATGTTTGAACACACAAAGACTTATGATGTATTACAACTGCCTACAGTATTCAGTACAGTAACATGCTGTAGCCTAGGAGCAACAGGCAATGCCATATAGCCTAGGTGTGTAGCAGGCTAAACCATCTAGGTTTGTGCAAGCACACTGTATCATGTTCAAATGATGTCTAATGATACATTTCTCAGAATAGGTCCTCATCATTAAGTGACAAGTGACTATAGTTCTGCAGAGCTATTTAACTCTTATAAATATATGCATGTATTAAACATAACTTTGATAAAAATTAAATTTAAAAAATCAACTGAATCCATATTATCAAGGACTTTCCTACTGGTTAAAGCTACCTTGATTTAGAATCAAATAGCTATGTAACTTTGAGCAAGTTACTTAGCATCTTTAAGCCTAGTTTCTTCATGTGTAAAATGGATAATGAAGAATAATAGCTAATACTGTCATACTGTCAAATGAGATAATGTAAGTGAACTGGTTAGCATAGTGTCTAGCACATACTGTTTACAAATAGTACCTATCATTCAAATTGCAATCAGAGGGTAATAATTATAAACTTTAAAACAGGTAAATCTTAATCTCATCTGTTTTAGAAAGTAACCCTGGCAGTTGTGGGGAGGATGGTTAAGAAAGGAAAGGCCTTGGAAGCAGACTGACCAATTAGAAAGGCTACACATTGGAGAAAATAACAATAATTAGACAAAGGCAGAGCCATGGAGAGAAAGATAAGGATACAGAGACATTTTCTAAGTGGTGAACTATATGTGAGAAAAAGGAAAAGAGAGGAGTCAAAAACTGTTCTAACTTAAGCATATAAATAGATGGCGATAACACTAACTGAAACAGGAGAACACCAAGAATTGGGTTGTGAGAAGGGAAGGAGAAATAAGTTCGATATTACCTATATTTAATTTGTGGGTCCTAGAGTACAACCAAGTACAGATATCCAGAACAGTGGAAATCTGAATCTAGAAGGGGTCAGGGCTGGAGATATAAATGTGTAAATCACAATCAAAGGTTGAAGCTATACAAGTGGATCCGATTACTCAAGACAAATATACAGAGTAAGAGGAGAGGGGAAATAGGAAAACTGTGAGCACAAAAAAAAAAAACACTATGTAAATACCCCCAAAACTACAATCAGATCATCTCAATTTCTGTTTTTGAAAATAATGTACATGCTCATTTTTAAATATGAAAGTCTAAATATATATCCCAATAATCCAGAAATTCAGAAATAGCAACTCTTAATATTTTAGTGTATTCCTTCTAATCTTTCAACGCATTTAACCCTAAATTGTTCATTTTTTCCTGGACAAAATTAGAATCATATACAATTCTGCATTCAGCTTTTGCTTTCATTCATTAAATGAGCATTTCCAATGATATCTAAAATACTGACTTTTATTAAACACTCCAATTTGTTTAAAACGCTGGCGGGTATAACTTGACAAACTTGTCTCTTACTGGTAAGAGAGAGTCAACATCTGAAATTTAAGAAAAAGCCTCATTTTAAAAGAATCACTAAAATCAAGAATGACAATTGCAGCACATTTCCTCAGGTAATTTAATTAGGAGAAATAAAATTAAAAGAATATGCATTTGACATGTTCCATAATAGATACTGATGAATGGATTTTATAAGAAGTCAGACAATAGAAATAAAAATAAGTTGTTTTTGCTATCAATGTGTCTTATGTACTCTGAGGTTGCTGTGAAGCTCAAATGAGTTAATACAAAGCACAACCAACAGTATCTGGTATATAAATAAATGCTCAATAAATACTGGTTATTACTATCATCATCATCATTAGATGCCAAAACCAGTTCCAGACAGAAGTAGTGATTGCATGAAAGACAGGAGAAAAAAACCCAGAGATAAAGAATTTACATTTCTACTCTTTTTCCTTCATTTTTTCCATTTTCTCTGGATTTAGAGTCCATGAGCACTACTTTAAGTACTGCAGTTTAAGTATTATTTTTAAAGCATCAGTAAATATGCACCTTATCCTTGATCATTCTATAAGACACTTGAGAGAAGAACAAATTTTTCTATTCTAAGTTTTTCCTATTTGGCAGAATACAGTAATATGCACAGTGAGTACTCAATGAATATTAATGACACACATCCTTATAAGAAAACAGAATAACAAAATAGCAACCAAACAATAATTAAAATTGGGATGCTATTAAAAGAGACCTCAAAGCAGAAATCAATATACTACAATTCAAAGACATACGGCAGAATGAAACGGGTGAAAAGCTCTGTTCTTCACCACAATGAAGAGATACCACTCTCTTTGCTCTTTCTGGGTACAACAATTTAGGAGGAATACTAAAAACCCCAGATTATGTCCAAAAGAGAGGAACTAAGAAACAGTTAAAGAACTGAGGAAGCTCAGACTCAGAACAGAAAAGGTCAGTTCTCAGGCTACCCTCTCCCATCTTCAATGATGAGAAAAACTATCCTATGGGAAATGCTTTAACATTTCTGTAAGGCAACTATCAAAAGATGGCAGCTATAGAGATCTAGACTTCTCTCAACTCAAAAACTTAAAAATAACAGATCTCTTCTAAGACAAAGATTTTATCAAAGATTAGTCATAGAAGTATGTATTAAAGCAAAAGTTGGCAAATAGCTTGCCAATGATGCTGTGGAAAACCTCCAAGGACAGGATAATTGGTTAGAATGCTAAATTTACTTACAACTCTGTCACCACATCAACGAATATTTACTGAATATCTGCTCCAGGAAAGACACTGTCTTAAACCTATAGTACAAAACCTACAAAAACAAAAAGCAAAGACAGAGAAACATACCAAGTCTTTGCTGTCAAGGAATTCACAACAAATAATATATAAAATGTAGATTACAGTTTCAGATCATAATAGATGTCGCCAAGCACCATCTAGTAATTGCCAAATGAATTCTATTCCTATATAAAGGTCTTCTAAGAGGGAGAAATCTCTAAGGTTAAAATGGTCAGAAAAGGCTATTTAGCATAAATGAGATATGAGGTACTTATGGAAAAATGTGTATGAAGGTTTTGAACAGGAAGGAGGGGGCAGCACAAACAGAAGTGAAATGCAAGTTAGAGAGAAACCTGTTTGACTACATTAAAAACCTGTTTCATGGGAGAAGAGATAAGCTGGAAGGACAGGTTGTGGCCAGAATCAATGGTACTGGGCCTTGAATACCAAGCTAAGTAATTTCAAATTTATCCTGCATAGAGTCTCTGTAGCAACTACTCATCTCTGCTGTTGTAGCCATACAAAATACTAAATAAATGGCATAGCTGTTTCAAGACTAAAATTTGAATTACACATTATTTTCATGTGTCACAGACTATTATAATTCTTTTGACTTTTTTTCTTCAACAATTCGAAAATGTAAAACTCATTCTTAACTCACAGGCCATACAAAACCAGGCTGTGAACTGATCTGGACCACAGGCCGTGGTTTGCCAATGCCTGTACTACACTAAGCTGTCTTCTTCAAGAGTCCTCTAAAGGTACATTTGTCCTTGAGTTTCAGGGACCAAAATATATTATTCACTGAACAACTATACACTCCAACACACGCACGCACACATGCCCACATCTAACCAAGATCTAAATCTAGCAGGGGTCAGAGGTTCCCTATACAAAGGCCCTCAAAAAAAAAAAATCTTTAGATTATTGATAATAAGCCATTAAAATAAATGCATGAAATTTTTTAATTTGCCATTTATTTTCACATATATATGTACTTAGAGAGTTACAAACTATTCTTACAGAGCCTCTAAATTACATGTAGGGCTCTGTAAAATAGGGTATAATCAAGGGAATAGTAGCAAAGGAAGTGAGTTCTAGCACTAGGTCTGCCATTTACTCATTATTTGACCCTGAACAAGTCACTTTCAATCTTCTGGGCCTAACTCCCTTAACTGTAAAGTGGAGGGGTAACTTAGATGATGATTATGCTTTCTCTTAGCTCTAGCACTGTATGATTCTACTACTGTTTAAAAGGACCTGTCCCGGAGCTTCAAGGATCACACAAAAGTGCCAATTAAGAATACAAAAAAGAAGAGAAAGGCCTTGACTAAATGAGTGGGCAGATAGGACAAACAGGTGGGAAAATGACCAGAAAAGTGGAGTATCACTAAAATCAAGAAATTGTTTTTTTAAAAAAACTATCAGATCCTGCAGAGAATTCGAACAGCAGAAGAGGCAAGAAAAAAAAAGTCAAAGAATTTGGTCATTTAAGAGATAACTGGTGATTTTCAGAAAAAGTTTCCAGTAATCCAGAAGCAAATATGGAACTGGAGGCAATCACTTTAATAAAGAATGAGTGTGGCCATCAAAGAAGAAAAAGCTAGTTGGCTAGCTATAAAAGGTAAGAACCACAGATCATGCTTCCAGGAATCATGAAAGGAACCAGGGAAAAAGAAGACTGAAGATGAGACTAAGGAATAGACAATAAAGGCATATGGTCCATAAAAAGAAGAAAGGGAAAAAACATAAGTTGTGATGAATTTAAAGCCTCAGGGAAGGGAATTAATCTTAAAAGGACAGGCATTTAATCTTTAAACTTCCGTTGCTGTTATCACTTTTTACACAACAGATGTTTCTGCAAAGCTCGGTATCTATTATCATATCATGTTTTCTATAAATCAAGTTATTAGGGAAATAAATCTAATGTTGGGTTTTCTTAAAGCAGAGTTCCACCTATATGATATTTTTCTAATGGTCAAAAAATTAAGAAAGAATTTTGTTTTTTATAAAAATGAAAACCAGCAATATGAAGCTCTAAAATGAAATACACATTTATACCTTTCTTACAGCACCTATCACTTCCTTCCTTGCATAAGAATTACTTACGTGGTAAAGTACCTAGTCCCTAATTGGAGTTCAACAAACACTAGTGTTCCCTTTCTTAGTAGCTCAGAAAGTTCCCAAGGCAAGAATTCTGATTAACTCATCTGTTTATCTGCTTTGCACAGAGTTGGTGACGCTTGATGAACAAATACTGACACATAACTCTCTGCCTTTTACAAAAATCGTCCTTGCAAAACAACTATCACTGCCCTTCTGACAAAGCTGGGAAAATACTTGTATCATACAGGTACATAACTCCAATAATATCACCCTTGCATACTGTCAGAGCTTGCTTAAGTAACAAAGAATTGCTACAAAACAAGTAAAACAGGCACAAAAAAATTTAAGAATCTGTAATGATCACTCATTAATTTCAAGATCGCACACAGTTAATTTCAATCCAACACTTGTCTCTATTTAAGGTATATGAGAAATAAAAATCCAAAGCATTAGCCTGATGATCAGCCAGTTAAAAATACACATTTGAATACGCCGAAGATATTTATAAAGCCAACAGAGATACTATTAATACGTTGAAATTCGCTGGCCAGTGCTGGATTCTACCCTAAATCTTCTACTACTATTCAAGAGAAGCCAAGTAGTCAAGGCTTCTCGTATCACTTGCTTTTAAGAATTTAAGAAGTCACTCAAATTGGCATACACAACCCAACCTCAAAAAAAAAAAAAAAAAAAAAGAGTTCAGCTCTCCATGTGGTAATGTTCTCCTATCTCCTTCCTTTACATTAATGTCCCATGTACTACTTTTCCACGATCTTCGGTAGGCCCCATTTAGGCAGGCCAATAGTACTACCAAGTAACAGGAGTTGAAAAAAGTCGTAACAGTTAAGTCTGCCCTCCCACAGATCTCACTTGGGTGTAGATTTCACAAGCGCTGAAAGCTATACGCTGCCACTGTCAAACCCAGAAGCAGCACCGTCACCCTGCCGTGCCCATAGGCAACTGTTCCAGAATGTTTTCTTTGAAATGATCTCTCCCGGCTCCACACGTTAAACAAGAACTTAAAAGGCCACCTTCTCCCCTAGAGCAGAACCTGATTCTTTCCCGTCCGCTCCTTTATTCGTCCAGCCCCATAAAACCCGAGGCGGGAGGTCCGCTCCCCGGCCCCTAGAGCCAGCGGGTCTCCCAACTGCTCGCCGCACCCACCGTCCACCCCCGACTGCCTCACGCCTCCTCATTCCCCCACAGCCGAGCCTGCACCCCGGCCGGGCCCGCAGCCGAACCCCGGCCCGGGCCTGTGTTGCCTCGAGCGGCCGCAGGCCTAAGGCCTAACCTCCTCTGGGGCCCCTCACCTCTTTCGGGACCAGTTGGTTCTCCTCGCCGGGCACCATCGCTGACTCCGGCCGCTCCTCTCCGCCCTGCCGGGGGAGGGTGGAGGGTGGCGGCGGCTCGCTAGCTCAAGAGAGAATGGCAGCGGCAGTCATCCTCTCCGCCGCCTGCGCTCCAGCAATAGCGGAGGCCTCAGCCTGGGCCTCAGACACCAGCGCGCAGACACCGACCCAGGGCTCCGCCGCCGCCGCCGCCGCTACCACAGCCGCCTTCGTCGTCGGCCCCTCCCCCAGCCCGCTGCAATCAATGGAAAAATGGCGGCGGCCGCTCTCGCGAGAATTCGGCCCGTCGGGCTCCAAGCCCGGCGCCTGGCGTCGGAGGTGGCCGGCACTTGTCGCTAGCTTCTAGTCACCTCGGCTCTTCCTCAGCCCCGGGAGGTACAGAATTGGCGAGACAGCCATGCAAACGCTTTTCGTTAGAGGAGAGCTGGACGTTCCATCTCGGGACTCCCTCTGCCGGCCGGGGAAGGACCAGGCCCACTGTCCTCCCTGCCTTCTCGGGCTCTTCGGACTCTCTGCCCTGCAGGGAAAGACTCGAGCCGAAAGCCCCATCTCTGACCCTAGCAACTCATACCCTTCTGGCTTCCCTTTAGCAAAGCGCCTGGACGTCATCCCCTCTTCAGATACCCCAGGCCTCGTCCTGGTAGAGACACCACCGCGGGCCACCTCCCGGCCCCCGCCCTTAGACACGGCTCTGGCCCTTCCAGTCAGAATGGACAGCGTTTTATTTGCTCCCGTTCACTCTCCTGACGTTCTTTTCCCCTCTCCCCACCCTCCCTCTCAAGGGCCCCCAGCTGGAGGGACCTCAGGGGCCACCCCCTGCTTGGGGAGGCAGCCACCCCTTCCCTTATGAAGCGGTGTCCTCACCGCCCGCCCCCCGCAACTACATTGGAGAGGCGCTCCCCTGCCCTCTTCCAGGGAACTTCCTTCTCCATCAGGGCCAAGTCTGAGACTGAGCTAGCCTTCCAAGAGTAGAGCTGCAGTATGCTTCAACCTGTGATCTCCGTTAACAAGGTTTTTAGAGAATTTTAATCTTCTCTAGTAGTAAGCATGGTGCTTTGTGTTATACTAAACAAAGTTTGCAGAAGTCATTTCTCCAAATCCTGCTTCCATTATGGAGACTCGGCGGGGCTCCTTCATGAAGACTTTTATGGATACAGTGATCTTACAGCATGCTGAGATAATATAATCTTGTCATGTTCCTAACACCCACAGCATTAACTGCCTGCACTTGTGTTCTCCAAACTTTTTTTTATTGTAATCCCGTTACCAAAAAAAAATCCATATACTTATATAAGTTTTATACGTGTCCTGCTGTGTGCAGAATTATAAAACATTTGTAAAATGTAAAAAGGCTAAGACAAAGATGACATAAACATTTAAAATAACTTAGTTATTTTCCATATTAATGGTATAAAAATCTTTGTTATTCTCACTAAAAATATTTAAGGAAATCAATATGATTGACTAGGTTTCGTTAGTTTTAAAAATCTTTAATACTTCGTGAAATAGTTATTAAAATATCTGATTGAACGTCAGGTTATTTTTGTACTTGGTTTTAATGGCTGTCATAAGCTGAAAAAAAGGTAACTCACAAAGATGTAGATCCTAAAGGAGGAAGTACATCTTTGGCCACTCTTCCTAATGCATGTTTAGAACGATTTAAAAAAAAAAACTGATATGAAAAAAGTTTCATTTTTATCCATTCCATCCAACAACCATGCAAAGGTTTTTATTGAAATTCAGCTAGTAGTGTTCCATCTTTCCTGATGTCAACCAGAAGATGTTGCATTTTTATATTTTTACAAATGGGTTCAAAGCTCTTTGGAATAAATTGCTTAGAAGATTTTTAAGAAGTTGAAAATTTCTATCTTCAAGTTTTAAGTATTCATGTATGAGTTTTGGGAGTTATAGATCTTGTCTTTAAGGTTTTGATATTTTGATTATCATGGATTGATTAAGATAAATTTTGACTTTTTAAAATATTGTATTAAGATTAGTTGTCTTGATTATTGAATTTTTGGCACCCCCCCCTTAAATTTTGTGCCCAAGGTGAACGGTTTTCACCTTGAAAACCATTTGCTTCACCATAGTCCCAGACTTGGGTGGCTCACATATATCATTTTTGCATCAAAATCACATGATGGAAATATTTCCAAACTTTTATTTTCAAAATGTCATCCCATGACTTAGTAAGGTGTCTTCTGTAGTGCTGGCCAGTGCTGTAGTGCTCACCCTAGAAGTAAAAATGTCATCTCTGTCATCTTTTTTGCTTATGCTTGCAATATTATTTCAAACTCATGTTGTCTTTCCAGAAATCCTTTTTAGTCACTTTCATTTTAGTAAAGGTTGATATAATGAAATAAGAATGTAATTGATAAATCTACTTAACCCAGCCCACATAAACTGGAATAAGTGACAACATACTAAAAGAAAATGAAGGAATCTCTGAATTCTCTACATTGCAGAACTCACACTTCTCACTCAGGAGTAGTGAGATGCTGGTGTTTATATATTCAATATAAGTAAGATTTAATTTTGCGTTTTTAGATTAAAATAAATATAAAAAGAAAGTCTAACATTTTCTTCCTACAATCCCCCTTTTCTGATTGCACACTCTTTTCTTTATAGGCCACTGGCTTGACTATTGCAGGAGAGCCTGATAAGATGGTAAGTATACAATGAATATTTGTGGAATAAGTATGTGGATTCATGAATTGATTAATGAATAAATGGACAAATACAAATATATGGCTACTCTTCCTAATATATTATTACTGAGATTACATGGATATGTGTTTATTTACTTTATATGTAAATGTTACGTCCCTTGTCCTCACCTCTCCTATAGGCTGTAAACTCATATATCTACCTTTTTAATGGCTCAATACCTCCCAAATTTAAACTTGACCTGAACAGAACATTTGATTTCCAAGCCTCCCCTACCTCCTGCAACATATCCTCTATCAGTTCTTCTCCACCTTGATAAATTACACTGTCATCAATTCAGTTTATCAAACCAAAAACCTGACACTCTTCATCTTACATTCAATCCCTTCATATGGGCTGTTGCTTCCACCTCTGAAACACATCTCAAATCCATCCACTTTTCCTTCTATCTACTACTGCACATCCCACTCCAATTACTTTATTCTTTTGCCTGTACTACTGCAGTTACCTCCTAACTGGGTTCCTGTTTCTAATCTTATCCCTCAACAATCCATATTCCATAGAGCAACCAGAGTGATCTTTCAAAAATATGTCATATCCCTTCCAAATCTTCCAAAGACATCTCATCCCTCTTAGAATAAAATTCATATTCTTTGCTATAGCCTGTGAGATCCAATGTAATCAAACCCATCTGTCTTGCTCCAGTCATCTGCCACTCTTCCTCTTACGCCCAATGACCCAGCCACTTTGCCTTTATTGAGCTTTTTAAACACATAAAGTTTGTCTCTGCCCCAAAGCCTTTGTAGTAGTTATTTCCTTTCCCTGAAATATTCTTCCCGTAGATCTTTTCTCTTATCTAGTTCAATCTTGTCATTTGGGCTTCTCAAATGTTAAATCTTCGAAAAGGCCTTTTATGATAATCCAATCTAAACTGGTTGTCCATAATGCATCCTCAATGTCTAGAACAATGCCTAGCACATAGTAGGTCATTAATAAATTGGTGTTGAATTAAAAACAAAAACCAAATGCCAAGACTGGTGTAGGTCAGAGGCTGATGATTTTTCTTATAATTTCTTTGGGAATATTTTCCTTTTCCTTTTCAAATGAAAATGTTCATAGTATAACCCCAGTCAAAGTATGAAAAAAAATCACACAAACCCAGTTTGGAGGACATTCTACAGGATGCCTGGTCAGTATTCCTCAAGACTGTTAAGGTCATGAAAAACAATGAAAAACTGAGACACTGTCATAGACCAGAGGAAACTGAGGAAATATGACAAGTAAATGCAATGTGGCACTCTGAATTGGATCCTGAAACAGGAAGAAGCCGTTAACAAAAAAAAATGGTAAAACTCAAATAAAATGTGTATTTGGTTAATATTTATGTACTAATATTCATTTCTTAGTTTTTAAAATGTTTTTAAAAAATTTAATACACTTTATTATTATTATTATTATTATTATTGAGATGGAGTTTTGCTCTTGTTGCCCAGGCTGGAGTGCAGTGGTGTGATCTTGGCTCACTGCAACCTCTGCCTCCTGGGTTGAAGCGATTCTCCTGCCTCAGCCTCCTGAGTAGCTGGGATTACGGGTGCATACCACCACGCCCAGCAGATTTTTGTTTTTAGTAAAGACAGGGTTTCACCATGTTGGCCAGGCTGGTCTCGAACTCCTGACCTCAGGTGATCCACCCGCTCGACCTCCCAAAGTGCTGGGATTACAGGCATAAGCCACCGTGCCCAGCCTTTGTTTTTATTATTCACAGCAAAGACTATATTTAAATAGTAAATGAGAAGAAATTGTAATTAAACTTTATTTTTTAGAGCAATTTTAGGTTTACAGCAAAATTGAGCTGAAAGCACAGAGAGTTCTCATACACCCACTGTCCCTACACACACACCCTCTCCACTATTGACAGCTGCCACCACAGTGGTACATTTGTTACAACTGATGAACCTACATTGATATATCATTATCATCCAAAGTCCATAGTTTACATTAGGGTTCGTTCTTGGTGTTGTACATTCCATGTGTTTTGATAAATATATAATGATATATATCCACCATTGCAGTATAATACAGAATAGTTTCACCGCCCTCAAAATCTGCTGTGTTCTGCCTATTAATCCCTCTGTCTCTCCTAACTCCTGGCATTCACTGATCTTTTTACTGTCTTCATAGGTTTACCTTTTCCAGAGTGTTGGAATCATGGTATGTGGGCTTTTCAAATTGGCTATTTCTTCTAGTAATATGCATTTAAGTTTCCTCCATGTTTTTTCATGGCTTGATAGTTCATTTCCTTTTAGCACTGAATAATATTCGATCATCTGGATGTACCACAGTTCATTTATCCATTCACCTACTGAAAGACATCTTAGTTGCTTCCAAGTTTTGGCAATTACCAATAAAGTAAATACAACCATCTATATGCACATTTTTGTGTATGTGTAAATTTTCAATTCATTTTGGTAAGTACCAAAGAGCATGACTGATAGATTGCACAATAAGGGTATTTTTAGTTTTGTAAAAAAAACAAAAACAAAAAAACTGCATGTTTTACATAGTTTTTTTACATAGTTTGTTTACATTGTTTTTTACATAGTTTTGTAAAAAAAAAAACAAAACTGCATAGTTTTACAAAACTAAACATTCCAAAGTGGTTGTGCCATTTTTCATTCCCACCATCCATGAATGAGAGTTCCCGTTACTCCATCACATCTTTGCCAGTATTTGACATCATCAGAGTTTTGATTTTGACCATTCTAATACATGTATAGTGGTATCTCTCCTTGTTTTAATTTGCAATTCCCTAATGACATATGGTGTTGAACATCTTTTCATATACTTATCTTCTTTGGTAAGGTGTCTGTTCGGGTCTTTTGCCCATTTTTTTAATTGGGTTGTTCATTTTCTTATTATTGACTTTTAATAGTTCTTGGTATATTTTGGATAACAGTTCTTTATCAGATGTGTCATTTGTAAACATTTTCTCCCTATCGGTGCCTCGTCTTCTCATTCTCTTGACATTGTCTGTCACACAGCAGAAATTTTTAATTTTAACAAAGCCCAGCTTATCAATTACTTATTTCATGGATCATGTCTGTGGTGGTGTATCTGAAAAGTTATCACCAAACGCAAAGTCATCTAGGTTTTCTCCTTTGTTATCATCTAGGAGTGTTATAGTTTTAAAGTTTACATTTAGGTCTATGATCCATTTTGAGTTCATTTTTGTGAACAGTATAAGGTCCGTGGCTAGATTTGTTTCTTTGCATGTGAACATAAAATTGTTCCAGCACCATTTGTTGAAAAGACTTTTTTCTCCATTATATTGCCTTTGCTCCTTTGTCAAAGATTAGTTGCCTATATTTACGTGGGTCTATTTCTGGGCTCTCTATTATGTTCCATTAATCTGTTTGTCTATTCTTTCACCAATGCCACACTGTCTTGACTACTGTAGCTTTAAAGTAAGTCTGGAAGTCAGCCCTTTGACTTTGTTCTTCTTCAATATTGAGTTGGCTATTCTGGGTCTTTTGCCTCCCTATATAAACTTCAGAATCAGTTTGTCAATATCCTCAAAATAACTTGCCAGAATTGTGATTGAGATTGCACTGAATCTGTAGATCAAGTTGAGAAAAACTGACATCTTGACAATTTTGAGTCTTCCTATCCATGAACATGGAATATCTCTTCCTTTATTTAGTTCTTTGATAGCTTTCATTAGAGTTTTGTCACTTTCCATATATATATATATATATATATATATATATATATATATATATATATCATCCATATTTGGTTAGATTTATATGTAAGTATGATTTTGGGGGGTTCTAATGTAAATGGTAATGTGTTTTATATTTCAAATTCCACTTGTTCATTGCTGATAGTTTCTTAGTTTTTATAAGTGTAATGTGGTAATGCAAGATATAAGCAGTGGGGGAAAGTGGAGGAGGTATATACAGACTCTTTGTCCTATCTTTGTAACTTCCTTGAAAGCATAAAATTATTCCAAAATAAAAGGTATATTTTTAAATGTTCATGGCAATACTTAAGATTTTATTTTCTTTCTTTTATATTTCAAGACTCTTCACTGCACAAGTCTAAGCATGTAGTCAAAGTCACATTATACAATTTAAGAACCAGTGAAAATAGAAGGTTAAATGTGTATTATAAAAATGAAAGGAAAATTTCACCATGACTATGTTTTAATAAGGTTAAGGAGAAAATCTTTAGTCAGTGTAATGTGGCTTTGGAGCCAGATTTACCTGTTTTGAAATCCAAACTCTGCCACTTCCTCCATATAAGACCTGTCTGAACCTCCATTTTCTCAACTATAAAATGGGGGCAATAAAGTAGACCCTTGGCATTTATCAGTTTAACATTTGCCATGTTGACTGGAAAAGTCCATGACATGTAGCGTAATTGTGATAGAAAGGAAATTTGAACTTTATACGTTAGCCAGAGTACAGAAGACCAAAGAGCTAAGTGGTTGAAAGAGTAAGCTGAAAATACATTATTTGAATTTGAATCCTACCTCTATTATTATTAACTGTGTGACATGCCTTGGGTAGATCTCTTAAATCCACCAAGCTTCAGTTTTCTTATCTGTAAAATGGGGATGATAACAGCCTCTCTTCACAAGGTTGTTATAGTAACTAGTAAAGAAAGTAATAATAATCACAAAACTACAGCAGTTAAGATTGGTTGAGGCCGGGTGCGGTGGCTCACGCCTGTAATCCTAGCACTTTAGGGGGCCAAGGCAGGTGGATCACCTGAGGTCAGGAGTTCAAGACCAGCCTGGCCAACATTGTGAAACCCCATCTCTACTAAAAAAAAAAAAAAATTAGCCGGACATGGTTACGGGCGCCTATGATACCAGCTACTCAGGAGGCTGAAATAGGAAAATCATTTGAACCTGGGGCGGGGCTGAGTGAGCTGCAGTGTGCTGAGACTGCACCATTGCACTCCAGCCTGGGCAAAAGAGTGAAACTCTCAAAAAAAAAAGAGATTGGTTGAATAGACAGGCATAGTGGCTAACGCCTGTAATCCCAGCACTTTGGGAAGCTGCCGCAAGAGGATCACTTGAGCCCAGGAGTTCAAGACAAGCCTAGGCCACATCGGGAGACCCCATCTCTACAAAAAAATAAAAAATTAGCCGGGTGTGGTGCACCCCTGTAGTCTCAGCTACACAGGAAGCTGAAGTGGGAGGATCCCTTGAGCCTGGGAGGTCGAGGCTGAAGTGAGCCGAGATCACACAACTGGACTCCAGCCTGGGTGACGAGAGAGACCCTGTCTCAAAAAAAAAAAAAAAAATTGGTTGAATATATAGATTGAGCCCTGCTCTAGATCCTTTGCTTTTTTTTTTTTTTTTGTCTGCGACAGTCTCCTTTTGGCCAGGCTGTAGTGCAGTGGCACAATCTCGGCTCACTGCAACCTCCGCCTCCCAGGTTCAAGCGATTCTCCTGCCTCAGCCTCCTGAGTAGCTGGGATTACAGGCACGCGCCACCATGTCCGGCTAATTTTTGTATTTTTAGTAGAGACAGGGTTTTACCATGTTGATCAGGCTGGTCTCGAGCTCCTGATCTCGTGATCCGCCTGCCTTGGTCTCCCAAAGTGCTGGGATTACAGGTGTGAACCACTGCGCCCAGCCCCTTTGCACATATTTTTTATTCAGTTCTCTCAACAACTTTATGCATAAGTACTTCTAATATCCCCATCTTACAAGTGAGGAAATGCATATAAACTGTTTAAAGCACTCAACATACACTACCTGACAAATACTAAGCAATCAATATATGCTGGCTATAATTATCCTAGCAATAGACTGAGTTTCATGAGGGAATGCACAACCCTCACAGTACCTGGCATATAGTAGGTGCTTTTAAATTCATGTTGAATAAATAAACTAGTCACTTAGCTAGTGAGTAAGTCTTGTTAATCATACGGCAACTACACTTTGACGTAGTCTCATTTCTGCCTACTCTTCTCCACTTATGTAGTTCTTCCATGAATTTTCTTTGTGGAAAATGGCTCTGAAAAGAAACTCAATTATTAGTAATGAGATTGAAGAAATTATTAAAGTGATGGATCTTAGCCACAAAATAGGCCTTCTGTCTAAGTTAAAGAGTGGGATGTAAAATTAGTCAATGGCTTATATTTATGATGGAAAAGACACCATCAATAAGGAAACAAGAAAAAGTAATTTGGGAAACTATTTAAATGAGTGCATCCACTAAGGAAAAAAAGCTCATCAATTAAGTTAAAAACCACTGAATATTGAAAAGATGACTAACTTTTGGTGTGAAGATGAGAATAGAAAAAATGATGCTCAGGAAAATGTAATCTGGGAGAAACCTAGGAACATTTGTATAAATATTTTCATGAGGTAAGCGAGTGAGGACATTTGTGGGGCTCTTAACCCACTGTGACCTCAAAAAAAAGATTGGTTCTGTGACCTAAAGTAGCATTTTTCTATTGACATTTTATAAAGATAAAAATCATTGCCACAGAAGTGCTTGCTTGCCTCTTTCTAAGCTGAAGAAATTCATAAAGAAAAGGTTAATAGGTCAGTGCATTCAACAGTATTAAAAAGAGGCTCACATCAACAGAAAATACCTTGGTAAACATATTGAAGGAGGAGAGGCAAATATCAGCGCCTAAGGCAACCAAAGATAAATTGACCACAATTCACTCAACTTTCTTTGCGGTCTGCAAGTGCCTAAATTTTAAGGTGCAAGAATAGGAAGGAATCTAGCAAAATAAAGTTGGAGTCACAGTGTTAAACTTTCTGAAATGATTTCATAATGTCTTTGAAGTAGAGTAATATTTATAAATTTGTCATTTGAAGAGATCTCAATATTCCTTGAGAATGTGAAGACTGAGTTGTAATAATTACTTGATAGCATTGTGAGAATTAGAAATAATGTATACAAAGGTGAATATTTTATAATAATATTGATTTGAAACAAAATAAAAGCCAGAAGTGTAAAGGGAAAGATGGTAATTAAAAAATTTTAACTCATGTATAGCAAAGATTAATATAAATAAAGTCAAAAGACAAAATATCATCTGGAAAAATATTCACAACAAATATGCCAAATGGCTAATTTTTTCAGTTTAAAAGACTGCTTATAAATCAATAAGGAAAAGATGAACAACCCAAGAGAAGCATGCTTAGAAGGTAAGTTAGCACCTCATTAAAAATGAAATATAAACTGCCAATAAATATCTGAAAAGATACTCAAATGTACTCATAATTAAATAACTGCAAATGAAAACAATGAAATGACATTTCACTCTTAGATTAGCAAAATTTATGGGGAAATAAAAACTCTTGTTTGAATTTGGTGGAATATGAGTTATTAAAAACATTTTAAAGGCAATATGTCAATGTATATAAAAAATTTCAAATGTGCCTATTCTTTGACCCAACAATTCTAAGATAATCCTACAGTACAAGTGTACAAAGACATATGTGTATTGATGTTCATTATAGCATTGTTTGTAATAATGCAAAACTAGAAATAATATAAATATTTGTCAGTAGGATCATGTAAATTGTGGTACACTCATACTATATAATACTATGCAGTTATTCAAATAGAATGAGGTAGAAAAATAAAAACTGTTATGGACTAAATGCAACATGATGTCTTAGACTGGATCCTGGAACAAAAAGAACATTAGTGAAACACTAGTGAAATTCAAAGTCAGACTTTAGTTAATATTAATGTACCAATGTTAATTTCTTATTTTTGACAAAAGTACCTTTGAGAGGTGAAGCCAGCTGGACTTCCTGGGTCGAGTGAGGACTTGGAGAACTTTTCTGTCTAGCTAGAGGATTGTAAATGCACCAATCAGTGCTCTGTGTCTAGCTAAAGGATTGTAAATGCACCAATCAGCACTCTGTAAAATGGACCAATCAGCACTCTGTAAAATGAACCAATCAGCAGGACGTGGGCGAGGACAAATAAGGGAATAAAAGCTGGCCACCCCAGCCAGAAGCGGCAAGCCGCGAGTCACCTTCCATACTGTGGAAGCTTTGTTCTTTCGTTCTTCACAATAAATCTGGCTGCTGCTCACTCTTTGGGACTGTGCCACCTTTAAAAGCTGTAACAGTCACCGTGAAGGTCCATGGCTTCATTTGTGAAGTCAGCGAGACCAAGAATTCACCAGAAGGAACCAACTCCGGACACACCTTGATTATGTAAAATGTTAATATGCAACTCTACTGTAAATCCAAAATTATGCAAAAATGAAAAGTTTATTTAAAAAAGGTGAGATAGAAGATCAAGATATAACAAATAAGAAAAAGAAACTTGCAGGATTGTATGTATGGCATTTGTGTACTGAAAGATGGTGTTATAAATATGTACACCAGTATAAGCATAGAAATCTCTAGAAGAATATGCTCCTCCCCCTTCCTCCTCTCCTCAGAAAAGTTTGTAGTAATTATCTCTAAGTCACTGGAATGGAAGTTCTCAATGTCGGTGGAAGTAAAGAGTTAGTTAGAATCTTCTCTTTTTCTTTCTTTTTTTTTTTTCTTTTTTTTGTTTTTTTTTTTTCAGCCAGAGTCTCACTCTGTCACCCAGGCCAGAGTGCAGTGGTGTGATCTCGGCTAACTGCAACCTCCACCTCCCAGGTTTAAGTGATTCTCCTGCCGCAGCCTCCTGAGTAACTGGGATTACAGGCACATGCCACCACGCCTGGCTAAGTTTTGTATTTTTAGTAGAGACGGGGTTTCACCATGTTGGCCAGGCTGGTCTCGAACTCCTGACCTCACGTGATTCAACTGCCTAGGCCTCCCAAAGTGCTGGGATTACAGGCGTGAGTCACCGTGCCCAGCTGGAATCTTCTCTTTTTCGTTTTCACATTAAATCATACTGTGTTCTTTTAATTCTTTTAAAATAATTCGAAGACAACAAATTAAAAGAAATAATGTATGAAAACTGGTTAACATAATGACTGACACATTATAGATGCTCAGTATATAAAAACTTTCATTTTTTTTACTGGCCACTTTGGTTCATAACTTTTTATTGTATCTCTAATGACAAACACAAGTTTTTGTAGAGTACTTACTCTTAACTATGGTCCAGGCTCTGTATGGAGTATTTTACACACTCTATCTTATTACTCCCCATAACAACTTTATGATTTGGGAACAATTATTATCCTAATTTTACAGACAAGGAAACAGGAATAGAGAAGTTAAGTAACTTCCAAAGTCATAAGGCAAATAGATAAATAATGGAACTGGGATTTAAACCTAAGCAGTCTGACTCCAAAGTCTTTCATCATAGGTGAAGCCTCAGTTGCTTCTACAGATACAATCTTTAAACCTTCTGGTTCGTTATGTGGTAACTGCAATCTACCTACAGTGGAAGAAAGTAATGGCTAATCATTTTCACTCTTTAGCAGAGTTGGACGATCTGAAATCTCTAGATCTTTCTTTAAAAATTTTAGCCAATGGGCTCTGTAGCTTGATTCTTTAAATTTTAAATGTTTCTACTCATCTAATTGTTTGGTGATTTTCACTAGACTAAATGATCCCACTTCCTCATCATTTTTTAAGAGATCTAATTGTTTAATTCTTGTAGTTTCTTTTCTGGAAGACTAACAATCTCCTTCCCTAAAAGTGAACATTTTCTTTCTTTCTTTTTTTTTTTGAGACAGAGTTTTGCTCTTGTTGTCCAGGCTGGAGGGCAATGGCGTGATCTCAGCTCACTGCAACCTCCGCCTCCCGGGTTCAGGCGATTCTCCTGCCTCAGCCTCCCTAGTAGCTGGGATTACAGGCATGCGCCACCACACCCAGCTAATTTTGTATTTTTGGTAGAGACGGGGTTTCTCCATGTTGGTCAGACTAGTCTTGAACTCCCAACCTCAGGTGATCCACCCGCCTTGGCCTCCCAAAGTGCTGGGATTACAGGCATGAGCCACTGCGCCCGGCTGAACATTTTCTTTAAGAAGGTAATTAGCAGTTGCTATCCCTTTCTTCTTCCTCTGTCTTCATCTGATAGAGCAGGTAGTGTTTTTGCATAATGCCACCTAAACTTGTCAAAGTCTTTCATGGACCAAAACATGCAAGTAAAGGAGTATCATCTTATCTTTTTACATGAGTCCTCTGGTAGAAAAAATTGAAAATGATACTTAGATGCTAACTGTTGATAAAATTTTCTACAGGTACAGATAATTAGGTCATCTTTTGTTTAAAAATATTTCAGAAATGTTATCTAATTTTCTAATGTGTTGGCAGAGCATAGGCTTTTAAACCTAATTATCATCACCATTGTTGCCCATAATCAACACTTAGATTGGATTCTTGTCGTATACATGGCCCTGTTGCTTATGAGGAATCATAAATTCCTAGCCAGACTCAAAGTCTCAGTTGATTTAACCACAAAAACTTCAAAATTTATTATGTGTGTGAGCACTACAATCATACAAGATTCTTTGGAAGATAAAATATAATAAATAAAATTTAGAAGGTAGACCATAAAAATAGATCAGAAAATGTGATGGAAAGAACAGAAAATGAGCAATAGTCATTTATCATAATACATTAATCTCCATTAAATATCTCTAAGGTGTTTGACATTGTGATAGATGCTTAAGAGAGCATAAAGTCAGTTTGGTGACTTATTGCCTGCATAATTGAATAAAGGAGATTAAAAATGATGGAGCATGTCAGAATTTATGTCGGAAAATGTACTCTGAAATTCAATTCAACAGATATTTATTAAGAGTCTTCTGACAAGGCGTGTTGCCAGGAACTATGTCAAACAGACGACTAAGAATGTTCTCTACTCTCAGGAAGCTCACAATTTAGTTAGAACAGCGCTAGCCAACATGAAAATTGGGGAAGGCACTCCAGAACTCACAGCTGTTTGAGCACAGCTTGGGCTAGACTTGAACCTTCACTCACCCTTAGCCAGGCATCTGCGTGCATTGCACAGCTTGAACAATCACACACAGAAGCCCTAGCTATGACTAAAACAAACAAGCATGATGGAAAGATAGAATAATAGATGTGCACATATAAACCTGAGTGTAGAGAAATGGATTATATGTGAACATGACAATTGAACCTCAAGATGATTGGTCAAATGTTTGAGAGAGAGAAAAAAAGGTCCCCTTTACCTATGATTGGCCCAGTATGGGTCGTATGCTTCATGTAATGGCCAAGACTAAACTGAGTGCTGATCGTCCCAATAGACACACAAGTGTGAAGACATTCCTGGCAGGCAAAAGCAACGCGGGAATCCTGGAGAAGAGAATTACAAATGTCATGCTGAGAACTTACACATTTTTTGGTTATTAGTAGAGAAATCTATTAGAAATAAATTTTGTCTTTATAAAATGTTTTATAGTAGTTTGGGAAAATTCAGTATTATTTAAGTCTACATGTAATAAGTGGAATTTGAATCTTAAAACTGTTTTCAACACACAAACTCATTTTCCAGAAAGTAACTACAATAAGCATTTTGAAGTGTAAGCTTCTGGACTACCACAGAAAGTTGTTTAGCTGTTAATTTTGGGGGCAGTGTTCTCCAATTATTTTTGACCAGATGTTTATTTCATAAATCACTAATATATATTGATTAATTTATTTATAAACTCAATACATGTCTTACTATTGTTGGCTAATGTCCTGAGACTTAACAACTTAGAGCAAAGTTCATCATTAAAGACACGGGTGGCCAGGTGCAACGGCTCACACCTGTAATCCCAGCACTTTGGGAGGCTGAGGTGGGAGGCTTGCTCTAGCTCAGGTGTTGGAGATCAGCCTGGGCAACATAGGAAGACTTCTGTCTCTACGAAAACATAAAATAAAAATAAATAGCTGGGCATGGTGGCATGTGCCTATAGTCCGAACTACTTGAGAGGCTGAGGTTGGAGGGTGGCTTGCACTCGGGGCGTCAAGGCTACAGTGAGCACCACTACACTCCAGCCTGAGTGACAGAGCAAGAACCTGTCTAAATAAATATAGTGATTGCAAATCCATATTTCAATATCTTCTTGATCGTTTCACAACGCTTTGTTTTACTGACACACTTGTCAGACTTGACAACACTGTCACAGCTTTAGCTTCCTAAGATGGCAGCTGAGGTATTGTACCAAGAGGAAGAGGAATGTTCGCTCTGCCATTTTCTCGTCTCCTTGTGTTTACAAGCAGCATCATGTTGTGGTTAAGGCCACTGACCCCAGAGAGAAATTGCCTGGGTTGCATTGCAGCCCTGCCATTGACTAGCAACATCGTTAAGCTGTCTACGCCCCAGTTTCCTCATGTTTAAAATGGGAATTAAAACAGTACTTTCCTCACAGGGTTTTTGCATGGATTAACTAAGTTAATAGAGATGAAACACTTAGGCCAGTGTCTGGCTTGTACTAAATGCCACATAAATATAATTGATCCTTGAACAAGGTAGAGTTTAGCTCCCCCTTCCCCTCCCCAGTCAAAAATTTGGGTATAACTTTTGAGTCCCCCAAAACTTGACTGCTAATAGCCTACTGTTGACTGAAGCCTTCCAGATAAATAAGCAGTTGATTAACACATATTATATATGTTAAATGTATTATATACTGCATGCATACTATATTACTTTATTACTAGAGCTATAGAAAAGAAAGTGTTATTCAGAAAATGATAACAAAGAGAAAATATATTCACAGTTCACTAAGTGGAAATGGATCATTATTAAGGTGTTCATCCTCTTCGTCTTCACCTTGAGTAGGCCAAGGAAGAGAAGAGGTTGGGTTGATCTTGCTGTTTCCAGAGTGGCAAAAGCGGAAGAAAATCCACCTGTACATGGTTCCATGTGGTTCAAATCCATACTGATCAAGTGTTGACTACATTTGATATTATTGGCATTATATTTAATATATTTAATATATATTTAATGCTGCAGTGGTTTTTTTTTTGTAAAAATCTTTTAAAGTTACTTTTCTATTTTTTGAGGGCAAATTAGTTAAAACCAGATTATGTAATCTATAACTCTGCCTCACTGAACCCTCAGTGACCCCACCTCTTTGCTGTGAGAGCTCCTCTCCACCACTTCGTCCCAGGTGACCTGGGTACAGTGTACACCAAGAGATCATGAGACATGCATGCCAAGTGGGGGAGCTGATGTCAATCCACACATAAAAGGTTAGTACATTTTTCTTTTTCTTTTATTGGTAACAAGTAAATATATATGTGTATGTATATATACATATGGACATACATATGTATACATGTATATTTGTGTGTGTATATATACAGACATGCCTTTTTTAATGATGGCTATACGTTTTGAGAAATGATTAGGTAATTTTGTCATTATGTGAACATCATGGAGTGTACTTACACAAGCTTAGATGATACACCTAGTAAACCTACCATACACCTAGGCTATTTGGTATAGCCCTGATATGATTTGGCTCTGTGTCCCCACCCAAATCTCATCTTGAATTGTACTCTCATAATTCCCGCGTGTTGTGGGAGGGACCTTGTGGGAGAAAATTTGAATCATGGGGGCAGTTTTGCCCATACTGTTCTCATGGTAGTGAATAAGTCTCATGAGATCTGATGGTTTTATCAGGGGTTTCTGCTTTTGCATCTTCCTCATTTTCTCTTGCTGCCACCATGTACGAAGTGCCTTTTGCCTCCCGCCATGATTCTGAGGCCTCCCCAGCCATATGGAACTGTAAGTCCAATTAAACCTCTTTTTCTTCCAAGTCTCGGGTATGTTTTTATCAGCAATGTGAAAACTAATACAGTAAATTGGTACCGGGAAGAGGGCGTTGCTGAAAAGATACCTGAAAATGTGGAAGCGACTTTAAAACTGGATTACGGGCAGAGGGTGGAAGAGTTTGGAGGGCTCAGAAGAAGACAGAAAAATATGGGAAAGTCTGGAACTTCCTAGAGACTTGTTGAATGGCTTTGATAAAAATATTGATAATGATATGGACAATGAAATCTAGGCTGAGGTGATCTGAGATAGAGAAGAAGAACTTGTTGGGAATGGGAGCAAAGGTGGCTCTTGTTATGTTTTAGCAAAGAGGTTGGTGGCATTTTGCCCCTGTCCTAGAGATTTGTGGAACCTTGAATTTGAGAGAGATGATTTAGGGTATCTGGTGGGAGAAATTTCTAAGCAGCAAAGCATTCAAGAGGTGACATGGGTACTGTTAAAGGCTTCAGTTTTAAAAGGGAAGCAGAGCATAAAAGTTGGGAAAATTTGCAGGCTGACAATGCGAAAGAAAAGAACGTCTTATTTTCTGAGGAGAAATTCAAGCTGCTGCAGATATTTGCATAAGTAATGAGGAGCTGAATGTTATTCCCGAAGACAATGGGGAAAATATCTCCAGGGCATGTTAGAGACCTTTGTGACAGCCTCTCCCATCACAGACCCAGAGGTCTAGGAGGAAAAATGGTTTCATGGGCAGGGCCCAGGGTCCCCGTGCTGTGTGCAGCATAGGGACTTGGTGCCCTGCGTCCCAGCCACTCCAGCTGTGGCTAAAAGGGGCCAACATAGAGCTTGGGCCATGGGTTCAGAGGGTTCAAACCCCAAGCCTTGGGGTCTTCCATGTGGCGTTGAGCCTGTGGGTGCACGTAAATCAAGAATTGGAGTTTGGGAACCTCTGCATAGATTTCAGAAGATGTATGGAAACACCTGGATGTCCAGGCAGAAGTTTGCTGCAGGGGTGGGAATCTCATAGATTCTCATAGAGAATCTCTGCTAGGGCAGTGCAGAAGGGAGATGCAGGGTTGGAGCCCCCACACAGAGTCCCTACTGGGGCACTGCCCAGTGGAGCTGTGAGATGAGGGCCACCATCCTCCAGACCCCAGAATTGTAGATCTACCTACAGCTTGCACTATGAGCCTGGAAAAGCCACAGATGTTCAATGCCAGCCTGTGAAAGCAGCTGGGAGAGAGACTGTAGTCTGCAAAACCACAGGGGTGGAGCTGCCCAAGACCATGGGAACCCACTTCTTGCATCAGTGTCACCTGGATGTGAGATGTGGAGTCAAAGGAGATCACACTGGAGCTTTAAAATTTGACTGCCCTGCTGGATTTCAGACTTGCATGGGCCCTGTAACCTCTTTGTTTTGGCCAATTTCTTCCATTTGGAATGGCTGTATTTACCCAATACCTGTACCCCCAGTGTATTTAGGAAGTAACTAGCTTGCTTCTGATTTTACAGGCTCATAGGTGGAAGGGACTTGCCTTGTCTCAGATGAGACTTTGGACTGTGAACTTTTGGATTAATACTGAAATGAGTTAAGACTTTGAAGGACTGTTAGGAAGACATGATTGGTTTTGAAATGTGAGGACATGAGATTTGGAGGGGCCAGGGGTGGGATGATATGGTTTGGCTCTGTGTCCCCACCCAAATCTCATCTTGAATTGTATTCCCATAATTCCTATGTGTTGTGAGAGGGACCCAGTAGGAGATAATTTGAATCATTGGGGTGGTTTTCCCTATACTGTTCTTGTGGTAGTAAATAAGTTTCACGAGATCTGATGGTTTTATCAGGGGTTTCCACTCTTGCATCTTCCTCATTTTCTCTTGCTGCTGCCATGTAAGCAGTGCCTTTCACCTCCCGCCATGATTCTGAGGCTTCCCCAGCCATGTGGAACTATAAGTCCAATTAAACCTCTTTTATTTCCCCCAGTCTCAGGTATGTTTTTATCAGCAGTGTGAAAACGGACTAATACAAGCCCATTGCTCCTAGGCTACAAACCTGTACAGCATATTACTGTACTGGATATTGTAGGTAGCTGTAACACATGGTAAACATTTGTGTATCTAAACATGTCTAAACATAGAAAGATATGTTAGAAATATGGTATTGTAATTTTATGGGACCACCATCATATATGTAGTTAATTGTTGACTGAAATGGTGTTATGTGGTACATGACTGTACATGTATATGTATGCATGTGTGTATATATTATACATGTATGTGTATGCATGTAAGTGTATATATGTGCATGTATGTTTTTATATGTATATGTGTGTGCATATACATGCATGTATATATGTATGTGCAGCTATGTGTATGCATATGTGTATTTATGTATGTGTATACATACATACATGCATGCATGTATACCTATGTATGTGTTCGTATATATATTTGTGTGTATATATGCAAATATGTGTATATATATCTGTGCAGAAATATATATTAGCAGATGTATATAGTCTAATATTTTCTTCTTGAACCTCAGTAGACTTTCTAGGGTATTCCCTGTGATGTGTACACACCACTTTGGAAGCCCACATGCTAGAGGATCCACTGCTGAGAACGGATCTGCAGCCTGTCACGGACAGCTGATAGCTATAGAAGCAGGACTTGAGCAAGACTGAGCCTTGGATACGAGAAAAATGTAGGGGCAGGAAAGGGCAGGTAGAGCAAAGGAAACCTGGCAAAAGCCCAGGAATCAGATTAGTTATAGACATAATCTTGCTCTGAAGGCTCTTCCTATGCAAGTCAGTGAGGCCTTGGATTTTCAGATACAACATATTCCGACAGTTCAGATATATTCATTGGGCAAGTATGAATTTAACATCTACTGTGGCTCAGCACTGTGATAAGGGTGCTGAAGGTATGTAGTCACTTAATCCATGATTTTATAGTCTGTGATAGAGATGACCCACACCAACATACAGCTTCAAAAGGAATAATTTGTTCATATCTGTTAATATATAAATATACATATAATTTATGAATAAATAGTATAGCCCAAAATCCTATAACACACAGAAATTTTCAGAGGAAAGATTTCCTGGAAGTAGGAGGTGGTGCCTGGGATAAGTATTGAAAGAACAAACTTTCCTTTATTAAATTGTGTGTGTGTTTGTGTGTGTGTGTGTGTGTGTGTGTAGAGACGGAGTCTTGCTCTGTCACCAAGGCTGGAGTCCAGTGGCGCGATCTCAGCTCACGGCAACCTCCACTTCCCAGGTTTAAGCAATTCTCCTGCCTCAGCCTCCCGAGTAGCTGGGACTACAGGTGCATGCTGCCACGCCTGGCTAATTTATTTTGTATTTTAGTGCAGACGGGGTTTCACCGTGTTACCCAGGTTGGTCTCGAATTCCTGAGCTCAGGTCATCCGCCTGCTTTGGCCTCCCAAAGTGCTAGGATTACAGGTGTGAGCCACCGTTCCTGGCCTATTAAATGTTAAATAAACAAAGATCTTCTTTAAACTGTTTATTAAAGATACTATTATTAATGACCCAGGATTTGTATACAGCCTCTATAGACACTAGAATATAAATTCTATGAGGTTTTTTTGTCTGTTTTTCTTCACCACTGTGCCTCATGCCCGCAATAATGCTGGACACATAGTAACTTCTCATTCGTTAACATTATTAGTGAATGATTAAAGAACTGTGTATGTGAAATGTTGGGGAGGAGGCTTCATACTTCCTCTTTGAATCATAGAATGAGTATTACAGGGACCCAAGACTTAATCTAGTCCAAATTCCATAGTGAAAAACTGAAGCACAGAGAGGCCAAGTAATCACCTGCTATGGTTTGAATGTTTGTCCCCTTCTCAACTCATGTTGAAATTAATTGCCATTGTAACAATACTAACAGGTGGGAACTTTAAGAGACTATTAGGCCACGAAGGCTCTGTCTTCATGAATGAATGAATGCTGTTATTGCAGGAGTGGGTTTCTTATAAAAGGATGAGTTTGATCCCATTTTGTCTCTCTCTCCCCCTTTCTTTGACCTTCTGCCATAGGATGGTGCAGGAAGAAGGCCCTCACAAAGCACCACCTCCTTGATCTTGGACTTCCCAGGCTTTACAACCATGAGCCAATGCATTTCTATTCCTTATAAGTTACCTAGTCTCAAATGTACTGTTATTGTAGCAAAAATGGTCTAAGACATCAACTCAAGGCAATCCAAGAGGCCAGGTATAGAACTGGAGTTAGAATTTATATTTCTTAACTCCTAGCCCTTGATTTTTCTTCATAATCCAATAGCACCTCCCCAAAAGTACCAGATGGCCACAACTCATCTTTTGTTATTTAGACCTTCTTGAGAGCCAGAAATTAATCTGATTCCAGAAGGTTGAAGAAAATTAAGACAACTAAAGATTTTTATGTCCAGCTGCTGTGTTCTGTGTTTGGCTTCACCTAAAACCAATAGTTTCCATTGTGATGAGTCCCTCTTCTCTCAAGAATGAAGACAAACAAAAAAGTAGCATTATATCTGTAGGTAAAATTTAAATTACATAATACAAACACATTCTCTATTTCAATTTGTTTTCCAAGCAAATAAACCAGGCTAATAATTAACCAATCTGTGTAAAAAAATTAAACAGAAATATGACCTGAACATTTCACAGTTCTTCGTTGTTCTTAAGGACATAATTTGAATACCCATATATTCACAAATATTATATGAACATGTATTCAAATTTTATATAAATATATGTGAAATGAATGTGTGATCTATAAACTTATGTTTCATATAAAATATATAATGTGTGTGTGTGTCTGTGTATCTCCAATAACTTAGAATTTTTGGTTTAGGTTTTAGGCATGAATTTGACCTGCCATGACACACCTTAGTCCTACATAAATGTCATTATCTCAAAGAATATTTCTCTGTCACCCTTTCTAAAATAGGGCAATAAATAGGGAATTCCATGATTCTTACTTAGTTGTTTTTCCTATTTTTTGAAAAACTTAAATTCATATCTAATTGTTTGACTTTTTAGGACTTAGTTGTTTGGCAATTCTAGCTCCTAAATATATATCAAAACTTCCCAGGTTTTTCCATCTCCACTGTTACAAGCTAGGCCAACCCACTATCATCTCTCATTAAGATGAATGAAATAGCCAAATGGGGAGATGGGTGCCTATAGTCCCAGCTACTTGGGAGGCTGAAGTGGGAGGATTGCTTGAGCCTGGGAGCTCAAGGCTGCGGTGAGCTATGACTGTGTCTATGAATAGTCACTGCACTTCAGCTTGGACAATGTAGTGAGACCCTGTCTCTGAATAAAAATTTTTGTAAAAGGCTAATGAAATAACTTCTTACCTCTACTCTCTTTAATATCTTTCCCACACAGCAGTTAGAATAATCTTTTAAAAAACATTTCATGTAACTTTTTTGCTTAAACATCTCTGAATACTTCCTCATAGCTCATAAGGTAAAGACCAAAGTCTTTAACATGGCCGAGAAAACTCCTCATGATATGGCTCCTGCCTGCTCACTAGCTTTCTCTTGGGCATTGTCCTTTTTGTTTTAAGACAGGTCTTGCTCTGTCACCCAAGCTGGAGTGCAATGGACTCATCAAGGCTCACTGCAGCCTTGACCTTCCAGGCTTAAGTGATCCTCCTGCCTCAGCCTCCTGAGTAGCTGGGACCACAGGTGTGTACCACCACACCTGAATACTTAATTTTTTTTTTTTAAGAAATGAGGTCTCCCTGTATTGCCCAGGCTTGTCTCAAACTCCTGGGTTCAAGTGATTCTCCCACCTTGACCTCCTGAAGTGTTGGGATTACAGGTGTGAGCCAGTAGGCTTTTCCCTTCCCCAGGGCTTTTGCACATGTTTTTTCAGCTTCCTGGAATGCTCTCTACTATGGCACTTTCTCCCATTCCACACACCTTCTTTGCCTAGTTATTTTCCTTTTAAAAATAATTTTTTTGAGACAGGTTCTCATTCTGTTATCTATGCTGGAGTGCAGTGGTGCAATTATAGCTCACTGCAGCCTTTAACTTCTGGGATCAAGTGATCCTCCCCACTCAGCCTCTCGAGTAGCTAGGACTACAGGTGCATGTCATCATATCTTGCTTTTTTTTTTTTTTAAAGATAGGATCTTGTTATGTTGCCCAGGCTGGTATTGAATTCCTGGCCTCGAGTTATCCTCCCAAAGTGCTGCGATTACAGTTGTGAGCCACCGCACCTGACCTGCCCAGTTATTTTCTACTTACCCTCAGAGTTCTGCTCAATCACGCTTTTTCAAAGAAGTCTTTCTCTCGGGATGTAGTCAGGCCTTGTCATATTCTCTCTTAACAATCTATTTTCCTCCTTTTTAGCACTTAACAAAACTGTAATTCAGTACTTATGTTATTGGTTGTTCAATATTTGTCTACCCCAGTAGAATGTAAGTTCTTTAAGAAATGCCGTATTTATCACTATCACAGCATTGGCGGGAATAAATATCTGTTTGAATGAATAAATAATACAAGAATAATTTTGTAAATGAAAGATTGTGTCTCACAATGAGGAAAATTTAATTATAAAATGAATAATTGAACATATAGTTGAACATAGTATAAATACATATTGAGAAACAGGACTAGACATTGCTCTAAAATACACACACACACACACATACACACACACACACACACACACACACACACACACTTCGTACTTCTCAGAAAAGAGGTCAAGGGAAAAAATATGCAGCTCTAACTAGACATGTCTTGCTAGAACAGAAAGGAAGCAGAGAATGCCCTAGATCAGGTAACTTGGTTGGTTGAAGGACCTGGTCCCCAGCTGAAGAAGACACAGCCTCACCCTAGCAGGGTCCACTGAGGCTCACCTCCTCTGGGGAGTCCTCCATGCTGCCTGTCAGGGAGAGAGGAAGGAGAAAGACTGTGGACTTGACTGAGACAAGAGAGGCAGAGAAGCAGACACTCCAGGCTTCTAGGGGCAGGAGCAGGGAGAAAGCCTGAGGCAAGGTACATGGGTAGGGAAGGGGTGCCTTAAGCAGCTGAGCTTCAACCAAAGGCTGACGACTCTTCCCTCTAGCAGCATTGTACTGTGGAAGAGGTGTCTCTGGGTTTCAGAACAAAGCCACATATGGGTTTCTGGTAGTCACAGTGCCCAGAGATAGAGCAAGGGGAGGGCATAAATACCCCTCCCTGAGCTCCTACTAGTTATGAGAAGTTAAATGGACTAGAGAGGGAGAACGTTTTGGCTCAAGCTCCTCTTGTGTTCTTGGCTTCTTAAGTGTCATACCCAGGATAGTGGCTTATGAAGCTTTATTCTATTTCTCTTGAAAATATTTCAATAAAGTTAATTATTGTTAATTTATAGCTATGTTGAAAATGATTGCTGTATGTTTACTGATTGGCCATAGGATATTTGGGATTACATCACGCATCAGCACATGGGTAACTATTTATTAGAAATTCACATTAAAGGAAAATACCAGCTGTTTATCTTTTTTTGGTGTTAGAAGTTTGTTTTTTTTTTTTTTTCAAACCTGTAATACAAGTGGGGTCATCTGGTTGGGTATTTGCAAGTTAGCTTTTGGCTAAAGTGAATACTCATTCTGACTGTGCTAACATCTGCACAATTATGCAAAATAAAAGATTGATAAATTAAAAGTTAATTAAAAGATGTCCATGTCAGCACATTTATAACAGAGCATCCCATCTTCCCATCAGGACCACATCACACATTTCTTTCTTTTTTTTTTTTTTGAAACAGAGTCTCTCTCTGTCACCCAGGCTGGAGTGCAGTGGCGCAATCTGCAATCTCCGCCTCCCGGGTTCAAGCAATTCTCCTGTCTCAGCCTCCCACGTAGCTGGGTCTACAGGCGCACCCCCACCATGCCCGGCTAATTTTTGTATTTTTTAGTAGAGACGGGGTTTCACCATATTGGCCAGGCTGGTCTCGAACTCCTGACCTCAAGTGATCCACCCGCCTCAGCCTCCTGAAGTGCTGGGATTACAGGTGTGAGCCACCACACCCAGCCCATCTCACACATTTCTGTGAGCGGCAACTGCAATACCTTCTGGGGCTGTGGAGCTACTGGGAGCTGAAGAGCCCTCTGGCGTGGCTCAGTGCAGGAAGCTGAAGGCAGAAGCAAAGAGAACTAGTTTTTGAGGAAATCATGAGGTGCTCTTTGGGGACTTGCAAAATAATTGTGAAGAGTCTTGGTAGGGCTGGATTTTGGAGAGAAGAGAAGCAGGAAGATGGGGAGGGTTAGATTAAAAACTGCATTGTTCTGGATCATGTAGGTTTTTGTGTGTTGTGTTTGGTTTTCTTTTTATTTTTCTTGTTTTAAACTGATGTGACCTCAATAAGAAAAACTAGCTAAATTCATATTCCCCAGTAAGTCTGGGTAGACACAGAGGGGCTCTATGCATGTTTATTGACTTGAAATAAATAAAACAGCAGAAATGGTTTCTGTCTAGAGTGCTTAATAGTATATTCAAAACAGTAGCCCTGTTGATTGAACTACATGTTTCATATTGTACCTGATTCACATTTAATCCTCGTAATTAACCACAGGTGAATGTTTTTAAGTTCACTTTTTTACAGAGAATGATACTGAGGCTTAGAAAGATTAAGTTACTTGTCTAAGTCATAGCCAGTAAGCGGCAGAGCCAAGAGTCAAATCAACATTTGCCCAACTCCATTGTTTGCAAATTAATGTGTTCCACTTTCCCATGCTGCTCTGCCTTTCTGTGTTACTGGAGAATCAGAACTAAGGCAGTTTCCCAAGTGATAATAATCAGATTTCCTGTTGAATTATGATGTATGTTTATGTTCTCCACTAATATGTAAACTTCCAAGGAGGACAGACCTATCTAATTCCTCTTTTTGTCCCAACTGCTTAGCCCTTAGTTCAGAGTGCTCTATGCATAATAACTTAATCCTTACAATAACACTATCAGATAGACACTATTGTTATCTTCACTCTACAGATGAAGAAATAGAGCCACAAAGAGATTAAGTAATTTGCTTGAGATGCCATAGAGGCTTTTAGTGCTCACCCTCCCCTGGGTCTCCTCTATTTCCAGGCATGTGGGAGGATCACTTTCCTACCCTCTTGCAGTTAGGTGGCCTTGTGACTAGTAATGGTCAATAAGCTATGAGTAGAATTGATATGTGTCACTTCTGTGCTATGGGCCACTTTTCTGCCTTAGCATTTAACTGCTGATATGAGACCCTCCAGTGCTCAAAAGAGTTGAAGTACATATGTAGTTGCAAGACATTAGAGTCTCCATAATCCTGGATTCCTGAGTGATTCTGTGGAGCAGAGCTCCCTCTCCTCCACATGAACATGTAGCACGAGTAGGAAATAAACCTTGATGTTTTAAGCCACTGAGATTTGGGTTTTGATATGTTATCATAGCAAACCTAACTCATCCTGACTAATACACAGGATCAGAACTCTAGTAAGTGATGCAGTAGATATTTAAACCCAGACAATCCGGCTCTCCAGCCTGTGCCTTAAATCACTGTCCTTTAAGTGATTAGTGAATGTGAATTGAATAAATGAATGAATCAATGTTGAGGCCTTTGTTATCCACTCATACCTAGCAATCAAGATCCAGTTTTCGTGAGGGTTGAATACTTTCCTTTTTATTTTATTTTTTTTTTAAAAGAATACCATCTCCTTTTTATCTTGCATTGGACAATCTTGATGTTTATAGTGAGATGAATATATCTAATTACCACAATATTCAACTTGAGCAAGTCTTTTGAAGGTATTTTGCTAAATTAGAACTTTCAGATCTCATTAAAATTGAAACATTTGGTCGGCTTGATTTAGTCAATTTTGACTCTGTGTATTTAAGATGACAGTACTAGCAATCAAATGAAACTTTAATTACAATTGGAATTTTCAATAACTAATAAAAGGCACCGTCAATTTGACAGTAAAAGACAGTTCTCCACAGAAGATACCCACAGGTGCTTTTGAATTTATTTTTTTAAATTGTAAATAATAAAAAAGAACATTTTGCAACATGCACAAAATCAAAATGTAGGGAAAAATTGATTTGCATTTCAACCATGTATTAGAATTATTTTCATTTTTACATTATCTTTATAGTTTTTAAGTCATGGTAATCACAGAATGTCTTCTTTAACTTTTTACTTAATATTATATCGCATATATTTTTCAAAATTTCCTAAAGCAAAGTTTATAGTGATGTAGTCAAAGCATCATAATTTATCAGCCTCCTATTATTGTGCATCTGTGTAAGACACCCCATCTTTTTTATTTGTTAAAAACAAACTGATTTAATAGGCTCACCGTATAGCTTGTTAAAGAGAACTTGTGACTTTACTGTGTGACATAAAGGAAGAGTCTTGTTTATTTATGTGTTTATTATTATCTTGCAGTTTATAGGACAGGTAAAGACACCTAACCAGATCCTGCTGTCATCTACATTGACAAGCCATGGAAGGAAATAGAGTGCCAGCAGCAGACCCAGTTTGCCTGACATCTGACTGTACAGTGTACTCATGTCTTAAGGGTGACTGCATGGATTATGTCTAAGCGTGCATTAGTTTGCTCAGCTGCCATAACAAAATACCACATACTGGGTGGCTTAAACAACAGAAATTTATTTTCTCACAGTTCTGGAGGCTAGAAGTATAGGCTCAAGGTGCCAGCATGGTCAAGTTCTAGTGAGGGCTGTCTTCCTGGCTTGCCGATGGCTGCCTTCTGGCTGTGTGTTCACAAGAGGGGGCCATTTCTGGGGCGGGATACAAGAGGAAGAGAGACAGTTCTCTCTTCCTTATCTTATAAGGCCATCGTCCTTTCAACTTAGGGCCCCATGCTTGTGACCTCATTTAACTTTATTTCCCTCCTAAAGGCCTTATCCCAGAAACAGTCACATCGTGAGTTAGGGCTTTTACATACTCATTTTGATGGGCTACAATTCAGTCTATAACAAAGTGTCACTAAGGTACCACAGTCTAATGGCCAAAGAGAATGGGACATGATTAAACTTTAACAGGCTTCTAAACTTCAATAGTTTGTTTTCCTGAAGGACCTCCCACATTTTCCCCTTTCTGATGACAGTTACATCTGGTTATGAAGTTTCCCTCTGGGCCTTAGTACCAAGGAGCTCTGATCCCCAGCCCCATCCCAGTAACTAACGTGGTCCTTATTAGTGGAATTGTTGCCGTCTACCCTGTTTTCATTTGTCCCTTTTTGTTAGCCCAACCCCCCGACCCCCAGGTAAAGTAGAACTAAACAAGTAGACAATGATTCCAGTAGTGCTTTTGGTTTCCTTTTCACATACTATAGAGTTTCTGATTGTTTGTTTGTTTTGTTTTATTTTTGAGATGGGGTCTCCCTCTGTCACCCCGGCTGGAGTGCAGTGGCGTGATCTTGGCTCACTGCAACCTCTGCCTCCCGGGCTCAAGCGATCCTCCTGCCTCCCGCCTCAGCCTCCTGAGTAGCTGGGATCACAGGCATGTGCTACCACACCTGGATAATTTTTGTACTTGTGGTAGAGACAGGGTCTCACCATGTTACCCAGGCTGGTTTTGAACTCCTGAGCTCAAGCAATCTGCCTGCCTCGGTCTCCCAAGATGCTGGGATTACAGGTGTGAGCCACAGTGCCTGGCCTTACATACCACCAGTTTATGGTGGTACCGTATGTATTTTTCACTGAAACATACTGTACTCAACAGAGAAACAGAGGCTGAACAATGTTTGTTCCCAATAGGGGCTTAATAGTTTCCCCATATAATAATATATTACTCTGTATGTGAGGATTTTCTCTTTTCTAACATTTAAATTACCTTAAGTACTGATTAAGTTTTATCAAACTTCAAACATTCATATTTCTTGAGTGAGAGACCAATATAAAAATAATTAATTCACCAAAAGAGAATGTGGAACTAAGTTAAATTGTAAGGTCCTGAAAATGCTGGATTATAATAAAAATATCTCCTTAACCATGACTGCAGTGGTTAAAATTTAATGAGACATTAACAGTGAAGTATGGTTCTTCAGTCTCTGCTTTTGCTTTGTGAAAGTTCAGCAAAGATTTATGCTCCAAACAGACTCTGTATTCACGGAAATATACAGCTTAGTTTTTAAATATCCCTAGCACATAAAAAGGTCATTTGCTTTGTTTTATGTAATTCATGTATCTATTGGTTTGTAATAATAACCACGACCTTCAGAGGCTGGACATTTGCTGGGAGCTAATGATCTGTCAGGGTTAGAGACCCAAAGCTTCATGCTGAGACCATTAATCAGCCCACCAGCCCATAACTTCTGGGCAATACTGTCTTGCGTCAGTCATTGTGACTCAGGTCCTCCAGGCCAAAGCATGAACTTTGGAATGCTTACACTGTTGGCCAGCTTCACTGAATACCACAGTACACTGCTAATCATACTCATGTAAACCAGTGTCAGAAACTTCACACTGCAGAGGACATATCTTCTATGATTGCCACCCTTCCAAGGTCATGAGCCTGTATCTCAAAAGATGAGAACACTGGACAGATCATTATTAACTCCCTTTTGGAAGCCATTGGTCAAGTACTATTAAAAATATTTCAAAATATTTTCATACAAATGAACTTTATTAAATTAACTTTATTTATTTATTTATTTATTTATTTGAGACAGAGTCTCACTGTCGCCTGGCCAGGCTGGAGGGCAGTGGCACGATCTCGGCTCCCTGCTACCTCTGCCTCCCGGGTTCAAGCAATTCTCCTGCCTCAGCCTCCCGAGTAGCTGGGATTACAGGTGTGCACCACCATGCCCGGCTAATTTTTTTGTATTATTGTTAGAGATTGGGTTTCACCATGTTGGCTAGGCTGGTCTTGAACTCCTGACCTCAGGTGATCTGCCTGCCTCAGCCTCCCAAAGTGCTGGGATTATAGGTGTGAGCCAGCACGCCCAGCCTCCAGTGGCCTCTTTAGAGTTCTCATCCTCCACAACTTCTCTGTGACCTGTTGAGCACTTCCCTCCTAGGGACACGGCTCCACCTTGCATTCAGCAAGTCGTTATCCTGCAACTACGATGCACCAGGTGCGGGCGTCTCACTTGGCGTCTTTGCTGTCTTCCTTCTTCCATCTCTCCGACTTCTCCTCTCCTCCTTTCCTGTTGTCTCATTGTCTACTTATCCTTGGTGTTCCCAGGATTCCCTTTTGTTCCTCTTCCCTTTTATAATAATTATTGTTTGCAGTGCATTGAGGTATACTCAGCCTACCACATAAATCACCCATTTTTAAGTGTACACTTTAATTAGTTTGGGTAAATGTGCAGTGGGGATGTGTACAACCTCCATCACAATCAAGTTTTGGAATAGTTTCTTTGCTCCAAAAAGTTCCTTTCTGTCCCATCTCTGGTCCTAGGCAACTTCTACTCTGTTTTCTGTCACTAGAGTTTTGCCTTTCCTAGATTTTCATATAAATGGAATTAGTGTGTTCTCTTTTGTGTCTGGCTTCTTTCACATAGCATGGTGTTTTTGAGATTGAGCCATGTTACTGAGTGCATCAGTAGTTTATTTCTTTTTATTGTTGAATAGTATTCCACTGTATGGATACACCACATTTTATTTTTAAAAAGTCTTGAACTTTTTTTTTTTTTTGAGTCTCACTCTGTCTCCCAGGCTGGAGTGCAGTGGCGCGATCTCTGCTCACTGCAAGCTCTGCCTCCCGGGTTCACGCCATTCTCCTGCCTCAGCCTCCCGAGTAGCTGGGACTACAGGCGCCCGCCACCACGCCCAGCTAATTTTTTGTATTTTTACTAGAGACAGGGTTTCACCGTGTTAGGCAGGATGGTCTCGATTTTCTGACCTCGTGATCCACCCGCCTCGGCCTCCCAAAGTGCTAGGATTACAGGCTTGCGCCACCGCGCCCAGCCAAAAGTCTTAAACTTTTTAACCAACCTATGTCTCAGTCTCCCAATTATAAAATAAGCACAATACTGGTAACTTAACGTTTATGTGTAGAACACTTAGGACAGAGCCTGGCACCTGGTAGATAACTGCACGTTAGCTCATTTTGTTACATGTGATTGTCCACGCACTAATAATGATGAGGCTCCCTGCGCCGGTTGACTGGGAGGGTGGGAAAGCGTGGGGCACCTGGGAGTGCAGGACAGCACAGGACAGGGGGCGTGGCTTAGCAGGTGGGGCTGCTCGGGTGCGGATGCGTGGGAGGAAAGGGGCAGGGGCAGGAACTGGTGGAAGAGCTGACAGCAAGGGGAGTGGCCAAACGGAGGCGGGGCCTGGAAGGGGGCGTGGCTTGCGGGCCTCTGGGCCGCCCGGCCTCTTTAGGTGCCGCAGCGGAAGGCCTGGAGCAGAGGCTGCTTCTCCGCCCAAGCACTCCCTGGGTGAGTCCATACTCCTGGCGCGAGTACGATCCTCTCCTCCAGGGAAGGCCGGGTCCCTCGCTGGGGTTCGACCCGACTCTTCCCCTCTACCCCTTTCTCCTTGTTCTACACCTAGCGAGCCCAGGCCCTCCCGAGGAGCAGAGAATGGAAGGAAACCAAGTTTTGTCCTGCGAGTCCTCGCCCTCTGCAGGAAGAGGATGTGGTGAGGCCAGCTTTTCCATATGCAGTTAGGCATCGAAGGGAAGATCTGCTGTACCTAAGTGGGGTGGGCATTTCATTTTTAGGGACCGTCTTTGTTAAAATAGTAAGTGGAATAGATAGAGCCAAAGCCACTTCTTAAAAATACACAGAAAGTATTTAGATGATGTTAATTAATAAGGCCCTCCAGCGAAAGGGGTGCTGAGCTGGGAACTGAGATAGTCCTTCCTCTATCACTGCGGTCCTCTGTCATCTCGAATGAGTCAGTTAACTTTCTGGGCTTCCTTCATTCTGTCACCCATAAAAGGAATGCTCCCCAAGACTTCCGTCCTGCAAGTCTATAAAGGGCAGTCTGGTGAAGTTTCACAGCTTCAGCTCCGGTATCGTTAATCACAGGATCGTGGCTGCAAACCTCCCAGCCCTTCAGCACCAAACAGGTGTTAAAGCAAAGAGAATGAAGGCAAGATCCTCGGGATTCTCTGGGAAAGGAGGCAAGCTGCTCTGTGTTCTGGCGCTCGCAGTCCGCAGGGAGACTGGTGAAGCCCACATTTTCTTTCCAAGCCCTCAGGGTCCAAGAGACTGGATACTAGATGTGTAGTGGCTGGGTATCTGGGCAGAGAGAGAAGTCTATCGTTCTGAGGAGCAGGAAGGACTGGGAAGAGGGTACCCAGTGTACAAGAGCCAGACTGATGTGGTTGGAGGATGGGGGGCAATGTCAGGGTAGGAAACACTTTTACATTTCCGGGGAATAAACAACTATTCTGGCGCCAGGTCAAGCTCATCTGTGGGTACTTTATGCCCGACAAGTTACTCTAAAAGAAGACTCACATAAGACTTGCCTCATCCAAAAGCCCAATGTGATTGTAATGCACACGGGGTGAGGACAATGGGCGGGCAATGGTATGTGGACTCTTTTTTTGTTTTTGTTTTTCTTTTATTATTATACTTTAAGTTTTAGGGTACATGTGCACATTGTGCAGGTTAGTTACATATGTATACATGTGCCACGCTGGTGCGCTGCACCCACTAACTCGTCATCTAGCATTAGGTATATCTCCCAATGCTATCCCTCCCCCCTCCCCCCACCCCACAACAGTCCCCAGAGTGTGATGTTCCCCTTCCTGTGTCTATGTGATCTCATTGTTCAATTCCCACCTATGAGTGAGCATATGCGGTGTTTGGTTTTTTGTTCTTGCGATAGTTTACTGAGAATGATGATTTCCAATTTCATCCATGTCCCTACAAAGGACATGAACTCATCATTTTTTATGGCTGCATAATATTCCATGGTGTATATGTGCCAGGTATGTGGACTCTTTCAAGGCTGTATCTTATTCATTTGTTTCTTCAAAAATCCCCAGCAGAGAATCTTGAAAGCCAACTCTCATTTTTATTTTTTAAAAATTTAATTCCAGAATCACAGAATGAAAAGCATGGTGAAGCCCTCCTTCCTACTCCCATATGAAAAAACCCTCTGATAACACAACAACAACAACAACAACAACACAAACCCTTCTCTTGTTTTTGTGATCCTTGGTTCTTGAAGGCTCAGTTTTTTCAACAGTGGATAAAGGCTTTCATTCCATATATAGGCCATTCTTGCAATATTGTGTTCTATTCTGGGTGACATTTTTGAACAGGGACTTTGTTGAACTGCAACATGTTCAAGAGAGGATAACCAATATGGTTAGGAGCCTATAAATCCTGTCCTATGAGGGGCATTTAGGCATAGTTAAACTGCAGGGACATAGCACTTGGTGGGGAGGACAGCTGCCTTCAAACAAAGTGAAAGGCTGCCAGGAGGAGAAGGACTTGTTTTATGTTTCTCAAGTGAGGAGAAACTGTAGGGGGCTAATTTTGGCTAGCACAACTGAGAAGATTTTAATGATTAGAACAATCCAGAAATGGAATGAGCTGCCCCAGGAGGCCTTGATTTACAGTCAGGGAACGTGTTTACTCAGAGTCTGGGCTCCATGTGTAGGAATTATTATAAGACAATTGATGCAGAGGGCGAAACATTAGGGGGGAAAAGACTTCTAAGTTCATTTCCGGACACCTGATTCAATGTGTTAAGTTCTGGTTAGGAGTATCTGACCTCAACTGATTCACACTGAAGATCTTTTCCTGTTTCTAAGGCCTGGAAGTGGGGAGTGTGAATGGTTGGGGTGGGGAAGACCAGAGAAAATAGGAGGAAAGGCAGTGAGAAAGAGTCTAAGAAAGGAGTGACTCCTAAAGGAAGGTCGCCTTAGCCCACTTCACTTAACAGGTTTTTGTTGTTGTTGTTTTCCGGGATCAGTTCTGTTTACCTTTGTATAGAGTGATTCCACCTGGCTTAGTATGTTGGTGCATAGCTTTTCTCTCTCTCCTTCCTACTAGGTTCTTTTTGTAAATCACACTTTATTTGTTGCCAACCCTGATGAGTTGGAGTGGCCGATTTAAAGGTGAAATTATAAGCAATTTAAATTAACTGGTGGAACCAGACTTATGTTCTATTTTTATTCCTTCCCTGGTACTGTGTAGGTCAGTGGTTAGAAGTGTGATTCAAATCATAGCAGGATATGCTTCTCTTGCCTTGTCTTTTAATTGGTCCTCTCAGCCTTGTTTGATTTTTGTTTTGATTGGAACCCAGCTTCATAATCTGGGGTTTATCTTCATAAAGCACAACGTGCCAAAGACAGAGCTATCCTGAACTGCAACCACTGCCTAATGGTCCAGACATTTTCCCCCTCAATTTGCACTACAGCTGCATCTGGCACACTGCACAACATTCTTTTTCATTTATTGGTATGGAATGTGAAAACATTTTGAAAGCAGAAACACACTATACAAATGTAAATTGCTATTATGGATAATATGCAGTTCTAGGGAAAAGTTTATGTAGATATTTACTTGTACCTTATCAGCAGAACATGGCTTTGTTGGTTTTATGATGTGTTATTAGATAGATACAGCTGTTATTGTAAATTGGCTTCTTTAATTTTTCGTGACTTGTGTCTGTAGTTTTAAAATGGTTTTTCTCCTGACACATGGTCCCTAGATGACGTTTCATAATTGATTCTCTGCTTTCCTACTCAAAACATTATATACCTTTTTGATGAGATGATATTCTCATCAAACAAGCATTCTCTTCTTTAAAATTCACTAAGTTGGCAACTTGGCAGTAGAAACTTAAAAAAAAATTCTGCTTAAAAGTCAAATCGTAAGCTGTTTATGATTTGACCGTGGTACACGCCTGTACTTCCCCGCTCCTTGGGAAGCTGAGGTGGGTGGATTGCTTGAGCCCAGCCAGCAATATAGTGAGACACCCTCTGTAAAAGAAAAAAAAATCAAATCACATTCTGTACTTTGTTTGGGAAGCATATGCTTAAGAAAGTTACCATTTCTAACTAAAGTACATCTTGTCACTCCTAGCTACAGCTGAATCATCTTACGGTTTCACTAGACATATCCAATACTACTTGTATTATAGTCAAATTGTTGCACTATGTGTAATGTTACTAAAATAATATAGATTTACTTTTAGTTATGGCCATCTTTGATCTGACCACCTGTTATGTAATTGCTGATATAGTGCCTTGATTTTTTCTTCCAAGGACCTATATCTTTCCTTCCCCAACTAAATTCCTTAAGATATTACAATAGATGGCATCTAGTGTAGGACTGTGTGCATATAGTGACCACTTAAATGTTTATTATATGGAAGAATTGAGCTTGCTGTAGTCTGTCTTATTTTAAGTATCATCAGTTGCAAGCAGGTAAGCACCAGTTTGAGAACTCTGATGTCTGTAAAGAAAAATTAAGAACAAGTTACCATCACATAAAAGATAAAGCTAGAAAATCACATGGATCATCAAAATATGCTTCAGCTGTATAAGAAAAATTAAGACATGACACTATATTCAGAAAACATGAATGTTTTTAAAAAATCTCAAACATCCCAATGCCTCGTTTTATAAAAATAATAAAACTTCTAAAAACATCCTAAACATGACAAAAAGGATCTAGGCAAAATCAAAGCTACCAAAAAAGACATTCATCGGGATCAAGCTTTTTCTCTTTCATGTTCATTCTTGTCCATTATTGACAAGAAAGGAAAGAAGAAGAGAAAAGCACATTTAAAAAGTTAAGACTCATTGTCAGACTTAACTTATAAAAGATTTTGCAGAAATCCCATTTCTCTCAAGAAAAGTAAGATCAAGATGAGGCCAAAGGAGCTGTGTATGTATTTATATATGCTTGTCTGCTGCAGTAAAGACAGCGAACACCAGGTAACCAGTATTTCCAGAGATAATTGCAATGAAGATCTTAAAACTGCTTCATACTGTTTTGATGATGGGATCCTAGCAAATTCCAAAAGCAAAAAAAGGCACACAAGGAAATCATTGTAGGCCTTGTATTAGGAGTTGCCCTCCCTGAAATAAACAGCTGTCCTCATAACATAGAGCCTCCTTTGTCATCCAGTCCATCTGTGCTTGAATTGAAAACATGTAACTTGCAAGATGAATTTTGGGTGGAGAGTCTGACAGATAAGAGAGCTTCTCAAATAGGCATGATAAGCCCTGAAAAAAATGGACAGCAGTTTTGATCACAGTCAAGAGATTTTTCTAACTCAAAAGCCCCTCTTTTTTTCCCTCTAAAATCAGGGCTTGTTACCAATAGTCACAGTAGTCACTGCAGTTATTTGTCTTTAGCAACTCCCAAATATGTCAGGGGTGGAAGTGGAGAAGGAATTCACTATTTCAGTGATTCTGCAGAAGTTGGGCAGAGATCTTAAGTGGAGAAACAGTTTGACGGTATAGCCATCTTCCTCAGAGCAACTTCAGATCCTCTCAGAGAATCAGAAGCCATATGGGCACCCAAGAGGAAGCCAGTCAGGCAGAAGATTTCTTTATTTCTTCAGCCATAGCCACCTCCTTGCTTTTCAGAAAGAGAAGATTTGGATGAACAGCATCTGGGTTAGAGTTTGCCTGGAAGAAGTAGGTCATGGCTGAAAGGGGCTTAGAGTGTATTTTGTAATATGCTGAATGCTGGTGATGAAACTCGTGACTCCTAAAAATGTTTTGGAGACTGTGAGCCTTATAGAAGACAAAAATGAAGACTCAGGTATAATGACTACCATTCTTGTGATAATAGCTAGAGGAAAAATATGTTTTTATCAAATCGCAAAAAACAAATGAGATAAAATATATTCAGACAAAATTGAATTCGTCCTTTTTCTCAAAAAGTGGACGTGATACTAATATTTTTAAAGAGACTTCAGCGAAAATAAAAACCAAGACGAAGGACAGGGTTTAATCATAGAAATTACCCAGGAATATGAGCTAATCTAAATTTTAAAGCAGAGTTTTTCAGTTTTTATAGTTGTATTATTTTGTATTAAGAAAATAAAACAGCACAATGTAAACACACAAGCATACACATACATACATAACTTTGAATTTTAGCATGTATTTTTGTTATAAAATTTAGAAAATATGCTGAGGAAATGGAGAAACATCAATTTATTATTTTTTTCAAATCACTTTGTAGAGGTATGATTGTCATGTAAAAAGCTGTATATACTTAAGGTATATAACTCAATGAGTTTGCAGATAAGTATTCACTTGTGAAACTATTACCTTTCAAGGCCATAGACATATTCATCTACCTCCTAAAGTTTTATCCAGCCCCCTTTGTAATTATTATTTTTTTGTGTGGTAAGAGCACAACATGAGATCTACCTCCTTAGAAAATTATATGTATATATTTGCATTTCTCTGATAATTAGTGATGTTGAGCATTTTTTCATGTTTTTTTGTGCGCTTGATTGTCTTCTTTTGAAAACTGTCTGTTCATGTCCTTTGCTCATTTTTTGCTGGGGTTGTTTTCTTCCTGTTGAGTTGGTTGGGTTCTGTATAGAGCTTGGATATTAGTCCTTTGTCAGATGCATAGTTTGCAAATATTTTCTCCCATTCTGTAGGTTGTCTCTTTACTCTGTTGATTATTTCTTTTGCTGTGCATTAAGTCCCATTTACCTAATTTTTTTTTTTGCCTGTTTTTTTTTTTTTTTTTTTTTGGCCATTTGCCTGTTTTTGTTTTCTTCTCTTTCTGAAAAGCAAGGAGGTAGTTATGGCTGATGAAATAATTATTTCTTCTCCCATTCTGTATGTTGTTTCTTTACTCTGTTGATTATTTGTTTTGCTGTGCAGAAGCTTTTTAGTTTAATTAAGTCCCATTTGCTTATTTTTGTTTTTGTTGCATTTGCTTTTGAGGTCTTAGAAATAAATTCTTTGCCTAGGCCAATGTCCAGAAGCATTTTTTCTACATTTTCTTCTAGGATTTTTATAATTTCAGGTCTTACATTTAAGTAATTAATTCATCTTGAGTTAATTTTTGTGTATGGTGAAAGATATGGGTCCAGTTTCATTATTCTGCATGTGGCTATTCAGTTTTCTCAGCACCATTTATTGAATAGGGTGTTCTTTCCCCTATGGATATTTTTGTTGACTTTGTCAAAGATCAGTTGATTGTAGGTATGTGTCTTCATTTCTGAGTTCTTTATTCTGTTCCATGGATGTATGTGTCTATTTTTATACCAGTAGCATGTTATTTTGTTTACTGTAGTCTTGTAATATAATTTGAAGTCAGGTAATGTGGTACCTCTGCTTTGTTCTGTTTGCTTAGAATTGCTTGGCTATTTGGGCTCTTTTTTGGCTCCATATGAATTTTAGAACTGTCTTTTCTAATTCTGCAAAAAATGACATTGGTAATTTGATAGGAATCACACTGAATCTGTAGATTGCTTTAAGGTCATTTTAGTGAAACCACAATGAGATACCATCTTACATCAATCAGAATGGCTATTATTAAAAAGTAAAAAAACAACAGATGTTGGCAAGGATGCAGAGAAAATATAACACTTATTCACCGTTGGTGAGAATGTAAGTTAGTACACCCTCTGTGGAAAACAGTATGGAGATTTCACAAAGAGCTGAAAATAGAACTACCATTAGCTCTAGCAATTCCACTACAGAGTATCTACCCAAAGGAAAAGAAATCATTATATAAAAGGACACCTGCAATCATATGTTTATTGCAGCACTATTCACGATAGCAAAGTCATAGAATTAACATAAAGTGTCCGTCAACAGAGGATTGGATAAATAAAATGTGGAATATGGAATACTATGTATATAGCATATACACACACCATGGAATACTACTCAGCCATGAAAAGAATGAAATCATGTCTTTTGCAGCAACATGAATGGAAATAGAAAGTAAAAACCCATGCATTCTCACTTATAAGTGGAAACTAAACAATGTGTACACATGGCCATAGAGTTGAATGTAGGGGATGAGGGATAAAAATTACCTTTTAGGTACAGTGTACGCTATGTGGGTGATGGGTACACTAAAAGCTCAAACTTCAAAACAATATATCCATGAAACAAAACTGCACTTCTACCCCCAACTCTGTAAAAATTTTAAAAAAAAGAAAATTGTATGTATATAATACAGTATTATTGACTATATGCACTATGCTATGTAGTAGATCTCCAGAACTTATTTATCTTGCATAGCCGAAACTTTGTATCCTTTGGCCATCACCTCCTCATTTTCCTCTTTCCACCATGCCCCTGACAGCCACCATTCTACTCCCTGCTTCTGTGAGTTTGACTATTTTAGATTCCACATATAAGTGATTGTCTTTCTGCATTTGGCTTGTTTCATGTAGCATAATGTTCTCTAGATCCACCCATGTTGCAGCAAATAACAGGCTCGCTTTCTTTTTTCAGGATGAATTGTATTCCTTTATATTTATATACTACATTTTACTTATGTATCCATTGATGAACATTTATATTGTTTCTGTATCTCTCGAGGTGTTAACACTGAATTGTCAGCTAATATAGATAAAGCAATGGTAGCTGACCTCCGTTTTGAGTAAAAGTAGAAAATACTAATGTTAGTTGACTACTTTTCTAGAAAAGAAGTTTCTAAGGCCAGGCACGGTGACTCACTCCTGTAATCCCAGCACTTTGGGAGATCCAGGTGGGCAGATTGCTTGAGGCCAGGAGTTTCAGACCAGCCTGGACAACATGGCGAAACCCTGTCTCTACTAAAAATACAAAAATTAGTTAGGTGGGTGGCACATGCCTGTAATCCCAGCTTCTTGGGAGGCTGTCACAAGAATCACTTGAACCTGGGAGGCGGTGGTTGCAGTGAGCTGAGATTGTACCAGTGCACTCTAGCCTGGGCAACAGAGCAAGACTCTGTCTCAGAAAAAAAAAAAAAAGTTTTTTAAAAAAGTAATAATCCTCAGTGTGGCTGTGTTTATTTATAGGAAATAGTTGAGTGAATAGTAAAAAAATTGTTCCTTGATAGTTTACAAAGAGGGATTTTTGGCAAATGTAAAAATGACTATGTTTTGGCCGGGCATGGTGGCCCACACCTGTTATCCCAGCACTTTGGGAGCCTGAGGCAGGCGGTTCATGAGGTCAGGAGATCGAGACCATCCTGGCCAATATGGTGAAACCCTGTCTCTGCTAAAAATCCAAAAAAAAAAAAAAAAATAGCTGGGTATGGTGGCATGCACCTGTAGTCCCAACTAATTGGGAGGCTGAGGCAGGAGAATCGTTTGAACCCGGGAGGCAGAGGTTGCAGTGAGCCGAGATCGCATCACCGCACTCCAGCCTGGCAAGAATGAGACTCTGTCTCAAAAAAAAAAAGACGATGTTTTAATTTTTTTCTAAAAGTTTTGGTACCTCTTTCTTTTCTCTTCTCTTTTGTTTCCCTGTTTTCTAAATTGTGTCCATTCATTCATTCCAATACAAAATATTTACTGAGTGCTTATTATGTGCTGTGGAAGTGGTGCACTGTTCTTATCCCCAATTTCTCCCCAATATCTCACAACACAGTAGAAAAAAATATCAGTGTAGTAGGGTTTTGCCTTGAAATAAAGCTATCTTCCATTTACGGGCCAAGTATGCCAGGGCATGTGTGGAGGAGTGGGCTTATCTATTTGCGCTAAGGTCTGAGGGAAGGTGTTTATCATAATGGAGATAATTTGGGTCAAAAACACTACCTCATCTGTGTAAAAGAAGAAGCATTTCTGAGTCCAGGATTTTCTTAGATTGTTCATGGACCCAAGCTTGCGTCTCTAGGAACATCAAAAACACAAGGGGACATTGCTTTGGAAGAATGTACAACGTGATGTTCTGAAGGCCAGGAGCAAATCCCCTCCAGCCCTGCAGGCAGGTCTTACCTATAATGAGCACGCACACTGCTGCAGAGCCAACCCAGGACCCACCTGTTGTGAAAGGCATGGTTAGCTCACCTGGCATTGTCAATCTCTGGAAATGCAATGAATGGAATAGGACTGCTCTGGGGACAAGTCTTGGTACCAACCTGTTCTTCGCGAAGATGGAGCCGCTGCCAGTGTGACTCCAGGACTGATTTCCCAGTTAGCTAAGGACCTTCTCATGGTCTTGTTACCTTAATCTCTCCTTCCGACCAGCTTCTTATTCAGCTCTGTTAGTACTCATTCCTCCCCTGCCTGTTCTTCTTCCACAAAGAGTCCTCAAGTCCTTGGCTCCTGTTTTTGTCCCATCCCACAAGTACTGCCCTGCACATTTTTCTTTGTGAACTCACATGGTTAATTATCTGAGCCACTTCCTTGTCAGAACTCTGGGTTCCCTCACTTTCTCTCATTTGGCTGGACTCATCCATCAGAAAACTAACTCTGGATGTATGAGACCTCTGTCTTCTCAGCTCCTACTTCTGGGCTGCTGCTCCTGCTGCTAGAAGAAGTGTAGATTACACACACTGTGCCACTGCGATTAGCTCCTCCTTCAAGAGCTCATTACTTGCCTTAGCCTTCACCACCTTCCTCAAGCCCTATACCACCCCTGAGTTCTCATCCCTGGCATGTGGTTTTTCCTCCTAGGGACATTGAGGCCATTTCCTTACTTCCTTTCTCCCTTTAATTTGCTCTTATTGAACTTTGTCCTTGCCAATCCCCTGAGATCTCTTTCCGTATGCGTTAATAGCATCCATCTTGTAAAATCTGATGGTTGGTTCTCAGTCCTCTTTCAACTTGAACTTTTAGTGATATTTGACACAGTTGGTTCCTTTCCCTTTCTTGACCACTTTCTTCATTTGGTTATGGGGACACTGCAGAAGTCTTTGACTTCTTTTCACCCATTGGCTGTTCCATCTTATCTTCTTCCCTAGCTCCTCTTTTTTTTCTGACGTCCAAATATTTGAATGTCTCAGAGCTCACTTCTCAGCCTCATCTCTGCTCTTTCTTACTCAGTAAGAAATCTCAGCTGGTGTTCTGACTTTAAATGCCAACTATAGGCTGATCATTCTGGAATGTGCATTTCTATATGCACTTTCTGTCCTGAATTCCAGACTTGTATTTCCAGCTGCCTACTTGGCATATTCCCTTGGGTCTCTAGTAGACATCTCAAACTCCACACGTCCAAAACAAAGCTCTTGATTTCTCCATGTCAAATTGCTCCTTCATGGCTTCTCCATCCTTGTTGCCCAAGCCAAAATAGAGAGTCACCCTTGATTCGTCTCTCTCTTACCTTCCACTCTACTCTATCAGAAGAGGTCCGTAATCCATTTACTTTGCTCCAGACCACCATCATTTCTCAGTGGAACAACTATCCCTGCTTTCGCTATTCCCCTGCCTTCATTTTTCATACAGAAGCCAGGGAGATCACTTAGCAACTTACATTAGATAAGGTCATTCCCTTGATTAAAACCTTCCACAAGCTTCCCATGATACTCAAAATCTAGGTTCCCAAACCTTACTTCCAAAGTCCTGTGTGATCTGGCCTCTGGCCGATCTCTCTAATCTTACCTTATTCCCTTTTCTCCTTTGCCCATTCTATTCTAGCTTCACTGGCCTGCTTTGGATTTTTTCAACCTCGTAAGCCACTTCTTTCCCTGATTTTCACATGGCCTTAGAAAGTCTAAATGACATCTCAGAGAGGTTTCCCTGACCACTCATTCTAAAGGAGCCCGACACCTATCACATCACCATATTTTAATTGTCTGCATAACACTTATCTCTGTTGGATATTTTTCTTGTTTATTTGGTATTGTCTGCTCCAACTAGAAGGTCATCAGAAACTTTGCTTTGTTCATTCATGTATTCTCTGCACAATTTGACATGGGTCATTTACAAGATGATTGTATACGTCAGTCCAAGGCATGGGAGAATAGGCTGGAGATGCCGTAGGCTGACACCTTATGTAATACTTCACCAAGACCTGCTGATTTTACCTCCTAAACATTTTTCTATTCCAGGGCTGTCCCTCCATATAAAAGAGATGGAGAAGGCACAAAGCTGTCATCATTTCTTTATTACTTCAACAGTTTCCATCTGGTCTTCCTGCCTTCAGTCTTATTTTCTCCGATCCATTCTCTGCCACAGTTCCTAAAACATAAGTCTGGCATGTCACTCTCCTGTTTAAAACTCTTCAAAGGCTTTCAGTCATTTGCATGATAAAGTCATTAGCCTAACAGTATATTCTGTGTTGTGATAGGTGGTCTCTGTCTCTATGTCCTTCTTGTTTTATTCTCCAAGAATACCCAGCTGCTTGTAGGGCACTGTGAATACTTTGCTTTCCCTGTTTCTGTGTCTTTGCTCATGTGCTCCACTCTGCCTTGGACTGTCTGGCCTTTAGAAGCCATGTGACCTTGGGATATCACTTATTCTTCTGAACCTTAGTTTCCTAATAATCATAATTCTTCACAGGGGCAACGTGAGGGTCAAATGATATCATGTACAGAGAAAAAAGTACAATGCCTGTTGTATAGCATGTGCTCAAAAAATTGCAATTGTATTTTTCAACAATGTTAATGTTGACACTAATACTACTAAACCATAATATAGTGGAGCTAGTGTAAGATTTCTGGTACTTTCTTGGGTTACTTGCCTTGGGAGAAAGTAACCAGATCTGACTAAAAATTTGAACTACCAGCTCTGATTTTCCAGTCCTCCTTCCCTGTCCTTCCTAGAAAACTTGAAATCCACATAATTCTCACCCAAGGATTCTCAAATCTGCAGGGACAAGACAAGCACTTGTTCCTCATTGGGCCCTGGGACCCTCCCCGGCTGTGCTCTCGGGTGAGGGGGTCAGTTGGGATTGTCCAGCATTTCTGTGTCTTGGGAATGGAAATTAAGACTTCGGAGTTTTCCTCCAGTCTTTCTCATAGACTTACTGAACAGCCAGGTTTCAGAGACATGCTGGAGCCCCCTGGTGGTGGCTTCTGGGCACGGTAATAGCCATAACTGCAGGGTGAATGGAACCTGTGAAGTTCAAAGTACTTTGTCACTATGTTATCTTGTTATCACTGCAAGGAGTGTTAGGGATCTACTTGGCATCTTGTGGACTGACATATGAGGGAGGATAATGACATGTTCTAAGCTTCCAGGGTGTGGTGGGGATGATGGGAAAGGGCTTTGGTGCCAGTGGGATGGGTTAGCCTGGAGTGCTCCCCAGGGACAAAAAGCAAGGTTGCTGTACATAATGACAACCTTTGACTGGATCAGAATGAGACCCAGGTGAGCCAGGTCTCCTGGTGATTTTTATCTACTTTCAAGGTTTAGCTGCTCTGAGCTCTGTGAATTTCAAGTAGTCCAACAGTCAGTTTGGCGAATACATTCATTTACTTAGAGACTTAATAAATTAAGCCAATAAATACCTACCATATACTAGGTGTTAAGTGCTGTGGCAAGTGCTGTGGCAAATTCTGAGATGAATCATTGCCCCCACCTTCCACAAACTCACAATCTGGTGGGGATTATGAGACTCATAGACAAATAATTGAATGGAAGAACATTCCATGCTCCTGGATAGGAAGAATCAATATCGTGAAAACGGCCATACTGCCAGAGGTAATTTATAGATTTAATGCCATCCCCATCAAGCTACCAATGACTTTCACCACATAATTGGAAAAAACTACTTTAAAGTTCATATGGAACCAAAAAAGAGCCCGCATTGACGAGACAATCCTAAGCAAAAAGAACAAAGCTGGAGGCATCACACTACCTGACTTCAAACTATACTACAAGGCTACAGTAACCAAAACAGCATGGTACTGTACCAAAACTGAGATATAGACCGATGGAACAGAACAGAGCCCTCAGAAATAATACCACACATCTACAACCATCTCATCTTTGACAAACCTGACAAAAGCAATGGGGAAAGGATTCCCTATTTAATAGATGGTGCTGGGAAAACTGGCTAGCCATATGTAGAAAGCTGAAACTGGATCCCTTCCTTACACCTTGCACAAAAATTAATTCAAGATGGATTAAAGACTTAAATGTTAGACCTAAAACCATAAAAACCCTAGAAGAAAACCTAGGCAGTACCATTCAGGACATAGGCATGGGCAAGGACTTCATGACTAAAACACGAAAAGCAATAACAACAAAAGCCAAAATAGACAAATGGGATCTAATTAAACTAAAGAGCTTCTGCACAGCAAAAGAAACTACCATCAGAGTGAACAGGCAACCTACAGAATGGGAGAAAATTTTTGCAATCTACCCATCTAACAAAGGGCTAATATCCAGAATCTACAAAGAACTTAAACAAATTTACCAGAAAAAAATCAAACAACCCCATCAAAAAGTGGGCAAAGGATATGAACAGATACTTCTCAAAAGAAGACATCTATGCAGCCAACAGACACATGAAAAAATGCTCATCGTCACTGGCCATCAGAGAAATGCAAATCAAAACCACCATGAGATACCATCTCACACCAGTTAGAATGGCGATCATTAAAAAGTCAGGAAACAACAGGTGCTGGAGAGGATGTGGAGAAATAGGAACACTTTTATGCTGTTGGTGGGACTGTAAACTAGTTCAACCATTGTGGAAGACAGTGTGGCGATTCCTCAAGGATCTACAACTAGAAATACCATTTGACCCAGCGATCCCATTACTGGGTATACACCCAAAGGATTATAAATCATGCTACTATAAAGACACATGCACATGTATGTTTATTGCGGCCCTATTCACAATAGCAAAGACTTGGAGCCAACCCAAATGTCCATCAGTGATTGACTGGATTAAGAAAATGTGGCACATATACACCCTGGAATACTATGCAGCCACAAAAAAGATGAGTTCATGTCCTTTGTAGGGACATGGATGACGGTGGAAACCATCATTCTCAGCAAACTATTACAAGGACAGAAAACCAAACACCACATGTTCTCACTCATAGGTGGGAATTGAACAATGAGAACACTTGGACACGGGGTGGGGAACATCACACACCAGGGCCTGTCTTTGGGTAGGGGGCAGGGGGAGGGATAGCACTGGGAGATATACCTACTGTAAATGACGAGTTAATGGGTGCAGCACACCAACATGGCACATGTATATATATGTAACAAACCTGCATGTTGTGCACATGTACCCTAGAACTTAAAGTATAATAAAATAAAATAAAATAAAAACAAAAGAAAACAAGAGAAACAAAAAAAGACTCATAGACAGTTGAATTAGAGGGGGGAAAGTGATAATGATTCAAGTAGAAGTAAAATGTAAGTGAGTTCAGAAGAGGGAGATATATCCAACAGTAAAATTTTATAGCAGGGAGCATTTGAACTAAAAGAATGTGAGTTGCAGAGGGCATCCCAGATGGAACCATGGCAGGAAAGCCTGGGTGTGTGTGAAACTGCCAGAAGTTTTGTTTGGTGCATGGAGACTGGAAAGATAGACGGAGGCTACATCCAACTGGGTCCTCATCATCTGTGCAAGGAGTTTGGATCTGATTTCTTAGGCAATGAGCATAACCTGATGAGAAGAGTGTTTTAGGAGAATTCAGTGATAGGACATAGGATGGATGGGAGGAAGGAAGGATGAAATGTGGAGAGACATTAGGTGACTATTAGGATAGTTCAGGCAGGTGGAATGGAGAGGAGAGGGCAACCTAAATAAGTGTTTCATCACTTATCAACATTACTTGGCAACTGATTGTAAAAAGGGCCAATGGACAGAGATGAATTTTTAAAATGCCATGACATTTCCAAACACTGTTGGCTGGGAAGATTGTGGAACCCATAGCAGGTACAGAGGCAAAGCATGTTTGAAAGGAAATGGGAGGTGTTCCATTTTGGTCAAGAGGAGTTTGAGATATCTGTAGAATGTTCAGGTAGAAATTCAGGCTTGGAGTACAGAAGGGAAATGGCTTTGAGACATAGAATATGAGATCAGTTCCACTGAGAAAAAGATAAACCGGTAGAATTTGGTAAGATTTCAGAGGAGGTTGGGAGATCTCTTATCTGTGCAGAAGAAAATGAGAGGCAATGTGAAAGTGGCTTTGTGCTCAGAGGGCAGACCTGAATTTGAATCCTAGCTCTGCCACATAGTCTTTGTGTGACCTTAGACAAGTTACTTAACCTCTTTAAGCCTCAGTTTTCTCATCTATAAGATGGGATGTAATATAGCCTTTTCTTTGGAGGGGATTATGAGGATTAAATCAGATGACATATGCAAAATATTTAGAAGGATGCCCAGCATATGACTGCTTGATAAAAGCTACCATTTTAAAAATTATTACCACTAATAATGACAATGATTATTAGTAGATAATAGTACAATGAAAATGATTAGTAGTACAATGATAGAAAATTGAGGGCACTGACATTTTGGGAGGGTGGAGGAAAAGAAGTCAGAGAGGATAGAAATAGTGGAAGAGGAGAAATGAACTATAGTTTTGCAGCATTAGGCGAGAATTTCAAGGACTTGGTAGCCACTGTTATAATTGAGGTGAGAAGTTAATGTGGATGAATATAGAGAAAATACTGTTAAATTTGGAATGGGAATATATTAGTTTGCTAGGGCTGTTGTAACAAAGTACCACAGACGAGACAGCTTAAACAACAAACATTTATTGTCTTCCAGTTCTGAAGGCTGGAAGTCTTAGATTAAGGTGTCCCAAGGTTGGTTCCTTGTGAGGGCTGTGAGGGAAGGATCTGTTCCATGCCCCTCACCTCACTTCTGGTGGTTTGCCAGCATCTTTGGCTTATAGATGCATCGTCTCAATCTCTGTCTTCATGTTCACATGGCATTTTCGCTGTGTGGATGTCTCTGTTCAAATTTCCCCTCTTTGTAAAGATACGGGTCATATTGGATTAGGAGCCCGCCCTGCTCCAGTATGACCTTGTCTTAACTAATTATATAATATTTATATTATTATATAATTTTAGATATAAAATGATTTTAGATAGAAAATTGAGGGCACTGACATTTTTGGGGGGTGGAGGAAAAGAAGTCAGAGAAGATGGGAAGAAACAGCAGAAGAGGATCAATGAACTATAGTTTTGCAGCATTAGGTGACAATTTCAAGAACTGGGTGGGAAGGATCTGTTCCATGCCCCTCACCTTGCTTCTGGTGGTTTGCCGGCATCTTTGCAGACCAGGCTTCTGGTGGTTTGCTGGCATCTTTGCAGATCATATTATACACAGATTATAATCTGTGGTCAAATTTTACCTAGGGTCAGATTATACACAGATCTGTGGTCAGATTATACACAGATTTTTGTAAAAATCTGATTTCAATTGACTAAGTCTTTTTATTTCTTTTTTATGATAATGTGCTAAATTTTATTGATAATCAAGGAAACATAAATTAAAATAGCGATAACATTACACATTCACTAAATCCACAAAATTTAAAAGATAAATCTGCTGATATTAACTATTGGAGTGAATATAGATCAATGGAAAACTATACCTTACTGAGGGAACTATAAATTGATATAGCCATTTTGGAAATGAATATGCTCCAGGACCCAGCATTTCTCTTTCTAGGTATATCCTAGAGAAACTCTTGTTTATAAACACCACACATGTGCAAAAATGTTCCTAGCAGTGCTATTTGTAATAGAAAAATAATGGGAACATCCCAAATGTCCATCATCATGAGACTAGATAAATAAAATGAAGCATTATACAGTAGTTAAGATGAACAAATCACAGCTACACAGCTATAGCATGAACAAATCTTAAAACTTAATACTGAATAAAGAAAAGCAGATCACAAAAGACTCCATACAGCACAATGCCATTAAAAAAAGTTTGAAAAAAGCAAAGCTTAATTTAGTGTTTAGAAATGCATATATATGGAATAACACTATAAGAAAAGCAAAGGAAAGATACACGCAAAATTTCAGGAGAGTGGTTAGTTCTGGTGGGGATAATAAAGGGGCTTGCAGGTTAATTCATGGACATTGGGAATATTCTAGTTCTTAGGCTAGGTGGTAGATTCATAGGATATTTATTTCATTGTTATGTTTCATAATTTATATATATATAAAACTTTCTTTTGTACATGCTCGGTATGATATAATTAAAAATCCAATAACCAGAATGATTTATAACTAGGGAAATTTGTAGTTTGTGGCTACTAGGTTGTAAATTCCTCAAAGGTAGCTATTTGGCAAAAACAAAATATTCAACAATAATTGGACTCAACAATGGATGAAGAATGTTGTGATATGTGTATACTGATGCTTCTGGAGTGCTTTTAAATGTACTTAGAAGAGATTGAAGATTGATATCATGTGAGTCCCCCTGTCATTTTGTCTTTTTAAAAAAATTAATTTAATTTAATTTAATTTTAAGTTCCAGGACTAAGTCTTTTAAATCAGTCAAAATGATTTCCATTTATAGATTCAGGCTTAATTAGCCTCCAGGGGTGCGATATAGGAGCAGTGGCATGAGGACTACGGCTGGAAGCAGAAAGACTAGCGTTCAGCGCTGGTTCTATAGTAATTATATAATAATTATGTAATCAGTTAAGACAGATATAATTTTTAACTGTGCAGATATAATTTCCAACTGTGACACAGTTTCACCTATAACAGGGAAGGTGGTCTTTGGGAGAACAGTATCAGCAGAGGCCAGATTATACACAGGGCAAGGGAAGTAAGAAAGTGGAACCCTGAAATAGAAGGGAAATAGAAGAGCATGGGACAAACGGAAATACACTCACCATAGGGGAAGAGAAGATGTTCAGACTGAGGACAAAGCAAAATGGATGGATGAGCAGTCATCTGTATCCTTGTCTGGATTGCAGCAGGTGGACTTTTCTGCACCCTCCTGTTAGGCTCCGTATTCTTTTGTCTTCTTCTTCTTCTTTTTTTTTTCTTGGTATAAATTATATGAAGAATTGGTTTATCTCTCCACTTTGCTCATAAAAAAAATTGTTAAAAATCATCACAGAGCAAGCAAGCAAGCACATGCAAGCAACCCTGGTTGATATTGTACAATAGAAATATAATGAGGGAGGGAGGAAGGGAGTTCTCCTTAGGATACAACCAGAGCATATGTACTTGTAGAATTTCAGGGTTTTTTAGACAATTTTTTTTCCATAGAAGATATGTAGCTTAGCATGAAGACCATTTCCCTTGAGAAAAACTTTAAAGATAGTAATAATCTTAATTAAATAGTCTTTTCTATTCAGAAGGGAACAAAATTATAAATGTACATATAATTTTCAAGCATATGTTCTTCTTAATGATATTAATATATCCCTAGAGATAGTAGTAAAGCTTCTTCCTAATTAGGTAGTATTTTATTAAACTGAATAAAATCTCATGTTAGTTTGAATACCATTTTCAAGAATTAAATAACATTCAGATTCAGATAGATTTTGTTTCCTCCATGGAAATGATCAGTGCTGGTCAGAAACCAGTTTTAGGATCAAGAAAACAGTGAATCTGCTTGTTAAATAAGAACTCAAATTTCCCAAGATTTTGCCAAGCATGGATATGTCTTATTGTTGATTCTACTTATGCCAAGACAGCTTTTTTTAAAAGTAAAAATAAGAATAATTTGAACTGTGTAAAAATCTGATTTCTTCAATTGACTAAGTCTTTTACATCATATCAGTCAAAATTGTTTTGATTCAGCCTTAATTAGCCTCCAAGGTTGTGGTATGGAGCAGTGGTGTGAGGACTAGGGCTGGAAGCAGAAAGACTAGACTTCCAACACTGGTTCTATGATTAAAGAAAAAAGAGAAAACTATAAAATTAGAAGTGATAGAGATAAAAACAATTGTAAGGGGTATTACATGCATCTTTATGGCTATACATTTGAAAACAGATACAATAGTTGATTTCTCAGCAAAAAATACATCTTCAAAAGGAGTAAGCTGAAGTAAAAAATGTGACTACTAATTACCACACATGATGTTAGAAAAGTCATTACAAAGCTATGATTGAAGAAAACAATAGGACTAGACAGATATACAAGTGAGTTTCATCTCATTTTTAAAGAACAGGTAATTCAAATGTTTTATGCACTATCTGGATCATAAACAATGATCACATGTTATTATAAATGTAAAATTTCTAAATTAAATATTAGCAAGTAGATCCTAGTAATGTATCTAATGAGTATTAAAACAAAAATAGTTTACTTCAAGAATGCAAACATAGTTTAATATTAGGAAATTGACCAACTTTATTTATTTATTTATTTAGTTTTTGAGAGAGTCTCTCTGTATTGCCCGGCTGGAGCGCAGTGGGATCATCTCAGCTCACCGCCACCTTGGCCTTCCAGGTTCAAGGCATTTTTGTACCTCAGCCTACCGAATAGCTGGAATTCCAGGCACGTGCCACCATGGCTGGCTAATTTTTGTATTTTTAGCAGGGACAGGGTTTCACCATGTTGGCCAGGTTGGTTTTGAACTCCTGGCCTCAAGTGATCTGCCCACCTCAGCCTCCCAAAATGCTGGGATTACAGGCGTGAGCCACCGCACCTGGCCTCGACCAGCGTAATTTATTAATCAACAAGTTAAACAGGTTAAAGGAGAAAAGTCAACATATAAATTAAAACAGATATTTGCTTAAATGTAGCAATTATTCATAATAAAAACTCTCAATAAAACAAATATTATTTACCAAAAATTAATAACAAATATCCCAAATGGTGAAATGGTAAAACCAAGTTCAACTAAGAACTTGACAGGAAGGCCTGCTCTTGCTGTTATTAGTTAACATTCCTTGGAAGTCCTTGCAAATATAATAAATAAATAATCCAACTGGTCAAAATCCTGAAAAAGAGGAGAAAAATAATCTTTTTTTCCTGACCATATGGTTATATATATAGAAAATCCAGGACACTATAGTAAAAACCTCCTAGAGGTAAAAAAAATTTAGCTAGGTGTATAGATGCAGGATAAATATACAAAAATCACTAATTTTTACCTAGTATTTAAAAAGCTGCAAATGGAAATGTTAACAAGTATTCAATTAATAACAACAAAATTATAGAACAGAAGGAAATTTAACAAGAAAGGCATAGGACTTACATGAAGCAGATAATTCATTAGAAGTTATATAGCTTATAGAAGGACCTAAAACAAGATATAAACAAATAAAAACACTATATTTTTGGATAGGAAGACATTATTAAAAATGGTCAATTCTTCCAAAATTTATATATATATATGTTTTATGTTGTTCCTATTAGGATCCCAGTGGCTTTGGTGTGGGGGGATTTGATAAAATGATCTTAAAATTTATATAGAAGAACAAATGCCCCCAGATGGCCCCCCAAAACATGATAAAAAGACTAGTGAGAGTTTAAAAGGTTTCAGAGCATACTAATAAATTAAATATTGTATTGGCATTGGAACAAGTAACTAGATCAGTAGAAGAAAATAAAGACTCTGGAAGTAGATTCTGGAATATATAAGCATCTTGGTAGTTAAGTTCAGTGGGAAAGTATGTTTCTATAATAAATGATACTAGCACAACTGGCTGTCTACTTGGAAGAAAACTTTGGACCCATATGTTATGCATATTAAAAAATAGGTTAAATAGAGACATATAAACTAAATATAAAACATTAACCAATAATATCTTGCAGGATAATCTGGGGGACTACTTTCCTAGATTTTCTAAGAATGCGAGATGATGGGGGAAGACTCTTTTAACAAGAGGTTAATCACATTTAACCACATAAAAATTCACACCCCTGTATTGCAAAGATATCATAGGCAGAGTCAATAGACAAGCAAGTGATTTGAAAAGAATAACTGTACCGCAGGTGACAGGTAGAATATGTGTAATGAAAATATACTATAAACTCTTACAAATGGCAAGCAAAAGACAAATATCCCAGTAAAAAATGGCCAAGTATTATAAATAGGCACTTTGTGGAAAAGCAAATTCAGTTGTCAACAAACATAGGAAAGGTTGCTCAAATTTATTAGAAGTTAGAGAATGCAGAGTAAAGTAATACGGAGATTATTACCCCGTCAGACTAGTGGGAAGCAGCAGTCATGCCGCCTGCTGGTGAGATGTAGGGAAAAGGCCCCTGCATAATTTTGACCAAGGAAATGTAAATTATTTCAGTCCTTTTGGAAAGTAATCTGACAACTTCTTTTAAAAATAAAAAGTGCTGGTGGATTCCTTCCACCTAGCAATCCCTTTCATAGGCTTTCTTTTCTATGCATAAGCCCAGTCTGATTGAAAGAGATTTCTGTAAGATATTATTCAGTGAGAAAAACAAGATGTCAGGAAATGTGCATAGTATGATTAGATTTTTGTAAGACAATCAATGAAAAGCCTCCCTCAATATGAATGTGAGTATGAGAGATTAAATAAATATGGAGAAATATATGGAAGGATACATGCTAGGCTATTGACATGGATTTTCTATGATATAGGGGGGAAGGGAAGAATTATAGACCCAGTATAACTTCTTGAACCATTTTCTATACAATACATTTAAGTGATTTCTTATTTTTCCCAATTTAAAGTTTTATTCTACTGAAGTTGTTTCTACTGAGGTCAATTTTTTCCACATACATTTTTTTTAAGGCTCAGTAATTAGCATTTTTTCTTATCTTGTTTAATTATTACTTTTACTATTGTGAGTTTTCTTCTTGGCCATTGTTGTTAGCAAGTACAATTCTCCTGGGTAAAATTGACAGGTAAAAATTTGTAAAGAAAATTTTATTTTTTTTAGACGTGGTCTTGCTCTGTTGCCCAGGCTAGAATGCAGTGGTATGATCTTGGCTCACTCAGCCTCCCAAATAGCTGGTACTACAGGTGTGCACTACCACACCTGGCTAATTTTTGTATTTTTAGTAGAGACAGGGTCGCGTCATGTTCCCCAGGCTGGTCTCAAACTCCTGGGCTCAAGTGACCCACCTGCCTCGGCCTCCCAAAGTGCTGGGATTAAAAATTCTATTCTTTTATATGAAAATTTTTAGTTCGAATTTTCTATTTTCAATATTACCTAAGATGTAGGATTCTTTTTTTATTTTTATTTTTTGGTCGTAACAAATTTTACTGTTTGAAGCTTTTGCCATTGCTAGTTTTACTTCGAACAGATTCTTTCTGCAGGTAATATTTGTTAAGAATTGGATGAGTTAGGGATTTTATATTTCTTGGCACAGAGAACAAAGCAAATGAGAAGAGCAGAAATGTGAGATTTAAATGTACCATGGAATGAAAATATATTTGGGGTCAAAAAGTTAGGGTCAAAGTGCTTTCCTCTGTGCCTGGCACAAGCTAAGTAAGTGCTTGGTAATTACTAATTATTAACATTATTACTTTAAGGTGTAAATCATTCTTTTATTCACTCCTGCTGCTCTATTTAGCCATCCTAGTCTATGCAATGCTTTGTGCTTTGGTTTAGGGAGACAACAATTTTTGTGGCTCCAGGGCCAGGGCAGAGTAACCTAAGTGAAGCAGGTCAAGGGAAAGGTCCGAAAGGGAGTGGTAGGGAGTGTGTCACACTGGTGAGGCCATGCTCAGGCTGAAGGGAGCAGTTGCTCTGGCTAATTGCTGTCATGAAGGAGTGTGGATCTTGTGTTGCTATATCTTTAGATTTTACAACATGCTGAAAATATCCACGTTTTTAGGTGAAATCTGATATTTATGTGCTGGTGGGTAATTTGAATTTTATTAAACACAGTGTGGGCCAATATGATGCAGTTTGAACAAAACATGTCTGCAGGCCGCATGCTCGTTTCGAACTCCCTGGGCAACTCAGCCCATAGCTGTCCTCATGTTCCCAATGCTGGGAGCTGTGATCTATTAGGCAGACGTCACACTGTCTGAAAAATACCTCCTGCCAAGGAAATTAGGTTGTGAGTCAACCCCAGGATCCGATAAGTCAGGGGTGCACTAGGTCTAGATCTGAAGGATGGAGGCCAGGGGGAGTGTGTTAGGGAAGGAAGGATTTGCCTAGATGCATCTGAGATTGTCTCCCATTAGTATCAGGGCATCCCCTTGAAATACCTGTGTGGGTTGTTGGCTGTCCAGCAGGTGGCAGCATTAGAACAGAGATGGGCCAAGTTAGGCCCATAATATTTACAACTCCGTCCTTCCTTATTTGCGTATGAATAAGGGAAGAATAGATTACTGCAGATGAGCTTTAGAGGGAAGAAAATTATTTGCCATATATTTTTAATTAAAAAATACTTAAGCCCCTACTCAGCGCCAGCTACTGCGCTGTGCACTTTCTCAGCCATCATCTTATTGAATCCTCACAACCTGTGATGTAGGCAACCCTTTCCCCCATGGTGAAGATGAGGAAATTGAGTCCCAGAAGCTGAAGGAATCTATCCCAGGAAGTACAGTTTCTGAGAAGCAGAGCTGAATCAGCAAGTAGGGCTTTGGTCTTTTCACAGAATCACACCTGATGCTGCAAGCCTTGTGGTCGTGTGGTCGTGTTGCTGTCTCAGTTCTGTTAACATTTGCCTAATGATCCTGAGAAACTTGGTCTCTGTTCTGGGACAGAGAAAGCAGAATGCCATATGTCTATCACATGGCAGGGGACATTTGCTCTAGACACTCAACAAGGTGGCTGTGCCCCAGAGCTGGTAATTGAGAGAAGATTGATCCTATTATGGAGCAATGCTGCGTGTGCAGTCTGAGAGTGGATGTGGACATTTGATGTGTTCCTCCTTTTCTAGATAACATCTCCTGTGACAAGCACAGATTGCTGTTTCCTTTATTTCTTACTGTTCAAAGCATTGGCATAGAAAATGAGTTATCTAAGAAGCTGAATGTTTCTTGTGATAAATGTGAGGGGCCGACCATCATTCCAGCCATTCAGTAATTAAGGCTGCAGGATGCTTGCATAACAGACCTATCCCTTGCCTATTTCATACGGTGTCAGATTGTGTTTGATTAATAATGATTAATCTCATGATTTTGTATAAATGGCTTAAATCTGTGAAACCATTTGCCAAATAAATTAGATCCACCAGCAAAGTTCAAAATTTCTTCCAGCAGAGGCAGTGTTGGGTAGAGAGCAGATTCAGAACATCCCCACTTCCTATGTGACCTCCTGCAAGTAACTAGTCTCCTAGGGACTCTGTTTCCTCATCCGTAAAGTAGGGGGTGGAAAGGATGACATCAAAGGGTCCTGCCTGCTTTGAGAGTCTACGATCTTCTGGAGTCCGAGTGGATCTGCATGTGAACAGAGGAGATCCAGAGATGGGCACCTTCACAAGAACGATCCTGTCACTGGCTAGTTGGAACCAACTAAAAGGACACTGTTAAATGACATTTAGAGAACATGGGTTTGATCAGACAGTTGTGATCCAAATCCTGGCTCTGCCAGTTGCTAACTGTATAATAATCTTCGAAAGTCACTTAAATGCTCTGAACCTCCACTTTCTTAGTAGATAACCCGAAGATATGCTGTGGGTGCTAAAAAGTCATAGTTATATCCTTGACATGTGTTAGCTGCCTAATGAATGGTAACAATTTTCATTAGTCATTGTTGTGGGTTGAATTGCATCACCTGACAATTCGTATGTTGAAGTCCTCATCCCCAGTGCCCTACTTAGAGAGTGACTTTATTTGGAGATAGGATCTTTATAGAGGTAATCAAGTTAAAATGAGGTCATTCTGGTGGAGCCTAATCCAATATGACTGGTGTTTTTATAAAAAGGAGAAATTTGGACACAGAGACATGCGTGAAGAGAAGACAATGTGGAGAGACATAGGGAGAAGGTGCCATCCGTGCCAAGGACACAGGCCTAGAACAGATCCTTCTGCACAGCCCTGAAAAGGAACTCACCTACTGATACCCTAATGTTAGACTTTCAGCCTCCAAACCATGGACAATGAATTTCTGTTGTTTAAACCAGCAGTCCCCAACCTCTTTGGCACCACGGGCTGGTTTTATGAAAGATAATTTTTTCACCAGGGTTGGGGGGTTGCAGGGGAATGGTTTCAAGATGATTCAAGCACATTACATTTATTATGCACTTTATTTCTATTATTATCACGTTTAATATATAATGATATAATTATACAACTCACCATAAGGTAGAATCAGTGGGAGCCCTGAGCTTGTTTTCCTGCAACTAGGTGGTCCCATCTGAGGGTGATAGGAGACAGGGACAGATCATCAGGCATTAGATTCTTTTTTTTTTGGGAGACAGAGTCTTACTCTGTCGCTGAGGCTGGAGTACAGTGGCGTGATCTTGGCTCACCGCAACCTCCGCCTCCCGGGTTCAAGAGATTCTCCTGCTTCAGCCTCCCGAGTAGCTGGGATTACAGGCATGCACCACCACGCCCAGCTAAATTTTGTATTTTCAGTAGAGATGGGGTTTCACCATGTTGGCCAGGATGGTCTCGATTTCCTGACCTCGTGATCCCCCTGCCTCTGCCCCCCAAAGTGCTGAGATTATAGGTGTGAGCCACCATACCCGGCCTAGATTCTTATAAGGAGCATGTAACTTAGAGTGGTACTGGTCTGTTGCCTGGGGGTTGGGGACCCCTGGTTTAAACCACTCAGTTTTTGGACTTTGTTTCAGCAGCCCTAGAAAACTAATATAGTTATTTTCATGCCATTCTGTTGCCACCTTCCCCTGTTCTGGATGTGCCTTGTAACACCTACTAAGTAACTTGTAACACCTAGCAAGTCTGTGGTCATGGCTCTATGTTCACTGCCTCAACTGTTCCAGAGTGGTCAGCAGGCCCTTGGGAAGTCATAAAAATAGTATTTATTGACGTTTTCAGTACTTTATACACATTTCATTAGATAAACTCTCACAACAACTCTCTGAGAAAGATACTATTATTGTCCCCATTTTATACCTGAGAAAATTGAGGCACAGATATGTTTAGTAACTTATCTCACATCTATGAAGTGGTACAGCCAGGAGGTGAATAGGTCCAGACACTTTGACCCCAGAGTCCTTGACCTTCGTTCTCACAGTGAGCTCTTAGTAGCCCCCATGCAGACAAGCTTAGAGATGACTGGAGTTGAAGGAATAGTAAGTCTGGATGGCCACTGCTCATCAGTAGGACTCTTGGCAGCAGGATGAAGCTGAAATCTCCATGCCTCTGCAGTGGCCTCTGAGGATCTACCACATGGCATCACTGGAAAATGCTGGACAAAATGCCCTGCCCTGCCATCTGCAGATCACTGAGCCCGCCAAGGTATCTCACTGGTCACAGCTCAGAACTGTTGCTCTCATTTTAGGTTCTGTCCCTTTTATCTTTCAGGCTTTCCCAAAGCTGCCCCTGATGAGTTTTTTGGTTTTCTGCCCACGGAACTCATGTAGAGAACCACTATGGAGGTGCAGAATGCCATAACAATGAACAGTGTGGGAGGCCGCAGTGGCACAGTGGCTCACGCCTGTAATCCCAGCACTTTGGGAGGCCAAGGCAGGTGGATCACCTGAGGTCAAGAGATCGAGACCATCCTGGCCAACACGGTGAAACCTAGTTTCTACTAAAAATACAAAAATTAGCCAGGCATGGTGGTGGGTGCCTGTAGTCCTAGCTACTCAGGAGGCTGAGGCAGGAGAATCACTTGAACCCAGGAGGCGGAGGTTGCAGTGAGCCGAGATTGCACCACTGCACTTCAGCCTGGTGACAGAGCGAGACTCCATCTCAAAAAAAAAAAAAAAAAAAAAGAGTGTAAGCCCTGATGTCAAATGTCTGGATTTGGATCCTGGCTCTGTTCCTTCCAGTCTGTGTGAACTCAGGTGACTCATTTAACTTCAGATCATCACCTGTAAAATGGTGATAACAATGGTACTTATAGGGTTGTTCTGGTGGGGATTTAAACGAACACATGTATGCCTCTTGGACCAAACTTGAAGAGTACTTAATACATGTTGACTTTTATTATACAATCAGTGGGATGGGATAGAGTGCTATAGTGGTAACTGTCTAGAAGTGCATTTATTCCAGAAAGAGGACTGAACTGTATCCGGTTTATAGTAATGAATTCATAAAATTTCAATAACTTGCCATCCATATTACAAAAGAAACACAGAACTTGATACGTATGTAGTTATTTTAGGACATTTACAGTTTGGTAGAAAATGTGCATGGTGTACAGTGGCATATCATAAAGATTTGTTGAATGAATGAGTGAAATGTGAGATAAAGCCAGCCATGAGACATCCTGGTTCCTGGCACTGCACGAGGTGGGAAGCACAGGCTGGCAGAGAGATGCTTGGGCAGCTATGATAAAAGCGGGACTGCTCAGTTGTCCAAATCCCCAATTCTGGAGAATGAGGTAGTTCTGACCCAGTCCAGAACAGAAGGTAGAGGAGTGAGAGAGTGGCATGAATCTCAAGAATCTCACCATCATTGTCAGTGGGGGTGCTGGCACCAAGGCTGGTGCTGAGCTGGAGGGAGCAAAGAGAAGAGGGCGGAGCCCTGGTCAGTTGGGCTCCAGTCCAAGTGGGGAACTAAAGGGAAAGCCAGGGACCTAGAGCCTGTCAGATAGACAGAAAGACTGTTCTATGGAAATTAGGGATGACCAATGGCTCTGTGCTCATTTAGGGATCCCTGCATCACTCAAGGGATCTCTCGAGATAGTCATGGGGCAGCAGAAGCAGAAACACTGCAAACTCTGATCACCATGTGAGCCACGCCTGACCCCATGTGGGTGAAACCTGATCCTACAGTGGTTCCCATGTGACTGAGGCCTGATTCCATGTGAGTGAAGCCTGATCATCATGTGAGTGAAGCCTGATCATCATGTGAGTGAAGCCTGATTCCATGTGAGTGAAACTTGATCCCATGTGATTGACGGCTGACTCCATGTGAGTGAAGCCTGATCATCATGTGAGTGAAGCCTGATCATCATGTGAGTGAAGCCTGATTCCATGTGAGTGAAACCTGATCCCATGTGATTGACGGCTGACTCCATGTGAGTGAAGCCTGATCATCATGTGAATGAAGGCTGATCCCATGTGAATGAAGGCTGATCCCACATGATGAAGCCTGATTACCATGTGAATGAAGACTGGTTCCATGTGGGTGAAGCCTGGTTCCATGTGAGTGAAGCCTGATCCCATATGAGTGAAGCCTGATTACCATGTGAATGAAGCCTGATTCCATGTGTGTGAAGCCTGGTTCCATGTGGGTGAAGCCTGATCCCATGTGAGTGAAGCCTGCTTCTCTGTGAATGAGACCTTATCACCATGTAAGCTGAGCCTGCCTCCTGTGCACTGAGGGCAGGTCCTCACACCTGGCAGCTGGGAGAGCATGCCAAGGACTGGGCTCCAGCTTGCATATTGCAAGACAAAGGGACCACACCCAAGCCCAGTGAGAACAGGCAGTTCCATTCTGAATAGACAGAAGGGACATGCAGCTTGCGTTGGCAACCTTCTGCCTCCTGCATTTCTTAAAGTGGAGTCGATTAATGGCTTTCCAGAAGCAAGGGAAAGATTTCTACTGTGCTCATCATGAAGAAGTGTAAATTGTTACAATCTTTTCAGAGGGTGATTTTGCAGAATTATCAGTACATAAAAGATGGTAATTGCAATGTTGTTTGTGGCAGTGAAAAAGTGGAAATGGTCTAAATGCCATCAACAGAGGACTGGTTAAAAAACTGGAAGTACCTTTGTACTATGGAATAATATGCATTAACTAAAGGTGAGGAAGTAAATACGTATGCATAGACATGGAGAGGTGACCACATTATCACATTATATTAAATGAAAAAAGCAGGTTTCAGAAGAATGCATCAGTATCAGCTCATATGTATAAAAAAGAGTTAAATGCATGTAATGTAAATGTCTGAGTAATGCATGGAACAGACCCAAAAGGATGCAAACCAAATAAATGGTAGTTAATTCTAGAAAGAGGGATTGATGGGAGATGGGAGAGAGAGGAAAGGAAACAGGGAATTTCACTTTCTATGTAATAGGTTCCTGTACTATTTGCTTGTCATGTTTTGTGTTATAATAAGCATGTACTACACCTTGCTTTTAAAAGATGTAAAAAAGAATCTCAAAATAAAACTTTGTTATGTTAGTATTCGGGTTTTATGTTTTCTTGGTTGGCTTCAGGTTTAGAGCAAGTTGCTTGTTTAGATAAAATAATATTGTGTGGCTTTTTAAAGACACCAAGAGCCTGTGGAGAGGCTGGCAGTGAGGTTGAGATTTATCAGGAGGTCAGAGGGGTGGTCCTACTTCTCCCTAGCAGGGGGGGTTTGGGCAAGAGAGAACTTCCCAGGTGTGTCACTCACTGGGGTGTGAAGTCCATTCATTGGCCACCTTGAAGGGCATCCAGTGGGCACTCATTGGGCACTAGGAATTATATTCAGCACAGTGTCAGACCTCATGCTGGGCTTAGCTTGGAGCACTCTGTGGGGAATTGAGCTGAGCATGGCATAGAACTCTTGGCCAGATTGTATGTTTGGGATGGCTGAGGTCATCTCACTGGTCATTGCCCAGGCAGCACTACCTTATAACTCCCTGGGCTGAGGGTGGTCACTGCATAGAGCACTTGAGTGGATAATGCATTAGGCACTGGATGGAATCCTATGTGCACCACTGCACAGGACACCTTGTAGAATTCTTACTGGATCCTACACAGAATGTGACTTTCAGCATCATAGTTGACACCATGCAAAACTCTGAACTGGTCTGTGGGAAGCACCCTTTCTGGGCACTACCATTACCCCAATAATGGGCATGAGCGGGCAGCTGAAGAGGCTAGTTCTTGTATCCCAGACCCACTCAGTAGACACCTTCCAGGAGCAGAGCCTATTCTATGGAGGAAACTGCGCTACAGGCCGACCAGGGCAGCCACGTCCCAGGCACTGGGGAAGGGAGGGAAAGCAGTAGAGCCCACTCACATATGCTGCCTCCTTCTTGCTGCCAGAAAGGCTGCAGGGCTTTGAAAAGATTCGTTTGCACAGTGAAACTCTGAGTAAATAGAAGCCACCGTCAATGGTGCGTGTACATCTGAGAGGAGCGTGTGGAGTGAAGGCAAACATTTCCCAAAGAGCTTGGAAGGAAAGTGATGCTCTGAGGTAGGTCTGTGCCAGGCTTGCTGCAGCTTGGATGGCAGACCCTTGACTGGGGGTGTGCCTTGGCCTGCGGAAGTTCCCATCCACATGAGTTGCTTTAGTGCCTATTACATCTCACATAAGAGGCAGTAAAGACAATCAAATATCTCAAGTGGCTCCTGAGACCCTTCCTGAGAGTTGCTGCACCCTCAATGCCAAGATCAAAGCCAGCCCACAGGAGATAAGATGCAGGATGGCCGGTTGCGCACCCTCATTAGTAAAGAGATGATTCCACGTATTTCAGGTTTACAGAGATTTAGAGTTGCCCCTCAGTAACCAAGAAATAACCACATTTCGTAGATTGAGGAATCACTTGGGAATGCTCAAGCAGAATACTGTGTCTGCTGAATTTAGGAGACCCACAGGAGAGGTGGCGTTCACCCCTCCTAACACCAAAATGCAACCAGAGGCATTTTGGACCAGCTAGGGCAGCTCTTTCTGTGATTAAGGAAGGCAGGTGTCTGTGCCTGGGAATTCTCTCACTCTAAACTAAGGAAAGTTACTCACACTTTTACCCAAATTCTTCATCTGAGCTGAGAAGAAAATGTTGGCTCTTCGTGCTGCTCCACTTGGCTCAGTCTCCTCATTGTTCCCCAAATATGATGAGTGTTCCATTTCCCTGGTTTTGTCTCCTCAAACTCTCCTTTCTAATAGCTTTTAAAAATACAGGTAAAATTTGCATAACATAAAATTAACAGTTAACCATTTAAAGTGTACAATTCAGTGGCATTTAGTAATTCAGTAGTTGTGCAACCATCATCTCTGTCTAGTTCCAAGTCATTTTTATCACCCTCAAAGGAAACTGTACCCATTAAGCAGTCATTTGCCTTTCACCGCTTTCCCAGGTCCCTGGCAAACACTGGTCTGCTTTCTGTCTCTATGGATTTACCTACTCTGGATATTTCATATAAATAGAATCATACAATACATGACGTTTTGTGCCTGGCTTCTTCTACTTAGCATAATGTTTTTGAGGTTCATCCACTTTGTCTTAGTAGCTTTTTATGGACACTGTGGTATAGAAAGAATGTAGTCTTCGGAGTCAGAGAGACCTGGGTTTTCATTCTGGCTCAGCCATTTACTAGCTGTGTGTTCTGGGAAAGTTATTTACCCTTTCTGAGCTTCAGTTCTCATTCATGAAATGAGAAGAATAATCCCTACCTCATATATAGTTGTGAGGATTAACAGATAATATACGTAAAATCACCTGATGTTGTATCTGGCACATAGTAGGCACTCTCTAAATGTTTGAGGCATAAGGATGAAGTTAAATATGAGAGCACGATGTTCATAGTATGTTAATTCCTTGTCTTTGCCCCTTATTTATGCATATTTTTCTGTGAACGCTTTCCTGCCTAGTGGCAGCTTTTTTCTCTGAATTCCTTCACCCTCCCTTCCCCTTATCTGAATAATTTACCTTACACTGAACATTCACTGCCTTGTTCCTTTGTCAAGTAGGTTTATTTTTTTCTTGTGTGTGCATACTATCAACCCAACTAGACTGCACATTTTCTTGAGGTCAGGAGACATTTTCTTCCTCCAGGACACATATATTCCAGATTTTCCAGGATAGTCCCATTTTTAAACAATCTCTCTCTCTCTCTCTTTTTTTTTTTTTTTCTGGACAGAGTCTTGCTCTGTCACCCAGGCTGGAGTGCAGTGGCACTATCCTGGCTCACTGCAACCTCCGCCTCTCAGGTTCCAGTGATTCTCCTGCCTCAGCCTCCCAAGTAGCTGGAACTACAGGCACTTGCCGCCACACCCAGCTAATTTTTGTATTTTTAGTAGAGACGGGGTTTCGGCATTTGGCATGTTAGCCAGGCTGGTCTCCAACTCCTGACCTCTAGCAATCCACCTGCCTTGGCTTCCCAAAGTGCTGGGATTACAGGCATGAGCCATTGCGCCCAGCCAACAATCACTTATGTAGTCCCCCTAAACCATCGGGATATCATAGAAAATCCAATAGTTTGGCATCCAAACCACATCCCCCAGACTGCTTTGGCATGCAGAAGTGGCACAAGTTCCTTCTTTAGGCTAAGTTTGAACAATATAATATCTCTTAATGTTTGGCGAAGGTGTCAGTTTCCCAGAAACGCTACCCCCCACATCCTCATAGAAAGGAAATGGGTGGCAGTCAAGCCTCTATCCCAATTATCAGGCTGTAAAGGTGCAAGTTGGCATTCTTAGGAAGGTGCTTCTTCAAAGGCACTTGCTGCAGAAGCTAAAGTCCAAATTAAAATTGATTTACATTCTCATAGAAGCATCAGCTATTAGAGAGTAGGTTCTGAAATGGGATGTGTTACCAGAGAATGAGGTCAGTTATGGGCAGGGAAAATGTCTTTCAGTGTTTCAGCATAACTTAGACTCATAGCTGAATTTATATGTTGGGCTTTTACTACAAATAAAATGAATAATGCTCAAAGTGTCCATTTAATGTTGTTGACCTTGTCCTTTTTTATGTAGGAAGTTGGTACTTAGAGAAGGGATAAAAACAGAAACTAAGAGTCAGAAACATTTATGAAGACAACAAATTTCTAGAGCAGTTGCTCCCAACCGTTTTTTGGGTCACAGAGCTCTTTGAGGACTTGATCAAAGTTATAGACCCTCTCCAAGAGGAAGATGCCCAATATACAGACACACAAAATAATGTGTATAGTTTTGGGAGGATTTGCACGCCCCCTTGAAGCCCACCTAAGGTCACCATTTTAGAATATCTGTTATAATGACAGTCACCAGTCTGCCAGGTATCCTGTAAAGCACCAAAGGCACAACGATGAGTAAGACATGGTTTCTGTTTTCAAGGGACTTATACTCAAGTGAGGCAGACCAAACGTTTACCCAGACAATGACACCTCAGCTAGTCAATTGCAGAAACTGACTAATACTCTGTACCATCTCTCCTTTTGCTTCCTACTGCCCTTACCCTGGTTTTGTCTCTCATTTTCTGGCTGGTAGCAATAGCTTTCAAGCTGCTGGCCTGCTGCTTATTTCTTCATCCCTCACATGGATAAGCAGTGGTTCTCCTAAAGTTCATTTGCTGAGGAAAGATCGGACTGGACCACTCCTCTCTTTGTAAACCTGCGCAGGTGGTTTTCCATCCCCTACAGCATAGAGAACCAATTCTTATCACAGCACTAAAGGTCTTCTGGTTGGGTGTCATTAGACATTTTCAGCTTCTTGTCCCATTCAGCCCTGTGTGAATCCTACTCTATCAATACCAGACCCATCATTATTCCCTAAATAGAGCTTGCATTTTCAAGCTCCCCTGACTGGCTTATTCTGCACCCTGACCCCAGAATGCCATTTCCCTTAATATTCATCTATTAAATCTTTCTTATCCTCAAGGTCCCAGATGGAATACCTCCTCTGTGAAACTGTTCCCAACTTACCATGTCACCATGTCAGAAGTATGTGAGCTTTTTTGAGCCTGTATTTTGCATGTAGTCAGTTCTGCCTTGTAAGAGTGTATTGCCCATGTCTGTCTGATTCCTCTGAGGCAGAGGTGGCACCAAACTTATCTCTGGGGTTTAGAGTCTCTGCCAGAAGGGTGGCCCACTTGAGACTGAATTTGTGCATTTTTGTCTCTTCAGTGAGAAGATGTAGAAAGCTACCTCTGAATCCGAGACTGGCATTCCTTAGAAAGATAGAAGTCGAATCCGTTGGTGGGTCTTCCTTCGAAAGGCACTAAAGATAGATTTTGTTAAAAGAGTAGGTGTAGTATGATTGACACAAAAGGGGGATCCACAATCCCTCATGTGAGAGTTGAAAATAAAAGCTTTTCAGCTCTTGAAGACAGGCTTCAGGAGGGAAGAGGATGGTGACTCTGGGTCTGTGACGTGGAAGATCCCAGAACTGATCCCAGAACAGTTCATTCCTGAGCTGGGCTTCAAATAGAAAGTCACACTGTGTAAAGGCTGTGGCTGGGTTGTCAATTAGGAGCAGAAGATCCGCCTCCTGCTCTGATCTCCAGGCTGGCAGCTTTGCCAGCATGGACGATACTTTGCCCTCTTGAGGCTCTGGGTTCATCCCATGCTAGAGGGCTGTGCTTTCATCGTGTGGCCTTCACTCCACATTCACGCAGTGCTGGGCAATGGAAAAAGCTACAGCGAGGGTTCTGAGGGTTTGCTGGGCCCTTTAGGTTAGCTTCAGGTGAAGAGAACATATCCTAATGTGATAGATGTTCTTGGAGCAGAGGATAGGATGCACCTTCTGTAGTTTGAAGGCAACTCCCCTGTGGGAACTTCTGCTTAGCCATCAGTGCCTATCTCTGAAGTCAGAGCAGTGAGATAGAGTCAAGGTGGTCTGGACTTTACCCTAAATGCTAGGGCCTGCTGACCACATCACCAGGAGAATATTGTTACAGAATTAATGCTATTGTCAGAATGCAACCCAAGGCATCCTAATTGGATCCCAAACAAACAGATTTGCAGAGGAACCTTCTGCACATCTGTAATCTCCAGCATTCAAGCCCTTGTTCACAGCATGGGCACAATAAATGTTCACAGAATTAAAATCCAAGTGCTTCATAGCCAGCTCCGAATATTGATTCTGCTATGCGAACTTTTCTTCCTATTTGCCACCATACCAAACACCACTGTTTTGGTCCCTCTCCAAGGTCTCTCTCTAAGCTCTTAATTAGAAAAAGGAAGCTGTAATTATTAAAGTTATTAAAATATGGAATATTGCAAAGGAGTGGACTAGAAGTCTTCATGCTAATCCAAACAAATCGTGCTAATGTTACTTTGATTCTGGCAAACCCAAAACCGCAGAGGAAGATAAAAGCTAGGGCTTGTTTTCTAAGTGGAGGGTTTAGCCTATTCGCTAAGCCAGGATTCATCAAGCATTCACCGGGAGCTGCAAAGGAGAAGCAGGAGGAGATGAAAAGAAGAAAGACGTGAAAACTATAGAAAAGATGATGTAGGGAGGGGGAGAGCTGAGTCAAAAGAATCAACCAGGTAGCAGTAATTCATCAAGCTCCTTTCACAAGTTCCTCCCTCTTCCAGGAGCTATGATCTGGGGCTCAAAAAAGGGCCTTTTCTACCTCACAGTTTCAGTGACTGCATTAATGAAGATGACTGCTCAAGCCTTATGCTCAGTCCAGACACTTTCGCAGATCTAACTGCCTTAAGTGGACATGGCCACTTAGGGAGAAGGATATATGCTTCAACCAGCACAGATGGCAGAGCTCAAACAGAGTTACAGTTTGGACATATTTTGACTGGGAACCCACCTGGCATGGAAGGTACTTACATGCATCTGAAATTCAACAGATACTAGATAGAGCTCAAAATGCACACCTCCCTGTTTTTCCTGTGAGGACCCCATCTCAGCCAATGGAGCCACCACCCACTCCACACACCTCCAAGTCACATACCTGAGAGTCATCTTAGATGTTCCTCTTCATTCCTTTGCCAGTGTCTTTGGTTGCCAAGAACTGATGATGCAACCTCAGAGATGTCTTTTATATATATTTTTCCCTCTTCAGCACCACTGTTCTAGTTCATATCCTTAACAACTTTTCCTGTACTGCTTTTCCAATCTCTTCTTCTACCACCTTCCTAATCTACCATCTTCCAGCCTACCCCAACTTCTCAGAATTCCCAAGTCTCTGTGCCTTTGCACGTATGGTTCCTCTGCTTGGAGTCCTTAACCTCCATTGACCACCTGTCAAACTCTTGCCTATTCTCTGAGGCCCAGCCTAAGGATTGTCATCTCTGGCTGTCCAGCAGTAGTGTTGGTTCTCTCAGAGCTTTGGGTTTGTGCTGTCACAGCCCTGGCCCTATGTCACTGCCACTGTGGATTGGACAGGCCTCTCTCTCTAGAGGCTCAGGGACTGTGCATTGCATGATTACCTATCCCTGGGGCTTTGCAGAATACTAACTTGCACATGGTAGCACTCAGTATCCCTCTATTGATAGAACACCAGTTCTGGAGAGTGATTAATCCCATAGATTCTTGCCTCTGTGAAGGACAAAGACACTAGTTTGAAAGGAAGAAGCTCCGGAGATACCACAAAGAACTATGTGAAATCCTGTGACTTGATGAATTATAAGGTGATGTTTGAGGCAAGAAGCAGGGGTCTGAAGGGAAAAGGAGGATAATGAAGAAGTGGCACTTGAGTCTGCCGGCTGGGACTTTATTGTATTTCATAAAGTAGTGCTAAAAATTCATTACCATAGTTAGGATTTGAAAGACTTGATGTAAAGATTTCAATTTAGAATAACTACCACTTGTGAACACCCAATATGTCTAGACAGTGTATCTTGCCTACTTTATGTTTAAAGCTGACAACTCTACATATTAGGTATATTTATGCCAGTGTTATAGATGAAGAAATTGAGACTCAGAGAAGTTAAGTAACTCATCTATGGTCACACAGATAGAAAGGGAGTGGAATAATAATTTTTTAAAAGTTGAAACACAGATCTCATTCCCAAATATGATCTCTTCATACTAACCTCAATTTACCCTGAACAATGGACATGTACCACCTCTTCAGGATCTCTGCCATGAATCAATCACATCTTCAACTTCTTCTCTCACCAAAAATACAGTTTAACAATCTCTGATGAAATAGACTGAGGTATGTGCAATCTGCCCTCCTTCCCTTCAGTCACTCCTGGTTTGGTAACATGAAGAAAAGAAAATAGGCCCAAAAGGAGCAGACCAAATGAGAAAAAGAAGAGAAACAAAATGCCCAAGTAATCCACAAGTCAGTAATAATATCTTTTGTACTTTTAGAGTGCTTTACAAAAATCATGATTTTGTTTGTTCCTCATCATAAGCCTGGGCTATGTACTGTCACTCCCATTTTCTGGGTGAGGAAACTGAAGCTCAAGGAGGTGAGGGGACTCAACTACGTCTGAACAACTAGTCAAGGGAAGAGCCAGGACTGAAACTCAGGCATGCATTCTCCTAGCCCCACACCTGTTCCTTTACACCAGGAATGCCCGTGCCCCAGCTCCCAGCATGGTCCATGGCAACCACTTATGTTTGAATATATGATCTATTGCACTAATAACTTGACAAGTACTCTACAAAATGCATTGCATGAATTATCTCTTTTAATTCTCATAACAAGTCTATGAGGTAGGAACTATTATTTGTCCCATTTTCTTACAGAGAAAGAAACTGAGGCACAGAGAGATTAAATGACTTGGTTAAGTGGCAGCGCCAGGATTTAATCTGGCTCTGATGACTGCTGAGACTTTGCTCTTGAAAGTGGTAACATGCGCCTCTCTGTCTTCTAATCATGGAGTGTTGTTCAGTTATCTCCTCTGTCAGAGAAGGCCAATGCTATCTTCATTTAGGGCTGGGCTCAGTTGAATAAATTTTACATGGCAGGCCTCTTCAAAAGTCTTTTATTACAGATTTTGAAAAGAAGTAAAAACAGTCCCCTTGGAAGATGGCAGAGAAAGATAGTTGGTTGCTGGCTGACTTTCATCAGTATTAATTAATATCACCTTTTGAAAGCCCCAGGACTAAGGGGTGAATTTCCTTGTATTTCATTTGAATTATTTACTGAATTGAATTCTGAAATGAAACTCTATGCAAGCAATGACCCATGCAGACACTGCAGGTGCTACTTTCATCCTGTTAATGGGTTTTACTAGCTAAAGACAATCCTTTTAGGGTTTTTGTCTCGGTTTCAGGAAAAGGAATTTGGAGAGATAGTGATGAGAATACTGCAGAGTCCCCAGGTCATGGTTTTGTCCCCTCCCTCACTTCATGTTTTTAGCTTTTGAAGGCCCACAGCTTCATCCTCCTTATCTGCTTAGCTCTTTAATGGCTAGTTTTCTCATCTGTCAAATTGGGCTGTGTGGGTGATAATAATCATAGCTGCCCTAACTCTGATTTCTGTTGAGTTTCTTGCTCCTTATGATAAGACTGGGCCTAGCCCACATTGCATCTCAGTAGATAGCCAATAGACTCCCCAAGATTTTAGTGCATTCCCTGGGTGGGGTGGTGGTTCTTAACCTCATAGTCACCTTGTACTCTAAGCTCCTGCATTTGCAGAATTGGTTCAGTCTTACCTGTCCCTGGCTGCTTCTGAGAGACAAGTCATTTTACTCTATTTGCCTGGTAGCAGCCCTGGTAGCCTTCTTTTTAGAAGGCATGTGGCCGCTGGAGTAGTTAACACTGATCTACCAAATAGGGTATAACCTCATGTTCTCCTTTACCTATCTAGTTCTTGAGTGTGCTGTTCCTTCCTTCAAAGTAACAAATAGTGTCACATATTGAGGACTTATGGTGTGGTAAGCACTGGATCAATTGCCTCCATATATTACCACATTTCATCCTCAAAATAGTTCTGTGAGATGAGTTTTTATTCCCATTTCACAGATGGAGAAATGGCAACTCAGGTCATAACAAGGAAGTGAATTTGAAAAACTGTCTGATCCCAAAGTCTTAACCCTTGCCTCCCTGATACTGCTCTGATGGCTGAAAGTTTGCTGTGCTCTGGCCTAGCTTCTGGGCCAGGGGAGGAGTTGAAGTAGATGCTCTTGTTTGGTACCATCTCTTCTTGTGCTGGGTCTTCTGGTAGGGCACTGGGCTTTGTCAGTAGAGTCTGAGGACTATGTTCTTTACAGGGAAGACAGAGGCCTTTATCCCTTTCTTCCAAGTCTTCCATCTCTTTTTGAGTTCTCTCCACAAGACTGTGCTCCTCCAGGTGCCCACAGGTCTCCCGAGACTGCCTTCCTTGGGCATGACTGTTGCCATAACACAGTGACTGGTGAGAAGGAAGGAAACTCTCCCATCATCTCCAAGCCACGATTTGTATTGTGTATTGGTGTATTTTAGTGTATTTAATATGGAGCAACCCATTCTCTACCTCATGGTCCTGACAATATATGTCTCATATATCTGACAAGGTGTATCTCAGCTCAAATGTTGGTCTTTCTCGGAAAGTTTTCTTCCACTGTCCCAAATAAGCAGGAGTCCTTCTGCTGCTCCAGTAGCTCTGTCACATCTCTCTGATTCACTGGAATCATATTTATCTCAAATTGAAGTTACTGGAATGACTCCATTTCTATGAAGTGCCCAGAAAAGGCAAATTTATAGAGACTGAAAGTAGATTAGTGGTGGCCTGGGCTTGGGGGTGGGAACAGGGATTAACTGTAAATGGACCTGAGGGATTTTACCAGGGGGATGAAAATGTTCTAAAACTTATCTATAGTGATTGTTGTACCACTCAGTAAATTTACTAGAAGTCATTGAATTGTACACTGAAAATGAGTGAATTTTATGATATGTGAAACTTACCTTACTAAAGCTGTTAAAAAAAGAAATTACCCTGTTCATTTTCCTCTTTATTACTGTCTTACATTCTGGTTAGAATGTAAGCCTATGATGGCAGGGATCTTGTCTGTTTTATTCACCAATATGTCCCCAGCACCTAGAACAGCACCTGGCACATAAAAAGAGCTCAGCAAGTATTCAGAGAATGCATGAATAAATAAGCTAGCAATCTCTTGCCATTTTGTAAACACTCAGGATAAGCCTGTGAAAAGAGACATACTCAATACAGAATCAATAACAAACTTCAAATCTAAAAATCACACATTAAGGATAAAAGAAATCACGAACCCTCCATTCTCAATGGGTGCCAGATTGTTTGCTGTTGACTCAGCATTTTCTCTACCTCCTTCTACATCATCTTCATCATTACATCATCATTATAGAGAAATCTGCAATTACATTACCCAGAATTCCTTTACTGGATGGTTCCCTGTTAGATTCTGTAAACTCTTGTGAAAGTTGAAGCAGAAGCCATTATTCTCTGACAGCAATTGTGGGCAGATGGGAAGCGGGAGAAAGGAGAGGCTTGCAGAGCTGTCGGGTTAGTTCCTATGAATCATCTGCTTCAATGCTACAGGTAGCTGAGATTGTAGCTTTCCTGCAATATCTGAAGTTTGCAGCACCTCTGGCCCTAATCTTTGCTACCCAAGTCTTTCCAATGGTTATGGTTGTATAAGTGTGTAATTCCTTATATTAAAATCTTTCCTGTTTGGAAAACCTGGAGGGGGTCTGGTCTCTTTTTCTGATTAAACTCTAACTAATTCAATGGGTATAGAGTATAATTTTTAAGAACTCAGGGTTGAATGATGGTGAGGAGAAGGAAGGGAAGAGCTTCTTTGTGTCCTTTTCTAGGCTTCAGTTGGCCTTAGGAGGAACATTCTTAATCTCTGGACACCATGGATCTTGAGGAAATGAGACTCTTTTCCTATTCCCATCAGACTTCTGTCATCTCTTTCTCTTACTCCCTGTGCCATGGTCATTGTGAGTGGTTTCTTTCCTTTATTTTGTCTTCACCATCTTCCAGAAGCCCCCAGTGTACCTTTTCCCAGAGCACTGATTTATGGAACTTGGGCACCTTTCCTGCTTTTTCATTCTTGATAAAATCACCCAGTTGCCTGGTTACATCAAGGGAGTAGAGCTGACACTGGGCAAAATTCTCCAAAACAAGACACATCTAGCTTACTCACCAACCTTCCCAAACCTTCTGCCAGACAGTTATGGAGCCAAGAACTTGGATTTGCTGCCTAGAAAAAGACACTGTATAACCTGCTACTTTCCTTCAAATCATACCAAAGAAACGAATTTAGGCTAAGATCATCTTTAAATAATTATTCTGTCAGACTACACTGTCTTGGTTCAATTGGAGCCTGAACGACTGTGTTTCTGAACCTTCTGTAGAAACAGGCTGGGCAAAATCTGTAGGCTCTTTGCTACCTGTTTTGGCCTCACTCAGCTCCTCTTATCTGCAGATTTGGGACCTCATAAAGCCTCCAGCCATTCCTGATCAGGACATAGCTTACAACAGCAGCCTGGTGCCCATAACCTGGACAGCCTGGAGTGAAGTCACACTCCCAGACTTGATGTTCTAATGACAAGAATGAACTCTGACTATTTGAGTGCCCCACAGTCCTGGGACTTCCTGACTCAGGATGAGACTTTGCCAAACTGGGCATTTGCTACCATCTCTGCCCTGTGGTGGCCTGCTGATTATGTCTTGCATTATACTTTCTCTCTCTATGAATGGGTTCTAACTTGAACTCTATCTCTGTGGTTGGGACTTACACTCAGGTCAGTTTCTTTCTTCCATGCTGGGATGGTGGTGGGGAAGTGCTGAAATCTACTACCTGAACTCAGTCCTCTCAAGTTACTGGTTGAGGTCCTGCTAAGAATGAATGCATCACTTGAATTGGCATCACCTGCCTGTATGTATATACATCTCTCCAAATACCTGAGCTCTTCCCTTTTCAGTACTCCATCATCACCTGTCTTCTGTCTCCCACCCACTGCACCCTACCAGTAGCCTTGCCTTGCCTAAATCAGTGCAGAACAAACTGTACCTGTCAGACTTTGTGTCTTGAGCCATCCAGTTGTCTTTGCTGGAACCAGCCTCTTCAGCTGAGCTAGTTGAAATTCAATAAGCATTCATGGATCTTCTGTTATGTGCTAGGGGACAGAGAGCCAAGTATGCCTCAGTTCCTACTTCTAGGAGTCCACAGCATTGCCTAGAAAAATGTCCCTCTGCTGGCTGGTGCACATCACTCATGGCCCACTGTGTATCACATCTAAGTCCGTATTCCAGCGTGGCAGAATTTCTCACAGCTGGAGGCAAGACTGAATGCAATGTAGGATGAAATCTTCTTGTTAGTTCAGGCAGAAGCAACACTGGGGTTGAAATTCTCCAAGTAATATTTCCATTTGTCTGGGGGAAATCGATGGAGCTTTTCTGCTTACAAAGGTGGAGGGAGTTGGTCAGATCACTGGATAGTCATAGTCTGATAGAAATATGCAATAATGTTAATATAAGATTTATTCTATGTGTGCCGATAACTTAGGGACGGCCTTGAAGGCTGTGAATTTTTGATGGTTTGTTGCTTTAGGCAAAACCAGTGCGTAACCTAACAGTGATGACAATGATAATGATAAAGTTGGAAAGAAAGTTAAGAAAAAAAAAGGGCATTCATTGTGCTTCTGACACGTTCCAGTCCTTGTGGAAATGGAATCATCCAATACTAGGAGTATTTCCCATCTACAAATCTCAAAGACCCTGGGCATGGATAGGATGGTATTTCTTGTAAGGGATATTAGAAAGATTTTTAAAACCACCTCCAGCTTAAATTTTTCCTCTTACTTGGAAAAGCTATAAGCTTTTCATGCTATAAGCTGCCTTTCTTTACAGAACTATTAAATTATCCTTCAGATACAGTTAAATTTTATGGCCAAAATGTAGAAGATAAATTGGGAGGTAAACACATTACTGTATTCATTAAAACATGCACTCCATAAAACTGATTCTACTCTTCAAAAACATTTATTCCATCAGCACTGGGAATGGCTGAAAGTGATGGGGAGTACGTATTAGGAAAGGCTACCACATGGTAACACAAAATAAGGAGTTAATATATCCAGTTCTTGTTCTTTGTACTGAGATCCCTCAGTTTCTCTACAGGGATTGACCAAGCTAATGATGTGTAAGAGATGCCACTGGTTGACATAGACACAAAGTGTCCTGGACACCTCTGAAGGAAGGCATGCTAATTTGAACAGATCCTTTCACCATCAAGCTTAAAAAATGGCAGCAAACACTGGGCTCTGTGGACTCAAGGTTATTTTAAACCAAAAGTATATCATCAACATAGCTTGCAAACAGTAACTTTCAGTCCCAGAGGACTCCGCAGGCATTGCTAAGGTGCTTTACTGGTAGAAGTCCTCTGATTTCATTTTCACTCTGGATACCAGTTTCATATTTAAGGTCTGTAAGCAGCAGTAAGGGGCTTCTGTATGGAGTATTTTCTCTGCAACTGATAGTCCAAGACTGTCTGTAATGAACAATACAATTTTCAGGCCAGAGGGGTGGACTGGAAGCTGCTGAGATAGGATTCTAAGGACCTGGATAAAAGGAATCCATTCATTTGGCTAAGGAAATCTGTCACTTCAGAAAAATTAGTGATATTTTCCAAATCACATCAATGCCAAGGAGCTAACAGAACTTCTTGGACATAAAATAGTCATATTTTTCAGAGAAACTTGATTGCTATTTGGAATTCTATTGTTACCTTGTTCAGTCTCTCTCATGTATTAATAAATGCTTTTGGTAGTAGAAACATTCCTTGTAATGTAAGAATTTAGGTTCCAACCAAAAGAATACATATGAGTCTGGAAACCAATTAGAGTCTTTCTCCTCAGGAAAGTTTATACACAGTGAGCCCCCAAGAAAGTGTAGATCTGTCTCGGGAAGGTCTAGAGCCAGGAAATCTCACAGTGAAGCCAAATGGTGGCTCATTCAGCTGCAGTGACTCTTCTGGTCTTTTCCATAGGAACTTCTTTCACTGCAGACCAGCCGGTAGCTTTTCAGCAACTGAAAAGCTCAAGACTCCCTCCAGCACTGCCATCTTCATTTAGTATCCTTAGGGACCAGCCCATCCAGAGGCAGGACCTTGACTGTTCTCTATGTATTCTTGTGTTTTTGTTTTTGACTGTTTGATTCCATCTACGTAAACAACTTTTTAAAATTGACAAATAAAAAGTATGTATGTTTGTGGTATACAACATGCTATTTCGATATAGGTATCTATTATGAAATGACTAAATCAAGCTAATTACCATATCCATCACCTGACATCCTTATCATTTGTGTAATGAGAATTTTTTTCTTTTTTTTTTTTTTTTGAGACGGAGTCTCGCTCTGTTGCCCAGGCTGGAGTGCGGTGGCGCGATCTCGGCTCACTGCAAGCTTCGCCTCCCAGGTTCATGCCATTCTCCTGCCTCAGCCTCCCAAGTAGCTGGGACTACAGGCGCCCGCCACTACGCCCAGCTAATTTTTTTGTATTTTTTTTTAGTAGAGACGGGGTTTCACCGTGTTAGCCAGGATGGTCTCAATCTCCTGATCTCGTGATCCGCCCATCCCGGCCTCCCAAAGTGCTGGGATTACAGGCGTGAGCCACCGCGCCCAGCCTGTAATGAGAATATTTAAAATCTACTCTCCTAGCAATTTTCAAGTAACAATAATTAACTATAGTCACCATGCTGTACAACAGATCTCTAAAACTTATTCCTCCTATTTAACTGAAACTTGTACTTTTTGACCAGCATCTCCCCAAACCCCCACCCTCCAGTCAGTGGTAATTATCATCCTACTCTCTGCTTCTCTGAATTTGACTTTTTTAGATTTCACATATAAGTGAGATCATGTGGTATTTGTATTTCTGTGCCTGGCTTATTTTACTTAACATCATGTCCTCTAGGTTAATCCATATTGCCATAAATGACAGAATTTCCTTCTTTTTTAAGGCTGAGTAGTGTTCCATTGTGTATACATACCACATTTTCTTGATCCATTCATCCATTTGTGGACATGTAGGTTGATTCCATGTTTTAGCTATTGTGAATAATACCACAGTGAAAGTGGATATACAGTTATCTCTTCAACATACTGATTTCTCTTCCTTTGGGTATATACCCAGAAGTGGGATTGCTGAATCACTTGGTAGTTCTATTTTTAGTTTTTTAGGGATCTTACTTTTTTCCATACTGGCTGTACTAATTTACATTCCCATCAATAGTACACAAGGGTTTCCTTTTCTCCATATCCTTGCCAATGTTTGTTATCTTTTCTCTTTTTGGTAAAAGCCATTCTTACTGGTATGAGGTGATATCCCATTGTGGTATTAATGGTCAGTAATGTTGTACTGATGGTCAGTAATGTTGAGCACCATTTCATATACCTGTTGGCCTTTTGTATATCATCTTTTGATAAATGTCTATTCAGGTCTTTCGCCTGTTTTAAAATCAGGCAGTCAGGCATGGAGGCTCACACCTGTAATCCCAGCACTTTGGGAGGCCAAGGCAGAATTGATAGCTTGAGCCCAGGGGTAAGAGACCTGCCTGGGCAACATAGTGAGACTCTGTCTCTACAAAAAATAAAAAATAAAAATTTAGCTGGGCTTGGCGGCTTACTCTTGTAGTCCCAGCTACTTGGGAGGCTGAAACAAGAGGATTGCTTGAGCTTGGAGGTTGAGGCTGCAGTGTGCTGTGATCACACCACAGCACTCCAGCCTGGGTGACAGAGTAAGACCCTGTCCCAAAATAAATGTGTAAATAAATACATAAAATTAGGTTATTTGTTTTATAGCTGTTGAGTTGTACGAGTTCCTTATATATGTTTTGGATTTAGCTTCTTATGAGACATATGGTTTGCAAACTTTTTTTTTCTATTCCGTAGGTTTTCTCTTCACTTGTTGATTTTTTTTCAAGGCAATCCCATTGCCCATTTTTGCTTTTTCTGTTTGTACTTTGGGAGTGATACCCAAAAAATCTTTGCCAAGACCAATGTGAAGATTTCTCCCCCTATATTTTCTTCTAGTAGTTTACAGTTTTAAGTCTTACATTTAAGTTGTTAATCTATGTGTATGCAGTCCTAACCATCAGCTCATGCAGTGGACTTCAGGTGACTTAGCAACAATAGCAGCAATGACAAGAGTAAAATAGTTAACACTGATGAAGCACCCTCTATGTACCAGGTGTTGGGAAAAGTACTTTTTTTTTTTTTTTTTTTGAGACGGAGTCTCACTCTCGCCCAGGCTGGAGTGCAGTGGTGCAATCCTGGCTCACTGCAAACTCCACCTCCTGGGTTCATGCCATTCTCCTGCCTCAGCCTCTCAAGTAGCTGGGACTACAGGTGCCCACCACCACACCTGGCTAGTTTTTTGTATTTTTAGTAGAGATGGGGTTTCACCATTTTAGCCAGGATGGTCTCGATCTCCTGACCTCGTGATCCGCCCGCCTTGGACTCCCAAAGTGCTGGGATTACAGGCATGAGCCATTGTGCCCAGCCAGGAAAAGTACTTTTTATACTTTATCCCACTGAATCCTCACAATGACAATGTCAAGTAGATATTATTACTCACACTGTACAAAAGAAGAAATGGAGGCACAGAGGTATAAAACAATTAACCCTGTTGCACTGCTGGTAAGACAGCAAAGCTGGGATTCAAACTCAAGTCTATTTGAGCCTGAGTCTCAACCACTGCTACCCTACACTATTTTCTCTAAAAGTTGTCACTGTTTGGAGAAGAATATTTTTTTTAAAAAGTTTACTTTTTCTGTTTGGGGAATTTATATGAATTATTAAAAAATTGAAAACTCAAGTAACATAGAAAGTAGAGAAAAATTATCACCAATAGTCTTACTTTTCAGACAATCTGTGGTTAATATTCAGTTACATTTCTATGAAGCATTTTCCTCATACAGAGTTTTCGTAGGATTGTGATAATTCTCTAGGGAAGACCTCGCAGACTGCACTTCTCCATTTTAGAAACATGATAAATGTCACTTATAACTGCTACATATTATCATAGCTAATGAATGCAACATGATCTTCTTGACTCTTCCTCTCTTGATGGACATTTAGAATCTTTTCTTTCTTGCTTTTTTTCAGTATTTCAGATCTTTTTTTAAAAGAAAGATACTCTTGGCTTTCTAGAGTTAAATGAGGATATCCAGGAAGGGGACAAGGAGAGAAAAAGGAGATTATCTTCGTGGTACTGCCTTTTTCCACAAGAAATAATCCCATGAGGAGTGGGGGCAGGCTTAGGGACTTTGCCCTGCCATCACCATGCATGGAAACATCACTCCCACATCTTGACAGGCTGCTCTTCACCACCACCGCTTTCTCTTACTCCTCCCCAGGCTCTGAGTGTGAAGCTTAGAGAGGGAGAATATGAGGATCTATGGGAAAAGATCCTCCTCCTCTTCTTTCCTAGGGATGAGAGGTCCTCATCTCCAAAGGGCTCATGGCCATTTCAGGAGTATCGCATTTTCCTGGGCTTGCAGGAAAACAGACCAGCTAGTCATCTCTCCTGGGCAGTGACTATACCCCGTGGAGGCAGGTGCTTGTTGGGTTCTCTCACATTTGGAGAAGCAGTGAGGATTGGCAGCTGGATCATCACAGACTGAACCCACAGCTCCTCCTCACCTGCCTTTCAAGCAAGGAGGGTGAATTCCTCCTCTCCTGGTAGCAAGTCATTTATGTTCCAGCTGTGAAAATTTGATCAAAAAAGGATGAACTTATTTCAGTGGATTAGAGTTCATTGCATATATAGTCCATCATCTGGAAATTTTTACACTAATTAAAAATAAAAACAGATTTTCTATTATGTGTTTTTTTTCCTAGAAAAGATTTAGCCAAGCTTCAAGGGCCAAACCATCTGAATTAACTCTGATTCCCAACTCCAGATTTGAGATCTTTGAGTTTCGAAAATATCTCAGGGGGTATCATGACATCTACAGCATTTGCAAAAAAAAAAAAAGAAAGAAAGTGTAATTAATTAAAAAAACATAATCACCTTGACCATTACACATTATATACATGTATCAAAATATCACATGTACCCCCAAACATGTACAACTATATCAATAAAATACAAAAAATGAAAAAACACAAGAATTTTGAAAGTATTTAAACAAAATCATAGCTAGCTGGGCGTGGTGGTTCACACCTGTAATCCTGGTACTTTGGGAGGCTGAGGTGGGAAGACTGCTTGAGCCCAGGAGTTCAAGACCAGCCTGGGCAACATAGCGAGACCCTATCTCAAGTATTTAAAAAAACAAATCAAAACATCATCACCTATAATACTTATGTTTAGAAAAGCAGGAGGTAGCTTAGGGGAGAGCTTGATGGGGTGGCAGGAGCACCGAAGTGGGATAGTGAAGGCCAGAGTTAAATAAAGTGTCTTCTGGTTACCACCCATGTCATTTCTGGAAGCCAGCCTCTCTGAGCCTCAGTTTTTCATCTGAATATGGCAGGGCAGGAGCTAAAATTCAAGCACATACTTCTGTTCGAGACAGCTCCTGCCAGGGCCACAGGGAGCCTGCAAGGAGACCCCGAGATGACATTTGCTATGTGGGGTGGGATATTCTCCCAGTGTCTCCTGACATGCCAATTACCCAGTAGAGCCCAGGACCTGCTCAATGTTACCCTGTTGACTTGCCCTAATATATAGAACAAAGAGTCAGTATGAGGCAGATCTTTTAAAGGGGCATTCACTAAACCTGCCCCATGGAAAAGAGGAGTGTTCTAAGGCAAACTTGTTCCCAGATTCAGTCCTGGAAATCCCCGTGCTTCTGGCCCACCTCCCCACTATGACCTGTCCTGCATGCTTGTGTGTCTCCTCTGTCCTTTCTCAGGAATGAGAATCTGATCACACACTGGCCCCATTCTGCTCCTTCCATTTGGCACCTGATTTTGGTTTTGGACTTCGACTACCCTTTAGCTTCTTTCTCTGATGTCCTGCCCTTTACAGCACATAATTACCCAGAGTTTGGAGTATTCCAAGCCCATAGGAGTCCTTTAATTTAAGTCAGGTTCCTTGGGCCCAAAGTGTGTTAGGAAGAACCCTGAGCTGGAGGTTAGAAGACCTGTGTTCTTGTGGCACTTACTCTGGTAAGTTTCTCAATGTGATATTGTGATATAATAAATATATGTTTGGTCTCTGCTCCTGGTTCCTGGCATAGAGCTCCTACAATTCTTGTAATTTCCTAACTGATGGGGTGCCAAGGAAATCTTTTGTTCTAATACTTGGTCTTTGACCCTGGATCTTGACATAGAGTTCCTAATCTCTTAGAATGTCCTGGGCAAAAGGAGTGTCTTTTGTTCTAATGAGGTGACTGTCAGTGGGCTTCTGGATGGGGGCTGCTCACCAGAAAGATCAAGATATGATTAGAAGCTTGGAAAACTTTCAGCCCCCTATCCCACTATCCTTAGAAAAGGGGAGAAGGGCTGGAGACTGAGCTGATAATCAGTCAAGCCTATCCAATGAAGCCTCCATAAAAATCCCTAAAGCACAGGGTTCAGAGAGCTGCTAGATCACAATATGTGGAGGTTCTGGAAGGTGGTGCCCAGAGAGGGCATGGAAACTCCGGGGTCTTCCCACATACCTTGCTTTCTGCATCTCTTCATCTGTCTGTTCATCTACCTCCTTTATCATATACTTTATTAATATAACAAGTGGTAAACATATCTAAGACTTCCTTGAGTTCTGTAAGCTGTTTTAGCAAATTAATCAAACCAGAGGAGGGGGGTCATAGGAACCCACAGTTTATAGCTGGTGGATCAGAAGTAGAGGTCAAAACCTGGGACTTGTGACTGGCCTCTGATGTGGATAGCAGTCTTGTGGGACCGAGCCCTTAACCTGTGGGATGGGATCTGATGTGATCTCCAGGTAGATGGCATCAGAATTTAATTGAGTTACGGGATGCCCAGTGTCTGCTGGAGAATTAGTGTGTGTGGAACAGATCCCACACATCTGGGCACAGAAGTGCTCTGTGATGTGTTGAGCATTGAGTGTGTGACAGCAGGAAGTGTGCCAGAGTAGGAAATGATTTGGGTTTCCCACTTAACATCTCTAGGCCTTAGTCTCTTTATATCAAACTTTAAGGAAGAAAGTGTGAGTGGATGGGTACAATCTCCCTTGTTCCAGAATTCCGTGATTGAGCAGTGGGAAGTTCTGAGCTTGTTAGAAAAAGAGAATGTTATAAAAAATCAAAAAGCATGGGGGAAAGGAGAGGGTGGGTCAGTGTGAGACTACATCATTATCAAACTCCAACCCCGAGTGAGTTTGCAGAAAAACGGGAGAGTGGAGAGTTGTGCTATGAAGCCCCCTAAGTGAGAAGCTTCCTTCTTGACACACAAGGCTGTAACTCACTCAAAATGTATTAAGGCTATAAACTGCAAAGAGCTCTTCTTGAAGAATTTATGAGGGGCCTGAAAGCTGTATATTTTCTCTAGAGACATCTATTGTTTGTTTATAATGTGTGCATGTTTAATTTGCAATAAAACCAGAGGCACTACTGTACAAATAGCAACTCATCCACCCTCAAGTGCTGTCTTGGAAGAAGGAGGAAGGGAAGTGAGGGTGTTGGGGGGAATTCAAGGAAAATTTATCACTTTGCCCTGCGAGCAGAAAAAATTTGAATTGTTGCCTAATTGCAAAAAAAGCTGTCCTGATGTGCTTATAGAATAGGTGACTGTCCTGGAGGTCACCTGGGGGTGGAGAGGGAGGCGGTGGTGGTTGGGGTGGCCCTTGAATATCTCCTTGTCTCAAATATTTTCTTATCAGAGTTCCACACCACATGACTTCTCCCTCAGGTGATTCCTCCTTACATATGGGGTCCGCAGGTGAGTGACGGGGACTCACAGACCAGTGATCTGAAGGGTACTTCAGGTCCTGATTGTTACTGGAGGACAGCAGCTGGGAAATGGGAGTTTGGATGAGACAAGTACTAGCCTAGTAGGAGAAGAAACGCTGTGCAGGTGCTCTAGAAGAATATACGGGTACTGGGTTGGCGGCGGGAGAAGAAAACTCAGCCCAGAGAAGGAGGGCAAGGCTCTGAAATTTAATGAGAGTCTCTTATGCCAGGCTGGGGGCAAGTGCTTTAAATACAGGACTTCTTTCAATGTACTCAGAAACTCAGGGAGATTGGGATTATTATCCTCATTTTGTACAAAGGGAAACTGAGGCACACAGTAAGTAGTGGAATCAAGCTGTCTGACTCTGAAGGTCATTGCTTTGAGCCAATGTGACGTATGGCCTTGTTGTGGTTGGTCTCATGAAAGGACCAGCTTCCTTGTGGATCCGGATGGGAGACTCATCTTTTCTCCCCGGGAGGGTTCATAGGACGCTGTATTGGAAAGATAGATCCTTGGTAGGGGATGGAGGGTCTTCATGTTTTTACCAGGAGCCCTTGATTCTTCAAACACGGGCCTGCTATAGCCCTCTTTATAGAAAGGCATGGTGCTCAGGTTCCATTTTATTAGTCAAAGTCATGGAGGGGATTGTGAGCCCCCTGTGTAATGATGGTGAGCATCTGTGTCCCAGATTCAGTCACATATTAGTGGAACAATGTGTTCTGATGTACCCATAGGTGAATGTTTTCCCCTCCTCCCCTCTTAGGAAGGTAAGCTTTGTGACATCAAAGACCATCTCTACCTTTTAACCCTCAGTTTCCTTGCATCTCTCACAATGTCTGTCTCAAACTTAATATTGTAGGATGTATTATTTGATGAATAAAGATTTGGGGACATAGTTCTTTTGGAAAGCAGAGACTTGCTGTGCCAGGCATGGTTTAACAGTTGATTCTCTAGCCTTCAATGCTGGGACTGCAGATGCTACATTTTATACATCACTTATCACACTAGAAATTCTTTTTTCAAAATTGCATTGTTGGCCTTTGGATTGGAGTAGTCTCCTCTGTGGCCGCTGGAGAAGGGGACAGAGACCCCCATGGCTTGTCCCTCACTGTCAGGACTGGCATTCCTCACTGGATTGTTCCTGCAGCACACTTGTACAGAGCTTGTGCCTGTTGCTGCTGCCCTCCGGAGTACCACCTGAGGATCGAGCCAGGCGCAGTAGAACTCGGAAAGCATTTGGAAGAGCTGGGATCCCCGGGAAGTAGGGGCTGGCTCTTGTGGTGGTGTCCCTGCAAGGCAGAGCAGTGGAGGAATTGACAGATTTGCAGAGGGAGCCTTCTGTTTAGTGTTCAGTGGGGCTGTGGGTGATGACTTAATGCCCTGGCTGTCCACCATCTTGGGTCTGAATGAGAGTCCTTACCAAGGAGGCATTTTCTTCCTGACCATGCACTTCCTTACAGCTTACTCTTTTAAGACACCAGTGGTTGCTTTCACAACCAAAATGGATCTCTCCAATATGCAGCAATGGTAGCATCTGCCTCTATACCCTGTGTCTCAGTGGTCTCCAGCACTAACCGTGTCCAAGTTCTTTTACCCATCTGTTCTCTGCTCTGCAACCCCAACCCTGCCGACCCTCTGGTGTGTAGAGACAAGGCTGACAGAGAGGATTACATATGCTTTTTCGGTTATGTTTGCATCATGGCTTCCCCAGACAGCCCTAGATGGTACAATAGACTGGCAAGATTAGACCCAGTAATAGGCTCTGCCAATACCTTGGAGGTTTTACAGGAGATATCATCCAAGAGAAACTACCCAGGCAGAGAAATCCCTTGCTTGAAGCTCTGAGTTGTTGGTTATTTACCTGATGCTACAAGCTGTTCACACAGAGCTCTCTGCTCTGTGAATGCACAAGTTCATTGCTTTCTGTAGCTTTTGTATGTTGGTGCCACTCTTGGCCATTGTGGTTTTGATTTCACTTGTTTGATGCCACGTCAGTTGCTGCTGTTACTTAACGATACAGAGGCCTCCTAGTTACAACTGGAATTCATCCAGACTCATCTACTTATCTCTTCGAAGCCCAAGGACCCTCTGCGCCTCTCTGCTTGGCTGCACACGGGTGGTACCTCCTCACCCAGGACACCCCACAGGGATCTCAGCTTGGTCCCCTCACTATGAGCCCTTTGCCTTTTAGAACTGAACACCATCCTGGTGTGCCCAGGGGAGAATCTGGAGAGTTTCCCTCAAAGCCCAGTCTGCTGCAGACTCACATCTGCAAGCATCCAGCTCATCCTGGGAGGCTCTCAGGGAGCCAGAACAGGGGTGCCAGGAAGCGAGGGGATTTGCTCCTGCCAGCTCCCACCTCGCTTTATCTGCCGTGCTGTCATGCTGGCCTTTGTCCCCTCACACAAGCTCTTAGCCCCCACTTCCCAAAAAATTGCATGATGCTGTAGCTGGGTGAGAAATGGGAGTTCCTTTGAGATGCTTTTAGGAGCACCAGCTGTGGCTGAGGGACTAATCAGATTCTCTGCAGGCCGGTCGGAGCCTGATTACCCTAGGCTGGACCTGGCTTGGAAAGACTCATAAGAATCCCAGAGGACTGGATTCTTGTCAACACCGCCTCTTGTTTTATGGCTGCACATCCCACTCTAGTACCCAGTTCCTTCTCTCCCAGTGGCTGAATCTGCCTCTGTCTCTAGGCAGGGCTAGTCACTGTCTAGGAGGAGGAGCTGCTTCTTGTTCACAGTGGACTCCAGGTGACTGGCAGTGCTGCTGCTGCTGCTGCTGCATCCACAGAGCCCTGCTGCTCTCACAACCTCTTGTTTGTGGCTGGTGGCTCATTAATTAATCAATTAATTAAGCAAAATTTATTGAATATCTACCCAGTGCCAGGTCCCATGCATTGGTGCAGGTTCTTTAATTGTACCTATCAAAATATAATCAAAACTGTTTTACATATAAGGGAGTTTGTCATAAGGATGCAGGGGTGTTTCATAGAATCCAAGGACAGGAATGGAGCCAAACCTCAGGAAGGGACTGGAAAAAATCACCAGACAGTCTCTGAAAAACCATCATGAACCCAGACGTGCTCTCATCTGGTCCCTAGTCTCTGCTTGAACATCTCTTTCATTCTTATTTCTTGGAAGACTGGTCTTCTTTGCTGTTGGTTTGTGTAATAGGTACAAGAGGACCACGGCTATGAAAGACAAACCTCCTGAGAACACCAGGTCAATTTAAGTGGCCATTGTGAGTTGAAAGGTTTCTACAGTGTGCCCCTAGGCTTGGGGATTATAGAGGCGAGTACAACATGGCCTTGCCTTTAAGGAGCTGACAGGTAGTGGGGGAGGTACAGATAAATACACATTAAATGCAATAAAATAAAGCCATAGTTCTCAACTGCAGGTGGATCATTTTGTCCTCTGGAGACATTTGGAAATGTCTGGAGACAGTTTTGGCTGTCACAACTGGTAGTGTGGGGGGGGGGGGGGGCCGGGGGGGGGGTTGCTACTGACATTTAGTGGATTGAAGCTGGAGATGCTGCTAAACATCCCATAATACACAGGATGGCCTCACAATAAGGAATTATCTGGCCCAAAATGTGGATGGTGTAGCGGTTGAAAACTATAAAATAAAGTAAATGTATAACATGTAAAGATAGGTTTAAATCTGTGGCTATGGCCTGCCCACCTTTCTCCAAAACACCTTCACCACTTCTCCCTGAGAGCATAAGATATCTAAGGAACTGGGCCCCTGACTAGCCTGACTTCTCAGAGTGAGGTGCATATGCAGATTAGATACTTCCTCCCCCAAGCACACCCATCTGCCTTGGCGTCTTACTAGTGAAAAGCCCTTATTGCCATTGTCATTGTGGGACAAAAGTCTGGACTCTGGCGGAGGGCTGTCTTGGGAGTACAGCTGTTCTCCATCCTGCCTGCACAGTACAGTCCCCTAGGAAGCTGTGGGCATGTCCAACGTACACCCAGGTCCAGAACTTTTGGTTTAATTGGTGATGGCTTTTATTTGCCAGTAGAAGAAACTGAGAGATCTTAGGAAAGCTGGGTCAGGCCATCCATAGAGCTCTTTGATTTTGGCAAGACTCTCACCGAGGCTTTGTTTTCTCATCTATTAAGTGGGAAAACACCTGCCTCTTAGGATTATTGAAAGACTCAACAGAGGTAGTGAACGGGGAAGTGTTCTGCAAATCTAAAGCTCTAGACAGGTATTTCCCCTAATATTAGAGCTGGCTCTTGACAACACACTGTCAAGGTTTTCATTAAGTGTAAGAAATGATAGCCTGGAAATGACATGACTCACCTTAGAGGGTGATGGACTGCCGAATCTGAATGCATTTAAGAAACAGGAGGGAACCCAGGTCCCAGGGTCTTAACTAGGTAGGGACTGTATAGCCACAGAGCTAGTCTGCTCCCTGTCCACCTTTAGATGCAAAGTACTTATTTATGGAAAAAATGGGAGAATGTTCAGGAAAATTGGAATCTCTTAAATAGCATATGAATGAGGGAAGCAGCAGCAGACCTTGGAAATAAAGCAACTCCATGGGGTTCTATTTTTAGAGCACACAGGTCCATGACTGCATTTCATCAGCAAAACGGTGCTGCTTCAAGGCCAGGGCCCACCATGGGCAGGGCAAAGTCTCGTGCTTTCTCTTGGGAAGTGTCTGTCAGAAGCATTCATTTTATTCCACAGATGTGTCTTTGGAAGTAAAAGAGGATTTCACACAAAATGAAAACAAAGTATCTTTCTGACAGACAGGTAAATGCCCCTTTGCAAAGGCAGTAATAACACATTTGTCGGGGAGGCGAGGAATCTCGAACTTATTTTTGATATAGATTCAATTGCTCCTTTAATCCCAAATAACCACTCCATAAATGTATGAAACAGAGCAGCCTAAGGATAATTGCTGAAATGGGAAAGAGGCAAACCCACCGCTTTCTATCTTGAAAAGATTTTGCCTGCCTTTCAAAAGTGGTGTATGTAAGAACTGCTACAACTAGCATAATGCCTCCCTGGCTTCTCCCTGCTGCAGACATGCTCGGAAACCAGCCCTTTCTCACATGCCCAGGAGAGAACGGGAAGTACTCTTTTGTAATCACCACTATTGCCCCCAAAGTACGCAGATTGAAACATCAAAAATTCATGGAATAATAGATGTCAAAGACGGAAAAGAGGCACTGGGGTCATGGATCCTGTCTCCAGTGGTCCAGACAGCAGAAATAATGATTGTCCCTGACTCAGACAGCAGCTCGCACTTGCCTCACCGCTGAGGCAGCACAGACTGCTTGCACATCATTTTTAGAGGGAGGACGTCTTTTCTTCCAAAGCCTATCTCTGATTGGTGTTCAGGCTGTATTTACTCAAATACTTCCCTTTACCTCTTCTTTACATACTTCCTCTAGGTTTGGTGACTCCAGGCTGAGTAGAGACAAGTCCAGGTCAATATTAGAACCACTTGAGTATAAAGATGGTTTAGTTCATGGTCAGAGTAATGGGTAAAGGCCAACAGCAGGAAACCACCAGGATTCTTTTTTTCGTTTGTTTTGAGACGGAGTCTCACTCTGTCACCCAGGCTGGAGTGCAGTGGTGCGATCTTGGCTCACTGCAAGCTCCGCCTCCTGGGTTCATGCCATTCTCCTGCCTCAGCCTCCCGAGTAGCTGGGACGGGTTCCACTGTGCTAGCCAGGATGGTCTCGATCTCCTGACCTTGTGACCTGCCCGCCTCGGCCTCCCAAAGTGCTGGGATTACAGGCGTGAGCCACCGCGCCTGGCCAGAAACCACCAGGATTCTAACAGGGGACTATAGATTGTATAGCCCAGGGAGGTCACCAAAGTCATGGTCTAGATTTTTGGACTGGAATTAGAGATGTTTCCTTTCCTTTCCAGTGTGCTTTGGCTATCGTTATGTGTTTACTGATGTACAATCCATACCAGGTCCTGTGCTAGGTTGATCATGGGAATACAGACATGAATGAGATACAGAAGGAATTAAAGAACTAATTCCTTTTTGTAGGAGTTCTCAATTCAATGAGGTTTATAAACAGGGAGCTTTAAAATAATTGGAAATATAGTAAGAGAAAAATGCCTGATGCATCATGGAGCGTTGGAAAGGGGCACCTGGCCTTGCCTGAATGGGGATGGGTGGTCATTAGGTCCAAGTTAGGAATAGTGAATAAGGACAAATCCAGAGACAGCAGAAAAAGAAGGAGGAATCTCTACTACTTGTAGAAGGATGACTTGGAAGGGGCAGGGGATCATATTTTATCCTTCAATGTTTTGGACCTTATGAGATCAGATGTGGCTTTGCTTCCATCTTTTACCATCTTGACGGAAGACAAATCAATACATGAACACCTCAAATGTTTTGGTTTGAATCATTTGAACCCTGAAATATCAGGCTGTGTTAAAGACTGAAGTCACCTCGTGGAGGGGACTTACAGCAGGTGAGGGTAGTGGGGTAGCAATGTTTGTATCTATAATGATATGACCAAAGCATCCGTAGGACATGTGAGTGTGGCAGGACTCAAAAAAGCAGTGAGCACTGGTCCATATTCCATCTGGGAGAGAAAAGCAGATCCTCTCCAGACTTCTCAGGGTCTTTAGGCAGTGGTTCCTGAGCGTGGCTACGTTAAGACAGGGATTGTGTGGTTACAGCACAGTTGAGGCATAAGCTTGTCAAAATAGCAAGCCATGCCATGCCCTGGCCCATGCACAATGACCCACATCTTGATTTGCATTTCCCTGCATCCTGCACCCTGGCCACAGCACGGATCTTTCTATGGTATCTTCTCTAACTTGGCTCTTTCGACATCACTATGGCTTGGTGTTTCTACCAATGGCATTCTCCTACTTTGGTGTCCATAACTTAATACTCCTTCCAAGCTCCTGTTTTTGGCTTGATACTTCAGGTGACTTGTATATTTACCTGAACCTTCTAAAATTTGGCACTTATTCCTTTGATATCCAGTGGGGTAGTAATTGCTGTCAGCTCAGCTCTTGTTGCTGCCTCAGTTCTCTCATTTGTTCTGTTGCCATTCCTAATTCCTACTATTCAAATTAGACCTTGACCTTCACCACTTCAGGGAATGGCAGGAATGGAAAGAAAATCAGACAAAAGTAATTATCCTGATGTGAGAAACTGGTATGGTAGAATAGTTAGCTTACCAGTTCTCTCTCCTCCCTATTTCTACCAAAAGAGAATTTGAAGAGACAAAAGAGGTGAGAGTGAAGGAAGACAGCGTATGCAGGTGAGGGTCACTGAGAAGGGGCTCTCCAGTGTTAGCTCTAAACTGGCTGCAGAATGTGTATCCTCCAGAAAATACAGGGGATTGCCAATCGATGGAATCCTGGGAGGTAGCAGCTCTGTAGCACTTCTCCTGCTGTGTGGTATGGGATCAGGGAAAGAAAATCACTGTATGAATATTGGGGCAGACAGGACCTTAGACAACCTACTGGCTTTCCTGCTGCCCCAAGAAGAATGGGAGAGCACTTGAGCTTACTTGTGGTCCTGAGACTGGAGTGGGAGTTGGCTAAAAGAGTATCAGAGACCCAGAGGGTGCCTCTTAGCTAAGACAGAAAAAGTGCTTTGCATACTTTTGTTCACTCATGCCCATTCATGTCCATTTTGCCAAAGCAAGTCGCATGGATGAACCCAAGCTGGGGCAGAATAAGGTCTTTGCACAGGCGTATTCTTTGCTTTTTTTAGTAGGAGCAAAGTAGGAGATCAGCAGGACTTGTTTTCTGTGCGTGAACCCAAACAAGATCTGGTCAAAGGAGGATGCAGTAAAGAAATCGGCTGAAACCAGCTAGGACAAAGGTAGTGATGAAAGTGACCTCCAGTAACCCTCACTGCTCATTTGCAGTTGCATGCTGTAAGACATACCTGCCACCACTGTTTACAAATGCTGGCATGGCAACATCTAGAGATTAACTTATATGATACTGGAAATGCCCCACCCCTTTTCCAGAAAGTTCATGAATAATCTGCCCATTAATTAGCATATAATTTAGATTGGGTATTAATATAGCCAGCCAGCAATCCAAAAATTCCACTCTGGGCAGCTCTGCATATGGGATAGCCCTCCTCTGTCTATGGAGCAGCCATTTTGCCATACGCTTTTGCTCTAATAAACATGCTTTATTTCACTGTTGGCTTTCTCTTGAATTCTTTCCTGAGTGAAGCCAAGAATCCTCTAGGGCTAAGCCCCAATTTTTGGGTATGTTTGCATCAGGAGGAACAGGAAAGTCACAATAAAAGGGGATGGATCCAGCGAGGGTGAAGAATTGGAGCTATTAATATCATCTAGCGCAGCAGCTGAGAAGAGGGTCAAAACTGGGTATTGCAGGAGCCATGTTAAAGCTATGATGTACTACTTGGATGCCAGGCTTAGAGCTCAGTATGGAGCAGAAATGTTTCAGGAAAAGGGTGGAGCAGAATTTGAAGGGGATGGCAGATGGACACATGGCCACACATCTGGCTTTCTCTTGAATTTCTTAATACCTTGGGATAACTGCTGACATGATTCCCCAAGTTTGAAAATCTTGCGTAAAGTTGCTTAAGTAATGGATTCATGTTTACCAACCTAGGTAATTCAAAATATACTAGCTGTAACTCAGTTTTCCAAATCCATTTATCTTGTATGGCAGAAGAATGATCAACCAATCTATTGAAAGCCACATTAAGGTACTTTTGGGTACTGAAAGATATATAAGCCATTTATATTTAGATGCTCTTTTATTGGCTATATTTCTTGCTGAGATATGTCCATATGTCCTCTTTGGATCAATTCACTAAGTAGAATCAATGCGGTGGTCAGCATAAATTAAGAGCCTGGAATTCCATAGTAGCCTTAGCCTTCTGTAAAGCCTCATTCTTTTCATCCTCTAATTTCCAACTCCTTCAAGCTGCTACTTTCTGTGGACTCAGGCCCACTGCATTTCTTAGCCAATTCTGATAGCAGGAAGTACACTGGCCCCACTCTGGATAGAGTTCATTAATAACCTGTTGTGGCAGAACTACTATTCCAGGGTGATAGCTTGATGGGGAGCACCTGAGCCATAGCATTTCCTACCCTGGCCATCTTAATACTTGTCTAGTGGGAGCCTTTCATTTCAAGCCTCTGTTCATGAGCTGGGCAGTATGATGTCAAACAGCAAGTAAAAGGATTTGGCAGTTCTGTTTTCAAAAGTTATTTTTAAGCTGCCCTACTCCATATCCATGCTTGTTCTCCAACCTCTCACATCACTGCAGTATCTTTTCCTTCCAGTCCATTTCTTCCAGTGTGGCCACGCCCAGTTTCTCCTGGCCCTCAGCTGGTCTCCTCCTGACTGACTTAAGCATGGCTCAGATGAACTTGGCATCTTGGCCTTTGTTCTAGGACCCTCACTCATGAAACACTCCATGAACTGCTCCATGAGAATGAGTCCTTGGTAAGGCATGTGTGCCTGTATGTGTGTGGGGTGGGTGGGGAGGGGGTGCTCATATCTGTGTGTTGCTTCTCTGACTCCATCCATGGAAGGACCGTGGTTAGAAGATACTTAGGCTCCTAACTCGATCGAAGGCTCTGATCTGATCGTTAGCACAGTCAGCTAAATTCATAACACGTTCAGTTCTTGTCAATTTCTTTTCCCTGGGAATTGGACAGACCACATTCCTTGTGTCCTCCCATGACTGGCTGGAGTCTTGTTGTGAAAGACTAGATTGACCATGATTTTGATGCTGTTGCCTACCTGGGCTTCAAGTGTCACCTGCCATCAGAACTTTCTCCTATAAATTTTCTTATTCCCCAGCTAGCGTCCCTTTGAGCTCTGTGTTTTGGGTAACTGAGATATTTCAACTAGACCAACCATTACAGCCAGGTCAGTTCTCCAATGCCTAGCCAAACTAGTCTCTCCATTCTCTGCCTTTACTCTGTTTGTGTTGCCAGTGTTCCTTATGCATCCTCCTCTCCCTCTGCCAGAGGAATGACACTGGAAGAAGGGATGCCCAGGCTGAGGCCATAAAGGATGACATTGCCCCTTTCCATATTCAAACTCACAATTCTATCAATAACAGCAGTCTGAAACCTGAGCAGATGCCTCAGGAAAGGAATCAGAGCTGCAGGTGAAGAGGGAATCTGAAAATAAAAGATTGCGAAATATTTTCTTAAAAACTCCAGTCTATAGAAATGATTGTTCTGTAACATTTACCAAAATGTCAGTGTTCTCTAGAGCTCTCAAACACCCATCCTGGTGATTAAGAAATCAATAATTAACATGCAAATCTGAAAGCTCTAGGCAAATTGAATATTATTTACTGACTTCATAAGTGGTGGCTGCTCAGCAGTATGAAAATAGTTCAGGATAATTAGGATTTAACAACCTTCAGACATGAAGAAAATAAATACAGGCTTCTTGATGAATGACTTTATTTTTATTTCATTATTGTATTATAAACATTCTTGGTTTTTCAAAGACCAAGCAGAAGAGAGAAAGGGTGGTTTTGAATATTTAGCATATTCATAGTGACAACTCCCTTCCATCTCCTCCACTGAAATCCTTTGGGGATTCTTGAATAGAAGTTAAGTTCTATAGTCTAAGATTGCAAGGTGACCTGAGTTGGTTGGGAACCAAGAAGTACTGCACAGCACAACTGAAGAATGACTAGGACAAATGGTCAAAACAAGCCACTATTTCAGATTATCTCATCGCTTTATAATGCTTGTCTTGGATGTACCTATCCTGGAACACATGGGTACCACTTCCTTCATTTTTAAGTGCATTTCAACTTCTGATTTCATATTTCAGTCACTGTATTTTAGGGACCTTCTGGCTTCATCTCTTCTTGGTCTGGTATCTCGGCGTTCTTCCCTGGCTCTACCTGCTCTTGGTTCCTGGCAGTCACTCCCAATAAGTTCCTCAGTTCCAGGCATCTTGCTCCTTGGGTGGTTGGTATTTTCTGGTGCTCTCCTTAAGGCAGTCCATACCTGAAATTTTCAGCCCCCTTTGTGTATTATATTTGTTGATCATTATCAGTTTTCAAATTTAACTTTTAAATAGAGTTTTTGTTGGAAGATAACATTCATATAGAAAAGCACATAAATCATAAATGTGCTCCGTGTATTTCCATCAAGGGAATACACCCACGTAACTACTAACCAGGTAGAGAAATAGAACATTAGCAACACCCCTGCAGATACCCATTACCCCCTCTCAGTCATTATCCCCACTCTCCTTCTCTAAGGTAAACATAACCTTAGCATCACAGATTTTTAAAAACTTGTTTTGAACTCTATAACTGTATAAATAAAATCACTCAGTGTTTTTGGTGCCTTGCTTCTTTGACTCAATGTTATGTTGTGGAGTCAACCATGATATTGCCCATATTAGGATGGGGCAAAGGTAATTGCGGTTTTTGCCATTAAAAGTAATGGCAAATCTAATAAACTGCCAGCACTGCTGGAATAAAGCAGACTTACTGAGTCTTCCAGCCATCATGTTTCTCCTGTGCTGGATGCTTCCTGCTCTCGAACATCAGACTTCAAGTTCTGCAGCTTTTGGACTCTTGGACTTACACCAGTGATTTGCCAGGGGCTCTTGGGCCTTCGGCCACAGACTGAAGGCTGCCAACTGTCAGCTTCCCTACTTTTGTGGTTTTGGGACTCAGACTGGCTTCTTTATTCCTCAGTTTGCAGACAGCCTATTGTGGGTCTTCACCTTGTGATTGTGTGAGTCAATACTCCTTAATAAAATCCTCTTCATATATATATCTATCCTATTAGTTCTGTCCCTCTAGAGAACCCTGGCTAATACAGAGGACATTTAGATGGTTTCTATTTTTTGATAAAATTGCTAAGTGATGAATTATAAGATTGCTAAGTGATGAGTTATGATGAGTAAAATTGCTAAGTGATGAGTACTACAGTTAACTTTAGTAGATACTGCCAAACAGCTTTCTACAGTGGTTGTACAAATTTACACTCCACACAGCAAGATCCGAAAGTTCCAGTTGCCCCACCTCCTTGCCAATATTGATACTGTTTTTGTTTTTCATTTTAGCTATTATGTTGGGTGGGCAATGGTATTTAACGGTGGTTTTTAATTGGCATTTCCTTGAAGAACATCTTTTCATATGTTTATTAGTGATTTGGAAATTCTCCTTTTTGATTGGATTATCTGTCTTTCTTACTGTGTTTTAGACATTCTTTCTATATTCTTGGTATGGTTCTTTGTGGGTTATTTGTACACACTGCAAACATATTTCATCAGTCTAAGGACCTCAGACTTTCATGCCTGCTCCTAAACCTCTAAGTCTGTGTCCTAACTTTTCATAAATAAAATCTCTTAATTTTAATGTAGTCTAATTTGTCAATCATTTTCTTTGTTAGTAGTAATTTTTGTGTCCTGTTGAAGAACTCACTGGCAATCGCAAGGTCATAAAGATATTTCTCTATGTTCTCTTCTAGAAGAATTATTACTCTACCCTTTACTTTTAGATGTACGATCCATTCAGAATTAGTTTTGGGGGAGTATGATGTGAGATAGTGGTCAGCATAAAATTTTCCACATATGTATTTGTGATGGCTTTTGATGTGTGAACTTGGCTTGGTTGAACTATAATTCTCCAGAATTTCCTCTGTGGTATGCTCCCACCAATTATGGTGGACTACCAAGGACATTCTTCATGAAATTTGGGGCACAGAAGGAAGGCAATGGCCACTGTGTAGTATTTTTCTACTTATATTTTCCCAGTTATTCAATCAAGTGTAAAACTATAAAACTTTTAGAAAAAAAATAGGTCCTGAAAATTTCCTCCTGTTTCTTCTAAAAGTTTTAGAGTTTTACATTTAAATTCATGATTCATTTTAAGTTAATTTTTATATAAGGTGTGAGGTTTTAGGTGGACTTCCTTCCCTTCCTTCCTTCCTCCCTTCATTCTTTCCTTCCTTCCTTCCTTCCCTCCCTCCCTCCCTCCTCCCTCCTTCCTTCCTTCCTTCCCTTCCTCCCTGCCTCCCTCCTTCCCTTCCTCCCTCCCTCCCTCCTTCCCTCTGTCCCTCCCTTTCTTTCTTCCTTCTTTCCTTCCTTTGCCTATGAATATCCAATTGCTCTAGAATTTTGTTGAAAATACCTTTGTCAAAATCAATTGGGTGTATTTATTTCTGCGGGTCTATTTCTGGGTTCTATGTTCTGTTCTATTGATCTATGTGACTATTCCTTTGCTAATACCATGCAGTCCTGATTACTGTTGCTGTATAATAAGTATTAAAATTGGGTAGAGTGATTTCTCCCTTATTCATATTTTTCAAAATCTTTCTAGCCACTTTAATACCTTTGGCTTTCCATATAAATTTTAGAATGAGCTTGTTTATATCCTCCAAATCCTTTCGAGGATTTTAAACTGTATTAATCCTATGTATCATTTTGGGGAGAACTGACTTCTTTACTACATTGAGTTTTCTAATCCATGAGTACGGTATGTCTCCTCATTTATTTAGTCTCCTTTTCAGAGTTTTAAGTCTTCAGCATAAAAGTCCTTTACATGTTTTATACCTAAGTATTTTATTGTACTTTTTAGTGATTGTAAATGGCATTTTATTTTAAATTCATTTTCTACATTTTTACTGCTAGTATATAGAAATACAATTGACTTTTGTATTTTGGTCTTGTATCCTGTGACCTTATTGACCTCTTACCTGTTCTAGAATTTTCTTTGTGTTTAGATTTCTTGAGATTTTCTATGTAAACCGTCATGTTATTTGAAAATAGGGATACATTTCTTCCTTTCCATTCTTTATATTTTAATTTATTTTTCCTTTTAACTCTTTTTCTTGCCTTATTGTTCTGGATAGGACTTCCAGTACCGTGTTAAGAATGGTAAGAGTGGACATCCTTGCTTTCTTCCCAGTTTTAGGGAGAAAGCATTCAGTCTTTCACCATTTAGTATAAATAGTGTAAGAGGTTTTTTAGCTGTTTTTTAATCAACTTGTGGAAATTCCCTTCTATTCCTAGTTATGTAAGAGTTTTTTTTTTAAATCATGCATGGATGTTAAATTTTGTCACATGATTTTTTTTCTGAATCCATTGCTATGATCACGTGATTTTTTTTTTCCTTTGGCTGTTAATATGATGGATGACACTGCTTGATTCTGACTCTTTTGAATATTGTCCAGTTTTGTATCCCTGGAATGAATTTTCTTGATCATGGTATATAATTTTAAAATGTTGAATTTTATTTCCTAATATTTTGTTAGTAATTTTTATGTCTATTTTATGAGGAATATTGGTTTTTAGTTTTATTTTTTGTATTTTTTTTGTCTAGTTTTGGCATCAGGGTAATCTTGGCCTCTTAAAAAGAGTTTAGAAGTAGTCCCTTCTCTTCTGTTTTCTACAAAGATTGTGTAGAATTGTGTTAAAATTTCTTCAAATGTTCAGTAGAATTATCCAGTGAAATCATTTGGGCCTGTAGGTTTCTCTTGAGGGCATTGTAAAATTACAAATTCATTTTCTTTAATAGTTACAAGGTTATTCAAATTGTCTATTTCATATTAGGTGAGTTGTGGTAGTTATAATGTTTTTAATGGCTATATAATTTGTAGTGATGTCCCTTATTTATTTCTGCTCTCAGTTATTAGTGTTTTCTTTTCTTCTTTTTGTCTTTTTGGTTTTTTTGGAGACAGGGTCTTGCTCTCTGTTATCCTGGCTGGAGTGCAGTGGCATGATCTCAGCTCACTGCAGCTTTGACCTCCTGGGCTCAGGTGATGCTTCCACCTCAGCCTCCCGAGTAGCTGAGACCACAGGTATGTGCCACCATTCTTGGCTAATTTTCGTATTTTTTGAGATGTGATGTCACCATGTTGCCCAGGCTGGTCTCAAACTCCTGGGCTCAAGCAATCTGCCTGCCTCGGCCTCCCAAAGTGCTGGGATTACAGGCGTGAGCCACTGCACCCAGCCTCTTCTTATTTTTTGGTCAGTTTAATAGGGATTTATCAAGTTTGTTAGCCTTTTGAAAGAACCAACTTTTGGCTCTATTGATCCTATTATGTTTATTTATTTCTCTTTTTTTCCTATTTTTGTTATACTTTAAGTTCTGAGATACATGTGCAGAACGTGCAGGTTTGTTACATAGGTATACATGTGCCATGGTGGTTTGCTGCACCCATCAACCCGTCGTCTACATTAGGTATTTCACCTCATGCTATCCCTCCCCTAGCCCACTATCGCCCAACAGGCCCTGGTGTGTGATGTTCCCCTCCCTGTGTCCATGTGTTCTCACTGTTCAGCTCCCACATGCGGTGTTTGGTTTTCTGTTCTTGTGTTAGTTTGCTGAGAATGATGGTTTCTAGCTTCATCCATGTCCCTGCAAAGGACATGAACTCATCCTTTTTTATGGCTGCATAGTTATATGTTTATTTCTTTAGTTATCATCTTTAAATAATTTTCTTCCTTCTTCTTTATTTTTGGTACTTATTTTGTTGTTGTTCCCCCCAACCCCCAACTCTTGAAATAAATGTTTAGATTATTCAAATTTATTTTTCTAACATATGCATTGTAAGGCTATAATTTCTCTCTACAGTTTTAGCTACATCCCACTGGTTTTGTTATGTCAGATGCATTCATTTAGTTTAAAGTGTTTAAACTTTCCATTATGATTTCTGACTAATCAGTTTTTATTAATTTAAAAATTTATTAATTCCGCTTATAATTTTCGAAGATATTTTTGCTGTTTATAGAATCTAGGCTGGCAATTATTTTATTCAGCACTTTAATGAAGCATTTCATTATCTTGTAATTTCCATTGCTCAGCATAATGTTTTTGAGATTCATCTATGTTTTTATGTATATTAGTTGTTTATTCTTTTCATTTTTGAGTAATATCTCATTGTATGAATGTATCATAGTTTGATATCTGTTTATCCATTTATGAACAATTGGGTTGTTTCCAGCTTTTGACTACTAGTAATAAGGCTGCACAAATCTTGTAATGACATGTTTTCACTTTTCTTGTATAAATGTCTAGGAATGGATTGGTACCTTATATGGTAGAGTATGTTGAGCATTATAAGAAACTACCAAACTGTGCTCCAAGTGGTTGTACCATTTTGCACTCTCACCAGCACATGTGTGAGTTCCAGTTGGTCCACACCCTTGTCAACCCTTGGTTTTGTCAATCTTTTACATTTCATTCATTCTAATATATTCTAATATAATCAGTCATTACCTTCCCCATCATTAGTGCCTGGGGATTCCAATTCCTCCACATCCTCTTATTATCTTGTTATTATGTGGTTTTTAAAAATTATAGCCATCCTAGTGGATATAAAGTGTTTCTCGTTATGGTTTTGATTTGTATTTCCCTGATGACTAATGAAGTTAAACATGTTTTTATGTGCTTATGGCCATTTATGTATCTTCTTTTGTGAAGTGGCTGTTCAAATCTTTTGCTCATTAAATTTAATTTTACATTCATTTTGGCACTAAGAAAAATGAACCACAGAAAGACGAGTAATTCTTCGGAGACTGTATGACAGTTAGGGCACTTGATGGTCAAACTTTCACGTGCCCTTGCTGTTGGAACACTGTCAGTCGTGGACTCTGAGCCTGTTTCTCCTGTTGGTGACAATGACAGTATTATTCTTTCTGAAGGCCCAAATGTCTTTCTCCTAAAACCTGCTTCTTGATGCCATATGCTCAGTCTCCAGCACCGCAGACCTGATAGTTATCCCAGATCCTCCCCACTCCCTCCTGCTCCATATACAATAGGCTGTTTCAACCTGTTTGGTTTCTCTTGTCTTTTTATTTTTATTTTCACCCCTGTTGTCATTACCTCTGATCAAAGTCAATCTCTGAACATTTTATACCTTGGATTTATATATATATTTTTTTCACAGAGTGATATTTCTAAAATGCCAATCAGACCCTTTGCCTTCCCTGCTTAAAAATCAGTGTGCAGGCTCCTTATTGCCTAGAGAAGGAAATTTAAAGTCAGCAAGGCAATCAAGACCCTTCTTAACTAGATCTTGCTTTCTCATCTCCTCATTCCCCACTCTCTCTCTTACACTCTACATTTCTGCAAAACCAAATAGTATGCACCTTCCTGAACATTCTGTATTGTTTCACATCTTTCTTCATTTGACTATCTCACATCTAATTTCATTTGTCTAGAATGTCAATTCATTTATTTATTTAACTCCTTTTTTTCCCTTTTTTTAGAGCAAGCTGTGTTTTGGCCACTGTTCTAGGTAGTGAACATAGAGAGAGCCAAATGTCCAAGTCGGCTGAACCACAAAATCAATGCATCCCTTGATTTCTCCTCTCCATCCGCTTCCTCATAGCTGCCCCCAGGAGGATTCTCATGTGTGACTAATCAGAGTTTTAAAGCTGGGGTTTCCAAAAGAACCAAGACTTCATTAATAGAGCAAATCACAGAGGCCACCCTGTCTGCACACTTAGGACTGAGGTTGGCCTTTTGGCCTTGCGAATGGAAGATGCAGGATCAGGGAAAAGGCTGGGGTCACATTGGACCAGCTTGGTTGTTACCCTGAACAAGTGAATGAGACTTTGACCCATGGGGCATGCATGGAGTGGTGCATAGCGTGGCAAGTCCTGCAAACATGTAACCCCCTGTTGGCCCTGGCCTGCAGAGTTAGCCTGATATACTATACCCAGAGAAAGAAATGGAGGAAAGTAATAGCCACAAGAAGCTGAACAGCTGGTCCTTGTTTTTGCCCCTATGCCTTTTAATCCTTAGTGCAACTGGACAGGTAGTTTCTTTTATCCGCTCATTCTTAAAAAAAAAAAAAATTAACTTTAAAACATGAGACAACAGACTTTGGCGAGGTTGGGGGAAGAAAGTGTTAAGTAACTTTCCCAAGTCACACAGCTAAGAAGTGGCAGAGCCAGAACTCAAACCCAAGCCTGAATATCTGAAGCCCAGGACCTTGCTGCCAAACTTGCTCTGGTTGGCGTGTACTGTGACCTGGTAGCTAAACTAGCATTCAGCTTTATTCCATCCTTCTGATTCCTCAGGGTGTCAAAAACATCTTAAGAAGCTGGGGAGGGCAGTACCTCCCTGCAATTCGGGGAATCTGGCTGAGTCGGTCACTGGGACAGAGTGGAGCCCCCAAGTGGAGTCCTGCTCCTGAGTGGAGTCCTGCCACATCTGCAGGACACGCGAGGTTGTACTGTGTCTAATGGCAGAATATTGCAGGAGAAGGAATAGTGCCCCTCTCTGTGTGTTTCCTTATCTGATGAATGATTTAGAGAGATGTCTTATCTCAGAGAGGCCCACTTCAATTACGTGCATGAAAGAGGAGCTGCTGAAAGTGCCTGTTTTGGATTATTTATGAAGATGGAGAGGAAAGAGGCTTCCAAATAAAGACCTGTAGAGAAAAGGAACCTGATGATGCAAAAGGAAAGAAGAGAGAAAGGGATTGGGGAGGGGGAGAAGAGAAAGAGGCAAGGGCTATTGTTACTGTTTGTTGGGGTACAGGTGGGGTCATCAGTAAGGGCGGGGGAGAAGGCAGCCTGGGAGATGCCGAGTGAATGATGTAGGCTGCTGTCTGTCATGGTTACAAACCCTGGACTTGGGATCACAGCTTCTGCTGAACCGACACCCACATCTATTGATGGTCACGTTCAAGTTGTCCCCAGCTGAAAAATTGAATGGCCTTCTACATACCCTTCTGGTTCCAGCAGAGGAGAATCCTATGAGGTGAACCTAACCTGACACTGTCAGCTATGATGTGTAAAAGACACCTTTTACCCTGCGGGAGTTTATCCGTCTTAAATGACCTTCCATGTCCATCCTCTGGGACCTCTTTCACCCATCATCTTTTCCCTCTTTTATATTTTAGCTGTCCTCTCTCTTCAGGCATCTTCTTTCTCAATTTATGAATAAAACTCTGTTTTCCTTAACCTTGCTTGACCTCTTTAAGCTTTGCTTTGCTCAGATGTCAGAATGGGGACAGTGTCAACTACCTTGCTGAGCATTGGTGAGGTGGATAGATAAGGTAGTATAGGAGAGCGTGGCCTACTCACAGGGTTTTGATTAGCTAGTGTGCCTTTCCTGCCTTTATTTTTTTTCCCAGTTTTCCTTCTAGAATTGTGCTGTCCAATATGCTAGCCATTAGCCACATGTAGCTATTAACACTATGTGACAGGCATCATGATTGCATATGAACACCTGCAAGCCTCATTATTTGGTTTGGAAACTCTTGCTCTAGGCTCATGTCTACATCCCCCATTTGTTTTCTCCATCTCCATCATCTTGATTCATATTGCATGTCTCTATTCCTGAGACACCCCTATAGTGATTTCAATATGCCATATGGTGTACATATAGACACACAGACAGGCACACAGATATATGTGTATATTCACATATATATTTAGGATAATAACTTTATTGAGATATAATTTACATACCATAAAACTCATCCTTTTGAAGTGTACAATTCAGTGGTTTTTAGTATATTGAGAAGGTTGTGCAACCATCACCACCATCTAATTTCAGAACATTTTCATCAGCCCAAAAAGAAATCTTGTACCCATTCTCCCCTCCCCCAGCCCCTGGCAATCACAGATCTATTTTTTGTCTCTGTGAATTTGCCTATTCTGAATGTTTCATAGGAATAGAATCATACAATGTGTGGCTTTTTCATGTGGCTTATATTTTATGTGAGTCTGGCCCAATTATAATCTCCACATCTGGTGAGGATCCAGTCAGCCAAGTTTGTATGATGCAGGCACAAACAAGTACATGGAAACTTAATTTTATTTATATCCATGTAACCCTGACGACCACTTCAGAAAATGGATATTGTAGCCATTTCACAGGCAAGGAACCTAAAGCACAAAGGGGTCATAGAGCTGGCCTAAGGTCACATATCCATTAAGTCAAAGAACTGGGGTGTAAGCCCATGTTGCTTCATTTTTTAAAAAACTCCAGTGTTTTAAAACACTTCTTTTTCAAGTTCTTCTCTTCTCTGAACCAAGCAGAGTATCTGACGCTCATGCATGTGTTGTGAAATGGTTGAATGATCCCAGCAATTAATCAGCTGAATTATCGGTGGCAGCGGGGAAGGGAGTGGCCCTGAACCCCAGGTATTAGCCTGCCAGCCCTGAGGCTGGCCCATGCGGTTGCTGACACTGAGCAGTAGCATGGGCCCAGCAGGCCTCTCCACTCATGCAGTGCTGTCTGGCTGCCCTGGAGATGCTCTGCCTCCAATCCTGGCGCTCCTCCTCACCGAGCCATTAGTGTGTCACTGGGGTGCAGCAGCAAAGCCTCCCAGGGCATTTTTGGGGGCTTCATGCTCCAGGAGGACAACTTCCTACAAATCAGGATAGATGGCAATAGGAACCCAGTGGCGACTGGGGTCACCTAGAGTAATTTAAAGTATAAATTGATTTCTCAGCTGGAGGCAGTGTTGATGTCCTGCTTCTTATTTGTGCTTCATTGTGCATATCCCCTCATGTGGAAAATTAACAGGCAAATTAACCCTCCACACAGCTAGCCTGGAGGAATAGGCAGGGCTCCTGCATGTAATGCAAACTCTCCAGGTAAGAAGGAGGCTGGTGACAGCATCAGAGGAAGGGGGAGGCCCATGTCCCAGGTATCTGGGAACATCACCAGTCTGCACATGGGCCACATCAGCCCTACAGGCTCTGGAAAGGGAAGGTTATGCCACTCACTGAGATGTGACTTTGTGGTGTGACTTTGTGGTGGCCATGGTGTAACACTAGGGAAAGGGTAAATTAGACACAAAGAAGCCAGATTAATCAGAGCTCCATTCACAGGGAAGGGTACCCCCCTTTCTCCGAGAATTTTGGGAGCAGCTTACTTTTCCTCTGTTTCTGACTACCTTTTCCAAATTGCTTGTGGTGTCATCTTCTGGCTTTTGATCAACGTCACTTGCTTATATCCCTTTAGTGCAAAAGGTCCTAATGAATCTAACCCTGCCTGCACATGCTCTCCATGCCCCCACCATGCCTCCACCGTGCCCCCCTCCAGCTCATCTTGTATTGTTCTTCTCTTCATTCTGTACATTGTAAGCACAGTGACCTTCCTTTAGTCCTTCCTTGTTTCTGCTGCCTCGGAGTCTTTGTATATACAGTTTCTTCTGCCTGGAATACACTTTCCTTATCTTTCCTCTGGGCTAAACCCCTTACCTTTTCTCTGGGCTGAACTTCCCCACTTCCTTGGGGAAGCATTTTCTGATTTCACGCCTCCCACCTTGTATCATTACCTGGGCTCATTCTCCTGTATTTTTTGGTTAACAGCATTCGTCAAAGTTGTAATTAAATAATGAGTCTGTAATTAGTTGCAAAATGACAACCTTTCCCACTATACTGTTGGCTCTAGAGAGCAGAGACTGCATCAGCCTTCTTCATTGCTGTACATCCAGTGTTGAGTACATTGCCTGGAATATACATCCTCAAAAAGTATATGGGATGAGTGAACATCATTCTTTCCGAGATTTTAAACTTGGCATTTCCAGTATAAACTTGCTGAGCTCTGAGGATCACATTATAACCCATATAAGTCCAGGTACCACATGGTCTAGTCTTGGTGCAATATCACATGCAAAGAAGCACAGCTCAACATTCACAGGAAAGTTCCCTTCCATTTTTAGCTCATTTTCTCTCTCATCCTGCCCCCTTACTCCCAACATTGTATTTGGTGGATTGACTTAACTCTCTGGCTGTTTGATTGAGCTAGTGGTAAAATGACCTCTAACTGCCAGGCCTTTTTAGGTAGATTAGTTGGGAGGTTCTTGCTGTGGTTCAGGTAAGAGATTATCATATCATAACCTAGAAACCAGTGAGGCAGACACATTTAAAGATATTTTTTAAGAGTTAAAATTGTTAAGGATGTTAAGGACATTGGGTTTAGTATCCCACATCAGTCTCAATCCAGATGATTAGTCGAAGTTACTCATGTTAATTTCATCATACTATTTTATAGGGATTAATTTTAAATGATCATTTGTCTCAATTATATTCTAGTCTGAGATATGAGAAGAAGTCTAATGGGGGCTTTTGGGGAAAAAGAAATCCCCCTCACAGAGAGAACCATGGAGGGAAACAGTATCACGCCATTGCTGGATGTGAATACAGAAGTTGCTGTCTGATTACTGTATCTCTGATGACTACTGGCACAAGGCTGGAGGGGGACAGCCCCAGAAAGGACATCAAGGCAGAGATGTGGAAAGAACCTGAGCCTTCGCTGACATCACTGAGTTGCTGGTTGTAGTGGGCTCTGGAATCCCCCATACCTTGAATTCTGGATATATGAGATGAACTTTTTCCAGTATTTTAAGCCATTTTGTTGAATTTTCTGTCACTTGCAGCAGAGATCATATTGACTAATGTAAGAGGGACAGTGGTATTTCAGTGGGCACAGGAGTGCCTCTGGCTTGTAGGAGGCTCTCCAGTCACAGGGACCATGGGCAGGCAGCATCATGTTTCTCAGTGACCATGTAGGGCACTGGGGCTCCCAGGTTCCCTTCTGACCTGCTCAGGATGGAGCTGAGGCAGCAGGTGGGGGCCTCAGTTGGGAAAAGGCAGAAAGTGACACAAACATTAAATGGTGAATCCTTCTTTTGAGCTTTCAATCTGCATTAAAATGGGAAGGTAATTACTACTGATTTTTTTTTAAAAATCAGCTTAAATTTTACTCTTGCTCTTCTTAGATAATATATTTTGAGGAATATTTTTTCTCCCGCAGAAATACTGTACTGCAGTAACAGTAATAGAAACCAACATATAGGAAAGGGGGAAAAAAGAATCTCCTATTACCCTACAACCAACACAATCAAATTATTTTCTTTGCCCATGCTTCCTTGAAATTTCTTGTTCATATTCATTCAAAAGTGTGCAGAATGGTAATCATAGCCCGGGAATCATTATTATTATTATTATTATTATTATTTTTACTGGTGTATGACATTCCATGCTGGGAAGTACCCAAATCTATACAACTTGATTATTTTTCAGTTGTTCACTCTTGTAACCACCCTGTAGTTCAAGATATAAAACATTTGCCTGGGTATCATTTTGGTAGTTTGCTCTTTAAATTTAATGTCATCTCAGCAGCATGTTACCCTGCTGTGTATCCTAAGAATTTTTTAGTGTGCTACATGGTATTCATACTGTTCACTATTAAAAGCTTTAAAAATTTAATCAGATGGTTGCAGCACAGTTATCGGAGCCAACCCACATCACTGGACATTAAGGTTGGTTAAAATTCTTCCAAATTATAAATAATGCTTCAATGATCTGTACAGTAGAGGTCAACAGTTGGCAGCCTGTAGGCTGGATTCTGCCCACACACCCATTTAGCTAAGCTTGCATGGTGTTGGCACTCAGTATTTTAAAGAATATTTGAGTTTTGTCGCAGATTTTAAAACTTACATGGAAATCTGTCTGGATTTCCTGCTTCCTTGATAAGGCAGAAGATCTGGCCACATGGGCCACATTCCCAGCAGTGGCAGTCATGTGGGGCTGAGTAGGGGCTGACCTCCTTGGAAGGGACTTGTGCCCTTCAGCTTCCCACAGTTGCTATGACTCTTAATTTTCTTCTGACAGGATGATACATTAATTTACAGCATCTGCCTGGGCCCAGTAGGCATTTGAGTTTGCCATTCCTGGGATATAGGCTTTTTTCCTGATGCCTATAAAGAAGTCATTTATGCATGAGGTTGCTGATAACCCCTAGGAAATAATAAATACAAGCACATTCAGAAAAGCATAGCAAAAAGGAGCACAACTATGTGTCCAGTGTACCCCAGTGGCGATCACTGCTCATGACTTTAGCCCAGCCACGTCTTCTGTGAGCCTTGATTTTCCCAGGCTTCAAGTGAGAACAGCAACACCCACTTCGTGGGGTAATTGTAAAGATTTAATAGTGTTTGGCACATAGTAGGTAATCAACAAATTATAGCTAAGTAAAAAAAATATTGAAAATTGTTCTTTATGGTCAATTTATCCAATTATAGTTCTTGGAAGGCAAAATTTATTTTCATGAAAGTAAGATTTAATTTCCTCTAAATTTGCTGTTCATTCAAATACTCTCCGGAGACACCTATAAAGTTTTAATAAGAGCAACAATAATAATCATAAGTGGATAGGATTTAATAACGTTGTGCCTGAGTGTCTAAAGAGTGACCTTAATATTATGATTTGAGAGGATAAATTAAAATGTGCTGCATTGCTCAACCATACGAAGAACATTAAGATGGCAGAGAGTTGGTCTTTAACATTGTTGTTTGAACTGATATTTGGCCTTTTTCAGTTGTTAACAGATCCAGAGATTCTTTGTTGAGAGCATCTCTAGTAGTACATAGATGCAAATCTACAGGAAATTCTCTCCCACGTTTTTCATGGGATTAGACAATCCTTCAGTAAGTCTGTAATAATTCTGTGAGTAAGGAAGTCTGTAAATAATTCTTCTTCCTAAATGTCTCTCAAGTCAATGTACTTCTCTCTATCTAGACTGACACCTTCCATGCCTGAGCCTCAATGCATTCTCCACACAGCAGCCAGGGTGGTCTTCCAAAAACTCAACTTATATCATACAATTCTGCCTCTTAAAATTCTTCCACAACTCTCATTTCACTTCAAATACAACCCAAACTTCTTGTGATAGTACACAAGGCTCTGCATGATCTGTCCCTACCTCCTCTTCAACTTCATCTCACACAACACTCCCTCTTGCACATTATACTCCAGCAACACTGATTATCTTCATGTTGAATTGTTTCCCAACCCATAGGCCCTGCATATGCCTCACCTCTGCCAGAATCCCTGCCCCAACCCCACGGTCCCTCTCTCTTTGTAAGATTGGCTTCTTCAGGTCTGAGGTTAAATGTCATGTTTCCACCCTGTCTAAGGAGGTCCTCTACCCTTTCTCACAGTGTCCTATGCCTTCACGCCCTCCCCCAGACACCCTGTAGGATCAGGCTTCACTCACATGGTAATTAGGCTTCACTCACGGTAACCAGGATTCATTCACATGGAATCAGGTTTCACCCACATGGGATCAGGCTTCACTCTGCAGTGATTTTGTTTGTTTCCTTGTTGGTAGTTTGTCTTCCTACTCTAGCTAAGTTTTATAAGACCCGAGGCCACATTTCTTTCATTTACCAGTTACCTCCCCCGCTGCTAGCACATTGCTGGGCATATAGTAGGCAATAAGTATTTATTGATTAAAAGAATGAATAGATGGATGTAACTGCTGTGGGAAAATTCGGGGTAGTCTTAGGAAGGTTTCCTTATACTCTGACAACTAGAAAGAGCTTTAACCTAACCAGCTATATTGGCATGTAGTATGTTGTTGGTATTACTCACAAAGAGAAGTGTTTCAAAGGGCCTAGAGAAATTGAGAGCCAAAGGCCAAGATATGGTCAGTTTGTCTCTAGCACTGCCCAGGGGAGGACCTGGGTTCCAGACAAGTTAGCGCTTACATTTTTCTCTGGATATTAAAGGCTCAGCATTTGATTTATCAATCAGTGTCTTCTGAGTTTGGTTAGCATGAAGCAGAGCCCTTGGACCCAATCAGTTTTGAGAAAGCTGATAAATTGAATCAGCTGAGGGTCTGATGTACCATTGTCTCCCACTGGTGCTCAGCCTGGTGGTTGACCAACTGCCTCTGACACAGCTCTCATTGTCCTCTCCCTTAAGGTACTCAGCTCTGGTCTACCCTCCTAACTACCTTCTGACCTTGGCTCTTCTTCCCCTCAGCTTAACTTCTACCATCTCCCTTCTCCCTGTTGAATACCCTGAGATAGTAAACTCAGGGCATAGATTTCAAACTTAAGAACCAGTAAGCCAGGGCACATCTTTATATTAATAAACAGAAATTAACTCGTGTTTAGGTTTGGCATGATTATGGGCTGATTGGTAGCTCCTGCTGCTGAAGTGTGATATTCTAACCCAGCTCTGCTGGGTGCTGTAAGTGTCCAGGAAATAAAAAAGGAAGGAAGCAAAATTCTGGGCCCTGTGACTTGGGACTTAGGACTTCCCAGATGTGGAAGAACACTAATCTCTTGAAGAGAAGGACAAGATATAGTTAACACAATGAGAAGTCTGCAAAAGGGAAGTAAACTTCTAAATGTGGGGAGTTTTCCTCTCAGGGTCAGGGCCAACTAGTTTCCTTCCATTATTCTGGGAAAGTATGGAGAAAGCTACTCTTTCTGGTCTCCATTTTAAGTTCCCTGGTCTGAGTTGAGTCATTATTCCAACACCAGAGGAACCTTCTACTGGGAGAGTTTGCTGAGATCTGGTAACTTGTGGCTCATGAGAGTAAGAGTGCTCAGAACCATGGATCACATGAGTCTGTGGCTCAGATTGTTGCTGGCCACCCCCTAATCCCTGCAGCATAAGCATAATCTTAGGTAAAGTTATGAAGTTGAACATGTGTCTTATCTATGAACTTACACTATCTTGTCTGCAACATACACAACTCTCAGAACCTCCACCAATTCCTCTTCCCTTAGGCCCACTACTCTCATATTTATAAAAAGAACAAGATAGAAATAAGTGGTAGTAACAATAATAATGGTGGTATCCATCAGGATTCACCCAGGAAAAAAGAAATCACAACAACCTGCGTTCAGATCGCAGCTTTCCCACTTATTACTTGTGTATCTCTCTGACGTTTATTTTTTCTCTTAGCAGTAAAATTGCAAGGTCATTGTGAGGATTCAATAAATGTATGCAGAGTGTCTTTTGAACTCAATAAACATTCTTTTTTCCCCTTCTCAAGCATATTAACATGTTTTAAAATCATCTGGAGGGGTGAGGATTAAAACCAAGAAGTGCTGCTTTAATGGTGTAATTTCAGGCAGTGGGTGGCATAGATATTTTTGGATTTTGGCTCCTCTATGTGCTCCTGACATAATAATATGGAGGTTACTTTCTACTCTGCCTACATATAATGGCAGCTGGGCTTTGCCACTATGATTTCTGTAATGAGCATTCCTGGTCTTTGGTTCTGTCCTGAACTGATAATTGATCCAGTTCAAAGGTTTGATAGGAAAGACATTCTTTGATTAAGTTCTGTTCAGTTCTATTAAATATTTCTTGAATGTCTTCCTTTCTCTCCAGCCCCGTCACCACTGTCATGGTTCAGAGGCTCATCATCCCCTGCATGCATCAGTGCCTCGGCCCCCTAACGGGTCTCCCCACTGCTGAGCTCTTCCTCTCCGCTCCATCCTTCACACAGCAGGCAGAGTGATCTTTCAGAAACATGCATATGATCCTGTCAAGCCTTCGCTGAAAAGCCTTCAGTGTCAATGTGCTTTCTAACCGCAGTTGTTCTCCGCCTCTGGTGTCATGACACACTTGTTTGTCATATCAATTCTGAGGCAGATTCATCCATCCACCCATTCAACAACTATTTATTGAACGCCTACTCTGTGTCAGTTATTGTTGTAGGTGTTTGGGGGTACACCAGTAAACAAACAAACAAAAATCTCTGCATATTGCCAGAAACTTGATACTAGCAAGAGTTAAAGCCCTCAAGATCGTGAATAATTTGACTATTATGGTGGATGCATTTTATTTCTATAATAAAATTATCCTAAATCACTTGTATGGTGAGCTGCTTCTTGATGGGGGATAGAAGAGGGGATTTAGAGCTAGCAGTAGGGGAATTTTGCGTCAATCTCTGTATTCCTTTGGCAGTGTGCATATGAACAATATGATCACTTGTCTGAAGAAAAAATGTTAAATATTGCCACTTGTCTGTGAGATATGATACGAACCCTTTAGCTGTCATTGTCTGGCATCTGCTTACCCCATCAGCCCCATTCTCTGCCACTCCTGGCCTTGTACCTTATACTCTCTGATCCTTTCCTCTCAATTTCGTAGCGGTTTAATTTCTCACAGATAAGGGTTTTGAGGAAAGATAACTGAAATGTGTAAATCATTCCTTCCAAGGCCAGAGGTCCTATCCTTGTGGGAGAAGACAATAAGTTCATCTTGTAAACTGAAAATAAGTAGTGAAAGGGAAATTTGATGGGACCATCAGAATACCGCTAATAAGTCGCATTTATAGTATTTTAGAAAAATAGATTTCTTGGCATTTGATGAAAATAGACATAGTCATATGAAATAATGAAAATATGTGTTGGTATTGGTATATTGTGATTCATTCAAAAGTACATAACAAACACTTTGGAGGATGAAATAGCTTTGGAAGATGAGAAAGAATAAAACTTTATATAGGTATTAGTCTCATTTTGTCCATGTGTAAGAAAGAAATGGACAAAAATAAACTGGAGGAAAAGACCTTTACTATGTATACGATATGAGAAAACCCTCAAGAAATGCCAGCAGAATCTAGTTCTGATGGATTCCTACAATCAGAATTGCTTTTACACCACAAAGTGGACCTCCAGTTGACTCATTGTTTATAGCCTTAACTGAGCCGCGTGCCCAAGTCATCTCATGCTCTGAGTACATATTTTCTCCCAGTTCTTTCAACTTCTGATGTTGGGACTTGTCTTCCCATTTATGATATCAAAGTGATGCCTGGCACAACTGTGGCATGTTGAAGAGGCAGAAAGTAAAGTATCATGAAAGCTGCTTTTGCCTAGGTTTTTATAGAAAAGTGTGAAAACAGAAAACTTTAAGTTAGCACAGATATGTCTTGTGGAAAATGGTCTAGCCTGGAGTCAACAGATTGTGTTTGGATGGAGCCTCTTCCCCTACACTGTTTTATCCTAGGACATTAAGTATGGCTAGTTGGTGGTTCATCAGGGCACGATCCTCTCAGAGGTGTGGGAGAACTAAGTAATATCTAAGACATCCCTAGGATGTATTGAAGTATCTTGAAGCAAGAAACAGAAGTAGTGACTCAAAGCCATGAGTCACTCAGGAGGCTCTAAGGAGGAAGAGTACAGCAAGCAGGCACAGGAAAGCCTGTGATTCTTCTGGGGTAACTTTGGGGAATTGTTTTACAAGGTCCGCAGGGACAGGACATGTTAGAGAGCTCTGCCCCCAACCATGCTGAGAATTGCAGTGCTCAGCAGTTCTCTCTCCAAAAGGGCCACTGCTAATTATTTTGAACCTTACAGCCAAGGCTTTGGTGCCTGGCTTCTCTCCAACAGTGGATGAAATGCGGTGAGGGTTGTTCCTAGGGTGACCCTCACTTTGTAATTAACCCTCCTCATTAGCAGCTCACTTGCTTCCGATGGGCAGTGCACACATGTTTGTGGTTATGTAACTGCCGAACAGGGCTGGGCCAGTCATTTGTTGGCATCCTAATTGTCTCCAATCACAGGGAAATGAATTACAGTGAGAAAAGTAATGAGAAGTGGAGTACCCTGGCAGCCGGCCAAGGCCTTCAAACTATCAGCTGCAAAGCCTAGGAATCTGCCATCAAAGCAAGACACTGGAGGTGGACTTGGGCTAGGGAATCCAGAAGACACATGCCAAGCTGCTCAGGGAAGGTGGCAGGAGTTCGGGGAGGGAGTTGGGAACAGGGAAAGAGAGCACTTGAGTGAAGGAGAGAAGAGGAGAGATTCAGGTACTTTTCCTTCTTTGTGACCTCTCTTTTCTCCCTCTTCTCATCCTCTACTCTCTTCTGATCCTCAACAACCTCCAATACCACCCTAGCAGATGTATTAGCCAGGGTTCTCCAGAGAAACAGAACCAATAGGAGAATCTATCTATATTACACACACACACACACACACACACACACACACACACACACACACACACACACAGATCAGAGAGAGAATGAAAGATTTGGGATGAAAAGTCCCACAATTTCCCATCTGCAAGCTGGAGACCCAGAAAAGCTGGTGGTGTCATTTGAAGGCCTGAGAAGAACCAGGAGTACTGGGGGCAGGAGAAGATGGTTGTCCCAGCTCAAGCAGTGAGGCAGAGAGCAAATTCAGTCTTCCTCTGTGTTTTCATTCTATCCAGGCCCTCAGTGGACTTGATAATGCCCACTCACACTGGGGAGGGCCATCTGCTTTACTTAGTCCACCAATTCAAATGTTAATCTCTTTCAGAAAGACTTTCACAGAGACAGAGTTAATGTTTCACTAGCTATCTGGGCATCCCATGGCCCAGTTAAGTTGACACGAAAAATTACCATCATGGCAGTGATCTTGAGAGCACAGGAAGAAAAGAGAACACAGAGGAAGGGAGTCGATAAGAGGAGTCTGCACAGGTTTAAATAATGAAGAGAAAACAAAGATTGCAATGAACTTTTCTTCTCCATTCCACTGTGAGTCTGCTGCTGCTACTGCTGGTGTGAGCATAGGGCTGTTATGGGTTCTAGCCCCACTGTGGTGGGTGCAGTTGCTGCTGCTGCTGTAGTTATTTCAAAGATGGGGATTTCAATGATGAGTGACAACAGACATTGAAACCCTACAGCTTTAAGTCTAGATTACCTTCTACAAGTGAAATTAGAAAGAATAAAAATGTCATTGAATGAGATCAGCTCTCTATAGAAATGTCCCAAGAGTTAATAAAATGGGCAGTTAGTAAAAGGCAGTCAGTAAAAAGGAGTTTAGGAGTTCCAAGTCTATCAAGTCTCAGTCAAGCTGGAGAATCTCACATCTTTATGTGCATTTACTTGGCTGTAGCTGAAAGCTAACCATGGTCTATGCCTGACGGAGATTTGCCAATAGAGATAGCTGGCCTGCAATAAGCTTGCAAGGTGGATCCTGATGGCCAGATTTGTCAGTGAGTACCCAGCATTGTCCAGAGAAGAGGGCCTGAAAATTAGGCAGAGTATTTTTGACATAGAGAAATCCTCCCGTTGTAGGCAAGGGTGTTTCACGGGGGCTCACAACGGTTGGGTGAAATGTTCTTCAGGACTATACGACTTCCTTTGACGTACTGACTCATTAATTCATTCCATAAATATTTATTGGGCACCAACTGTATGATAGACACTTTGCTAGTCACTGGGAATAGAGCAATGAACAAAATACAGCCCTGTCCTCATTAAGCTTTTAGTTGAGCAGAAAATAGAGTTATACAAGAAAGTCACTAGGAGAGAGAGCATGGTGTGTTACAGGAATTGAGGGAGGGAGAGTGATAGGGGATGAAACTGATGAAGAAGGTGGGTCCTAGGGCCTTTATGGTATGCTAAGGGGTTTGGAACCTATGCTGCAGACAACTGTGTTCACCAGAATGTTTTTGGTTGCAAGTGAAAGAAACTCTGTTTGAATAACTTAAGGTCAAAAGGGAAATTTATTTGTCTGGAATCCAAGGAAGGGATGAACACCACACACTGATAGAAGGCCAGAGATGAGGCTGGGCTCAGGACACTAGGGAATTAGCAGCTTGGACATGATTTAGGACTTTCCCTGCCTCTCGCCACATCTGGCTTCTGTCTCTCTTCCTACACACTTTCTCAAATAGTGGAGAAAACAGACACCTATAGCTTCTGAGTTACCTGCACCACTGGAGGATTCACAGTCCTTTCTCCTGTCCCAGGCTAATCATTCTGGGGAGGAGGCTTATTGGCCCATTTGGGTTAAGTGTCTGCACAGAACCAATCAGCTGTGTCTAGAAGGTGGAGCAAATGAAAGAATTCAGCAACTCCCTGAGGAGCTATATAAATTGCACAGGGTGAGGTAGGGGTACTAGATTAGATATTCCATGGATATCCACTACGGCAGTGCCCACTGAGCAACCACTGGGCTTCTAAATCAGGTTTACAAAGTAATCCGATTCCAGAACATATTCAAATACTAGTCACAGGAACATGCTATAACACTTGAGAATACTTAGGAATTCTGATTTGGCAAGAGTCCGTCCCAAGAAATTAATTAATGGGGATAATATATATAAAGAACTTAGAGCAGTGCTTGGCACATAGTAATACTAAGTGTTAGAAATATGATTATTATTATGATAGTGATGATGATGATGACGATTCAACTCCTTTGGGTATATGGGCTTAATCAGTTCTGGACCCATACAGCTAACAGCCAGGGTTAAGTTGACGCACCAAAATAAGAACAGTCTGAGCCACCAGCCAATACCATCCACATCTCCATCTCATTTCCTTATAGCTTCACTTCCAGTGATAGCAATTTTGATGGATGCCAGGGCTTCCATACTAGGAAGCAATGGCAAGTCTCCCACAGGAACCTCCAGAAGCACATTTTCCTTCTGCCATTCACTGCAAACACATGGCGCATGCTCAAGAAACACCCAATACAGTTAAGTGATAAAATAAAATGGACTAGGGAATTCTTCTTGTTGTCTGTGTGCCCCTATTTGAATAAAGTAGGGTTTTCCAGCAAACTTTTTATTATGAGCAGAATCTCAATGGATCCTCTAATAACAACCCTGACAGGCAAAGCTCCAAACAAGCATTAATTAAGTCTCTTAACATCCTTGTTAATCAGTGAGCCATATGGCAATTATTTTTAAAAAAAAAAAGAATAATTTTGAGGAGCAAGGAATTTAAAAATGATTGTTTATCATAACAGAGAGCTCATTTACATACACTCAGAAATGAATATTTAGAACCATAGGTAAGATAGACATGCTTGGCTAATATCTGATGAGTCATAATCAGCTGTCCTTCAAAAGGACAGTTGATCCAGGGAATACTGGGGACAAGATTTCTTGGAATGCTAGGTTAGCCTTCCCAAGGGCAAAGATGTATGCATTCTCTACTTTGCATCCCCAATTCAGATGCCTTGTCCTTGACCAACACTGTCTAATAGAACTTTCTGTGAAGAGGGGCATATTCTATATCAGCACTATCCAATATGGAAGCCACTAATGGTTCATACGACTGAGGAAATACAATTTTAATTTATTTAATTTTAATTAACTTAAATAGCACATGTGGCTAGCAGTCATCATATTGGACATTGCAATCTTAGACTATGGTTCATCAATTTGAAAACTTATTGTAAATTGGAAGAGGATATACAAGAGCTGTTAATATATTGTTAATCAGGGTGCAGGACTTGCCATAATGAGAATATTATTCATTATCTCAGTTATCACCAGTCTTTCATTCATTCAAACAACATATTGAACATCCACTAAATGGCTCTGTACTGAGCCAAGAGATACAAATGAAGACTAGTCATTGTCCTGGTTTAGAGATGAGTGGGGGAAAGGAGCAGATTAACAGGTAGATGTAAAAGTTTGTGACAAGTGTTGTTTATATTGGGGTAAGTATATGAATAGTGGGAATATGGACATGGGCAACTTATTCAACCCAGGGGTATATGAAGTCAGGTGGGTAGGTGACACATGCTTCCCAAGCAAGGTGGCTCTGCAGTTCATTCTTAAATGGCCAGCAAAGGTTCTCCCAGGTAACGAAGATGGGCATTGCTGCACATAGAGTGACTGGCACAGGTGAGGGCATGATGCTCCCAGACAGCATGGGCCTTTGGGTGAACTTCCAGATGTGTGGGGTGTGTAGTACAGGGTACATGTAGAAAGGCATACTCTCCACATGTACCCTTCCACATGTACCCTGTATTACTTTTCCATGAGCCCTCTTCCCGGGCTCAGCCATGGCCCCAGAAAGAGGGCAGGGATGGTAGAAAGGAGCTTGTTCAAGGAGTTTGGATTTTACCCTGAAGGTAGTGAACACTCATGCAAGGGCTTTATAAAAGTAGGGGAATAACAGGATCAGATCTGTGTTCCAGAAAGGTCCCTTTAATGGCAGTGTGAAGAATGATTTAGGGAGAATAAGAATGGAGATAGAGAGTCCCTCAAGAGGACAAACTTTTTTTCGGTGAGGGTGAGAGACCCTGAAGTCCCATATCAAGTAGTAAAGGTGCTGCTGGCCAGAGGTAAATGGAACTGCTCCTTTCTGAGAAGTGGTTGAATGTTTGGGGTACAGGGTGCTAGAAGTTCTGAAGTTGGTCTCAGGGAGACGAAAGAGTCTGGCACTGTACCAGCCAAGGTGCAACCATCTTTTGGAGAGAGAGATGTATTTGCTCAACTGACCTTTGCTGCTTTCCTTCATGTGCAAGAACTTCTTTCTGGGTTGCCTACCTTGGGCAAATGGCTAGGTTTGAGGCTTGGTACAAGCATTTGGACTTTTTTTTTTTTTTTTTGAGATGGAGTCTTGCTCAGTCACCCAGGCTGGGGTGCAGTGGCGTGATCTCAGCTCACTGCAAGCTCCACCTCCCGGGTTTACGCCATTCTCTTACTTCAGCCTCCCGAGTACCTGGGACTACAGGCGCCCACCACTACGCTCGGCTAATTTTTTGTATTTTTAGTAGAGATGGGGTTTCACTGTGTTAGCCAGGATGGTCTCGCTCTCTTGACCCCGTGATCCACCCACCTCAGTCTCCCAAAGTGCTGGGATTACAGGCGTGAGCCACCACACCCAGCCTGGACTTCTTAAAGGTATATGCAGAGTTTGCCTCCACTTAGTTTCTGGGAGCTTTCATAAAACCTAGACAGGAGCAGAGGCCTTCTGATTCCAGATATTAATACATAGTTAATACCCTAATTCCTGCAGAGTTGGGGCAGGGTCCTAGACCCAGACCCAACCTCCTAGGCTAGGCTTGGAAGAGATTTATTCTTCCCTCATGGATTTGCCTTTCTCATCACACATTTCTCATTCAGAAAGGAAGAGGTCTATATTCTATGAAGGTGCACATCTCATTGGCCAAGAAGATATGAATCCAAAAGAGACTGAGTAGTTAGGAGACATCAGCCTGGGATGTGAGCTGCTTGCACCTACCTGTCATTCTGAAAGTGGTGGCCCCCAAAGGCAGACCAGGGCCAAGAAAGGAAGAAAGATTGGGAATTACTATTAGGATACACTTTCAATTATTCAGCAATAAGATGACAGTCTTGAAAGGTAGTAGGTTCTTTATTGTCTAAGGTATGAAGATAGAGGCTGGGTCACAATTTGGTGAGAATGATGTAGGGGGACAACAGCACTCAATGAGGGATTAGACTGTGACAACAACAGATAGAATAGACCATGGGTCAGGGCATTTAAATCTAACTTCCCTGCCTCACCATCTAAGTAAACAGATGATTACAATACAGTGCTCAGTGGGGGACATCCAGGGTCCATGGGGAGCACACCAGAGGACATGGACCCCACACTTCAGTACAGCTGGGAAGACCAGACAGACAAAATGATGATTCAACAAAACCTGAAAGATGACTGGGATTTAGCCAGGGGAATGGGGTTGGGACTGAGGCATGCAGACCACTCCGCCTGTGATTCTTACAAAGAATTATTTGGCCCCAAACGTCGGCAGTGCTGATGTTCAGAAACCTTGACCTAGAGTCAATTTGGATTTCCCGTCTTGTGAGAGATGGCACGTCTCTTGATACTTTAAGCTATTTGACCGAAGTTTTTTGCTTCCTTATTTTAAATGTGATCTAGATCTATCAAATGTTAGCATTTTTGACAGGGCTTAAGACATAGTAATGTAGAAAAGAAAGCAGGGCCCTTCTTTGTGATACTGAATTCTTTGTAATACTGTAAGTCCTGGAGAGGCAGCCAGGGAAGTGTGGGTGATGTGATGAAACATATCCATGAACAATAAACCGCAGAAACTCTGCCTCTCCCACCTCCTGGTACCTTCTGGGGATGACGCTGCCTGGTCATGAGTCAAGACAAAGCTCCAGCTCACCTGGACACCTTGTGATCCCCCCAGTTCCTCCAGGCTGTCAGGACTCTGAAAGGCATAGGCTGAGCCTGTGCAATTTAAATGGGAAGAGGGTGGAGAATGAGAAACATTTATGGGAGCCATTAAACACCTCTGGGCATTCTGGGGGAAAAAAATGGAATCTTAACCTGGTTTCCACAGCCAAATTCCAAGAATATGCTTGCAAGTTTGGACTCTCTCTCTGGGGTAATATACCCATTTTTCATTGTTGTTCAGTTAAATGTTCGGAGAACTGAAGCTCAGTTTTGTGATTAACCAAGCCTTACTTCATTTATCATAATCTTTTCTATTCAGATTTTATGGTCACATCCAAACCCCTCTTCTTTGCAGTTGTTTAAAGTGTATATGGCTTCAACGTGCTGGGGAGATAGCATGAGGCAAAAAAATGAGCATGGAATTTAAAGGCAGATTATGAATCCCAATGCCCACCTAATCAGCTGTGTGACCGAGGTCACTTATAGAATATATCTGAGTGTGTTTCCTCATTTAAAATTTAGGGAAACATCTGTCTCATAGAAAATGGCAGGTACGATGTCTAACACATAACAGGTGCTCAATGATGTTTATTTCCATCTTTAAATTTTATTGTATATATTTAAGGCATACAACATGATGTTTACATAGGTAGACAGAGATAGAGAATAGATAGACTAGAGATAGTTGCTATAATCAAGCAAATTGACATGTCCCACATAATTACCCATTTTTTGTGATAAAATCACCTAAAATCTAATTTTTTAGAAAAATCCTAAGTACAATACAATATTAACTATCATTCTCATGTTGTATATTAGATCTCAAGACTCATCGTCTACATAACGGCTACTGTGCACCTTTGCCCTACATCTCCCTATTTTCTCCTATTCCCCACTCCCGTTTCCCTTTTCCTAATGCATAGTTCTTCTTTTTTTCTATGCTGTGATGTCTTAGATTTCATGGACATCTATTACACTTGACGAATCTAAATCATATTTAAAATGAGGAAGAAAAACCCGTAGTCACGTAGCTTATAGTATCAGGAGGTGTGCTGTATCTCATGAGAAGGAATTCTACATTGACTCCAGATAGAAGGTAACTTTTGTCAGTTTTCAACACCCATTTCCTTTTAAAGATTTGCGTAGGGATGTAGGAACGGGAGACATGTTTAAACAGTCGCCATTACTGACCAACCCTGAAAATGTTCAGTTATGCAAACTTCTTATTTTGAATAATTTTGATTAAAAAAATCATGTTATAGATACCATTTTTCCACACACAGTTCAGAACCACCTCAATAAAGTGTTGTAGGCTCTTTAAGTTAGAATAACCTTTTTTTTTTTTTTTAAAGTTGGGTTCTCCCTCTGATACCCAGGATGAGTATAGCAGCAAGATCATGGATCACTGCAACCTCAAACTCCTGGGCTCAAGTGATCCTCCTGCCTTAGCCTCCCAACCAGCTGGGACCACAGTCATGCACCACCATATCAGCTGTAGAAATCTTTTTTTTTTTTTTTTTTTGAGACAGAGTCTCGCTCTGTCAGCCAGGCTGGAGTGCAGTGGCATGATCTCGAGAGGCTCACTGCAAGCTCCGCCTCCCAGGTTCATGCCATTCTCCTGCCTCAGCTTCCCGAGTAGCTGGGACTGCAGGTGCCTGCCACCACACCCGGCTAATTTTTTGTATTTTTAGTAGAGAGGGGTTTCATCGTGTTAGCCAGGATGCCCTCGGTCTCCTGACCTCGTGATACACCCGCCTTGGCCTCCCAAAGTGCTGGGATTACAGGCGTGAGCCACCGCGCCTGGCCAGAAATCTTAAGAATCATCTGTAATAAATATATCTGACAGTGCCACGGGCCTTGATCAGGGATGGTAGTTGTCCCTGTAAACTAGTCTGGATAAAGGAACTCATTGAGTAGAAGTAGCTTGCTTAAGGTGTGGCAACAGAGTTAGTGACAGGAACATTGTATTGGTCTGCTCAAGGCTCCCCTCCACATGGAACTTCGGGGTCACCTGCCTCTCTCTTGACCAATTGGCAGCAGCAGGGTATACAGGGAATTTGGCTTCTCTGGCTCCTGACCTTTCCCCTGTGCCCTCTGGTGGCGACCTAGGTTCACCTGCCCCAGTGCAGCTAGAGTGATAGATTGAGTTGACCATATATCTACCACGTGACCATATCTATCTCTTTAGTGGAAAAGGGTCTGGCAGAGATGGAAAGTGTGAGCAGAGGACTATCCTGGTGGGGCTCAAACATGACAGGGGCTGGGTCAGGCGAGGCAACACAGCAAGGGAGGGAACTATAGATGGTCTCTTGAAACAGGCTCAGCTGGAAGGTAATTGAAGGTCCGTACAGTACAGCAGCCACTGAGACTTGTCACTCAAAGCACTGCGGTTACCTTGACAAAGCATAGCTGATTGGAAATTAAAATGCATGGAATTGTGTAGGGAGTGTTTTCAAGAAGAAACAGAATCAACTTAGTGGCACCATTGAGGCTCTTACAGCTGAACACCAGATGCAAGGATTTTTTTAAAAGAAAATCGCAAGCCTCTCTTCTTTCTAGAAGCAGGGGTTTAGTGCTTAGTTAGTTAGAATACAGCTATTTCAGGAGACATTGCCAAAGCCTGAGAAAGGAGGTGTCAGAGAGCCATGTTATAACTGATATAAACCTAGCCCTGGGGCTAGTTTGGACAAACAGCCCATTGATTCTCTCTGGATCTGTTTGTCTGATCCAATGGAATATGGAGAGGGTGCTCTTTAAGTCATCCTGCAGTTTTAAATCAAGTATCTACTGTGCTGTGCTGGGGGGCCCATGGGACCTGCCGGTCTACGGAGCCCCTGCTTATTTTCTAACCCTGCTGTATCAGGCTAGATCAGTAATTCCCAACCATGTGGGCAGGCATGACACCTGAACCTCCTGCTCCCTGGACCCCTTATCTTCTGGGCAGGAGGCTCAGTCAATTCCTTTTTCTTAAGCTCAGATTCCTGCCATTAAAAAAAGTATAAGTAGGCTGGGTGGGTGGCTCACGCCCATAATCCCAGCATTTTGGGAGGCTGAGGTGGGGGATCACTTGAGCCCAGGAGTTTGACACCAGCCTGGGCAAAATGGTGAGACCCTGTCTCTACAAAAAAATACAAAAATTAGCTGGGTACAGTGGCACATGCCTGTAGTCTCAGCTATTTGGAAAGCTGAGGTGGGAGGTTGAGACCAGGAGATCAAGGCTACGGTGAGATGTGATTTAGCCACTGCACTCCAGGCTAGGTGACAGAGTAAGACTCTGTCTCAAAAAATATATATATATGTATAGAAATACAGTTTCATCTAATGCACTATTGATCAGTATGCATTTTGTATGTGTGTCATGATTAATATATCTGCTATGGCTTGAATGTCCCCTTCAAAATATATTGAAATTTAATTGCCATTGTGACCGTATTAAAAGGTGGGACCTTTAAAAGGTGATTAGGTCATGAGGGGTCTGCCCTCATAAATGGATTAATGCTGTTATCACAGGAGTGGGTTACTTGTCTCAGAAGTGTGCCCCGATAAAAGGATGAGTTTGGCCCAATTTCCTCTCTCTGTCTCATGTGCACATTTTCTTGCCATGTGATGACCTTCCACCATGTTATGAGGCAGCAAGAAGTTCCTCACCAGATGGCTGAGCAGATGCTGTTGCTATGCCTTTGAACTTCTCAGCCTCCAGAACCATGAACCAAATAAATCACCTTTCTTTATAAATTCCCTGATCTGTGATATTCTGTCAAAGCAGCAGAAAATGGAAGAGGACAATATCTAATTTCCTCCATTAGATGTTTAAGGTAGGCCAGGCACAGTGGCTCATGGCTGTAATCCCCACAGTTTGGGAGGCTGAGGCAGGCAGATCACCTGAGATCAGTAGTTCAAGACCAGCCTGGCTAACATGGCAAAACCCCATCTCTACTAAAAATACAACAATTAGCTGGGCGTGGTGACAGGCACCTGTAGTCTCAGCTACTCAGGAGGCTGAGGCAGAAGAATCACTTGAACCCGGGAGGTGGAGGTTGCAGTCAGCTAAGAACGCACCACTGCACTCCAGCCTGGGCAACAGAGTAAGACTCCATCTCAAAAAAAAAAAAGTATATTTAAAGTATGTGTTTGTATATATGTGGTGTGTATGTATATACATACATACATACACACACATGCATGCATGGTAAACAGAACAATGGCCCCCAAAGATGTGCACATCCTAATCCCTGGAATCTGTGACTATGTCACCCTACATGGAAAAAGGAAATTTGCAAATGTGATTAATTTAAGGATCCTGAGACAGAGAGATTATCCTGGAGTATCTGGGTAGGCCCAACATAATACAAGGCCCTTACAAGAGAGAAATGGGAGCAGACTGAGTCAGAAAAAGAAAAAATAGTGACTGAACTAGATGTTGGAAACTGTGCTTTGAAGATAGAGGAAGGGACCAGGAGCCAAGGAATGCAAGCAGCTTCTAGAAGCTGGAAAGAGCAAGGAAATGAATGCTGTCTTAAAGCCTCCAGAAGGGATGCAGCCCTGACAACACTTTGGCTTTAGATTCCTTTAGAGCTCCATAACTGTGGAAAATAAAGTTTTATTGTTTCAAGCCCTAAATTTGTGGCAATTTATTATAGCAGCTATAGGAAACTAATGCTACATATACATACACACATATGTAATATATATTCTAAGTTATAAAATTCAAAGATTTTGAAACTTACATATATTTGAACATGTTACATAAAGTGAAATAGCAAGAACTTACACTTAGAGTAGTGATAATGATGTAAGACTGTGGTTTCTGGAGCCAGCTCTGCCCCTTTCAGGTATGGTGACCTTGGCAAGTCACTTAATCTCTCTGTATCTCAGTTTCCTCATTTCTAAAATAGGGATATGATCTTACCTCATAGGGCTGAAGTGAGGATGAAATGAGGTAATATATCTAAAATACTTATAAGAGTGCCTGGCACTTAGTAAGTACCATATTATATATCCCAATTTTTCAGAGGAGAAAACGGAGGTTGACTTTCCCATGGCTATGCAGCTCTGAAGTGACACAGGGGGCATTGGAACCTAGCTGGTTCAGCTCCAGCAGGGCTCCCATACCATACTTCCTCATAATACAAAGGCAAAGTCTCCTTTCCTAGCCCTCAATTCCAATCCATGACCAAGCAATCCTATTAACTATTTGGTATTTACCCTTCCAGACACAAGTATACATGTGCATGTGCTCACACATACATGTGTGTGTAAAAAACATATAATAATTTTAAAAATAAAATAAATATAATTATGTCATTTTGAAGCTTACATAATATATCAGAAACACATTTTTTGTTAAATTTACTTTAGTTATATAGATGAATTTTTTTTAAAAGTTAGAATATTGTAGGTAAAGCTAAAGTCCCCTTTGACCACCACCTTTAATCCTGGTCTTCCCTATGCTTTGAGATAACTACTCTTTGAATATAGCGCATATCCTTCCAGACCTTACTTTGCACACATGCACCCATAATAAATGGATAGCATTGTTTATTTTTTATGTCTATGTTCTTACATACATTGTATCATACTATAAGAATTGTTCTAAAACTTGGCATTGTATTTCTGAGATCTAACTACACTTATGAACAGAGATTTGGTTTAGTCCTCTTAGTCACTGAATTGCATTCTGCCACATTATATTTTTCCATTCCATTATTGATGTCCCTTTAGGTCATTTTCAATTTCTTGCTATTTGAATGCTTCAGATAGCTTTCTTATCCAGTCTTCTTGGATGCATGTGAAAGTGGTTCCCTGGGTACGGATCTAGACTAGGAAATGCTGGGTCACAGGATAAGCACATTTGCAGGTTTAATAGATTCTGCCAAAGAACCTTCTGAAGTGATTGTCTTCATTTATATTTCTTCCAACAGTGTATAAGTGTATTTTTTCCTCTACAGTATCCTCAACACTTGATTCTGTCAGTGTTTTGGTTTTTGCAGATATGATGAATGAAAATAGGATCTTTTTGTTTTAGTTTGCTTTTGGAAAGTTTATCAATTAGACAGATGAGCAACTTTTCAAACTGCTTATGTGAATTTCCTCTTTTATGAGTGGCTTGTTCATATTCCTTCCCCAATTTTTACCACATTGTTTGTCTTTTTCTTATGATTTGTAGAAGTGCTTGTGGATATCTTTCTGTCTAGATACTATAGGTGTACTTGATTTTTAAAAAAATGGTTGCATCGTATTCAGCCATATATGTGAAACCCTGAGGTCAGATCTGGTCCTCCATCTGTTTCTGTAAAAAAAAAAAAATTTTTTTGAGATGCAGTCATATGCATTTTTTTGTATGTTGTATGTGGCTGATTTAGTGCTACAACAGCAGAGCTGAGTAGCTACGACATAGACCATATGGCCCACAAAGCCTTAAAATATTTACTCTCTGGCTCTTTAGAGAAAAAGTTTGCCCTGATATGGATAAATCATAATTTCTTTAGCCATTCTTCTTTTGATGAATATGTAAGTTGTTTTCCGTTATCCAATATTATGAACAATTCTGTAATTAATATTATTGTACACACTTATAACTTTGTCTGTAGAAGTGAATGTTTCTGTAGGCTGGATTCCTGAAAGTGGACTTGCTGGCTTATCAGATTTCTGTATTTAGCGGAACTTGCTCATCAGTAATATTTGAATTGGAGGATATTTTTAAGAAGTGAGGTTATTTCCTAGGAATAGTGATAGCTTTCTATTATTTAGCACCTGCTAGGTACCAGACACTGTACTAGGTGTCTTATATACATTCCCTCATTTAATCTTTCCAATAAGCCAGAAATTGGTGTTAATAACAGCTTTTTATATAAGGAATTTGAGGTTCAGTGAAGTTAAATGGCTTGTCCAAAACAACAGAGCTGGTGCACAGGAGAGCCAGGATTTGAACCCATTTCTCTGACTTCGAAGCTCCTATATTTTCTACTACACAATGTTGTCTCTCAGTGAAAAACTAGGTGATGCAAACAATTGGCATTACATAGCTTTGTGAGTAGCAATTATGCATATTTGTCTCTGTTAAGTGAACAGGTAACAACATTCGTAATTAATGCAGTAAGTTTCTGTAGACAGATGGGTTAGATTAAAGTAATTTTATAGACTCTTTAAAACTGTTGGCTTTCTTAAGCTAAACATTTCTTTTGCAATCTTATTTATGTTTCTATAAATAAATGCACAGCTGTGATGTAGTAGAAAGAATACTGGATTTAGAAATCCAAATTTGGGAAAAAAAACCCAACATGGTTTCTGCCTTCTTGGAAGGTTGCTGTGTGACTGTGGGCAAGTTTCCTACCTTCTCTATGCTCTAGTTTGTTCACAAGAGTTGTGAGAAATCAGTGTGAATGACCATGAGGTACTTGACCCAGTGCCTGGTATGTAGTAAAGGTGCAATCCGTGATGGTCCTTGTTCCTGAGGATATTTCCAGAAAGAGTGTTCAATCTGATAAACGCTGGGTACATTTCAGTGAGCTTGCCTCATGGCTCAAGCTCTGCCTTGCTCTGAAGCCACACCTAATGCCACTCCCTTGGCCTGATAGTAACCAACAGATGCCAGAACCATCCATTGCCAAGAATGTACGTAATGCCTGTGGTATACAGAAATGAGAGGACAGGTTATGACATGTCTTGGCATTTAAATTTTGGTGTACTGGGGCAGTTCCAAGATGGCTGAATAGGAACAGCTCCAGTCTATAGCTCCCAGCGTGAGTGACGCAGAAGACGGATGATTTCTGCATTTCTAATTGAGGTACTGGGTTCATCTCACTGGGGCGTGCCGGACAGTGGGTGCAGGACAGTGGGTGCAGTGCATCAAGCATGAGCCGAAGCAGGGTGAGGCATTGCCTCACCCGGGAATCGCAAGGGGTCAGGGAATTCCCTTTCCTAGCCAAAGAAAGGGGTGACAGATGGCACCTGAAAATTGGGTCACTCCCACCCTAATACGAGCTTTTCCGATGGTCTTAGCAAATGGCACACCAGGAGATTATATCCCGTGCAAGGCTTGGAGGGTCCTACGCCCATGGAGCCTCGCTCATTGCTAGCACAGCAGTTTGAGATCAAACTGCAAGGCGGCAGCAAGGCTGGGGGAGGGGCGCCCACCATTGCTGAGGCTTGAGCAGGTAAACGAAGCGGCCGGGAAGCTCGAACTGGGTGGAGCCCACCCACTATAGCTCAAGGAGACCTGCCTGCCTCTATAGACTCCACCTTTGGGGGCAGGGCATAGCCAAACAAAGGGCAGCAGAAACCTCTGCAGACTTAAATGTCCTTGTCTGACAGCTTGGAAGACAGTAGTGGTTCTCCCAGCATGCAGCTTGAGATCTGAGAATGGACAGACTGCCTCCTCAAGTGGGTCCTGGACCACCGAGTAGCCTAACTGGGAGGCACCCCAAAGTAGGGGCAGACTGACACCTCACACAGCTGGGTACCCCTCTGAGACAAAACTTCCAGAGGAACGATCAGGCAGCAACATTTGCTGTTCACCAATATTCGCTGTTTTGCAGCCTCCGCTGCTGATACCCAGGCAAACAGGGTCTGGAGTGGACCTCCGGCAAACTCCAACAGACCTGCAGCTGAGGGTCCTGACTGTTAGAAGGAAAACTAACAAACAGAAAGGACATCCACACCAAAACCCCATCTGTACCTCACCATCATCAAAGATCAAAAGTAGATAAAACCACAAAGATGGGGTAAAAACAGAGCAGAAAAACTGAAAATTCTAAAAATCAGAGCACCTCTCCTCCTCCAAAGGAACGCAGCTCCTCACCAGCAATGGAACAAAGCTGGACAGAGAATGACTTTGACGAGTTGAGAGAAGAAGGCTTCAGATGATCAAACTTCTCCAAGCTAAAGGAGGAAGTTTGAACCCATGGTAAATAAGTTAAAAACCTTGAAAAAAGATTAGACGAATGGCTAACTAGAATAACTAGTGTAGAGAAGTCCTTAAAGGACCTGATGGAACTGAAAACCATGGCAGGAGAACTACATGACAAATGCACAAGCTTCAGTAGCCGATGTGATCATCTGGAAGAAAGGGTATCAGTGATGGAAAATCAAATGAATGAAGTGAAGTGAGAAGAGAAGTTTAGAGAAAAAAGAATAAAAAGAAACGAACAAAGCCTGCAAGAAGTATGGGACTATGTGAAAAGACCAAATCTATGTCTGATTGGTGTACCTGAAAGTGACGGGGAGAATGGAACCAAGTTGGAAAACACTCTGCAGGATATTATTAAGGAGAACTTCCCCAATCTAGCAAGACAGGCCAACATTCAAATTCAGGAAATACGAAGAACGCCACAAAGATACTCCTCAAGAAGAGCAGCTCCAAGACACACAATTGTCAGATTCACCAAAGTTGAAATGAAGGAAAAAATGTTAAGGGCAGCCAGAGAGAAAGGTCAGGTTATCCACAAAAGGAAGCCCATCAGACAAACAGCTGATCTCTCCGCAGAAACTCTACAAGCCAGAAGAGAGTGGGGGCCAATATTCAACATTCTTAAAGAAAAGAATTTTCAACCCAGAATTTCATATCCAGCCAAACTAACCTTCATAAGTGAAGGAGAAATAAAATACTTTACAGACAAGCAAATACGGAGAGACTGTGTCACCACCAGGTCTGCCCTACAAGAGCTCCTGAAGGAAGCACTAAACATGGAAAGGAACAACTGGTACCAGCCACTGCAAAAACATTCCAAATTGTAAAGACCATCGAGGCTAGGAAGAAACTGCATCAACTAATGAGCAAAATAACCAGCTAACATCATAATGACAGGATCAAACTGACACATAACAATATTAAACTTAAATGTAAATGGGCTAAATTCCCCAATTAAAAGACACAGACTGGCAAATTGGATAAAGAGTCAAGACCCATCAGTGTGCTGTATTCAGGAAACCCATCTCACATGCAGAGACACACATAGGCTCAAAATAAAGGGATGGAGGAAGATCTACCAAGCAAATGGAAAACAAAAAAAGGCAGGGGTTGCAATCCTAGTCTCTGATAAAACTGACTTTAAGACAAAAAAGATCAAAAGAGACAAGGCCATTACATAATGATAAAGAGATCAATTCAACAATAAGAGCTAACTATCCTAAATATATATGCACCCAATACAGGAGCACCCAGATTCATAAAGCAAGTCCTTAGAGACATACAAAGAGACTTAGACTCCCACACAATAATAATGGGAGACTTTAACACCCCACTGTCAACATTAGACAGATCAATGAGACAGAAAGTTAACAAGGATATCGAGGAATTGAACTCAGCTCTGCACCAAGTGGACTTAATAGACATCTACAGAACTCTCCACCCCAAATCAACAGAATATACATTCTTCTCAGCACCACACTGCACTTATTCCAAAATTGACCACATAGTTGGAAGTAAAGCACTCCTCAGTAAATGTAAAAGAACAGAAATTATAACAAACTGTCTCTCAGACCACAGTGCAATCAAACTAGAACTCAGGATTAAGAAACTCACTCAAAACCGATCAACTACATGGAAACTGAACAACCTGCTCCTGAATGACTACTGGGTACATAACGAAATGAAGGCAGAAATAAAGATGTTCTTTGAAACCAACGAGAACAAAGACACAACATACCAGAATCTCTGGGACATATTTAAAGCAGTGTGTAGAGGGAAATTTATAGCACTAAATGCCTACAAGAGAAAGCAGGAAAGATCTAAAATTGACACCCTAACATCACAATTAAAAGAACTAGAGAAGTGAGAGCAAACACATTCAAAAGCTGGCAGAAGGCAAGAAATAACTAAGATCAGAGCAGAATTGAAGGAGATAGAGACACAAAAAACCCTTCAAAAAATCAATGAATCCAGGAGCTGGTTTTTTGAAAAGATCAACAAAATAGATAGACCACTAGCAAGACTAATAAAGAAGAAAAGAGGGAAGAATCAAATAGATGCAATAAAAAATGATAAAGGGGATATCACCACCAATCCCACAGAAATACAAACTACCATCAGAGAATACTATAAACACCTCTACGCAAATAAACTAGAAAATCTAGAAGAAATGGATAAATTCCTGGTCACATACACCCTCCCAAGACTAAACCAGGAAGAAGTTGGATCTCTGAATAGACCAATAACAGGCTTTGAAATTGAGGCAATAATTAATAGCTTACCAACCAAAAAAAGTGCAGGACCAGATGGATTCACAGCCGAGTTCTACTACAGGTACAAGGAGGAGCTGGTACCATTCCTTCTGAAAGTATTCCAATCAATAGAAAAATGGGGAATCCTCCCTAACTCATTTTATGAGGCCAACATCATCCTGATACCAAAGCTTGGCAGAGACACAACAAAAAAAGAGAATTTTAGACCAATATCCCTGATGAACATCAATGCAAAAATGCTCAATAAAATACTGGCAAACTGAATCCAGCAACACATCAAAAAGCTTATCCATGATGATCAAGTGGGCTTTATCCCTGGGATGCAAGGCTGGTTCAACATACACAAATAAATAAACGTAATCCAGCATGTAAGCAGAACCAGCAACAAAAACCACATGATTATCTCAATAGATGCAGAAAAGGCCTTTGACAAAATTCAACAGCACTTCATGCTAAAAACTCTCAATAAATTAGGTATTGATGGGACATATCTCAAAATAATAAGAGCTGCCTATGACAAACCCACAGCCAATATCATACCGAATGGGCAAAAACTGGAAGCGTTCCCTTTGAAAACTGGCACAAGACAGGGACGCCCTCTCTCACCACTCCTATTCAACATAGTGTTGGAAGTTCTGGCCAGGGCAATCAGGCAGGAGAAGGAAATAAAGGGTATTCAATTAGGAAAAGAGGAAGTCAAATTGTCCCTGTTTGCAGATGACATGATTGTATATCTAGAAAACCCCATCGTCTCAGCCCAAAATCCCCTTAAGCTGATAAGCAACTTCAGCAAAGTCTCAGGATACAAAATCAATGTGCAAAAATCACAAGCATTCTTATACACCAATAACAGACAAACAGAGAGCCAAATCATGAGTGAACTCCCATTCACAATTACTTCAAAGAGAATAAAATACCTTGGAATCCAACTTACAAGGGATGTGAAGGACCTCTTCAAGGAGAACTACAAACCACTGCTCAATGAAATAAAAGAGGATACAAACAAATGGAAGAACATTCCATGCTCATGGATAGGAAGAATCAATATTGTGAAAATGGCCATACTGCCAGAGGTAATTTGTAGATTCGATGCCATCCCCATCAAGCTACCAATGACTTTCTTCACAGAATTGGAAAAAACTACTTTAAAGTTCATATGGAACCAAAAAGGAGCCCGCGTTGCCAAGTCAATCCTAAGCCAAAAGAACAAAGCTGGAGGCATCACGCTACCTGACTTCAAACTATACTACAAGTCTACAGTAACCAAAACAGCATGGTACTGGTACCAAAACAGAGATATAGACCAATGGAACACAACAGAGCCCTCAGAAATAATGCCACACATCTACAACTATCTGATCTTTGACAAACCTGAAAAAAAGAAGCAATGGGGAAAGGATTCCCTATTTAATAAATGGTGCTGGGAAAACTGGCTAGCCATATGTAGAAAGCTGAAACTGGATCCCTTCCTTACACCTTATACAAAAATTAATTCAAGATGGATTAAAGACTTAAATGTTAGACCTAAAACCATAAAAACCCTAGAAGAAAACCTAGGCAATACCATTCAGGACATAGGCATGGGCAATGACTTCATGACTAAAACACCAAAAGCAATGGCAACAAAAGCCAAAATTGACAAATGGGATCTAATTAAACTCAAGAGCTTCTGCACAGCAAAAGAAACTACCATCAGAGTAAACAGGCAACCTACAAAATGGGAGAAAATTTTTGCAACCTATTCATCTGACAAAGGGCTAATATCCAGAATCTACAATGAACTCAAACAAATTTACAAAAAAAAAACAAACAACCCCATCAACAAGTGGGCGAAGGATATGAACAGACACTTCTCAAAAGAAGACATTTATGCAGCCAAAAAACACATGAAAAAATGCTCATCATCACTGGCCATCAGAGAAATGCAAATCAAAACCACAATGAGATACCATCTCACACCAGTTAGAATGGGAATCATTAAAAAGTCAGGAAACAACAGGTGTTGGAGAGGATGTGGAGAAATAGGAACACTTTTACACTGTTGGTGGGACTGTAAACTAGTTCAACCATTGTGGAAATCAGTGTGGCGATTCCTCAGGGATCTAGAACTAGAAATACCATTTGACCCAGCCATCTCATTACTGGGTGTATACCCAAAGGATTATAAATCATGCTGCTATAAAGACAAATGCACACGTATGTTTCCTGCAGCGCTATTCACAATAGCAAAGACTTGGAACCAACCCAAATGTCCAACAATGATAGACTGGATTAAGAAAATGTGACACATATACACCATGGAATACTATGCAGCCATAAAAAATGATGAGTTCCTGTCCTTTGTAGGGACATGGATGAAGCTGGAAACCATCCATCATTCTCAGCAAACTATCGCAAATACAAAAAACCAAATACCATATGTTCTCACTCATAGGTGGGAATTGAACAATGAGAACACTTGGACACAGGAAGGGGAACATCACACACTGGGGCCTGTTGTGGGGTGGGGGAAAGGGGGAGGGATATCATTAGGAGATATACCTACTGTAAATGACGAGTTAATGGGTGCAGTACACCAACATGGCAGATGTATACGAACCTGCATGTTGTGCACATGTATCCTAAAACTTAAAGTATAATAAAAATAAATAAATAAAATAAATAAATAAATAAATAAATAAATATTGCTGTACTGCGTCCGTGCTCTTTTGCATGCTGAGAACCTCAATAATAACAGCTAACAGTTATTGAACACTTACTCCATGCCAGAGACTGTGACAAATTATCTCATTTAATTCTCACCATAATGCTGCTTGATCAGTAATCCTTCTATTCCTATGCGGCATAGAATAGATGAATAAATGAAAACCTTGGGAGGTTGAAAAGAAGCATGTAGTCAGTAGGTAGAAAACCTAGGATTTGAGTCCATACCTTTTTAAACACTTAAACCTGAACATTAAGTGGTTACTGTGTTATGCTTTCTCCTTCTGTTGGGAAGCTTTCAATAGGAGGATTCCTTGCTAGGACTAGTTATGTGCTTATTTCCAGCTTCAGGCTTCAGGGTGGGAGGATCTGCCCTCTTGGGCACACAGTGCATTAGGCTTGGGCTGCGGTACACACTAAATGGTAATCTCTTAACATCTAGAGGGGAGCATTGCCTTTCTTGGCCATCTGGTGCCACGATTCAACACGTCTGCCTTAGACATGCTGATTTTGCCTGAAATCTCAGGGAAACCTCCCAAACATTAAAAAGCAAGAGCTGATGGCTGACCATTTTGCTTTTATCACTGCCTTTCTCCTGTCAACGAAGAAGCCCCTTTCACCCTGAATTGCTGCCTTGCATCCATGTCAGAACCAGATAAATTTGTCTGTGCCATTCTGGTTTTTTGTTTTTTTGTTGTTGTTGTTTTTTTTAGTTTTAGCTGCCTCCCGGACCATCTTGTTTGCAATATAAGCTCTAAATGGCCTGGAACTCGTCTTTTATGGCCTCTGCCAGATTAAACATTTAGAACATAATACACCCAGCTTCAAAAACAATTGTGCAGTCTTCCAGCGAAGCAGCATATTGATTTTAATTTAGGCAATTACACAGATTTGCAGGTCTTCGGAGGCACTCTGGGGCTTCAGACTGCCAGTGGCTCACGGTCCTTCTCCTCCTCAGTCCCAGCTCTCTACCTGGGATTGGAGAAACCTAGAGATCATGGGTGATAAGCGTGGGCCTCCTTCAACACACCGTATTTTCTCTTTTGGAATTGAGAAGATCACAGTGTCAGTTCTAAAACTGCTATGAAATATAAAGGCAGCAAGGTAATGTATGAATAGTGTGGGCTGAACTGCATTCAGATCCGTGCCTTACTGCTGAATGACACATGACCTTGGGCAAATCATTTCACTCTTTGGACCTCAGGCTTCTCACTAGTAAATGGGGGCAATGAGGAAATTTAACTCACAAGGCAGATAGATGTTAAGATTATTCAAGTGCTAGAAGATCCTCAATAAAAATTTAGTGCAAAAAGTGGACTAGTCTGCCAAGATATATAATGGTTTTTTGGTGAATGATTAACCAGGGCAGAATATTTTAATGCCCAAGAAGGGTTTCTTTCAAGCCCAAGGGGGCAACCGCTCAACAGCCACTGCGTGGAGACAATGGGGCCTGCTGCATTTTGAGTTTTGGTAGAAAGAGTGACTGATGGTGTATAGCTTATCTATTAGCCAGTTCCAGAGACTCAGACATTAGCACCAGATCCCAGTGCAGCTTCTGCTTGCTCATTGAACAAACACTTGCAGAGTTCTCACCCACGGCAGACTGTGCTAGGTGCTGCTACATCTGTCAATGAGTCAATTTGCCTTCAAGGAACTCACCATTCAGGGCAGAAGACACACACACATAAACGTAATTTTAATGCAGCACTCTGGTGACTGTTCCCAAAGAAATATCTTCCAAGGCTGGGGAAGGCTGTTCTAGGTCTCTTATTTTCCACTGTCCCAGGGAGGAATCACAGTGGCACAGCTATTAGGAACTGAAACTTAAATACAGTGGTTTAAACACATTATCAATTGCACGCCTGTAATCCCTGGAGGCTGAGGCAGCAGAATTGCTTGAACCCAGGAGGCAGAGGTTGCAGTGAACCGAGACCATGCCACTACACTCCAGCCTAAGAAACAGAGCAAGACTACGTCTCAAAAAAAAGAAAAAAAAAAAAAAGAAGCCTAGAGGTCAGCAATCTATGGCTGAGAAGCTGAAGCTGTCACATCGACATGCCAACAGGAACGAAAGGTGTTCACTCTCAGCTGAATCAGACCTCTTTAAAGTGTTTTCCTAGAATCCCTGACCACTTACCTCTTGTGGAGACCCCTCATGTCTGTTAGCTGGGCACTTTTCTGCCTTCTACAAAATAGGAAGGGAGGGTGGTTATTGGATAGACAACTAGGAGTCATTGCAACATCCACTCAATAGAACTTAAGCTTTTTCTACCACTTTGAGATTGCTGACATCTCTTTAAAAATAAATGGATGAGGGAGATGTTAGGCTGAGTGAATAATGAAGTTCTGTGGTCCAAGGTGGGATGCCATGCACATTCAATGACATGCTTAATGTTGATTTGTGTTCCTGGTGGGACGAGCGGGGACTAAACGGGTGAAGGATGAAGATGAAGTGGAACAGCGGCACTGACTTGGAGGCTGACGTAGAAGGGAGTGGCTTCCTTAGGGCAGGGTTTGGGCAGGGAGCCAGTGGACCCCTGCATTTCCTACATTCAGAAAAGCTGGTTTTCCTGTCTTTAACTGAGGTGGGGAAAGCTATAAAGAACACCAGGAAGCAGTTGGTATTCTGGGGCTGTTATTTTGGCTAAGATGTCCTGACCTGAATCTATAGCAGCAGTGAAAGGAGTTTTGCTTCTTCAGTAACATGCCTGAGAGGGTTCTATCTGCTAGAATTAGTTGCAGCTCTCAAAAGTGAGCCTGGAAGTCATGCTTTTGGCCTCTTGCATTCTTAAGTTGACCTGTCATGATGGTATGAAGCAATTGTGTCTTTCAGATCAAAATAACTTTACATCTTAAAAAAGCTTCTAACCCTGGTTGCAGAGAAATTAAATTAGAATAACAAATAGAGTTCGATAAGTGGAAATTTAACTCTGTCCATCTGTAGAGAAATAGCTGAATGCCAGCTAAAAATGAATGTTGCAGTACCTTGGAGAGTTTGATAAATGGTAGATACTAATAACCCATGTTGTGGAGAGGTGCTTAGAAGTATGGGGAGAGATAGGCAATGGGGCCTATTGCAGCACTCATTCTTCCCCTTCTACCCCATAATGCTCACACAAAACTGTTGACCACACTGCCATCATGGAAGCCCACCTGTCCAATAGCCTGTCCTGCATCCCCACCGGGGGCCTCACAGACACCCCAAACTCAGCATGTTCAAAACTCACTTTATCATTCCCCCTCCCAGGCTGTTTTCCATCCAGATTAGACTCTGGGTGGCATTTTTGACTTCACGATCCCAATTCTAACTAAGCACCAAGTCCCACTAATTCAAATGCCAGAATTTTTCTCAAGTCCGTTTTTTCCTTTCCACCTTCACTCCAGTGACCCTGGTTCAGATTTTTCTTTCTCTTGTTCTACTACTGGTCTTCCAGTGGATACTCCTGCCCTCTCAAATCTTTCACCTCAATTCCTTCTTTATATGCATGTGATGGGAACAATCTCTGATATAAGATTCTTCAGTGGTTCCCTGATAACATCCAATCTTTTAAAATATGGCTTCCTCCAGTAATCCATCATAAAAAGTAGTGGAACGTGGTGGTTAAAACCGTACCCTCTGCTGGGCGCGGTGGCTACCTGTAATCCCAGCACTTTGGGAGGCTGAGGTGGGCGGATCACCTGAGGTCAGGAGTTCAAGACCAGCCTGGCCAACAATATGAGGAAACCCCATCTCTACTGAAAGTATAAAAATTAGCTGGGCATGGTGGTGCATGACTATAGTCCCAGCTACTCAGGAAGCTGAGGCAGGAGAATTGCTTGAACCAGGGAGGCGGAGGTTGCAGTGAGCTGAGATTGCGCCACTGCACTCCAGCCTGGGTAACAGAGTGAGACTCCATCTCAAAAAAAAAAAAAAAAAAGAAGAAGAAGAAGTAAAAAAGAGTGTGTACTCTCTGGAGCCATGCTGCCTTTGTATGAATCCTAGCTGTGCCATTTGCTGTCTAATTTTGGGCCGTCACTCTCCCTATGACTTGGCTGTCTCATCTGTAAAATGGGGCTGATCATCTGATCCCCTTAGGTTGCTATGAGAACTAAGTGAATGAATATATGTATAAGTGAATGAATGAAGACACTTAGAACAGTGCCAGCCACAGAGTAAACCCTGTATAAGCATTGGCTGTGCTGGCCCTTTCCCCTACACTATGCTTCACAACAGCTTGTGTTTTTTCTCTCAATGCAGTTTCCTTCTGCAGTCAGGCCATCCCTCCTGTTTGTTAAACCAGCCTCTGTTCACATTGACCCCTCTGCCCCACAAGTCCTCCCTGTCTCCATTTCGCCAGCTCCCAGCTATCCCCTGATGCTTAGTCCAGATATATCCTTCCAGCCTCCCACGACACCTTGGGAACATCCTTGGCCTCACATTTTCACCTCTGTGGACAATGGTCTGTTGACCAGCCTATTTCCCTCACTGGCTCCTGGAGAGGAAAGCTTGCATTTTATTCATTTAAAAAAATGTCCTGCCCTGAGCTCAGTGACTGGTATTTAGAGGAAATGCAGTAAAAGTTTGTGGACTGGAAGATATTGTAGTACTAATAAAAACCCCACTGTCGGAGCTATCTTTCTAAGTGTGGATCTGATGACAACTTTTCCCTACTCAAAAATATTTATTCTGAAACAATGAGGATTTTATTCAGAATAAACCACAAGACTTGTGGTTCATTTCTTAACTTGCAGGACCAGGGAGGACCTGGGTAGAGAGCTGTCCCTGAGGAAGCTTTGACCGAGGTGGCCTAAGGTAGTGTTGCCAGAAGAAAAACAGAAACTAAGACGAAGGGGAAGCAAAGACCCAGCTAGGCGGCCATCCTGCTTTGATCACTCACTTCCCAATGGAATGACTGCCTTTGCTCCTCCCTGAGATGAATCAGCTTTGCCTACTCAATCCCATGTGCTTGTGGGGAGCCTCCTGGAGGCGCCTCAGAACTTATTATGTCTCAGGTGTTACCTGATCTTAGTAGCTCAGGCACTGGTGCTCAGGCAGCCAGAGAAGCTGTGGGCTTCTTCTCCCTGTCAGGTGACAATGATCTCGGGTGACAGAGCTGGCAGTCACATTCCCAGTAAAAACCTGGATGAGCAAGTCCCAGAGTAGGGCAGTCACTCCCAGTTCCAGCTGTCCATTAGAATCCCCTGGGGAGGCCCTGAACATGACCATGGCAGGCAATACCTCTGACTAATTGAATCCAAAGGCCTGGTGGTGGGACTCCAGGGTCAGGAATTTTAAAAACTGTCCAGGTAATTCCAGTGTGCAGCAAGGTGGACAGCCATTGCTTGCAGGGCTAGGCATGGTGCTGGGCTGGATGGGGAGAAAGAAGTAAACCTGTATTTCTTCTAGGTCTGGCGTGCTTCTTTTTAATGAAGGGTTGCAGATTAAGCTACTTTCCCATTCCTACATCCCGCTCTCCAGGTAGGCAGACACGCAGAAAGTTTACCCTCTGACTATAGGTAATTTAACCTTTTTTCAAGATCGTTTCATAAGCAAGGGATCACATGATGGGGTCTGCTGGGTAGAGGTCTCCAAACCAGTTCATGGCGCTCATTTTCCAGTGAGAAAATTAGGATCAGAGGAGGTTTGTACCATTATTCTAAGATTCCTCAAGGAGGGCAACAGAAACAAATGTGAATCTCCAACCCAGGTGTAGCACGGGTAGGTCCACGCAGCCTCGCTCCCTGCTCTCCCTGGGTCTGAGCACAAGCTGTTGAGTGCTTGTTCTTAGGGGAGACTGGGAGCAGCTGATACATCTAAACAAAACTCCAGCAGGAGCTCCGGCTAATTGCTGATTCTTTCCTCCCTCCTTCCCTTTCTCCCTCCCTCCCTCCCTTCCTCCCTCCCTCCCTTCCTCCCTTCTTTCCATACTTATTGAGCGTGCAATATGTGCTAGGTGCTGTTCAAGACACTGAGTAGACCATACAGTGTGAACAAAATAGACACAATTCCATGTATCATGGAGTTGACAGTCGAGTAGGGGATATAGACCATAAATATGATATTATAAATTATGAAAAGTTCGATGGAGAAAAAGAACAGGGTGCCGTATGAAAAAATAACATGTTTTATGTTGGGTTTATGAGGAGGTAAAAGCTGACACCTGTGGAATAACAAGGAGCCAGTCACTTGGAATGATGGGAAGAACATTCCTAGGCTGAGGGAACGGTATGTGCTAAGTCTCCATGACAGGAAAATGCTTGAGGTTTCCACTCCAATTCAACATCTTCCATAGACATTCTCTGACTGCCTACTCTGTGGCAGGCTGTGTGCTACGGGATAAGAAGACAGATGAACAAGGCATGGTCTCTACATTTAAGGGACTTATAGCTCAGTGGAAAGATAGTGTATGAAGAAATAGATTGCAACAAACAAAGTTTAGCAGGACCCCCGAGGGAGCAAATTTAATTTTGCCCAGTGTATAAAAGGGTGTATATGTAGGGGGTGATCAGAGGCCTCTGCAGAGATTCAGAATTTGAATGATGACAGATGCTCTCTTTGACATCTGGAAGTAGACAGTGGAGAAAGTGCCACAGTTGCCAGGAACCACATGTGTAAAGGTGTGGAGGCATCAGAGTGCTTGGCATGCTTGGGGGATAAAGAGTTCCATGTGTCTGGGGCCTCAGATGGGGGCATGCACTATGATGGGGCTGTAGCTGGAGATAGTGTGGAACTGACAAATGAATGACGCTAGGGGCTCTCTCTGGGTTGCCTGGCAATGGAGTAGCTCAGATGGACAATTCTCTGCTCCCCAAAGAGGCTGCAATTCTCATGGGACCTGGATAGGCTCCAATCCTTCCTCAGTCAGAGTTAACTGTGCCTGAATTTAATTTTCCAAGGAGTGGCAGCTCCCAGGGCCTCTAGGTGCTAGTCAGCTGGCATTTATCAGCAATCCCCTATACACCCGCCACTTCAGCCTAGAGCCCTTGGTGCCTGAGTTCTAAATGTTTATTATTTCCCCACTTTCTGGGGCAAAGCCACTTTCACATTTGTTCCATATAAATAAAGAACAAAAAGGGGTGTAGAGCCCTCTGATGACAAATATAGATAGACACAGCTGTGTTGCAGCCCAAACATCCCTCTCTGCAGGGTGCCTAGAGAACCAGAGGCCAGATACACCTGTTGATTCTTTTTCCTGTGAGTTCCAGATGCACCAAGTGCTGCTTGCTTTGTCTTTCTCTTCTCATCCCAAATGGGACAGCAGGACAGGGGAGAAGGTGAAGATGAGTCTCTATGTGTTGGCGAGGCTAGGTGTAGAGGGTCTTGTGGACCATGCTTAGGAACTTGAACTTCATCCTTGGAAGATGAGGAGCCAGAAGAGGATTTCTGGTATGGGTGGACGATGATCAGATCTGTGTTTTTGAAAGATTTTATTGTTGGCTAACATGGAGGATGGATTATAAAAAAAAGATATTAAATGCTGGAGTTTACAGGAACATTGGTGTCCTGAGGACCAGGGGATTTGTCTCTTTTGTTCACTACTTTATTCCCAGGGTCTAGAACAGTGCTTTCATGGTTAGTACTCAATACATATTTGACAAATGGATAAGACAAGTCAGGACGCTCTTGCCCTGGAACAGGTGAGAGATGATGCTTTGACTTGGTCAGTGGCCTAGGGATGGAGATGAGTTAGCAATATTGAGACAATTTGGAGGAAAGGCTTGGGGTGGAGGAGCACAGCTGGAATATCAGCTAAAATTGGTTTACTTCTTCAGCCCAGTACCAAGCACAGAGAATTCATCAGCCAGGCACAGAGGTTAGGACTCTTGGGTGACTTGAGATTCTTTATTTTCCATGCTGTGTTCAGGTTCCTAGCCCAGGGAGTTGTTGGCTCCATGATGAGCATCTTTTCCAGGAAATCTGGGTTAAGTACCACCCTGCCCTTGGTGAACTCTGTTGCACTATGGCTCCCTGGTGCAGCCACCTAATGAAATTGTTAAGTTTGCTGTAGTGCAGGCTAGAAGAGCTACATTCAGAATTTCTTTCTATGACATATCTATTTATTATTATTATTATTATGTTTTGAGACAGGGTCTCGCTGTGTCACTTAGGCTGGAGTGCAGCTCACTGCAGCCTCAACCTTCCAGGCTCAAGCGATCCTCCCACCTCAGCCTCTTGAGTGGCTGGGACCACAGGCGTATGCCACCAGCCTGGCTAATTTTTGAATTTTTTGTAGAAATGGGATTTTGCTATGTTGCCCAGGCTGGTCTCAAAGTCCTTAGCTCAAGCAATCCACCAGCCTTGGCCTCCCAAATTGCTGGGATTACAGACATGAGCCACTGTACCTGGCTTATATTTTTCTATTTAAAATTGAAAGCCATATTGTTAAAACATTCTTCCTGGATGCTTCTAAAACTCAACCTCTCATCCTGCAAAGGTACCTTTATAATCCATGCGAAAGAATCTCCAAATCTAGTCTTTGTGTAGGCAGACTGTTATTCTAGGTTTTACTCATCTGTTTGGTTTTTGTGTTTTTCAGGGTGATTTTGGCTGGTCACTACCATCATGGCCTAGAGCACAGTATCCATCTTAGATAGCATCTCAGTCAGGTTCTTAGTTGCAAGCAACAGAAATAAATTTTGGTTAATGTAAACAGAAAAGGGATTTTAAAATATTGTTTATTGTGGTAAAATACACATAACGTAAAATTTGCAATTTAGCCATTTTTAAATGTATAATTCATTGGCATTAATTACATTCATAATGTTGTACAACCATCAATACTATTTTCAAGAAGTGTTTTATTACTCCAACAGAAACTGTACCAATTAAAAAGTAATTTCCCATGCCCCCATACCCTCATCCCCTGGTAACCTATATTCTACTTTTTCTATGAATTTGCTTATTTTAGATATTTTATATAAGTGGAATTATACAACATTTATTCTTTTGTATCTGGCTTACTTAGCATAATATCTTCAAGGTTTATCTGCGTTATAGCATGTATCAAAACTTCATTCCTTTCAATGACTGAATAATATTCCATTGTATGTGTATACCACATTTCTTTTTTATCTCAGAAAGGGAATTTTTAAAAGGCTATTTAGTAGGTTCTGGAGAAGGAATCCTGGAGCCTATATAGCCAGTGTGGGGCTGTGAGTGGTATGGGGGCTTTGGAATTTCAGCTGCACCCCCTACTGTGCGATCTTGGGTAAATTACTCTAAGCCTCAGTCTCTCATCTGTAAAATAGGGATGAAGAATGTTATGCAGATTATTTATTTATTTGAGACAATTTATGGAAATCACTTAGCATAAATTATGGCACCTGAACTAAAAAAGTGCTTATAAACGTTACCGATTATTATGGCTTGTAAAAATCATTGTTTATGCTCCTACTTTCTAATACAAAATCAGACAAGCAGAATTTTTTTGAAAACATCTCCTGACGAAAAAAATAAAACTAAGTTTTTTTTTGAACGTGTTTTCAATCGATTTTTTTTTCTTGGAGTTGGAACTTCTGAGGAAAGGAAAAAGGTTCTTCACCTGACGAAAGAGTGAAACTACCCAGGCCAGTCTAGCCTTATGCCCTCTTTAGACTGGGGGCAGCCTTAGGGCTTCCCTTTCCAAGTACAAGCCCGCATTCTGGAAACACAGAAAGGCCAGGTGGCTGAAGGCAAGGATTGATTAAAGAGAATAAGATATAGTTCCTTTTGCACACAAAGTCCTGTTGACTCTAACTGGATCCCTGAGGGTCTGGGCCCTTGTAGCGGGAGCCAATTATAGACTGGGAAGGTGTTATGATCCTTTGGAAGTAGATGGACCTGGATTCCAGTCCTGGCTCTGCCATTTACAGGTCAAGGTTCCAGTTTTATAGGGCTGAGAAAGGTGAGCTGTGGTCACTGCAGAGGAGTGGGTAGCACAGAGGAGAGCCACTGTCTGAGGGCACTGTGGACAGAACGGCCTATGTGAAGCCTGGAGCAAAACTGGCATACCAGACTGCAGTGCTATTTCTGGATAATTTGCTCCTCCCTCTGGCTCTGCGTGAATCAGCTCATGCATCCTTTGGTGTGGTCTTTCAGCGTCATCCTCAGCAAGGAAGGAGCAGGACAATTTTTCATTCATTACAGGCTGAGATCCAGTAACTCCGGGTAGAGTCTCAGGCTCAGTAGAGCAACCTTGAAATGTAGTTCTGCCTTCTGATTCTCAAAAATGTTTTATTTATTTGTGAAATTGATTGTTTTTTGGTGTAAACCTTGTTATAACAAAATGATCTTCACCCACAATTCAGATGCCCAACAAATCACACGTGTATGTTGCATTTCGACTTTGCTGTTGCCACTGACCAGCAAGGCTGTGGGGGTGCTGGCAGTACAGTTATAAGGCATTTTCTGAGGCTTATGGTGGGTACTCCTAATGGTTCTTACAGGATTAATTGTAATAGGACTTATAGGGCTGAGTTGTAATAATGACTATAAGAATGATGTTCTCTCATGCCATACAGATCACTTGACTCCATCACTTAATTCATTCTTTTCAAAAACATTTCGTGTCTGTCATGTGAAAGATTAGCCCCTATTTTACAAATGTTGACACTGGAACCCAGATATTGGCTAACAGACTGTCCATTTTGGGCCAGAATCCATATGTTCTGCCTTCTGATCCAGTGGTCTATTTATTTCTCCACTGTGAGCTGGGCAATGCGGGAATTCCAGATTTTTTTGATTTAGTAGTTTGTGATATGGTCCCAGAGAGGCCACTTGTCCTCCCTCCACCAGAAAAGGAGCAAATCTGTTGTCAACCTCTTGCTGTCTCCAAATTTCCAAAGAAGTAACTCAGCCAGAGTAGAAGCTTGAGTCTGGTTTGTTGGCAGTGGAGTGTACAGGTGGCTCCTTGCCTTGTGCCCCAGGGTAGCAGTAAATTGATATTTGCTGGTCTCCAAGCCTCTGGAAGAGACAGAAGAGGAGGGTTGGGAAAGTGACACTTTCTGTAAATAACCACACCTGGTTCTAAGAGCAGAAGGATTGGCATGTCCCTGTAGCCTCATCAATTACCATCAAACTTTTGCAAAGGGAGCCCCAGGGGAGAGAATCTCTTCACACTCTTATGATTATTTATAGACACCTCACCCTGTCCACACTCTGGGGGGGAATATGGTTTGCTTGGCAGCAGCCTCCTTCCAGATGTGTTTATATTCTTACAGGCCCAGTGGAATGCATCCTTCTGCCCCTGCATTACATGGAACAGAGGGGATGGCAGACACTGGGATATAGTGAAGATATGGAAGGGAAGGCATGAGGCAGGATCCCGAATTTCTCAGTTATGTGCATATATCTCCCAGCAAACACTGAATGAATAGCCACTTTGCTGCCAAAGAAGGCAATTCAGTGTAGCGGTTAAATGAACATGCTTTGCAAGCAGATGGGCCTGGATTCAAATCCCAGCTCTTCCATTGATGAGCTGTGTGGCTTCAGTTAAGTTAATTAATATATACCCAAAGGATTATAAATTTGCCTCCGTTTCCTTATCTGTAAAATGGGATAATAATACAGCCTCTTAGGGTTATTGTGAGGTTTGAATGCAAAGGCCTTAGCAGTGCCTGACACACAGTGGATTATTAGTATTATATGATGGCTATTCTTACAAGATGCCACTAGGTACTCTGTGGTGTGTGTGTGTGTGTGTGTGTGTGTGTGTGTGTGTGTGTGTGTGATTTTGATAAAAACAGGCCTGGAGAACAGAGATGATTCAGGCAGTACAGGCAGGGAATGTTCAGTGAAAAAGTCAGTGTTAAAACCTACAGAAGGAGAGCTCTCCATGGACTAGATAGGCCAGGTCAGAGGGGGCAGGTAAGAGGAAGGAAAGGTGACTGAGCTGCCTGAGTGTTTGAGGGATGTTATTGAACACGTCGGCAGGGTGCTCACTACCGTCAACCCAGCCATTATGACTGGGAGTTAGCAGAATGCCCTCGACTAGCTTTAGGAAAAGCCATTTTAGCTTGGGCTATCAGTGTTCAGCGGAAAGGTGTAGTAGCATCCTCTCCAGAAGGAGAGTTTGTTGATGTGCCACACTCTGAGGGGGGCATATGTTTAATAGCTAATCTGGCCCCTGGCAAAAGTGAGGCTGCCCAAAGTGACTAAAGAAAAAGATACATTTTGGGATGAGTGATCCGTGCTTAGTGGATTTTCCCACTCGTTTATTTGCTTTCAAAGGTCTACCATTATTTATACCCGAAGCATAATGATTACTCACTCTATGAATCTCTTGCTTTAGAAATTGTAAAGATAAATTTAAAAATTCACAAAATTTTAAGAAAATAGTATAATTAACCCCCACGTGCCCATAACCCAGCCAAAACAATAAACTCACAGCTACTTTTGTTTTATCTACACTCCCCACCAGATTAATTGAAATACCTCCACAATGTCATATCATTTCACTTGTGAATATTTGTGTGCATTTCTAAAAGAAAAGGATGTTAAAAAAAATCATAATAACATTATCACAATAAAAAAAGGACAATAATGTTTTAATATCATTAAATGTCCAGTGTTCAAATTTCTACAATATTTCATATTTTTTTCAGTTGGCTTCTTTGAATCAGGGTTTACATAAGATTCACACACTGTAACTGGTTGATATTTCTTAGTCTCTTAAATGTATAGTTTCCTCAGCCCTGTTTTTGTCCCCTTGTAATTCATTTGTTGAGGAGAGCAGGTCATTTTTTATTTTCTAGATAAGATTGCATCTCTATGGTGCCCTTTACCATGCTCCTTTGTCCTCTATATTTCCTATATAATGGTAGCTAGATCTAGTGACTCGGTCTGATTCAGCTGTACTTATTTACTTGTAAGTCTACATTACAAGTATTATCATGTACTTCCATCCACCAGCCTATAATGACTGGTTGTCTGTTTTTGTAGTGGAACAGCCATTGATAATCATTGCCAAGAGCCATAAATTCTGTCATCCCTTCTTCATTTATTGTATAGAATAGTTCTATAGAAATGCTTTTTTTATCTGACCAACCATCTGCTACTTTATAATATAATTTAATCAGGAAACACAGGTTAAATGTTTGATTCTTTCCCTGTATTTACCAGTATTTGGATTAGTGGGTTGGTTCCCTTCCATCCTCCAGAAGTGATAATTGAGATTTTTCTGTTTTATGGTATCATTAGGAACTCATGAATGGGAACGTATTTGATGTGTTGCAGTTGCAGTTATTATCCTTTTTGATGCTCAGATTTTCCCATGTCTGGCCAGTGGGAGCCTCTTTCCTGAGTTGCTTCCTGAGTCCTGACATGACCCTGACCCTGGTAGTCATTGACAGGTTTCCTGCTTTCTGGAAAGAAAAGATGTCCAGGCTTGGTTGTAGAAATACTTTTAAAAGATAAAATATATTATGAATTTATACTGATATTTTTAATTCAAATTTAGGATTACAAGACTTTGCTTAACTTTGATTTGATTTGGAATTTTTTCCTCTTATGCAGAGAATCTTGGTTCTTAATGACAAGAACATAGTTGCTTATTTGCTTTATTCTATTATATATGTATGCATTTAGAAACAACACCAATACTATCATCACTAAAAATAGTTACTATTTTTATTATTTGCAGTTCTTAGGTATATCTCACTAGAGATTACAATAGAGTTACTGTATTTTCCAAGCATTTAAAAGAATACACTTCTGAATCATTAAACAATCAACTCAATGCACAGTTAGGTTAATTTATTCTATATACCCAAAGGATTATAAATTGGGATTGCTGGGTCAAATGGTATTTCTAGTTCTAGATCCTTGAGGGATCGCCACACTGTCTTCCACAATGGTTGAACTAATTTACACTCCCACCAACAGTGTAAAAGTGTTCCTATTTCTCCACATCCTCTCCAGCATCTGTTGTTTCCTGAGTTTTTAATGATCGCCATTCTAACTGGTGTGAGATGGTATCTCATTGTGGTTTTGATTTGCATTTCTCTGATGAACAGTGATTATGAGCATTTTTTCATGTGTCTGTTGGCTGCATAGATGTCTTCTTTTGAGAAATGTCTGTTCATATCCTTTGCCCACTTTTTGATGGGGTTGTTTGTTTTTTCTTGTAAATTTGTTTGAGTTCTTTCTAGATTTTGGATATTAGCCTTTTGTCAGATGGGTAGATTGCAAAAATTTTCTCCCCTTCTGTAGGTTGCCTGTTCACTCTGATGGTAGTTTCTTTTGCCGTGCAGAAGCTCTTGAGTTTAATTAGATCCCATTTGTCAATTTTGGCTTTTGTTGCCATTGCTTTTGGTGTTTTAGTCATGAAGTCCTTGCCCATGCCTATGTCCTGAATGGTATTGCCTAGGTTTTCTTCTAGGGTTTTTATGGTTTCAGATATATCATTTAAGTCTTTAATCCATCTTGAAATAATTCTTGTATAAGGGTGTAAGGAAGGGTCCCAGTTTCAGCTTTCTACATCTGTCTAGCCAGTTTTCCCAGCACCATTTATTAAATAGGGAATCCTTTCCCCATTGCTTGTTTTTTTCAGGTTTGTCAAAGATCAGATGCTTGTAGATGCGTGGTGTTGTTTCTGAGGCCTCTGTTCTGTTCTATTGGTCTATCTCTCTGTTTTGGTACCAGTACCATGCTGTTTTGGTTACTGTAGCCTTGTAGTATAGTTTGAAGTCAGGTAGCGTGATGCCTCCAGCTTTGTTCTTTTGGCTTAGGACTGACTTGGCAATGTGGGCTCTTTTTTGGTTCCATATGAACTTTAAAGTAGTTTTTTCCAATTCTGTGAAGAAAGTCATTGGTAGCTTGATGGGGATGGCATTGAATCTATAAATTACCTTGGGCAGTATGGCCATTTTCTCGATATTGATTCTTCCTATCCATGAGCATGGAATGTTCTTCCATTTGTTTGTGTCCTCTTTCATTTCATTGAGCAGTGGTTTGTAGTTCTTCTTGAAGAAGTCCTTCATGTCCCTTGTAAGTTGGATTCCTAGGTATTTTATTCTCTTTGAAGCAATTGTGGATGGGAGTTCACTCATGATTTGGCTCTCTGTCTGTTATTGGTGTATAGGAATGCTTGTGAATTTTGCACATTGATTTTGTATCCTGAGACTTTGCTGAAGTTGCTTATCAGCTTACAGAAATATTCGGCTGAGATGATGGGGTTTTCTAAATATGCAATCGTGCCATCTGCAAAGAGGGACAATTTGACTTCCTCTTTTCCTAATTGAATACCCTTTATTTCTTTCTCTTGCTTGACTGCACTGGCCAGAACTTCCAACACTATGTTGAATAGGAGTGGTGAGAGAGGGCATCCTTGTATTGTGCCAGTTTTCAAAGGGAATGCTTCCAGTTTTTGCCCATTCAGTATGATATTGGCTGTACTTATTATTTTGAGCTCTTATTATAGCTCATTATTTTGAGACATGTTCCATCAATACCTAGTTTATTAAGAGTTTTTCACATGAAGGGCTGTTGAATTTTGTTGAAGGCCTTTTCTGCATCTATTGAGATAATCATGTGGTTTTTGTCATTGGTTCTGTGTATGTGAGGGATTGTGTTTATTGATTTGCGTATGTTGAACCAGCCTTGCATCCCAGGGATGAAGCCGATCTGATTGTGGTGGATAAGCTTTTTGATGTGCTGCTGGATTTGGTTTGCCAGTATTTTATTGAGGATTTTTGCATCAATGTTCATCAGGGATATTGGTCTAAAATTCTCTTTTTTTGTTGTGTCTCTGCCAGGCTTTGGTATCAGGATGATGTTGGCTTCATAAAATGAGTTAGGGAGGATTCCCTCTTTTTCTATTGATTGGAATAGTTTCAGAAGGAATGGTACCAGCTCCTCTTTCTACCTCTCGTAGAATTTGGCTGTGAATCCATCTGGTCCTGGACATTTTTTGGTTGGTAGGCTATTAACTATTGCCTCAATTTCAGAGCCTGTTATTGGTCTACTCAGAGATTCAACTTCTTCCTGGTTTAGTCTTGGGAGGTTGTAGGTTTCCAGGAATTTATCCATTTCTTCTAGATTTTCTAGTTTATTTGTGTAGGGATGTTTATAGTATTCTCTGATGGTAGTTTGTATTTCTGTGGGATTGGTGGTGATATCCCTTTATCATTTTTTACTGCATCTATTTGATTCCTCTCGCTTTTCTTCCTTATTATTCTTGCTAGCGGTCTATCAATTTTGTTGATCTTTTCAAAAAACCAGCTCCTGGATTCATTGATTTTTTGAAGGGTTTTTTGTGTCTCTCTTTTAGTTCTGCTCTAATCTTAGTTATTTCTTGCCTTCTGCTAGCTTTTGAATTTGTTTGCTCTTGCTTCTCTAGTTCTTTTTTTTTTTTTTTTTTTTTTTTTTGATGGAGTCTCACTCTGTCTCCCAGGCTGGAGTGCAGTGGTGTGATCTCGGCTCACTGCAAACTCTGTCTCCTGGGTTCATGCCATTCTCCTGCCTCAGCTTCCCAGGTAGCTGGGACTACAGGTGGCCACCACCATGCCCAGCTAATTTTTTGTATTTTTAGTAGAGATGAGGTTTCATCATGTTAGCCAGGATGGTCTTGATCTCCTGACCTTGTGATCTGCCCGCCTCAGCCTCTGAAAGTGCTAGGATTACAGGCGTGAGCCACTGTGCCCGGCCCTCTCTAGTTCTTTTAATTGTGATGTTAGGTTGTCGATTTTAGATCTTTCCTGCTTTCTCTTGTGGGCATTTAGTGCTATAAATTTCCCTCTACACACTGCTTTAAATGTGTCCCAGAGATTCTGGTACGTTGCGTCTTTGTTCTCATTGGTTTCAAAGAACATCTTTATTTCTGCCTTAATTTCATTGTTTACCCAGTAGTCATTCAGGAGCAAGTTGTTCAGTCTCCATGTAGTTGTGTGGTTTTGAGTGAGTTTCTTAATCCTGAATTCTAATTTGATTGCACTGTGGTCTGAGAGACAGTTTGTTGTGATTTCTGTTCTTTTACATTTGCTGAGGAGTGCTTTACTTCCAATTACGTGGTCAATTTTAGAATAAGTGCAATGTGGTGCTGAAAAGAATGTATATTTTGTTGATTTGGGGTAGAGAGTTCTGTAGATGTCTATTAGGTTTGGTTGGTGCAGAGCTGAGTTCAAGTCCTGGATATGCTTGTTAACCTTCTGTCTTGTTGATCTGTTTAATATTGACAGTGGGATGTTAAAGTCTCCCATTAATATTGTTTGGGAGTCTAAGTCTCTTTGTAGGTCTCTAAGGACTTGCTTTATGAAGCTAGGTGCTCCTGTATTGGGTGTATATATATTTAGGATAGTTAGCTCTTCTTGTTGAATTGATCCCTTTACCATTAGGTAATAGCCTTCTTTGTCTCTTTTGATCTTTGTTGGTTTAAAGTCTGTTTTATCAGTGACTAGAATTGCAACCCCTACTTTTTTTTTTTTTTTTTTGCTTTCTATTTGCTTGCTAGATCTTCATCCATCCCTTTATTTTGAGCCTGTGTGTCTTTGCATGTGAAATGGGTCTCCTGAATACAGAACACTGATGAGTCTTGACTCTTTATCCAATTTGCCAGTCTGTGTGTTTTAATTGGAATATTATTTAGCCCATTTACATTTAAGGTTAAATATGTGTGAATTTGATCCTGTCATGATGATGTTAGCTTGTTATTTTGCCTGTTAATTGATGCAGTTTCTTCATAGCATCGATGGTCTTTACAATTTGGCATGTGTTTGCAGTGGCTGGTACTGGTTGTTTCTTCCCATTAGTGCCTCCTTCAGGAGTTCTTGTGAGGCAGGCCTGGTGATAACAAAATCTCTCAGCATTTGCTTGTCTGTAAAGGATTTTATTTCTCCTTCACTTATGAAGCTTAGTTTGGCTGGATATGAAATTCTGGGTTGAAAATTCTTTTATTTAAGAATGTTAAATATTGGCCCTCACTCTCTTCGGGCTTGTAGGGTTTCTGCTGAGATCCGCTGTTAGTCTGATGGGCTTCCCTTTGTGTGTAACCCTACCTTTCTCTCTGGTTGCCCTTAACATTTTTTCCTTCATTTCAACCTTGGTGAATCTGACAATTATGTGTCTTGGGGTTGCTCTTCTCAAGGAGTATCTTTGTGGTGTTCTCTGTATTTCCTGAATTTGGATGTTGGCCTACCTTGCTAGGTTGGGGAAGTTTTCCTGGGTAATATCCTGAAGAGCGTTTTCCAACTTGGTTCCATTCTTCCCATCACTTTCAGGTACACTAATCAAATGTAGATTTGGTCTTTTCACATAGTCCCATATTTCTTGGAGGCTTTATTCATTTCTTTTTAATCTTTTTCTCTAACCTTGTCTTCTTGCTTTATTTCATTAATTTGATCTTCAGTCACTGACATCCTTTCTTCCACTTGATTGAATCGGCTATTGAAGCTTGTGCATGCATCATGAAGTTCTCGTGCCATGGTTTTCAGCTCCATCAGGCCATTTAAGGTCTTCTCTACACTGTTTATTCTAGTTAGCCATTTGTCTAACCTTTTTTTCAAGGTTTTTAGCTTCCTTGCAATGGGTTCGAACATGCTCCTTTAGCTTGGAGAAGTTTGTTATTTCCGACCTTCTGAAGCCTACTTCTGTCAACTCGTCAAAGTCATTCTCCATCCAGCTTTGTTCCATTGCTACTGAGGAGCTGCGATCCTTTGGAGGGGAAGAGATGCTCTGATTTTTAGAATTTTCAGCTTTTCTGCTCTGGTTTCTCCCCATCTTTGTGGTTTTTTCTACCTTTGGTCTTTGATGTTGGTGACCTAGAGATGGGGTTTTGTGTAGATATCCTTTTTGTTGATGTTGATGCTATTCCTTTCTGTTTGTTAGTTTTCCTTCTAACAGTCAGGTCCCTCAGCTGCACATCTGTTGGAGTTTGCTGGAGGTCCACACCAGACCCTGTTTGCCTGGGTGTCACCAGCAGAGGCTGCAGAACAGCAAATATTGCAGAACAGCAAATATTGCTGCCTGATCCTTCTTCTGGAAGCTTTGTCCCAGAGGGGCACCCGCCTATATGAGGTGTCAGTCAGCCCCTACTGGGAGGTGTCTCCCAGTTAGGCTATATGGGGTCAGGGACCCACTTGAGGAGGCAGTCTGTCTGTTCTTAGAGCTCACACGCTGTGTTGGGATAGCCACTGCTGTCTTCAGAGCTGTCAGACAGGGACGTTTAAGTCTGCAGAATTGTCTGCTGCCTTTTGTTCAGCTAAGCCCTGCCCACAGAGATGGAGTCTAGAGGCAGTAGGCCTTGTTGATCTGTGGCAGGCTCTGCCCAGTTTGAGCTTCCCAGCTGCTTTGTTTACCTACTAAAGCCTCAACAATGGTGGACGCCCCTCCCCCAGCCAGGCTGCCGCCTCACAGTTCAATCTCAGACTGCTGTGCTAGCAGTGAGGAAGGCTCCGTGGGTGTGAGAGCTGCAGAGCCAGGCACGGGAGAGAATCTCCTTGTCTGCCGGTTGCTAAGACCTTGGGAAAAGCGTAGTATTTGGGTGGGAGTGTCCCGTTTTTCCAGGTACAGTCTATCATGGCATCCCTTGGCTAGGAAAGGGAAATCCCCCAACCCCTTGTGCTTCCCAGGTAAGGCCATGCCCTGCCCTGCTTCAGCTCACCCTCTGTGGGCTGCACCCCCTGTCCAACCAGTCCCAATGAAATGAACCAGGTACCTCAGATGGAAATGCAGAAATCACCTGTCTTCTGCGTTGATCAAGCTGGGCGCTGCAGACCGCAGCTCTTCCTATTTGGCCATCTTGGAACTGATCCCTATCTTTTCTATCAGTGTTTCTTTAGGACAGGTTCCTGGAAGTGGGCTTCCTGGATCAAAAGGTCACAGTGCATATGTTATTTTGCTACGTATTGCCAAATTCTCCTTCATAGGACTTGTACCTTTCTTGTTCCTTCCAGCAATGACAGGAGTGCCTGTTGCTCAAAGCCTTGTCAAAAGAGTGTATTGCCAACCTTTTAAATTTTCATCATTGATTGGCGAAAAATGGTAGATCACTATATTTTTAATTTGCCATTTTCTTGTTATGTGCAGATTTGAGATCTTTTTATATAAATGAGGGACATTTGTATTTTGTTTTCAGTCAAGTCTGTGCATACCCATAGTCTTTTTTTCCTTCTTCTATAATGATCTTTATCTTTTAAAAAATCTTTGTATATTAGAAATATTAACTCTTTGTCTATGGGAAAAGTTGCAATATTTCCCCCATTTTGACATTTGTCCCTTTACTTTCCTTATGGCACTTTTGTAGGTAAAAGTTTATTTTTTATGTTCTTATTTTTATGTAGGCAAATTCATCCATCTTCCTCTTGTGGCTTGTGGATATTGAGTCAGACAGAGGTAGGAAAGTTTTCCCCACTCTCAAATTACAGAATAATTCAGACTTGGTTTTTTTTCTATCCTTGTATGGACTCATTTAATATGTGTAATTTTCTCATTCACTTGGAATTTAACTTGTTGTATGGTGTGGGAAATGAATATAATTTTATCTTTTCACGTCTGGCTATTCAGTTATCCCCATGTCTTTGATTATAAAGACCACCATTTACTCCACTAATTAGTGATTCTACTTTTATAATATAGTTACAGTATTAGTATATTAGTTTAATATATTATAAAAGTTATAGTATACCAAATAATATATAAATATTATATTTATAATATAATATATAAATGTCAAAATTTAGTATAGGATAGCTTTTATTTTTATTTATTTTATTTTATTTTATTTATTTTATTATTATCTTTTATTTTTTTCCCATTGGTCTATACATGCGCCAACACTACATTCTTAATTACAGAGACATTATATGTTTTCGTATCTGACAGGGCTATTCTTCTCTCATTTTTTCCTCTCTTTTTTTTCAAACTGTTGACAAATAATAGTTGTATGACTTTATGGGATACAATATGATGTTCTGAGAATATATACTTTGTGGAGTGGTTATATCAAGCTAATTAACATATCTACAACTCCAAGATATTTTTTTAAGCTTCCCTGTCCCCACTGACTTTTCTTGCTTATCTCTTCTTCCACATAAATTTTATAATAAACTTAGCTAGCTCTAGATAGAAACTTAGTTATATTTTTATTGGATTACATTAAGTTTATGAATTATATAAAATTATATTAAATTAAACTTTATAAGCTTATGAATTAATTTAGAGAGATCTGAAATCTTTGATATTAGTCTTTCTGTCCAAGAATATGGTATATTTTTCCACATGTATGTTTTTAAATTGTTTTATAGTTTTTCTTCATATAAGTTTTGGACATGTCTTATTAAATTTATGCCTAGATATTTCATTTTTATTGGCTTTCACCAAGGGGTTCTTCTCTTCCAACATAAACAAATTTTTGTTTGTATATATGAAGACTCCTGATTTTTGTGTATTGATTTTGTAAACTACTTTACTAAATTCTTTTGTTTGTAGTAGTTTTCCATTGAATCTTTTTGGAGCTTCTAGTTACATACTTATATTAATTTGCTCTATTACTGTAATGAATAATAGTAGTGGAGTTTAGTATACTGAATTGCTCTTCCTTGATTTGGAATAAACACTACTTCCTCATGATGAATTTTCTAATGTGCTATTGGATTCTGATTGATAATAATTAATTAGTATTTTTATTATGGTATTTATTTATAAGTGATATTAATCTGTAGTTTCATTTTGTTGATACAATCATTTTCATATTGAGATTGATGTTACAGTTATTTTATATTTTTAATAGTCTTTTTTTTTTTAGATAGGGTCTCACTCTGTCACGTAGGCTGCAGTTCAGTGGCACATTCATTGCTCACTGCAGGCTTGACCTGCAAGGTTCAAGTGATCCTCCCACCTCAGCCTCCTGAGTAGCTGGGAGTACAGGTGTGTGCCACCCCACCTGGCTAATTTTTGTATTTTTTGTAGAGATGGCTTTATTATTTTGCTCAGGCTTGTCTTGAACTCCTGGGGTCAAGTGATCCACCTGCCTCAGCCTCCCAAAGCACTGGGAATACAGGTGTGTGCTACTGTGCCTGGCCACACTCATTTTATAAAATGATTTTTAGAAATAAAATTTTTCCAAGAAACAATCTGAGCCTTGTGCATTTTTGTGGGAAGGTTCTATACTACTTCCTCTATTTTTTCTTATTTTACATGTTAGACTCTCTGTTTCTACTGGGGTTGAATTTGATAAGTTATGTTTTTCTAGAAAATTATTAACTTCACCTACTTTTTCAAATTTATTTGCAAATAATTTTACAAAGTAGACTCTTATGATTTTTAAAAAATTGCTAAGCTTTGATGATTATTTCCTTCTTGTCATTTCTAAGTTTATGTGCATGGTTTCCCCCAGGTCTCCTCAATTATTAATATGTTAGCTAGTACACTGTTTATTATGTTCATTTTTTCAAATAATTAATTTTTAGATGTATTAGTTTTATTTTTTGTTTCTAATGCAGTACCTTTCTTGAGGCATAATTTACTTACTCTAAAATATATTATGTGTACAGTTGGAAGATTTTGACAAATTCATACTGTACAAAAAAATACTAATCAAGATTGGAAAAAAATTCTATCACTCTAGAAATTTCTTTCATCCTCCTTTCCAGACAGACTGCTACTCTACCCCACAGGTAAACAGCATTCTAGTATCTATCACCATAGCTTAGTTTTGCCGGTTTCAAACATCGTGTAAATGGGTGTATTAGTCCATTTTCATGCTGCCAATAGAGACATACCCGAGATTGGGATGAAATGAAGTTTAATTTATAGTTCCACATGGCTGGGGAGGCCTCAGAATCATGGTGGGAGGCAAAAGGCACTTCTTACAGGCGACAGGCGGCAAGAGAAAATGAGGAAGATGCAAAAGTGGAAACCTCTGATAAACCCTTCAGATCTCATGAGACTTATTCACTACCACCAGAACAGTATGGGGAAAACCGCCCGCATGATTCAAATTATCTCCCACCAGGTCCCTCCCACAACACATGGGAATTATGGTAGTACAATTCAAGATGAGATTTGGGTGGGGACACAGAGCCAAACCATATCATTCTGCCCCTGGCCTCTCCAAATCTCATGTACTCATATTTCAAAACCAGTCATGCCTTCCCAACAGTTCCCTAAAGTCTTAACTCATTTCAGCATTAACTCAAAAGTCCACAGTCCAAAATCTTATCTGAGACAAGGCAAGTCCCTTCCACCTGTGAGCCTGTAAAATCAAAAGTAAGCTAGTAACTTCCTAGATACAATGGGGATACAGGTATTGGGTAAATACAGCCGTTCCAAATGGCAGAAATTGGCCAAAACAAAGGGGTTACAGGGCCCATGCAAGTCTGAAATACAGCAGGGCAGTCAAATTTTAAAGATCCAAAATGATTTCCTTTGACTCTAGATCTCATATCCAGGTCACGCTGATGCAAGAGGTGGGTTCCCATGATCTTGGGAAGCTCTACCTCTTGGCTTTGCAGGGTATAGCCTCTCTCCCAGCTGCTTTCATGGGCTGGCATTGAGCATCTGTGGCTTTTCCAGGTGGACGGTGCAACCTGTAGGTGGATCTACCATTCTGGGGTCTGGAGGATGGTGGTTCTCTTCTCACAGCTCCACTAGGCAGTGCCCCAGTAGGGACTCTGTGTGGGGGCTCCAACCCCACATTTCCCTTCCACACTGCCCCAGCAGAAGTTCTCCATGAGCATCCCGCCCCTGTAGCAAACTTCTGCCTGGGCATCCAGGCATTTCCATACATCTTCTGAAATCTAGATGGAGGTTCCCAAACCTCAATTCTTTACTCCTATATACTTGCAGGCTCAACACCATGTGGAAGCTGCCAAGGCTTGGGGGCATGCACCCTCTGAAGCCACAGCCTGAGCTCTACATTTGGGCCCCTTCAGCCACGGCTGGTGCAGCTGGGATGCAGGGCAAGTTCCTAGGCTGCACACAGCACTGGGACCCTGGGCCCAGCCCATGAAACCATTTTCTCCTAGGCTTCTGGGCCTGTGATGGGAGGGGCTGCCGTGAAGACCTCTGACGTGCCCTGGAGACATTTTCCCCACTTTCTTGGGGATTAACATTTGGGTCCCCATTACTTATGCAACTTCCTGCAGCCGGCTTTAATTTCTTCTCAGAAAATGGGTTTTTCTTTTCTATCGCATTGTCAGGCTGCAAATTTTCTAAACTTTTATGCTCTGTTTCCCTTTTAAAAGTGAATGCTTTTAACAGCACCTAAGTCACCTCTTGAATGCTTTGCTGTTTAGAAATTTTTTCTGCCAGATACCCTAAATTATCTCTCTCAAGTTTGAAGTTCCACAAATCTCTAGAGCAGGGGCAAAATGCTGCCGGCCTGAAATATAACAAGAGTCATCTTTGCTTCAGTTCCCAATGAGTTCCTCATCTCCATCTGAAACACCTCAGCCTGGACCTAATTGTTCATGTCACTATCAGCATTTGTATTAAAGCCATTCAACCAGTCTTTAGGAAGTTCCAAACTTTCCCACATTTTCCTGTCTTCTTCTGAGCCCTCCAAACTGTTCCAACCTCTGCCTGTTACCCAGTTGCAATGTCGCTTCCACATTTTCAGGTATCTTCTCAGCAATGGCCCACTCCCAGTACCAATTTATTGTATTTGTCCATTTTCATGCTGCTGATAAAGACATACCTGAGACTGGGAAGAAAAAGAAGTTTAATTGCACTTACAGTTCCACGTGGCCGGGGAGGCTTCAGAATCATGGTGGGAGGCAAAAGGCACTCTTACCTGGTGACAGCAAGAGAAAATGAGGAAGATGCAAAAGCAGAAACCCCTGATAAACCCATCAGATCTCATGAGGCTTATTCACTACCATCAGAACAATATGGGGGAACCACCCCCATGATTCAAATTATCTCCCATCGGTCCCTCCTACAACATATGGGAATTATGGGAGTATAATTCAAAATGAGATTTGGGTGGGGACACAGAGCCATACCATATCATTGGGATCATATGGAATGTACTCTTTTGTATCTGACTTCTTGTATTTGGCATACATTTTGAGATTCGTAAGTGTTCTTGAGTGCATAATTTCTTTTAATTTCTGAGTTGTATTCCATAATAGATATACCATAGCTTATTTATTCATCTGTTGATGGATTTGGATTATACTAGTTTGGAGCTATAAAGAACAAAGCTACTGTCTATATTGTTTTATAATGTTTATTGTTGCACAAAGCTGCTATAAACATTGTTGTACGATGGTTTCATTTACGTGGGTGAATACCTAGAATTAGAATAGTTGGCTCACAATATAAGAAATCAGCAACTGTTTTTCCAAAGCGTTGTATGATTAAGAATCCACCAGCAATGTATTACTTGCTCCATAATTGTGTCCAGTTGCTCTGTATCCTCACTAGCAATTGTTATTATGTCTTTTTAATTTTAGTCATTCTAATGGGTATGGAGTGATATCTCATTATGGTTTTAATTTTAATTTATCTAATGACTAATGATGTCGTGCATCTTTTCATGTGCTTATTAGCCAATTATATATGTTCTTTTGTAATGTTTATTTTGAAGCATTTTACTCTTTTTATTGAGTCTTTTTTGCTATTGATTTGTAGAAGTTCTTTATGTAATTTGGAAACCATTGCTTTGTCGGATATGTTTTGCAAATATTTTCTCTCAGTCTGTGACTTGCCTTTTCTCTTTCTTCGTTGTGTCTTTTGATGATGAGCAGGAGATATTAGTTTTGGCAGAGTCCAACTTGTCGATTTTTAAAAGTATATAGTGCATTTTATGTTCTATGTAGGAAAAATTTGCCTGTCCCTAGGTCATAAAGATATTTTCTTAAGTTTTCTTCTAGTAGTTTTATTATTTTAGCTTTTACATTTAATTCTAGTTTGTATCTTGAATTAATCATTGTATATGGTGTAGTTTTTTTAAATGGTTATACAGTTGTTTCATTCATTGAAAAGTCTTTTCTTTCCTCATTGAACTGCTTTCATACCTGTGTTGAAAATCAACTGACTATATATATGTGGGTCCTTCCTTCCTTCCTTCCTTCCTTCCTTCCTTCCTCCCTTCCTTCCTTCCTTTCTTCTTTCCTGTTCCCTTCTCTGTCCTCCCTCCCTCTCCCTCCTTTCTTCCTTCCTTCTTTCCTTTCTCTCTCCTTCCTTCCTTCTTTTCTTCCTTCCTTCCTTTCTCTCTCCTTCCTTCCTTCCCTCCCTTTTTCCTTCTTTATTTCTCTTTCTTTCTACCTTTCTTTCTTTCTTTTCTTTCTTTCACAGGATTTTGCTGTCACCCAGCTTAGAGTGCACTGGTGTGATCATGGCTCGCTACAGCCTCGACCACTGGGGCTGAAGCGATCCTCCCACCTCAGCCTCCCACATAGCTGGGACTACAGGCACATGCCACCATGCCTGGCTAGTTTTTTCTTTTTGTATTTTTTGTAGAGACAGGGTTTTGCCATGTTGCCCAGGCTGGTCTTGAATTCCTGGACTCAAGTGATCCACCTGCCTCAGCCTTCCAAAGTGCTGGGTTTACAGGTGTGAGCCACTATTCCTAGTCCATGTAGGTCTATTTCTATCTCTTTTAGACGGTTCCGTTGATCTTTTTGTCTATCCTTACATTGGTACCATACTGCCTTGATTACTGTAACTTTATAATAAGTCTTGAAATCAGATAATTTAAGCCCTATGATATAAAACTTTTTTTTGATAAGACTTGTGGCTATTCTACGCCCTTTGCCTTTCCATTTTTATTTATTTAGTTGATAAACTAAAATTGTATATATTTATGGTATATAATAGATTTTGATATATGTATACATGTAGAATGGCTACATCAAGCTAATTAACGCATGCATTGCCTTGCATATTTATCATTTTTGTGAAGAGAACATTTAAAATCTACTTTCTTCGCAACTTTTTAGAATCATATTTATTTTTATTGACCATAGTCACCACGATATACAGTAGATCTCTTGAATTTATTCCTCCTATCTAACTGAAATTTTGTATTCTTTGACCAATATCTCCCTAATCCTCCAGCCTCTAGAGGTAACCATTATTCTACCCTCTGCTTCTATGAGTTTGCCTTTTAAAGATTCCATTATAGATAAGATTATGTGATATTTGTTTTTCTGTGCCTGGCTTATTTTACTTAACATAATGTCCTCCTGGTTGATGATTATTGTCACAATAACATGTTTTCATTCTTTTTTTAATGGCTGAATAGTTTTCCATTGTTTATATGTACCACATTTTCTTTATTCATTCATCCATTGATGGACATGTAGGATGATTTCTTATCTTGGCTATTGTGAATAACACTGCAGTGAACATGAGAGTGCAGATATGTCTTTGACATATTGATTTCATTTCCTTTGGATGTATACCCAGTAGTGGGATTGCTGGGTCATATAGTAGTTCTGCATTTATTTTTTTGAGGAACTTCCACACTGTTTTCCATAATGGCTGCAGCAGTTTATATACATACCAACAGTATATGAGTTCCCTTTTCTCCACATCCTCTTCAACACTTGTTATAGTTTGTCTTTTTTATAATAGCCATTCTAACAAGTGTAAGGTGACATCTCATTGCAGTCTTAATTTGTGTTTCTGTGGTGATAAGTGATATTGAGCATTTTTTCATATGTCTGTTGGCTATTTGTGTGTCATTTTTAGAGAAATAACTATTTATGTCCTTTGCCCATTTGTATTATTTATTTAAATCTTCAGCTTGAAACAAGTGTTCATTTATTGACTACTTACAATACGTGATTTTGTATCTTAGTTGGTAATCTAAGATGATGGTGTATTAGTCCATTCTCATGCCACCAATAAAGACATACCCAAGACTGGGTAATTTATAAAGAAAAGAGGTTTAAGGGACTCACAGTTCTACATGGCTGAGGAGGCCTCACAATCATGGCAGAAGGCAAAGGAGAAGCAAAGGCATGGTGGCAGGCAAGAGAAAGTGTGCAGGAGAACTGCCCTTTGTAAAACCATCTGATCATGTGAGAGCTTACTCACTGTCACGAGAATAGCATGGAGGTAACCACTCCCGTGATTCAATTACCTCTCACTGGGTTCCTTCCACAACATGTGGGGATTATGGGAACTACAATTCAAGATGAGATTTGGGTGAGGACACAGCAAAACCATATCAGATAGTTATACACTAAGTGAAAGATGACTTAACCTCCCTTCCAGATATTATCTTTCAAAGGGAATATTTAATTTTAAGAACCAGAATTGCATCTCATGGTGATAGTCATCACTTGGAGAACAAGGACAACCTTGCCCATTTTAAAATCAAGTTATTTGTTCTTTTTGCTATTGAGTTCTTTACATATTTTGGATATGAACCCCTAAACAAATATATGATTTGCAAATATTTTCTCCCATTGCCTTTAGTCTATTAATTGTTTCCTTTGCTGTGCAGAAGCTTTTCAGTTTGATGTAATCCCATTTGTCTATTTTTGCTGTTGTTGCTTGTGCTTTTGGGGCCATATTCAAAAACATTATTGCCCAGATCAATGTCTTGGAGCTCATCCTCTATATTTTCTTCTAGTAGGTTTACAGTTCCAGGTCTTAAGTTTAAGTCTTTAATCCACTTTGAGTTGATTTTTGTGTATGGTGTGAGATAAAGGTCTGATTCTAGTCTTCTGCATGTGGATATCCAGCCTTCCCAACCACTTATTGAAGAGATTGTCCTTTCCCCATTGTAAGTTCTTGGCACCTTTGTGTATTCTATTTAAGTTTTAAAAACAGGCTGTCGACTTCTAAAAAAATGCCTTCTGCAATTTTGATTGGGATTTATATTAATTTGCCAGGGTGGCCGTAACAAACTACCACAGACTGCGTGGTTTAAACAATGGAAATTTATAGTCTCACAGTTCTGTAGCTTAAAGTCCAAAATCAAGGTATTGGCAGGTAGTGTTTCTTTTGCGGCCTCATTGTCTTGCAGATGGCTATCTTCTCACTGTGTTCTCCATGTTCTTTCCTCTGTAAATGTCTATCTTTGGTGTCTCTATGTTTAAATTTCTTCCTCTATAAGGACAACAGTCAGACTGGATTAGGACTTCCTTTTTAGTTTAGGCTTCATTTGAGTTTAATCACCCCATCTCCAAAAATAGTCACTTTCTGAGGTACTGAGGGTTAGGGCTTCAATATGTAAAATTTAGTGGGACTTAATTCACACCATAACAGGATGGTATTGAATCTATGTCAATTTTGAGACAATTGATATCTTAACAGCTTAACCCTTCCATTCCAAGAGCATGGTCTGTCTCTTCACATATCCAAGTGTTCTTTAACTTTCCAGAGATATTTTAGAGTTTTCAATGTAGAGGACTTGCATATACTTTATTAGGTGTATCCCTAGATGTTTCCTGTTTTGTGAGGCTGTTGTAACTGGTATTTTTTTCCTCAAATTTTATCAACACCCTGTAACAGAACTAGGTGGCTATGCAAATGCACCTTTCAGATTTCCAACTCTGGGGGCATAATGATGACAGCCCTAGCAGCTGCATTCTGAAATCCATCACTGTATTTGTACTGCAGTCATGCTTCCCAAAGACTTCTCCCAGCCAATGCCTAGGAGACTTGGGATTCCTCTGGTGGGTGACTTTGGCTTGAGGATGCCCTGATGGTCTTGACTAACTCTCTGGGAGCTGCACTGAGGTTCAGATGCTTCTGCACCAACTACCTTCTTCTCTCTCTTTCACCTGGACTCAGATCTGTATCATGATCTAACAACTCATCTTCCCTCAAGCCTTCTCTTCATTTTTTTCATAACATCTCCTTTAATGAATCTTCTGCAAGCCTAATCCTATCTCGGTGTCTACTTTTCAGAAGACACCTACTAACAAAGAGATTGAAGAATTTTTTCTGTTGTTGAGAAGTGTTTTTTTTTTTAGACAGAGTTTCACTCTTGTTGCCCAGGCTGGAGTGCAATGGTGTGACCTCAGCTCACTGCAACCTCTGCCCCCTGGGTTCAAATGATTCTTCTGCCTCAGCCTCTCTAGTAGCTGGGATTACAGGCATCTGCCACCACGCCCAGCTAGTTTTGTATTTTTAGTAGAGATGGGGTTTCTCCATGTTGGTCAGGTTGGTCTCGAACTCCTGAACTCAGGTGATCCACCTGCCTCGGCCTCCCAGTGCTGGGGTTACAGGCATTAGCCACTGTACCCAGCTCCTCCCTCCTTTTTTTTTTTTTTTAATGAACAAGTATTGAATTTTATGAGAGGATTTTTTTCTGCATTCGCTGAAATGATCATATGTTTTTTCTGTTAGTACAGTTACATTGATTGTTTTTCAAAAGTTACATTATGCTGGGTGCCGTGGCTCATGCCTGTAATGCCAGCACTTTGGGAGGTTGAGGTGGGCAGGTTGCTTGAGCCCAGGAGTTCCAGACCAGCCTAAGCAACATGGTGAAACCCCATCTCTACAAAAAATACCAAATCTAACTAGGCATGGTGGCATGCACCTGTGGTCCCAGCTACTGGGGAGGCTGAGGTGGGAGGATCACTTGAGTCTGGGAGATTGCCATGATCACACCACTGCACTCCAGCCTGGGTGACTGAGTGAGACCCTGTATCAAAAAAGAAAAAAAAATTATGATAACCTTGTCTTCCTCAGATAAGCCCTATTTGGTCGTGATGTTTTATCTTTTCAATATATTTTTGTATGTTATTTGCTAGTATTTTAAAGAGCTTATATCTGTAATTACAGAAGATATAAATCTGTAATGTCTAATGCCTTTGTAGAGTTTTGGTACCAGTGTTATTCTGGTCTTATAAACGAAGTTTGAAAAAGTGTTCCCTATCTTCTATTTTCTAAAAGAGTTTTTCAAAGATTGGCATTATTTATTTTAATTTTTTGGATAGAATTCACTCGGGGAAACCATTTGGGTCTAGAATTTTCTTTGTTTTTTTCTTTGCATTTTTATTCTTTATGTCTGGCATAGTTTATCTGCTCATGATTCTCTTTTTTTCTTTCTTTCTTTCTTTTCTTTTCTTTTTTTTTTGAGGTGGAGTTTCACTCTTGTTGCCCAGGCTGGAGTGGAATGGCATGATTTTGGTTAACTGCAACCTCCGCCTCCTGGGTTCAAGTGATTCTCCTGTCTTAGCCTGCCAAGCAGCTGGGACCACAGACGCACGCCACCACACCTGGCTAATTTTTTGTATTTTAGTAGAGACAGGGTTTCATCATGTTGCCCAGGCTGGTCTTGAACTCCCGAGCTCAGGCAATTCACCTGCCTTGGCCTCCCAAAGTGCTAGGATTACAAGTGTGAGCCACTGCGCCCAGCTCTCTTTTTTTCTTAAAGTACCTTAGTGTAGGATTCAATCACAATCCTTTTTTGTTGTTGCTTAAAGGGCATGAGTTCTCCTATTCCCTTTGAAGGAGAGAGTAGGCCAGGGTTGTTTCCCTGGCTTCATGGCACTCGAATTCTGTTCTAGAACTATTCTGGAATTCTGTTATATAGAATCCTGTTCTAGAACTATCTAGTACCATTCATAGAGCTATTCTGTTGTTATTACAAAGTGTCCAAAAATATATCTTATGTATTCTAAAATTTGCTAGCTGGGTTACCTTTCCTTATTTTTATCAGAAACTTTTCTTTCCCTTGCCCTTAATGTCCTATCCTGCTTAAATTTGATTTTACTCCCAGTAATTTCTATTCAGTGCAGACCTTCATCCTGGAAGGGAGAGCTGCTTAGTTCTAAGCATTTATAGAACCTAGATTGCTATAGCACCCTCTGATCTTGTACTTACACACTGAAGTCTACAAGGCCCCTGCTTATTTTGGCTATTTTCCCCAGTTTGTGTTCCTTTCCCTTGGGAGCATCCATTGGCAATTTTGCATTGGCTCTCAAGTTCAACATAAAACCTGTTGTCTCTCCTTGGTTCCCTCCTGCATACTTGCTGATACCAGGTGGTCTTCATGATAACGGTGATATTTTTTCTCACTTGCTCATATTTGAGGGCTGGTGGTAATTCCTTGTTTTGCCATAGATGTCTGCAAGATTTTGGTTTTGCTGTCTTAATCTCTATTTTCTTGGGTGATTCAAAAAGATTAAAAATTACATCATTATTGCTACCACCTTTCTAGAACCGCCGAACATCTTTGGAAATTCGATGTTGGAGGTGGGGGGAAAGACGTCAAATTCTATGCCTGCTGTAGTTGCTTAGGCACTCTATGCAGACCACCAAAAGCCCTATTTGAATGTGAAAGTATTAGGACTCCTGTGAGAAACCACAAAGAACCTTTAATATTGATGGTGGTGGGCTCCAAACACTGAAATTAATACTTGTGAAATAAAGGTGGAAAGAAAAATTATCTGCTTCTTATTGAGTTCTTTCTGATACAAGGTACTGTGCGAAGTCTTTGATGTGAACTTTTCTCAGTTAAGCCTTAAGCCCCTACATGGTGGCACTGTTATCACCTCTCCTTTACAATGTTGAAAAGGAGGAATGGTGATGCTTTGTCACTTTCCACAGTCACTCTCAAGATCTCTCAAACTACAAAGCTGGTGGTCATAGCCATGCTGTGATACTGCCCCTGCCCTTGGTGGTGGACCCAGCCTTCTCTACTGATGCCAGGCAAAGGTGAATCCTAGCTGAGGGGTTGAGCTGCGCCTTTGCTCCCAGCCTGCCTCCTCTGTGGCGGGCTGATAGCTGGCTTTTAGGTGGTAGGCTTCAGGAGGCAGACATCTGAGACAAAGCTGAGATTGTAGTTGTTAAGCTTCCCAGGTAACTGTCACTATGTACTTTTATGCCCCAGGAGAAATGTGTGTAATGTGTTTGGTGCCCTCTTTGGGGTTTTAGGAGGAAATGGACTAGGGAAAATTCACAGTGTCTCAAGAAAAACAATGCCACACATACCTCACCACAATGTCACGTTGCAAGATTACAAAGCCAGAACACAGCAAAGCCACCATGGCCCTAAGCCGCTGTGGCAAGTGGGCATCGGGATGCTGTGACATAATTACAAGACAAAGAAACAGAGCTCTGCAACAGCACATGACCAGAGGCTTCACCACCACAAAATGGGACTTGACACCAACACAACTCCATACTGTGAGGTTACAACCTGGCTCTACAAAAGACAACACCGCATGACACCACCACACCATAGCAGTAAGATTAGAATATGACAGTGCAGTGCAATAGCCCCACTGCACCTTATCATGATGTCATCACTTGTATACGACAATATATCAATGCCCCGAGAATATACTAGCATATTACAAAGTCCTAACCCCATAGCCTCTGTTTTGATCAAATTCCTTTATTGAATCTCATTGGCTCAGAGTTCAGATGTTTCAGGGGCTTTAAGCTCAGCTCAGAAACTCTGCAGATATAAATATTGAAAGGAATTCCCTTTGCTAGCCTTGTGCTGTTTGTAGGTATGCCTGTTCCTCCACTGGGGTGATGACAGGGAGCATTTATTTCTCACCTTGTATCTCTCGGCACATATGGGAGAGGCTGGCTCAGAGTGAGTATAAATAAGGAAAAGTCTATTTAGTGGATATGGGGTCGAGCCAAAGAAGTCAGCTGACCTTGAGGGATTGTTGTTTAAATCACACAATCATAGGCCTAAAAGGTACCTTTGACTCCATGTTTTCTGGAGTTTATTCATTTCTGTATTCTTTTTTGCAATGCATTGCTGTATTGCAATACAGCAATACAATATTGTTGCAATACAGCAATACAACATTGTTGCATTACAGCAATACAACATTGTTGCATTACAGCAATACAATATTGTTGTAATACAACAATACAATAAGGCAATACAATATTGCCTTGTGTGTATATAAACAGGCACAGGCAGGGCAACGAGGAGATCTCAAACATACCTTAAATGCAAAACGCAACCAATAGTTCAGTGATTAGGGGTCAAATCCTCTCAATACTGTCAACTGGGAACCTGCCCCAAACCAATTCATGTATTATCTGTTATTAGCTCAATATTTTTAAGTCAACTCATCTGTTAAAAAAATGGATATATAATTCTGTATGTATGTATGTATGTATGTATGTATGTGAGATGGAGTCTTGCTCTTTTGCGCAGCTGGAGTGCAGTGGTGCGATCTTGGCTCACTATAACCTCCATCTCCTGGGTTCAAGCGATGGAGATATAATTCTTAAAAAGAAGAAAGCAAGCCAAAAGTATAGACAGGTATTGCCCCCACCTGGCCCCAGTCTCCCTGCAGGAGTCATCCAGACGTTGGCCTCCAGGCTCTGCTTGCTGTGCTGGGGCGGCATTCTAGATGCTGCAGACAGCCAGGTGGTGTCCAACATAATCCACGCTCCTGCAGAATGGAGGGCTCTATGCTTTGGTGGCATCAGCCTAAACCAGGCGGGGGGCTTTGGGCTGTGTGTGACTCAAGCTAGGGAGTGTTTCTTTGGGGAAACAATGAGACTTAAATCTGCTTCCTTGGGTACTTCCTGAACAAACGGAAGGGATAGAGGACTGGGGCTCTTGCGATTTTGCTGGCAGTAACTGCAGTCCTGGAACTATTCGTTGTTAATACCATCCTAGCCAACACTTACTGAGCATTTACACTGAAATGTCTTAACTTCCTTGCTTAATTTTCACAGCAGTTATATGAGGTTGATACTTTTTACTTTTCCCAGTTTACCATTTGAGAAATTGAGCCTGAGTGGTTAAGTGACGTGTACAAAATCACACAGCTAGAAAGAAGTGTAGCCAGAGTTCACCCGCGGGCCAGAAGCTCTCTGGTTCCAGAGTCTGGCTCTGAACAATTATATTCAACTCTTTCTCTGACTTATTTTTCCTAATTTCTACTTGTCTGGCTAGTGTGACTGGAACACGGGTAGTGGTGGATCGTTATATTTGGATGATGTCTTGCTCACTGACTTTGCTATTCTTTGACGGTTTGGAGAAGCCGATTCATGAGCCTTAAAGCACCTGGGAGCCCATGGTCAGCTGAGCTGTGTGACGCTCCGTCTCTGCAGATGTCTGGGGACCTGGCCAGAGCTGCACCCTATGAGAAGCTAGAGACACAAACGGAACTTACTCTCAGGCAAAAATAATAAATAACATGAGAAAATATGATGCGGCTGGTTTTATTGCCATCATTTTGCTTAATTAAATAAAATTTGCAGGGATGTGTAGCAGGGGTTACTCCTCTGTCATGTGCCCTTTTTCTCCTGGTTATTTTCATCCTGGAACCCACCTATAACCCAAGCCCTATCATGACTGGTTATTTTCAAATCTGCAATCATTTCTTCTTGCTGACTTGCTGAGACTTTGCAAGCACAGAAAGTTGCTGACTTGCTGAGATTTTGGAGCACAGAAAGTTGGCTCCTAAAAGTGGGGTCCACAGATGGAGGCCTGGAGAGAGTGAGCGCAGATATTCAAATGCAAGCTCATTAATATTACGTGGGAGTCAGACATGTAGACACATGTCCACAACAGCATTATTACAATAACAAAAAGGTGGAAACAACCCAAATGTTCATCAGTGAACAAATGGATAAATACACTGTGGTGTGTCCATATAAAAGAACATTATTCTATCACAAAGAGAAATGATGTGCTGACACATGCTGCAATGTGGATAAACCCCGAAAGTATGCTAAGAAGCTAGACTGAAAAGTCACATATGGTATGATTCCATTTATACGAAGTAGCCAGAAGAGGTAAATCCACAGAGACAATGCAGATTGGTAGTTGGCAGGGTCTTGGGGTAGAAGGGAATGGGAATAGCTGATTGCGTATTTGAAAATATTCGGAACTAGATAAAGGTTGTGGCTGCATGACATTGTGAATGTACTAAATGCCAGTGAACCATTCACTTTAAAATGGTTAATTTCATATACGAATCTCAAGTGAGGCCAAATTTTATTTACTTATTTTTATTATATTTTAAGTTCTAGGGTACATGTGCACAACGTGCAGGTTTGTTACATAGGTATGCATGTGCCATGTTGGTGTGCTGCACCCATCAACTCGTCATTTACATTAGGTATATCTCCTAGTGCTATCCGTACCCCCTCCCCCCACCCCACGACAAGCCCCGGTGTGTGATGTTCCCTACCCTGTGTCCAAGTGTTCTCATTGTTCAATTCCCACCTATGAGTGAGAACATGCGGTGTTTGGTTTTTTGTCCTTGCGATAGTTTGCTGAGAATGATGGTTTCCAGCTTCGTTCATGTCCCTACAAAGGACATGAACTCATCCTTTCTTTTGGCTGCATAGTATTCCATGGTATATATGTGCCACATTTTCTTAATCCATCTATCATTGTTGGACATTTGGGTTGGTTCCAAGTCTTTGCTATTGTGAATAGTGCCACAATAAACATACATGTGCATGTGTCTTTATAGCAGCATGATTTATAATCCTTTGGTTATATACCCAGTAATGGGATGGGTGGGTCAAATGGTATTTCTAGTTCTAGATCCTTGAGGAATTGAAGTGAGGCCAAGTTTTTAAAAGTGCTACAAGGAGAGATTTGTTCAAAACATTTAATAGTTGTAAAGCACTTAAGCCATGCCAGCAATGACTTTGCCCTTCAATGGAAACAGTATATGTATTTTTCCATCCTTGCACATTCCAAGCAGACAGCAAATTTCCCTCGCTGGCAGGAGGGGAGGCAGCCTCTGGGAAGGCTGCCGGGAAAATGATGTGAATGAGAAGAAGTGCTGGGGAAGGGAGAAGAGCCCAGGCCAGAGAGTTAGACTCAACATCCAGATCTTCCACCTGAGATATGGGAGTGGGGAGGAGACCTATTTTTTAACTCAGGTTTTCTGTGACCTACACTTCCCCCCCAAAAAAATCAATCAGAGGACACGTAATTAAATAGCAATATATTTTTACAGAAATGGAAAACATTCTACTCATAAGTTTTTTCCTTGAAGTTTATTGTTTTACTTAATTATAAGAGTAACATAATATTTTTAGATTGGGAAGAACAGAAAAGCATGAAGAAAAACCGGGGAAAACCACTTATTATCTTACCATATAGAAGTAGCTACTTTTACAGTGTCATATTTTTTTCCAGCATTTTATCTTTGCCCTTTATTCACATAGTTAAAATCACATGATATACACAATTTTTTCACTGACTTATTTCCCCCATCATATAGAATAAGCATTCCTCTGCTGTACTAAAACTGCCTGGCGTATATCATCGTGTTTGGTTGCACAAAATTCCAGTGGAAAGAGGCATAGTTTATTTAACCACTCCCAATCATTGGGCATTCTGGTTGTTCTCTAAGAGCTAAATCTTAACCTCTGCACAACAGAAGTCATAGATGCAGGGACCCAGGGAATCCCGTGGGACTGTGACTGTGTGACTGGGAATACACAAACCTTCAGTCAAGGTGCTTGGGTATGATCTTGGGAAGGTAACGCTGGTGTATCATTATAATTTAGAGGTAGGAAACTAACTCACAGCAGTATCTACACTGTTTAAAGAATCAATAGAAGGCTGATGTCAGCACACAGCCTGAAAAAGAAAGAACCTGAGTTGGCAGGCCCACCCCAGCACTGCCCAGGGAGAATGGAGCCCTGGTCCAGCAATTTACATATTTTACATCTTAAGTAAACAGTTTCAGAGCACCCTCTCTATGGCAGGCAAAGGGGATGTACCAGGAATAAGGCACCCTCCATATCTCAAAGGAGTGCAATGTCTAGCAGGGCAGGTAGACTCCTAAGTGTGACTGTGGACTCTTGAAGCAGTGTGGTCAGAGCTGTGTGGGACTGTGTGTTGAGGGCACAGAAGGGGTGTGCTGGGCATAGTTTTGGTAGCAGAGATGAGGGTGGGGACCCCAAGGATGCTTCCCACAGGTGACTCTGGAGTCGAGACTCAATAAATGGACTGGAATTAGAGAGTTCTCTGAGCTCTAGTGTGGATTCTCCATTGACTGAACCCTTCTGATTCCATATTCAGCTGCAGCCGTTTTTGAACAACTTGGCTTCCAGCATCCAGATAGAGAGATACTGCACTGTTCAGGCCCATGTGATGGTGCACTTCTCATTGCCATGGCCATGGAAAGATCTGGTCTTGAGCTTGGTTCACATAAGTCTATCCCTGAGAAATAGGTCTGCTCTTTGTTCTGCTCTGCAGTTTTCTGAACCTGCAAGGCTAAGGATGCCAGGCTCTGAGGCATGGTGCATTTGCCCAGATGAGCCATGTCCCCCAGGAAGGCCTCCCCAGAAACTTCAAAGCTCCGTGCATCCTGTTTCTTTCAAAAGCAAAAGCTCCCTCTTAAGGGTGTTGTGAAGATTAGAGATGATGCGTCAATAGGCCTGGCTCAGAATTGGTGCTTGGAAGTCTAATCTTGTCTTCCTCCCTCGCAGCGCTCTTGCTTTGGATCGGGGTAGCTGATAGGTGGAGATGATGAGTCACAGAGTTCGCTGACACCCTCGAGCTAGTTCTCCCTATTCATTAACCAAGCCGTCAGTCAATTCAGCTAATTGTTATTTTTTGAGATAAATGTTTAAAATATCATCTCCTATGACAAGGTTCTCTAAAAGCTCAAGGATGTGTTGGGGGTGGTAGGGGAAGATAACACGCATGCACAGAGCAATCAGAAAAGAAAACTGGAAATGATGTGACTGCCAAGGCTCCCTGCTCCGGGCACGGGCTGGTATGTGCCCGCACGGACAGCCTGGTTCTTATGGTTAGTGTCAATCTGACCGGCCAGTGCCCATGTGTAACCACTCCACCTCAAGGCTCAGTGTAAGGGCTGACTTCTCTTTTTTCTCTTTCTCCTCCACTTTGCACTTGCCAGCTGGGGCACCAGTCAACGTCACATCTGTGTGGAGGACAGATCCTGTCTGTCCCTGCATCTCCGTGACTCGGTGTTCCTGGAGATGACCCTGTGGAAAAGCCTGTGGTGGGCTCCACCTAGAAGCAACAAAAGGCCCTGCAGTCCTTCCTCTGGTGAAGTGAGAGCTAAGGGAGCTTGATTGAGCAAGGCGGAGGTGCATGGGGAGCAGAGAAATGGAGGGCAGGTGGGTGCTGTGCTTCTTAGGTGGTAGAAGTGAGGTCACCAAAGAATGCAAGGAATGCAAAGTTATAGCCTTAGGCTATAGCTACCATAATATCCGTAGGCCTTAGTGAGGCTTTCAGGAACTTCCACAGATGCCCAAGGTAGTCTTGGAATTGAACTTGAGTCCTTGAAAGTGGCCATGGGTCAACTCCTGGCCAAGGTAACCAGGTTCTAGATGGACTGAGCCAAGACCACAGCCTTGGGGATGTCCGTCAGTGTAGTTTTGGGGTCTCCCCCAGCAATGCATCCCACTACACACACCCTTTGCTTCCCCCTATCTATCTTTCCAAATCCTCTGAAAACATTTCATCCGTGTGAGCCCTGAAGTTGCCATGCTACAGCGGAGGGGAGGAGTTGCCACTGAGGCTCTTACCCTACTCAGGGCTTGAGGTTGGTCACCTTTGGCTGGATGACATGGCCTCTCACCCCTACGGGGCCACATAGACCCTCATATCATAGTTCATGAGCCTTCATACACCCCATTTTTGGCAAGGGACTTGTCCCCCGACTGCTGCTCCTGACCCTAGCCCTGTGGGATACTTGCAGGCCACATTGCTGTGTGGCTGAAAACATGGCTCTGAGTGTCACACTTAGACTGGCATCCAGGAATAAATCCCCTTTTTGAAGGATGAAACTAGTAAGTGATAACCAACCAACCAACCAACAACCCCATACCGTCACTCAAAAAAGAACAAGAAAGGAAAAAAAGCTGATTCCGGAGCCCAGTTCCAAATGCAACACTCACACCCATCGTCTCTCATCCTCCCACCCAAGTGCTGCTTCAATTTCCTTTAGAGGTTCTAAGGGCTCAGGCCTACACCTGTGCTCAGGCATGAAGGAGAGGTCTGAGTACAGCTCACAGGCCAAGAGAAAACATTCTGGGGCTGGGATGGTTATGTTTAAATCCTGGCTCAGCAGATTACTAGCTGTTTGACCTTGGGCTAGTTATTACCTGCTCCATGCCTCAGTTTCCCCATATATAGCATAAGGAGGATAATATTATTATGCCAACCTCAGAGTTGTTGTGAGAATTCAATACATAAAGCACTTAAAATAGTACCAGAACATGGTAAGTGCTATGTAAGCATTTGCTGTTAGAAGGCTGCAGGTGGTCACTGGCTTTCTAGCCCAGGCAGAAACAATCTGCACTAAAGGGGTCTCTGCTTTGCACTTTGATTCTCACCTGTGCTTTGAGCAAGGGATCTGCCATTTTCAATAAAAGATGATGGTTATTGCAAGGGACTCAATTAGTGGGTTGTTGGTATTTACTCCCCGAAACAACTAAAAATATTTTAAAATAACTTCTTACTCAAAGAAAGGGTCTTAGCAGAGCAGCTCAGCTGAAAGACACAGGAGCCATCTTGCAGCAGCAGCCAAAGTCTTTGAACCCACCCCCATGCACTCCTGACTCTCAATATTGTCTTTCTGTCTCCCAGTTTCTGGAGTGGAGGCATGTGTCAAGCACATATCGCAGGCATGGGGCTCTCTCGGTAGTGCCAGGCAGTTTCCTCTGCTCTCTGTGTGCAGGCAGCAGCATTAAAGCCCACCTCTGGCCTTCAAAAATAGAAATGCTGCCACCGTAGAACTGTGTTGGCTGCTCTGCCACGTTAGAGTCGAAGCCTCTGATATTGTTGTTGATCTCCCTGGAGATCTTAAAGTGTCCTGGACACTCAGGAATTTCTGGCCAGCATTTGTGGATTTAGAGAGAGAGAAGCATACACTCTTTGGTAAAATTCTCAACTCCCGAAAAAGCTGTTCCTTGACAGTATATCAATATGTGTTTGGAAGAGGTTTCTAGATGACCTGAAGCTCAAAGCAGCCTACCTCCTTTTTCCCAGTGTAGAGTTTTTGTTTGATGAATTATGTCTTTGCCTGGCCTTTCAATGGCTGATGATAGCAATAATAATTAAACGTATTTAGCACTTACTGAGAGCTTTCATGTCTTACCTCACTTAATTCTTAAAATTAACCTTGGGCGTAGGTACTATTATTATTCTCATTTACAGATTCATGAACTGAAGTTCAGAGAGGCAAAGTGATTTGCCCAAGGTCACACAGCTAGTAAATGACAAAGCTGGTTCAAATCTAGATCTGTCTGTCTGACTCTCAGAGCCTGTGTTTTTGCCTGCTGTGTGTGGTATCTTCATGTATGGTAGGTGGACAGAAAGGTCATGGGCTTTGGTGTCAGATAAGCACAGGTTCAAAACTTGGCTCTGCCTTACAAGCTGTGCAAACTTGGAGAGACCATTTAGTCTCTGAATAATAATAATAGCAGCAGTGGTAATGATAATAGCTAATACTTATATGGGACTTGCTAGGAGCCAGGCAAGCTTTACTATATTAACTTGTTTAACTTGCTATGACCCTATGAGGTTGATAATATTATTTTGTCAGGGAATTAATAACAGTGACCTCAATATGAGCTCATGAAGATTGAAGATTAAATGAGACACTATTTATGTAAACATGTGGCCTGGCACAGAGTAAGAGCTAAATATTAGGTCGTGTGGGTGACTGCACCTCTGGGAAAAATGCACAAGGCCAGCATCTTCTGTTTGTGAGAAGAGACGATCCTGCTCTCTGATTCTCACTGCTACACGGAGCTGATTTGTTTTACAAGCTGCTGATCCCGCTGCCTTCTGCTCCCATGCTGAGCCTGTGCATAGAGCAGAGCCTAACACAGACCAGGCACTCCATAAATGTCTGTTTAATGAATGAGACAAGGGGACCAGGTCCAGCCACTTGCAGCTGATTTTGTCATTCTGTATTCCAGAAGAGAAAACACATTTTCTCATAAATAGAGAAAGCTCATCTCAGAGAAGGCATAGGGCTACTCATAAGTCTCTTGTGCATTCATGTGGTGTTTGGGGGCATTCTGCTTTTGGTCATTAAAGAAAAGAGGAAATATCTGCATGACTCACCGTCCATCACACTCCCAATAGGAGAGCCCATTATTCTCAACACAGTTCCTAGGATTTTGTTCCTGGGGGTAGGAGGTGGGATGGGGTCAGGAGTAGGGGAGAAGAAGCAGTCACTGCACTGGCTGGGAAAAAGCACTCTCTGGCCATAGGAAAAGTGAAAGAGAACTTTCTCATTTAGGGGAACTGGGAACCTACTACCAGGAGCCCTGGCCTGGACAGAGGCATCCCTAGGGGCTCAGAAGACCCGTCTTCCTGGCAACAGCCTGAATGCACCCAAGGTGTTTGCTGCAGTTCCTGTAACAGCCCATTTCCACCTTGACAGGAAGAATTTTTCCTTTTTATCTAACCTGAGCATCTCCTCCTACAGAATGTAAACTCATTTCCTTTGGCCCCGTGCTCTGAGCAGAGAGGGACCAGCTGGTCACCAATTTCTATCTAATAACTCTTCGGAGCCTCAAAAGCTGTTATTAAATTGCTCCTCAGCTGCCTCTTCTCCCACTAAATAATTCTTGCTCCTGCTTTTCTCCACGCGTCCAGTTTTTCCACTCTGTGCAGCCTTGGTTGAAGCCCCTCCATCTTCCCCATGGTCCCAGAGAACTTGGAAGCTGAGGGGTCAGACAGTTATAGAGGCCGCTTGCTGGCTGCAGGATTGGAGCAAAGTCAGCCTGGGGGCTGCCCAAGTAGCTATTTATTGCCCCTGACCAACACCAGGCACAGTCCCAGCATTTCTCCTTGCTCTTCTGCCCACAGGTGAAAAGAAGAAAGATGTTTTTATTTTCCATCTCATGACAGCCTGGGCACCCAGCTTTTCTCCCCTTCCTCTTGTTTCCAGTTCTGCCCATCTCCACACTATAGCCAGCCAGCACCCTCTGTGGGCTCAGATGTACAAGGGAGATAAGCTGGAGAGCTGAAACAAGCAAGCCAGCACGCAAAACCAACAAGAATAGCAGTGGGCACCATCCACGAGCTGCCAGCTAACTGCATGCTTTATCTTGTTAGCTCCTCAGACAACCCTATTGTCCTCATTTTACACGAGAAGATTCTAAAGCTCAGTGGTACAGCCCATAAGTAACTTGTCTGAGACCACACCTACAGGAGTGGGTACAGCCAGAATTGAAATCCAGGCAGTGGGACTTCAGTGCCAGTGCTTTTAACACCTACTGTCTCACCCTATTTATTGTGCAGGAAGTGAATCAAGGATGGAAAAAGAGCCCACAGTGGGTACCTTAGGAGCAGGTTACTGCTGTGGACAGTTGGAGCTAAAGGCAGAGACTTAGAGGGGACAATCAGAGAAGTGGGAGAGCCAGAAGGGAGTGATTCAAGCGTGAGGACGACCTGTGTCAAATGCTCAGAAGGGTTGAATATAATTCTTTCTTATATATCTTTAATCTAAGCCCAAGCTGTCATGGCAATGGATCCATTCTCTATCTGTGTCCCAGGCCTGTTCCCTGATTGCATAGAGGCCACTGACCCTCCTCTCCAAGCTTCTCTAGCCCCAAGAATCCAAACTCCTCCCATCTACCTCTTACATACTGGTTCCTGAATGGGAACTCTCTTAGAAGGTCTGATTCTCCATCTTCTCCCTGGATCCAGCTCTCCTGTTCTCTTATTTACAGAGTCTGGCCTCTGACTGTACTGCCAGCACATGCCTATTCCCCAGTTTCTGTCTCTCCTTCCTCCCTTCCATAACATGAGTAGAAAAGGGATCTTAACTCCTTTTTTAAAGTAATGTTTTCTACCACAACCAACTGGGGTGTGGTTGGCTGAAAATAGCTCCCCCAAAAGATATCTAATCCCCAGGACCTAAGAATGTTATATGGCAAAAATCGGGGGAGGGGGATGTCTTTGCAGGTGTGATTAAGTTAAGGATTTGGGGATGGAGGATTATCCTAGATTATCTGGGTGGGTCTGAAATGCAATCACATGTATTCTTACAAGAGGAAGGCAGAGGGAGATGTGACATCCTCTGGTGTCAAAGGTGGAGAAGTGAAGGAGATGGGAAGACGGAGCAGAGAGAGATTTGGGGATGTTAACCCAAGATTGGAGTGATGTGGCCATCAGCCAAGGAATGCTAGCAGCCAAGGAAGTAGTAGGAGAAGCTAAGGAGTAGATTTTCTCCTAGACCTCTGGAGGGAGCTCTGCTAACACCCTGATTCTGGCCCAGTGATGCTGACTATGAACTTGCAACCTCCAGAACTGCGAGAGCATAAATTTCTGTTCTTTTGGGCTACCGAGTTTGTGATAATTTACTTCAACAACCACACACATGAAAAAATGAATACATGAGCATCACCAGTATACATCTGCAGATTAAAGGCTACCATCATTTAAAAGTTCTTGGACCCCTTATTTACAATGCCTAGGGGTGGGATAAGTATAAGGGAGTAACTCAAAATTCAAACCCATTGTTTTAGGTAGGCAGTGTTTTCCTAACATTCCCTCAAACTTCCCATCTCCATCCCTCCATGCTCAAGGCATTAAAGACCGGAAGCTTCACCTACGGGATATGAGAAGAGCTTGCTGAACTTGTTCATTTGTTCCTTCTCAAGGATCCTTGCATTTTAAAAGGAGTCCCACCTCCACATCTCTGCAAAATTCCGTCTTTAATCTTGTGCTTTCCCTAGGCTCCGTAGGTACCCATGCGGAGAAAGAGCAGTGAATGCACCATGTGAACTCTACAGCCCTAAACAATTCTAAGGCATAACAAATATGAAGGCTGTTTCTGTTGTTCCCTTTCAAATATGCCCAGATATTATATTTTTTGAATGGTCGAAAGCACAGTTCTCACACTAACACATTTCTGCACAACAATGAGAAGATATATATTCTTTCCCATAGGATTCAAGAGAGCTATTTTCATTTTGAATGTGAAAAAATAAATTCATAAATATTTAATAACCCTCCAAACCCCCCGTGTTAGTCTGTGCAAAAAATAAAAATGTAGCTCTCCATTGGTTTAGGACACAAATATCAGCAGCATTATTTGTGCATCAGAGACGTCCTCTTTGTCCCAACAATGGAACTTCCTTTACTACCTTCCTTCTTTATCCAGCTTTTGGTTGTCCTATATTCTGAAGAATCATTTCTTCAAAAAGATCTCAGAATTTTTTTGTGTGTTCTTTTGCTCTTGAATTTCTGCTGGCCGCTCTGAGAAGTTTGGGTCTGGCTCTGGGCTGATAGTTGGTGGCTGTACTAAGTCAGGCATCTGTAAGGCTCCAGGTTTCTCAGCTCTGTCCCCTGAGCTCACGTGGTTGCAAGTGATACATTTTGGGAAGTATTTGTTAGTGGATGCAACATTTTAATGGAAATGCCTAAAATGCCAGTGTAACAGTAGCCCACCTGCTAGGAGAAGGAATTCATTACCACCCAATCTCTGGCAGTGCATACTAAATCTGTTTGATGCAAGACAGGCAAGCCCCAAAATTGGGACTTAGCCTGGGAGGGTTGTTGGCTTCACCCAGGAAAGAATTCAAGGGCCAGCGGGTGGTGTTAGACAGCAACTTTTGTTGAAGCAGCAGTGTATGGCAGCAGAGGTACTGCTCCTTGTGGAGTGGTGCTACTCCATAGGCAGTGTGCCAAGAATAGCAGCTCAGAGGCAGTTTTGCAGTCATATTTATACCCACTTTTAATATATGAAGACCAAGGGGTAGTTTTGTGGAAATTTCTAGGATGAGGGTGGTAACTTCCAGGTCACTGGGTCATTGCTGTGGAAAGGGGCAGTAACTTATGGATGTTGCCATGACAATAGTAATCTGACATGGCACACTGGTGGGTGTGTCTTATGGAAAACTGCTTTCAGCCTGATCCTGTTTTAGCTATTCCTCAGTTTGGTCCCATGTCCGAGCCCTGCCTCCAGAGTAGAGTCCTGCCTCCTGTGTCACCTTCATACTGAAGGAGCACTTAGAGCAAAAGTCTACCCAGTGAGGACAGCATTCTGGGAGCTTCCATCACTGCCTCCCCATCCCTCAAGCCACAGGCATTATTTTTCTTTTCCACAGCTGGGAAGTTTTTCCTGTCACCTTGGTGTGAATTCACTATCCAGGAGCTCACCTTGGAAGTGTATCACTTCTCACTCCTGAGAAAGGTCAGGAGGACCATTTGCCAGGGGTCTCTTCAACCCATGGGTCTCACACACAGGGGCAGTTCCTGGCTGGAGGTAAGGAGCAGAGGCTTCTTCCAGCAGGACTTATTTTGCCAGAATTTGGGGACCGATGGCATTGCAGAGCAGAGAAGCTGAGACTGAGAGAAGCCTTACCTCCTGGGCCCCCAGATGAAAAAAAAAAAAATCTTGTTTTCCTCATGCTCAATAATGGAGGAGGACACCAGAAGTTGCCTGTAAAAACTAGGTATTTGACACAGTTGTTGAGGCTGAGAAACACCTAACCTTGGGCAAAAAGGAGAGTAAGCTACAGTTTCCTTGGTACATGTGGGAGAGCTGGTCTCTGAAGTGTTAAGGGAGGGGACACATTCCTGTGTCTAGGGTGATTTGGAGGGTGGCAGGTGGAATCAGAGCCCAGAAGGAGGCTAAGCCACATATAGGTAAACATTTGCCAGTAGATGGACCATGCCTCCAATCCTGGGTCTGCCACTCCAATGGCCAAAGAATGGAGAAGAGGAGCCCATTCTCTAAAGGCACCTCCCCTGAGTGATGCAAAGCCAGGGAGTTTGAAGAGGTAGATGGGGGAGGGCAAGTTGGGATGCACAGGGTGGAACTCCAGACGCACAGGCACAGTCCCTGAATGTGCTTCTTCATCTAGCACATGTACACCAAATGGCAGCAGTCTTCTTTTGGGGAGGGGAGTTTAGAGCTGTAATGATATATTCATGACCTAAATGTAACTGGAGGTCACCTGTTCTGGTTTGCACCGGTTTCTTTTGGGTCTTAACTCCTGGCATTCTGCAAGGGGTCACGAGACTCTTGTGGCATCTGGGCTATCTGATTTCTTTAAGCAGCTGTGTCTATAGATAAAGATGCTAAAGAAGATCTGTTAAAAGTTTTTCCAATTGCTTGGATGAGGCTGGGGCTATCCCAGTGACACGGCCACCCTCTTTGGGCCATGGTGGGGTTTTCATGAGGGACCATGTGTGAAGCATGCGGCACTAGTATGGAACTAGCTGTCATTGATCTGTTGCTGTGACTTTTGAGCTCACATTGCTGTGGGTTGGCACAGAGGGGGAGGTCGCAGTAAAGTCTCCTGGCTTTATCTCACCACAAATCCTTTAGCACCTCTGAGTGGTCCTGAAATGTGAGGGGATGGCTGCCCCTCCCACCTGTAATAGAGGCAGAGAGCTCGTCTTTCTTGTATCTGGAAAGCATTGCCGAGCCTCAGATAGCTGAGCTTTGAGATACTGTTCAGCTCCTTTTGCCACCCCTTTTTGGCCAGCCTCATGGGCAGAGTGAGATCCCCATTCCTATTTGGCTGGCCACTGCTCCCTCTCCTCCTACCTGGCCCAGGTGGGCTGCTGACTTACTGCACCAGCCGCACAGGGCCCTTGATTTTCTGCCATGGGGGAAAGATCAAATGCAGACATGCAGAAACTGTGTTTCCAGCTATTAAGGAGTCGGCTTCCAGGGCGATTGGTGATAGGAAGAGTGAAATCTGGCCTGGGATTTGGTATGGTCCTGAAAATCTGCTAAAAAAAGAAACTTAATTAAACCTTGAAATTGAATGATTCCTTTATTCTCTTGAACTGAATATGTGGAACTTGGGAAGCCCCTGACTTTCTTATTGTCTGGTGTATTTCCACCCCTCTTTCCTGCCAATGTTGTTTGTACCACATTCTGGAAGTCTTTCCTACGGTTGAAATTCTTTTGAGTTTCTCTCTTGTTGCCCCGGCTGGAGCGCAATGATGCGATCTCAGCTCACCACAACCTCCGCCTCCCGGGTTCAAGCGATTCTCCTGCCTCAGCCTTCCTGCCTAGCAGGGATTACAGGCATGTGCCACCATGCTTGGTTAATTTTGTATTTTTAGTAGACACGGGGTTTCTCCACGTGGATCAGGCTGGTCTCAAAGTCCTGACCTCCCTTGACTTCCCAAAGTGCTGGGATTACAGGCGTGAGCCACTGTGCCTGGCCTCTAGGCTTGAAATTCTAATGAAAGTGGACCATGGGCAGGCTTATAACTCAGAGTTCCTCATAGATCCAGTCCTGAGGCACAGTCATGGGGATCAGCCATGGACTAGCTAAGCACTCTTGGATGATTTCAGTTCACCACCTTGAGCTCAGTTTCCTCATAGGAATAATAAGATTTACCATATTGGCACACAGTGGGTATTCAATAAATGATTTTTGAAAAAAAAAGAAATAATTAAAGTGAAAGCTGATGTCAAGTAGGTCAAAATATATTACCAAATTCTGAATTTTATCAGTTTCCTCACCTGGAAAATAGGAATAGTCATATAGCACCTACTGCATAGGGTTGCTGTTAGAATGAGGTGTTAACAGTTTGGGCAAAGAGCCTGGCAAAGTGCTTGTCATAGACTGGGTATCCAATATCTGTTTGCTGTTATTATTTTATTATTATAATTATTAGCTTTCTGGGCTTTGGGATTTTTACAATGTGGTTAATTTAAAACCAGGAAGTAAGAATTGACTACCCGCTGAGGAAAGTCCCAGCCCTCCACATCACAGCAGGCAGGAGGGTGTTACTTGTGGAGGTGGTGGGGATGGATGGAGAAGCAAGGGCCACACAGAGATAATTCCAAAAACATTATGGGCTGCTAGTTACTTTGCAAGGCAACAGTGTAGATCAATTCCAAGTGAGTCTTTTTGTTGCAAGAGGAAGGCGAGGCTAGAGGGTATAGAAAGCCTGGTACGACTGACTCCAGGCATTCTGTCCTTGGAATCCTGGGAGTGTTGCAGGGGACAAGTCTGATTTTCACCTGCAAATATAGGGTGCACGGCATTCCCCACAAATGCTTTCATTTCTAGACATAGCTGTTTGCCTTGGAAAGCAAGAACTGAAGGAGGCAAGGCTGAGCAAAGGGAGTGGCTGCTAAAAAACTTCATCTCTCTGATAGATGGAGCAGAGTTTGCAGGACCAGCGCTCTGTTAGATGATCGTCCGACTAAACCTGGTTTACATATTTGGTGTACCAGATGTCAGCTGGGATCTCCTTATCTCTTAAGCTTGGAATAAGAAAGACTTGATTCCATGATTGTGGAAGGTCCAGTTCCTCTCTAAGGTTTCTGTGATCCCTTGTGGCTTTATGTCTGCACCATGTTTACTCAGAGGTGGAACTCACCCCTTTTCTGAATGTACACACACACAAATTCACATATGGATTTGATTTGTGTGTATAGCAGACTCTATCGAAGACTTGAATAAATAAGAAAGATACATAGCTTAAAATTGGGTGTTAGATGTCCTGATCCTAGAATGTTCATTAGTTCTTTCATCAACTGGGAGTATTGCTTCTCAACCTTTTTCTCCCCTCTCTGCTTTCTTTAGTGGCCTCTCCTCTCAATGGAGCTCCTTCTGGCCACCTTTGCATACCTTTGATTATTCATGAAGGATTGTCATTGAAAAGGACCCATCCCCCTCGGGAGGCAGATGTGCTTATAACTTGCACCTCCCCTCCCTACATATTCCAAACCAGGAGGATTTCTTAACCTTAACCCATTTGTTGAAGAAGGGCAAGAAAATGTGCTCCAATCACAGGAAGATGCTTCCTCCCAAGCTGAGCGAGACAAAAGAGGTAAGAGCCATCTGTCCAGAGCCCCAGGCCTCCCTTTCCAGTCTGGAGAATGGACTGGCCAGGCTGGCTCCATTCTTTGAGTGCACCATGTGTTTGGAACCAGCCTCAGGGCCTCGCATTCTGCACACAGGGCTGCGTCTGTCATTAGGCACATCCGCTCACTGCCTCGGACTAATGAGCCTGGGTGACAGGTGGCGAAGTGCAATATTCTAGGCTGAAGGCTTCAGCAGGAGGCCAACACTCACGCTGACCAGGCAGGGGAAGAGCCGGCACCACCCTGAAAATCATAGCACTGCCATTTGCTTCTCCTCTGTCCTACCATATCATAAGAGCAGATTAAATCTGCCCTGGTTGTTGCTGTTTCCTCCTGAAGAGCAGGAGGTTGACAGCCTTCTTTTTCTAACACTTACCGAGAGCTTACTCCGCTAAGTGCTCTACCTGCATGGGCTGTCTCCACTGGTCTACACGATAATTCTATGGTAGATATTTCATTTCATAGATGAAGGGGCAGGCATGGAGGATGTAAAGTCACTTGTCCAAGGTCACAGAGTTAAATGGCTCCAGTGCCTGCTGAAGTCACTCCTCATGATAGGATCTCTGATTTCTTCCTAAGAAAAGAAGAAGGAATCGAACACTTTTGGGCATAAGCTATGGGCCTGGTGGTTCCACACGATGTTACCCTTTCTAATTCTCACTGCACAGCTCCCAGGTATTATTAGCCCCCTTTTCCAGATGAGGAAACCAAGTCTTAAAGAGAGAATCATCAGAAGTCATGTCATGATTCTGGCCACAGCTATCCTGCTTGTTGTCACTCACAGGGCAGCCACTCTGGGTTAAGCTGACTCCAGGCTCTGTCTGCCATGTGTGGATGTTAGTGGGAACCCCATCCAGTTGTGCCGGCCCATGGTCTCCAGGCCTCCCCAGCTGGCAGCTTTCAGCACTAGCCACCGTTGGGCTCAGTCCTGCCTAGGCTCTGTGCCCATGGGAGCCTGGTCTGTCACAGTGTAAATTCCCTCCCCATCAGAGAGTGACTTCTGGGGCTGGCCTGCTGCCTCATGGGACCAGGTTGTTCAGAACCAGTGAGCAGAGCAGGAGGTGGCTGCAGGAGCACTGAGCTGCAGCCTCCCTTCCTGACTCCCCCGCCAGCCTGGTCTGATTCCAGGACACCACTGAAATTCAATTCCTACATTACTAGGGCTTAGCGGGCCTGGAGACTGACCCTGCCTCTGCCTTTGATCAGGAGCTTTGATTGGATTTGAAAGTATCTTAGTTAAGCAAGGTGCCTGTCTATACAGGTTGGATACAAACAAAATCCCCAGCTCACCCATTCCCATTGCATTCCAGAATGCAGTGTTTCAATACTGTATTAGTTAGGCTTCTTCAGGAGATATGCATATATATATGCATACACACACACACACACACACACACACAGAGTTTGATTTATTTGAAGGAATTGGCTCACGTGATTGTAAGAGCTGACAAATCAGAGATCTATAGGCCTGTAGGGCAGGCTGGCAGCCTGGAGACTCAGATTAGAGTAGATGCTGCAGTCATGAGTCTGAATTCCACAGGGCAGCAGGCTGGAAACTCAGATAGGGTTTCTCTGTTGCAATCTTGAAGAGAATCCCTTCTTTGAGAAACCCCAGTCTTTGCTGTTTAGGCCTTCACCTGATTGGATGAGGCCCATCCCTATTAGGGAGGGTAATCTGCTCCACTCAAAGTCTATGATTTAAATGTAAATCACATTGAAAAACAAACACCCTTCACTGCAACATCTAGACTGGTATTTGACCAAATAACTAGGTACCATAGCCTAGTCATGCTGACATGTAAAATTAACTGTCATAAGTACCCATCTGTGACTAGCAGCAGCCGGTCCAGAAGTCCAATCTGTTCCCTCCAAAGCTCCTTGAGATGCATTAGGGATGGCCTAATGCACAAAAGCTCCCCCAGTGGCCACACACAGATGTCACTGTAAATAGCAGTAGTGGCTCTCCCCAAACATTATGCTTGGGTTGAGGGTACGTGGTCAAACTGATCAGGGCTGTTTGGATTAAAGATCTGAAAATTCCCAGGCCTAAGGAGGTAAATTTTGCCATGGCATACCTGTGAAACTAGAAGCACAATGTCACTGGCTGTGTACAATGTCATTTAGGAATTAAACAGTTGAGCCTCACCAGCAGAAAGCAGGTAAACAATCCTGAGGTGACACCTAGTGCAGCAGTGGCAGTGAGGACCTCTACCCTGGCTGCCACCTCAGTCAGCAATCCATGGCATTGGGTTCCACTATGGGGTCCTGCTCTCATGGGCTCAACTCCAAAGAGAGAGCACTGTTGGGTTTTGATGCTTCAGCTCCTGGTTCTAGTTGTAGCAAGGTGCTCTTCCAGAAAGTGTTTTATCTCCTTGCCTATGAAAGAAGCTGGCTGCTGCTCTCTGCACAGGCGGTGGTAAAATGTCACATTTCTTAATATAGGTGACCTGAAGGAGCAGATTGTCACAAACGAGAATGTAACTGGCAAGCCCTGATTGTCCCCCACAATTGTGGGGCCCAGGGAAACAGCACAAATGGAGGACCACAGACCATATGTTTAAATATTGAAGCATCATAAGTCATGCTAACATACTGTTGAATAAAATATGTTCTGTCCTCCTACCTGGACATATATACCTGCATAAGCACCTGGAAGGCTGGTTTGAATTTAGAATCCTCATTCTCCTCTGAGTTCTGAGAATACGCATTGCAGAGAGAGCGAGTGCATGGTCCCCAGACTCCAGACTGCCTCACTTTCTCTTCCTGCTCCTGGCTGCAACCCATGGAGGCTTTGCAAGGGGCCAGTGCATGCACACAGGTAGACATCTCAGCTTGCATGTTGAAGCTTTGCCTGTAGGTCCTGCAAGCAGCTGCTTCTTGCCCACTTCAAGCCTAGACATGTGCACACTATTGGAGTGGTCTAATTTTTGAAGGATAAGTCCAGGGAAGAGGCCATCACAAGTCTGGGAAGCAGACTCAAACTGTTTGGGCAAAGAATTTAATCCAGGATACCTAGAGTATAGTTTGAATGGAGGGTGTGGGGGAAGGGACAATGGGATGGGCTCATCGTGTTGGCTCCATGACTTTGCTTCATGGAGAGGGGCATGGCCTGGAAGGGCCAAAGCAGGACTCTCTAAAATCTGGGAGCCAGGGCAGGGACCCCTCTGGCCTAAGAGTGGCCTTGTACATTGGACTAATCCCTTAGATGCTAGATCAGGATGTGCTTCTTGCTTTCTGAGTACTTTTTGTGATTTGATGTTCAATATCTGTTTCCATGGTTATCGCCTCCTCGCTCATCCTTCTCAGCTCCTGTTTTCTTTCATCACTAATCTTGGAGATTTTCCTAAATGTGCTCTCTATATTGCAGATGATATTTTTTGGAGGGTCAATTTTGCTAATCATTGTCATTTATTGTCCTTTAGGGCTATTTAAAATGTTTTGCTACTTTATTTTTATTCCATTGTAACTTTATGTCTTTTAAATTTCATCCAGTTCCCTTTGTTTTCCAATTTTTAACTCAGCTGAGTCTTTATTTGTGATTCTTTTAGTCTACCTTACAGAGACCAAGAATCTTTCATGATATTCAAACATCAAGCAGGCTTCTAAAAATTTATTCTGTCTCTGATAGTAAATAGTTTTTTAAAGAAGATAATTTTGATTTTTCTTTTTATTTATTTCTATTTTTTTAGAGACAGGGTCTCACTCTGTTGCCCAGGCTGGAGTGCAATGGTGTGATCATAGCTCACTGCAGCCTTGAACTCCTGGGCTCCAGATCTTCCTGCCTCAGCCTGCTGAGTAGCTGAGATTACAGGTGGGCACCACTGGACCTGGCTTAGTCATTCATTTTTGAGAGGAAGTTAAACAGACTTTCTTTCATTTTGCTGACAGTTTAGTCCCTCTAGGGTCCTGGCATCTCGCCCTCACACATCTTGACATGCTGGGTGGCCTGAGGAGTGTGGTCTCTGCTCTAGTGTGCAGAGACATGGCACCCAGGGGCCCTGGCTTCCCTGGGTCACTATGCAGATGGCTCAATGTGAGCCGTTCTTGCTCTCTTTCAGAATTCTTTCTTGCGCTGCTAGTAAGGAAACAGGTGCTTTCCTCCTGGGCTGGCTGGAGCACTCCGTGTTTCCTGAGCTGGATAGATGTCATGGCCACATGTCATGTAGACCCTTCCTGGAACACAACACAAACTCGGTGACTTAAACCAACAGATATTTACTGTCTCATAGTTCTGGAGGCAGAAATCCAAAATTGAGGTGATAGCAGGATCATGTTCCTTCTGATCCTGTAGGAGAGAATCTTTCTTTGCCTCTTCCTAGCTTCTGGTGCTTTGCCAGCAATCCTTGGCATTCCTTGGCTTGGAGCTGCATACCTCAGTCTCTGCCTCGGTTGTCACATGGTATTCTTCCCTTGTGTACCTGAGTCTCTGCAGCTCTTCTCTTCTCACAAGGACACCAACCATATTGGACTAAGGGCCTACCCTACTCCAGTATGACTTGTTTTAAGAAATTACATCTGCAATGACCCAATTTCCAAATAAGGTCACATTCTGAGGTATTGGGGGTTAGGACTTCAACATATCTTTTTTGGGGACCCAACTCGATTTATAATAAGTAATGTTGTAGTGGGTGTCAAAATGAAGGTTTGGGGATATCATTAAGAGGGTAGGGCTAATTCATGGGGAATTTACGGTGCATTTAACCAGGAATCCTGGTAGGTTGTTGGGTGGTTGAGGAGTCAAAGTGAGCTTTGGGTTCTGCTATAATGACATGATGGCCAGGAACACAGGCCTGCCTAGATGCCAACCCTTCTTCCCACTAGATTATTCTCTAAGGAAGGTGCCCACAAGGAACAATGGTCAAATAGGAAACAAAACACCACCTACAAAACTGATCAAGCCTATTAGTAAAATATGGTCCATTGATTGTTTGGGTTCTGACCAATCATGTTACAGTGTTTTCTCCTTTAGAGAGAGCTGGTGACATGAGAGGCAGAAAAAGGACCATGGTGGGGAGGCCCTGATGTGAGAAGGTTGGTGGCAGGCAGGAGAACTCTAGCCACTAGTTTGAGGGTCTCTACTTTATGGAAGCATAGGTCTGAGAAAGGGGTTCTAGGTGATGATAGCCCTGTTCTTTGAACCAGGGTACCACATGAAGTTTCAATCTGGGCACGGGGATGGGTTCAGAGGTGCTCAGTACTGTATGCTGAATCTGCATCTGTAAGTCAGAGGAGACCAAGACTTCACTCCAGAAGCTGGGCTGGGAGCTGATTAAATCTCTCTTCCAACCTCCAGTTAGAATAGAGAGAGGCATACATGTATCCAAATGCAGTGTGTGTGGTTGTGGGGAGATGGAAGGGAAGGGAAGCCCAGATCCAGAGACTGGAAATCGAGTGAGAACCTGCCCTTTTGTCAACATGTTCCTTCTGTCGAGCATTCTTTATATGGTCCACAGTTTTCATCACTTGTTCAGTCATTCTGTGTCTCTCTCTATAGCTGTCATACTCACTTGGCAAAACTCCAAGCTGAATGTACTCAACCCATTACCTGCCAGAATTTGAGCAACTGTATGTTGCTGGAGAAAATCACACAAACTGAGAAGCTTCTTTTTAAATGCATAATCTCAACCCACCACTTGGTATTCAAACTGTAGTTAATAAACTTGCTTTTCCATCATTTAGGATGCTATTTCCTACCTTTGCCTATCTTCTCAAATTCCCTACTCCATTCCTGCACCCTTCACTCTGATCTAATTATCCTGTTTCAATTGTATTTAATTAAAAAAATTAGAACCATCAGCCATAAATGCCCCTAGCTTACATCTGAGTTCATTTGGGTCTTCTGCTTCTGGTCCTTCTGGTATAAAGGTGAAAATATGCTGTTCCCACCCCAGTTCCTGGAGCTGGATACTCCTGGAGTTCTAGATCCTGTCCTTTCTTACCTTCTCAAGGTTTTACTCCTCTGGCTATCTCCTATTCATCCTAAATTACCAATCCTACCCTCTTCTCTAGGGCTAGTCTCTTCAGTTCACAAACACGATTGACATTCCCTTAAGCCTAAAAGTCCTTTTTTGATTCCTTCATCCCTCTTCAGCTACTGCCCATTTCTCTGCATCGCTTCACAGTTTAACATCTCAAAATAGCTGTTTACATACTTGTTCCATGGTTTAAGCCTTTAATTAGTTTTCAGACTCTCGAGTTGGGTCTCTGACTTTAACACTTCACCCAAACTTCTTGTGTCAAGGTTACCAACAATCTCCAGGTTGCCAAGTCCAATGGACAATTTATACTCTCATTTTGCTCAGTTTCTCACTTGAGTTGTATCCCAGTGGCCACTCCTTTATTTGACAGTCCACCTTTGGTTTTCTTCCTTTCTCTAGATCTCTGACAATTTCATCCCAGTCTCTTTTATAGGTGCTCTTCCTGTACCAATGTCTACATATTGCTTTTTTTTTTTTTTTACAGTGCTTATTCTGTCTGCACTCTCTTCCTAAATGATTTATTTTCATGGCCCAAGATATCATCTGCATGCTGATGTTGTCTAAATTTATATATCCAGATCAATCTCTCCTTTGACCTTTAGATACACATATCCAACTTTCTACCTGCCCTTGCTGCCCTCACTCCCTCCTCCTTCTTGTGGTCCTCAATGTCTGTTGTTCATATCTTTATATTCATGTGTTTTCAATGCCAGAACAGAACTCTTGATTTTCTTTCCCCTGTAGTATCTTCAACCAGCTCCTCTCATAGTTTACCTATTCATTTTAGTAAATGGCAAGACTCTCCACCCACTTGCTCAAGCCAAAAATGTAAGTCTTATCCTTTATTTCTTCATTTTGTTGTTGTTTTTTTTTTTTTTTTTTTTTTGAGACAGAATCTCTCTCTGTTGTCCAGGCTGGAGTGCAGTGGTGCTATCATAATTCACTGCAACCTTGACCTCCTGGGCTCAAGAGATCCACCCACCTCAGTCTGCTAAGTAGCTTGGACTACAGATGCACACCGCCTTGCCTGGCTAATTCAATGTCTTTTTGGTTTGTTTTTTTTTTTTTTGTAGAGAGGGGTTCTTGCTATGTTGCCTAGGCTGGTCTCAAACTCCTGGGTTCAAGTGATTCTTACACCTCATCTTTTTAAAAAATCAATAAATCCTGTCATTTCTATCTCCTAAGTATATCTTAAGTCTGTCTGTTGGCTTCTGTTATTCCTCACTAGTCTAAGCCTTCAGAATCTTTTTCTTGGACTATGGCATTAACCCCTTTACTGGTCACCCTACTTGTTCTTAAGCTCCCTTCAAATCTATTTTCACAAAGTGATCTGAGGAATCTGTAAAAAAAAAATCAAATTACATTTTTTCCTTACTTTGAAAACTCTTCAGCAACTTCCCATTACACTTTTCATATTGAAATATAATTTATATACTATAAAATGTGCAAATCTTATTTTGTCTATTCAGTGAGTTTTCATGATTATATACACCCAAGTAGGCACTAGTGAACACAAGGCTGTCTTGTAATAGTAGTCTGTTCCTTTTTTATTTGCCTAACAAACAGTAATCCATTTTATGGACATACCACTATTTATTTGTCTATGCTCTTATTGATGGACAATTAATTTTTTTTCCAATCTTGGACTATTATAAATGATGCTGCTATGAATGTTCATGTATAAGTCTCTGTGTAAACACATGTTTTCATTTCTTTTGGGTAAATAGTAGTGGAATTGCTGGGCTATGTAGTAAATTTATATTTAACTTTTAAAGAAACTGTCACATTGTTTTCCAAAGTTACTATATTTTCACTATGTTTAATGTAAAATCCAAACTCTGTACATGGCCCCAACTCTCTTTTCCCCCTCATCTCTCCTCTCCATTTCCCTGCTCCACTTAGTTCGTTAAACACATGAACCTCTTTCCTACCTCCAGGTCTCATCTATGCTATTCCATCCAGCTGGTTCCTGTACCACTCACTCCTTATCCTTCAGGCCTCAGAGAGCCTCATCTGCCTTCTCTCATTTGAGAAGTTTCCCTCCTATTATTGCCTATCATTGTTTCCTGTTCATTTCTTTCATAGCACTAATCACTCATTTATGGTTATTTTTGAGTTTATTGACTTATTTTCTTCTCTCTTCTCTGCTACATTGTGTCATCTTTGAAGGTAGGACTGTGTCTGTTTTCCTCACCACTGTGTACCCAGCTCTCAGCACAATGCCCGGTGTGGAGTAGGTGCTTAACAACTATTGGCAAAATGAACTGATATCTATTGGTTTGTCTTTAGATTGCCTTATAAATGCCCCTCAATTGGGCAAGGATATCCTCCAGGACTGCTACCCACTTTAAGAAATTAGTGCCAAGGAAAGAACATAAAATTTTATTCTAAGAAATCTGAAAACATTTCAAATAAATGTGCCTATTCATTTATATAATTGTATAGAGCTCTTCCCAAAAGCTCTCATTCTAAGTACTTCAGTAAAATAGAATAATGAGTCAGAGCGTTGAGAGGAGATAAATGCCTTGGAACTTAAGGTCTTGGGAGAATCAAGAACAACACCCTCAGTAAGGCTTCTCTATGAAGAGGAGTGCTGATCCAAGGGGAGAGAGTAAGTCCATCATTAGAAACTGGGACACCAGGCATAAGCCTGGGAGATACACTGTTAGGTTGAATATAGGCCCTTCTTACACAAGGAATGAAGTCTGTTTTATATTGCTGTAAAAAGGGTTCTTTGGCTAAGTGAAGGTAGCTTCTGTTTGCCTGGGTTCCCAAATATACATACCTCTTTAAGGAATCATGTTCCTGACTCTTTCTCTCAGAGATAGCCTAAGAAGATGGGAATGAGGTTGAATATAAAAACAAGACAGAACCCATGGTGCTTCTTGCATAAAAGGCAGCCCAGAAGGTTGGATCAGGAGTAGAGCAACTGATCGATAAAGGAATATTTTATTTGTTTCCAAGATAGTATGTTTTTGTTCTTTCCAAAAAGAAGGATTTATTCTAGTTATTCTAAATGGGCAGGGGAGAAACTGGCCTCCCTGGGAACCAAGTTACATCAGAGAGAATTCTAAGTCTAGAAGTAATAGAAATTGACTATGAGTACTTAAACAAGAAATGGAGATTTATTGAAAGGATAGTCAACAATCCTAGGACTGAAGAAAGAGCTGGAAATCAGACCCCTGGAAGGCTAGAAACCAGGGGAGCTCCAAGGATCTCAGCTGCAGAAACTTATCAACCTTTTTTTAAGGAACTACTATCTAATGACTTATATTAAAAATTCCTGCATGGGAGAGACTGACCTGTATTGTGGGTTGTATTCCTATTTCATTGGGCTGGGGGTGGAAGCCTGGGATTCCTAATCCCATCAGAGCCACAGTGAGTAGAGAAAAAGCCATTTCACAAAGGAATTAATGTAGAGGAGGCAAAACAAACTATTTGCTATTTTGGTAGTGGTAGAGGTATAAGTAACCAGATTAATTAATTCATTATTATCTCTATCAACATTTGTATAATTCAGTCATGTTACCATGAGCTGGGTTACACAGATGAAATAAAACACACTGCTTACCCTTAAAGAAGTTACTGTGCAATATTGAGAGACAATTAAGAAGACACTCGCAATTGTTCAAGTTATGGCTCCTTTGGTTGCAACAAAACAGAAGTCATTCAAAGTTACTCAAGTAAGGAAGTATGCTTATTGCAAGGATATAGAGCTCTCACAGAATGAAAGGACAAGAAATCAGGGCAGCTGAACACCAGGGGAGATGAGAGAAACAGAAGCAGCTGGCTACTACCTCTATTTCCCTCTCCTGGGCCACAGGCTCGTCTCTCCGCTCTACTTATTGTCAGCTCCACTTTCCTTTTTCAGAAGAATAGCTTCCTCCCTTTACTCATCAACTTGAAAATGGCTATCATTACTTTCAATATACAGGACCTTCTCACCACCAACTGTTGGCAATCTCATGTCTTAAATCAAGTTCTTAGGATAGAATCTGTTCAGCCCTGCTCATCTCTTGGTGCAAGGTCACACAAAATCAGATTTCTAGTCAACTGACATTGGCTACTTTTGGGTCAGGTGGTCATCACTACTTCAATTCATCCCTAGCTGTGTGTGTGCACATTTCTTTGGGTGGAGGTTGGTTAGAAGGGGATATGTATGTGAAGCTGTAGATAGGGAAGGCTGTATGGAACATTTATTTTACAACATATATTTACAACGAATTGAAGGAGATGCATGCCTGATGTTGAAGTAGAGACAGGCCTGTTGCATCCATGCTTTGGATGGTGTTTAACAAAGAGGAGAAGAGGAGAGTTGGGATGGAAACTTGGTGAGGTAATAGAACAGAAGGGAGGTGTGTTGAGCATCTGTTGCATTTGCCAATCAAACATCCCTTCTGTTTTTGACTTGCAATGTATTGCATTTTACCATTGGTGTTCACCATGTCCAGAGTGTTCATCATGGTGTCCAGTTTCCCTGACCACAGGCTGGCTAGATTACTCCACCCACGAAGGTCATGATTGGATGAAAGGTGAGCAAGTGGGACAAACAGATTCTTCTCTAAATTTTGAGATAAGCTTCTTATTAATGAAAGGTTCTTTCTCTTGCCTGAGGTTGGGAGCTGTAATAATAGTATAAACCACACCCATTTGTGGCCATTGTCTTCAGCACCTGGAGAAGCCTTCTTTATTCTGGGAGAGTGAAGCCAACAAGCAAATAAAAGCAGACTCAAGAGATAGAGAAAGGATATAATTACATTGGTTGAATGCTTGTATTTTCTTGGAACTGGACTTCTCAACTGTGTGAGTATCAATGTTTGAATAAGGTTTCTGTTACTTACAACCAAAGAGGCCTGCCTAATACATCTTGCCATTTTATTCAATCTGACAATCTGCTTTTAATTGTGGTGTTTAAATAATTTACATTTAATGTAATTATTGATATGACTGGGTTTAAATCTACTGTGTTATTTATTTTCCTATTTCCTACCTATTTTTTATTCCTTCTTTTTTGCTTTTCTTACATTATTTTCATGATTCCATTTTTTTGTCAGTTTATTAGCTATACCTCTATTTTGCTATTAATTGCACTAAAGTTTATAATATATATCATTAACTTATCACAGTCTGCCTTCAAATAATATTATACCACTTCATGTATAGTACAAGAACCTTCTCCCATATTTTATACTATTGTCACATTTTACTGCTATATATGATATAAATCCCATGACATGCTAGTATTATTTTTGTTTTAAATAGCCAATTTTCTTTTGAAGAGATTCAATGATGAAAAAGTGTTTTTATATTAACCCACATATTTCTCATTAATGGCACTCTTGATTCCAAATTTAGACGCAGATTTCTATTTGGTATCATGTTCCTTCTGCCTGAAGAATTTTTTTTACAATTTCTTATAGTGAAGCTCTGCTGGTAACACATTTTTTTCAGATGTTGTTTGTCAGAGAAAGTATCTATTTCATCTTTCATTTTTGAAATGTACTTTTGCTGGGCATAAAAATTTATTTGAGTTTTATTGTCTTCTGGTTTGTACACTTTCTGATGTGAAATCTCCTTTCATTCATATATTTGTTTCTGTGTACATAATGTGTCTTTTTTCTCTATTTGTAAGAATTTTTTATCAGCATTTATAGCAATATGATTATAAAGATATAAAGTGGCCTGTTGAATTTTTTAAAGTTTATTCTCCTTGATGTCATTTTACACATGCTTATAATTTATAGTTATAAAATTTGGAAAGTTTTTCACCATTATTTCTTTAAATATTTTTCTATCCCCCTTCCTTTTCCAGAATGCCAATTACACATTGTTAAACCACAATAGAATGGATAGAAATGGTTCCAAAGGTCACAGAGACACTGCTCATTTTTTTCCAATATTTTTACTCTCTGTGCTTCAGTGTGGATAGTTTCTATTGCTATGTCTTTTTCTTCTGCATTGTCTAATCTATTCTCAGTCTCACCCAATGATATTTTTTAAAAATTAAATTTTTTATATTTGGAAGTTTCATTTGGATCTTTTATATATTTGTTAGTTCTCTCTCTGTCATGGTCATGTTTTCTTCTACCTTCCTGAACATATAAAGCAGTTTGGAATAGCCATTTTAATATCCTTGCTTGGTATTTCTATCATCTCAGTCATTCTTGGGTTTATTGGCATTGATTTTTCTCTGGTAATGGGCCATATTATCATACTTCTCTTCACATCTGGTGATTTTTGATTGAATGACAGACATTGTGACTTCTACATCATTGAGTATAGGATTTCATTGTATTTTTAAAAAATGATGTTGGGCTTACTTTTTTCTGTCATGCAGTTATATTCCTTGGTAGTAGATCCTTTCCAGGTCTGATGTTAAGCTCTGTTAAGGTAGATTCAGGGCAGCCTTTGGAATAGGGTAAATTTAGGTGATAGCCTTCTGAAGACTCTAGCTGATGTCTTTTGCATTTTGAGGTCTTTCTACTACGGCTGGTAGCAACATGAACTATTCTCAGCCCTGGGTGAGCTTTGAGAGTTGTTAGCCTACTGCTTTCTGGTGGCTCTTTCACCAGCATCAGGCAGTTTCATCTTATGCATGTGCAGTTTAGTACCCAGCCAAAGACAGAAGGGACCTTCACTGCAGATCTCTGGAAAAGTGTCTAAGCAACTTCCTTCTCTCTGATACTGTCTCTGACAAATTCTAGACAAAGTGGCCTTTCTGAACTCTGATTTTTGTCTTCGCCACTAATCAAGGCCACCAGGCTCTGTTTGGGATCCTTGTTTTTGCATGCAGCCTGGAAGCAGCCTTTGGCAGTGTGCTAGGGCAATTGTGGGGCTCAGCATATTTGTTTCTCTTCTCACAGAGGTCATGGTCTTGTGCTGCCTTTTGTCCAATGTCTGAAAATTGCTATTTCGTATGTTTTTTTCTGGTTTTATAGTGTTCAAAGTTATAGTGTTCAAAGTTAGGTGGTAAATTCAATCCCTGTGACTGAATCATATCTGGAAGTGAATTTTCTATATAATCATTTTTAATTAAATATACTTCACCAGTAAATAATATATGTGTATAATTTGAAACATTAAATATATCCAAGAGATTTAAGATAAAATAAAAAACATTCCCTTACTCCAGGCCTCTCCACCTCAGCCCCACTATGTAGAAATAACCCCTTTTTAATTAATTAGCTTTTTTTTGTAGCTAATTCCAAATTTTCGAATACAGTTGATCTTCAGACAACATGGAGGTTAGGGGTGCTGAACCCCTGTGGAGTCACAAATCTGTGTATAGCTTCTGACTCTCCCCAAACTTAACTAATAGCTTACTGTTGATTGGAAACTTTACCAGACACATAAACAGTCAATTAACACATATTTTGAATGTTATATGTATTGTATCCTGTATTATTACAATAAAGTAAGCTAGAGAAAAGAAAATGTTATGAGAATCATAAGGAAGAGAAACATATTTCCTATTCATTAAGTAGAAGTGGATAATCATACAGGTCTTCATGTTTGTTGTCTTCATGTTGAGTAGGATGAGGAGGAAGAAGAGGAGGAGGGGTTGGTCTTGCTGTCTCAGGGGTGGCAGAGGCAGAAGAGATGTAGGAGGTAGAAGGGGAGGCAGGAGAGGCAGGCACATTGGTGTAAGTTTTATTGAAAAAAATCCATGTATAAATGGACCCACATGGTTTAAACCTGTGTTGTTCAAGGGTCAACTGTCATATGCCTCTACTGATAATTTCTATTTATTTGTTTTTGACATTATCTATTGATTTTCTTTTATGTTAGAAAAGGATTTAGCTCTTTTACACCACTTTCCAATTTTCCATCCTTCACCTTCCTAATGTAATTGTACCACCATTTTTACATGATAAATAATCAGCTGTATATCATTATGACTGTGCAAATATTATTTATTTCAGAGCCTAATAAAATACTATGATTTCATTTTATTTCTCATTCTGTTTTTTATTATTCTTGGGATTTATAATTGCTTAATTTAAAAAAAAATGCATACTTTGCCATTCATGTGTTCTTAATATTTTCCAAATACTTTACTTTTAAAGAGATTCTATGGAGACCCCATCTCTTTCTTTTTATTAGAGGTGGCCCTCCTGGGGTCTTCTGTGATGCTGGAAAGTTACACATTTGTTACCCTGGAATCTCCCAACACAACTTTCCTAAGTTGTATCCGTTGCCTCCTCTTTCCCATGCCTTCATCTTTCTTGATTTACTCTCTCTTTTTGCTGGAGTGTATCTTCAAATAGCTTCCTAACAAATGGAGGTAATTTTTTTGAGTCATTCCTCAAATTTGAAATGCCTCAAACATTTTAGTTCTTCTGTTAAACTTGATGGATAGTTTGATGATGTGTAAAATTTTAAGTTAAAAAAGTTTTCTATTAGAATTTTGAAGACCTTGGTCCATAGGCTTCTATCATCCAGTGTTACTAAGAAAAAGCCTGAAGTCATATTAATTCTTATTCCATCTTTGTGACTTTTTATTTTTTCATTTTAGAATATCTTATAATCCTTTCTTGATCCTTTGTTTTCTGACATTTAATATTCATGAACTTTTAATGTGGCTCTTTTTTCACTTTTGTGCTGGATATCCTGTGTGTCCTTTCAATATGAAGACTTGTCTTGAGAAAATAACAATACCCTCCTTTTAGTCCCATTTCCACAACTTTCTCTGTTCTTTCTATAGTCATTATAATTTGTATGATAGAGTTCTTGGGTTTACCTTCTATTTAAATGTTTGTTTTCCCTTCCCATTGGTCCTCTTTTTGTCTTTTTGTTCTCTTTCCCTTCAGATTTTCTTGACTTGCTTTTTCAGGCATCCAGTTCAAGTTTCTAAGGCATGTCAATTTCCAAAAGTTCTTTCTTAGTCTCTGAGTTTTTTCTTTCTTAGTTTCCTGCTGCTTAACATATGCATTTTTTCATATGTAACTGAGGATAATAATTAGGGGGAACTATTTCCTTCTGTCTTGCATTATCTCTGATAAATAAAGATCTTTATTTCCTGTTTGTTTTGATTTCTCACATGAAAACCTTTCATGTTAGGGCTTTTCTCAATTATTTGTTTAATCTTAGTTGTCTGTTCATATTTAAGATGCCAAAATGTGTGTGTGTGTGTGTGTGTGTGTGTGTGTGTGTGTGTGTAAAAATGTGTGTGGGTTTAGGTGGAAAGTGGTGGTATTTTTCAACTGATGGCTTCACTTCAAGGAAACTGGACTTTTCCTTGAAGTCACCTCTTTTGTTGCCTCTGAAAACCCTGAGTTTTTCTAGTTAATTTTGCTAGAGAAGAAAATGCAGATCTCCTGCCTGGAGAAGAGGTGAGTGGGTTGAGTACAAAATACTTTCTGATTCTAGTGTTCTGATTTATCTGCATGCTTAGCCTTTCCAGGGTTACATGGAGCAAACTGGTTCTTTTTCATGTTCCTCCTCTGGTGTCTTCCATCTTGCCAAATCAGTAACTGTTCCTCCAACAACTTTCAATCTTCTAAAAATTTGTTGAAATCTGTTATATGCCGATGTCTCCTTTCTCATTCTCTATGTGTGTGTGTATGTTTTAAATTATTCTTTTTATCATATTAGTGGGAACACAGAATGAAGAAGCAATAAGCACATGCTAGCAAACTGCCATCTGTAATCAGAATTCTAGGTTACATAATTTTTATTGATATTGCTATAATGAACACTTTTTTGTGCCTGTAGCATTTTTCTCCTTTTGCATTTATGGATTAGTGTAGGATCAAAAGCACAAGTAAGAAATTAGATTTAAATAGTTAGAAGGAGACTTTATCCCACATTTCTGAAGCTGGGAAGAGTTGTAAGGAGAATTCGAGGCTAATGGGAATGGAGATGAAGAGCTTTGTGTCATATGTTTTTATTTCTTAAATGAGATTATTTGTAGAGTGATGGGATTATAAATGCTTTTGACTCTTTAAGCAAATGGGGGATGGGGAGGGCATCTAGAGCACTTTTCTTTGAGAAGTAAGGTGTTATACAAGAGCAACTTCTCCATCCTCAGCTTTTTGCCTGAGGCAGACCCTGTTGTCAGCCTAAATGACTTAACTTCTCAAAGAAATAAAATTTTCCCTGGGAAATAAAAGGCATTAGTTCTGAGGGCCAGATATCTTCCAGGGATTGTGTCTGGGTGTGCTCAAGTCCTCTGCTTCTTCCATATTCCAGCCCCATTGAGCCATGGGTATGTGGAGATCCCAGATAATAAAGAAAAAGCTTGCAATGCTTTTCTAGCAGGTAGAAGTTGCTCCATGAGTGCTCCGTCCTATAGTTTGAATGTGTTTCCCAAAAGTTCATGTGTTGGTAACTTAATCCCTATGCCCTTGAGAATAGATTAATAGATTAATGAGGGCTTTTCTCTCATGAGTGGATTAATGTCACTATCACAACAGTGGGTTTGTTGTTTTGGTGGTGGATGTCTTATAAAAGTGAGTTCTCTCTTGCTCTCTTGCTGTTACCCTTTTGCCATGTGATGCCCTCCACCATGTTATGATGCAGCAAGAAGGCCCTCACCAGATGCTAGTGCCATGCTCTTGGACTTCTCAGTCTCCAGAACCGTAAGCCAAATAAGTTCATTTTCTTCATAAATTATCCGGTCTGTGGTATTCTGTTATAGCAACAGAAAATGAACTAAAACACTCTGTATCAGGAATGGAACCAGCTACCTGATAAAGCTTCCCCCAGAAGAAACGTCCTTCTCTTTAGTTGGTTAACTTTGGATTCTGGGTGTCAACTCACTGAACTGTGATTTGTCCCAGGAGGCTCATTGCCCATTCTCAGCAGTACCTGGTCCCTCAGTGCCTAGGGCCAAACCAGGTGCAGGTGGGCTTATAGACCAGAGTACAAACTGAATGAATTGTCTTATTCCCTCCTAGTCTCTCATTTGAACCATGAACTCTTCCAAGCTTTTATTTCTTACATTTCTCCAACAAGGACTCATGTAACAAAGTGAGCATAGAAGAGGCACTAATAAAAATCCCTGTTATCTAAAAAATTAGTCTAAAGAGGAGTGTGGCAAATGACAACTCCACCCATTTGCACAGCATTTGACAGTTTTCACAGCCCTGTTTTTCTGCATTGTCTCATTTGTCCTCACCACAACCCTGGGGGGTTCTCAAGATAGTGGACAGCATCTTTCTTTTACAGATGGTGTGATTGAGGCCCGGTAAATTACATGACTTATGCAAGGTCATGCAGCTAATATGTGTCAACAGAAGGTCTTTGTTCCAGGTCTTCTGACTTCAAGACCAAACTTATTCCCAAAGTATCATATGGTTTTGGAAAAATAATAACAATAATGAGACTTTTAAATCACCCACATAAGAAATACCCATGAAATAATAGCATATTTTACCCAGACATCTGAGTCTGCTTTCAAGAGATTTTTATACTTTGGGGTCTATCTATTATTTGATTGACTGAGTAATATTCAAGTTGTTTTAACTCCAAATCATTCATTCATTCATTTATTCACTTGCTTAGAAAAACATCCACTGGTTGCTTAATTTGTGTCCAGTACTAGTTGGTAGCTAGAAAAAAAAAATATTGACTATAGTCTATGACATCGAACAGTTTAGCATAAAAGTGTAGGATATAACAGGCAGCATATGAATTTCCTATTGTTGCTGTAAGAAATTGCCATAAATATAGTAGCTTAGAACAACTCAAATTTATTATCTTGTAGCTCTAGAGGTCAGAAGTTTGAAGAGTCTCATTAGGCTAAAATCAACATGTTCGCAGGGCTGTCTTCTTTCTGGAGGCTGTAGGGAAGAATCTGTTTTCTTCCCCCTCCCAGCTTCTAGAGACCTCCAAGAAGGTGATCTCTTTCATCTTCAAACCCAGCAATACCTGGTTGAGTCCTTATGACAATGCTATATTTTTAGTTATGGCTCTTCTGCCCCCGCTCTTCTTCATTTAAGGGCTCTTTTGATTATATTGGGCTTTCCTGGATAACCCAGGATAATCTCCCTATCATAAGGTTAGCTGGCTAGCAACCTTAATTCCCTCTGCTACTGTAATTCCCCCTCACCATGTAACATAATATGTTTTCAGGTTCTAGGGATTATAATGTAGACATCTTCAAGGGCTCATTATTCTGTCTACCACAGATAGTAAGTGATCTCATCTGGAAATAACAATAAGATTATAATTCGAGGTATCATGTACGTGGTGCCAAATGAGTATTATAGACCACAAATGCAGAAAGCAAGAAGGAACGTCCTCTTCTGAGTGATCAAGAAACTCTTCATATTAGACAAGTGCTATGGTTTAAATATTTGTTCCTTCTGAGACTTACATTGAAACTTAATCCCCATTGTAACAGTATTATCAGGTGGGGCCTCTAAGAGGTGACTGGATCATGAGGCCTCTGCTCTCATGACTGGATCAATTCATGCATGGATTAATGGGCTAATGGATTGATGGGCTATCATAGGAGTAGGTTAGTTATCACGATAGTGGGTCTGTTACAAAAGCCGGTTTGACTCTCAGCGCACCCCTCTTGTCCTGTGATGCCTTTCGCCATGTTATGATGCAGCACGAGTTCCTCACCAGAACTCACCAGACCAGAGGCAGCTCCTCAACCTTGGACTTCTCAGCCTCCAGAACTGTAAGAAATAATATTTTCTTCTTTACAAATTACCCAGTCTTAGATATTCTGTTACAGCAACAGAAAATGGACTTAGACAGCAAGGAAACTGAATAAGCAAAGTTTCTTGAGTAGAATGAACATGGCCACAGGGAGTCACAAGAGATTTTTTTAAGCAGGGAGAATGTAATAAAGGCAGTTTTGAGTGGATGAATCTGGTGTTTGGTTATCTATGAACCTCATTAGAATATTACTGGCTCTGTCCCTCTCTGTTTCATAGAAGGAAAACCTGAAGTCTAGGGAGTTGGATGTCTCATGAGAAAGTCAGCTGACAAAGCCACTGGCCAGATGGTAAGGGGGTTTTTCGCAGTTCTGGAGAGAGAAGGAGGCTCTAACTTTTGCCACTGCTCATGACTGTTCTCAATAAAACAAAATCTGTTTGAATTATTCCCAGAATACCACTAAAATTAGTTCTTTCTGTCTTTACTTCTGGTCATCTTCTCTTATGGGGTATGCATTTTGCAGAACCTGCTGCTCTATGTCCCTATTCAGTTGTAATTGAGGGATGGGAGGAAGGAACATAGGTTGGGATAAGAGGTATTTTCTTGAAACATTCTGGGAGGTCTTTTTCTCCAGTATTGCCATTAAAGTCACATTGGGTTATCAACTCTGGGCCCTTACCTAAAGCTTCAGCTCCATTTTTTTGCTGCTCTTTCATAAAATGTGAGGCAGCACAGTGCAGAGGTAAAGCACAGGGGAGAGAAGCAGAAGAGCTGGCTCCTAGCTCTCTTTTGTGAGCTAGCTCTGGGACCACAGGCAAGTCACTTTTCCTAGTCTTATTTCTCCACCTGTTAAATGGGTTGGCTTGACATGACAGTGGTCTTCAGGTTCATTTGAGTTCTGAACCTCTGTAATTATGATTCTATGACTTAGCATCAATGGAGCTCCCACTTGTGGAGGTCAAAGGTGGATCTACTTCTACCACTCATGTGTCCACCTCCCCATTTCCCTGACTTACTTTATGCTTCATGTTCATTACCTGTTTGGTGTCTTTCTCATCTTGGTTTGGCAACCCTTTCATGAAGATGTCCCAGAATGTGTGTCATTGGGTGTCACTTATTCTCTGATCCTTCCATTCATTCATCCAACAATTAAGCACCTATTTGTGCAAGGTGAGGCAGCTCCATCTTTCTAAGCTTTCCTGTTAGGTAGGAAGGAAGTGCAATCCAGGCTTTTCAAATCATGGACGTCAGAGAATGTCTGAGTTGGAAGGACATTTAGAAACTATGACTCAATAGCCTTCCTTTCACAAACAAGGAAACAAAAGCCTAAAGAGATGAAGTGATTTGCCTAAAATCACATGGCTGAACTGGGAATGTCAGAACTGGGACTGGAGTCAATTTTCCAGTTTTCCAGCCCAGTTCTGCCTTCTCCCTCCATTATCTACCATATTCTATTAACTGCTTTGGAAACAAAACTGTAATGAGCCCTAAATTATTTTCTCCTTTAGCACAAAGAATTTTTAATTGGGGAAGGATGTGCCCAAATTTGTGATGAGAAACAATGAACACAGCCTCAGTGGAATTACTGGGCCATGGCCCATTGTTTCAGCAAAGGCATCCTATAAGGGAAGGAAAAAGAAGATGAGGAAGGAGAGAATGCAGACCTTCTTTGTTCTCAAACCTTTTGTCTCTCTATTAGGCTGTGTTTGTTTGCCAAACATGAGCCTGGCAAATTGCATGCCCCAAGTAATCCCGACCATCTACTCCGACTCCTCAATACTGAGCTTGGCAGCTGATAGCTCAGCCTGTTGCATTGCCAAGCTGGATGAATAGACCTCAGCCAAGTTCTGGCTGTGAAAAGAGGCCTTGGGTACAAGGGCCCCATGCTTTTTGTGATCCAGTGGGGACAGGTCACTGCCTGGCTTATTTGTCTTCAAACCAGGCCAACCCACTCCACACCACGTGGGACCAAAACGAGAGGCCAGCCTCATAGCAGCAATAGGGCAATTGCCTTTGACCTCTCTCTTCACTCCCGCTCTGGTGTTGTACTCTCTACCCCAATCTGGTTTCTACCAGCTCCCCAAATTTTTAGCTTCTAAAAGCTTGTCTCCTATTCCTAGCTCCATCAAGTTAATACTTTAACTTATCCACCAGATTTATTTGGCTTAACTCTTGGTTCTTCCCTGAGTGATGGATTATACTTATCTTTCAGCTCCTCCCACTCCTGGTCACTTTGGGTTAAAACCCAGGCCAATTTTCATGAGATCTGGTCCCCAGAAACTCCTTTTCTTTACCCCAGGGAGTGAATTACTTGAGTGGGCTTGTTCCTATTGGCTTGCCTTAGTTTTCTACATCTAAGCCATTGTGCCTGTCTCTAGGACTCACTGAGTGCTCTCCTCCAGAAACTGCCTGCATCTGCCACTCTTATGTTCACCTCCTCGTCTTCCTGTCTTTATGCTTCACTTTCAGAACCTGCTTTGGCTGTCTTCCTCATCTTGGTTCTCCCACCATAGCAACTTACCAGCTCTGGGCTCTGATTTGGCATCACTGGTACCATTAGATAAGAGACCTCCCCCTCATCTCCAGTAGATCCCTTACTTACTGGGTGAAATCTCAGCTCCTTCATTCCCATGCCTTGGTTCCACTACCAAGGAAGAAATATTTAGAAATGACCAGTGGTTTTCCTGCGGTACTTTTAGCTGAATGTTTTGAATCTCTTGTATACACTGGAATTTGAAATTAACCACAGACTCCTATGGTTAAGAACAGCTGAAAGATCAAGCCTAAACATTTCTCAAATTGTGGTTCTGTGACCATCTCCATCAGAGTCCCTTATTAAAAATATAGATTCCAGGCCATCACCTCAGATCAAATGAATTAGAAACTTGGTGGGGGCTGTAGGGGGAGATTATTAGATTGATTATTAGATACCAGAAAATTTGATAACTATTGATTTAATTTATCTCCCAGGTTTCAGTTGGTATCTTATTTAAGCTATCCATAGCAACCCCTCTGGTCTAGGTGGTTCTTGAAAAAGGGAGATTTCAGAAGCCACCAGACTATTAAAGAAACATTGATATTATGTGTATTCACTATATTAAAAAATCAGTAAGTTTATTAGAAATCTTTCTTACATAGACTTCTGAGTAGGCCCAGTGGGGGATACTAGTTGACTAAAACACTCAGACTAGCTATAATTCTAAAGTAAAGGCACATATTTTCATTTGCATCTCAGGGAAACAAAGACAGTATGGGGACAGCTCACAAAAAGTCTCCACCTTGTCAGAGTGGAGCCGTCAACTTTGGCAGGTAAGTCTGTTCTGATGGTTGTGATAAGTGAAAGTACATGTGGTGAAGAAAAAGTGGGTCATCATTTTGAGATCCAAAAATTGACATAAAATTGTACGTGAAGGTAAATCTCTGTGAGAGATAATTATCAAATTAACAGAAGCTTATGGAGAGGAAATAAAGTCAAAATACGTAAAGATGATAGGGAAGATAGCTGGAGTGCTGGAAGGATCTGTATAGAACCATAGATTTCTGACTGGAAGGGGCCTCAAAAATCACATTGATGGAGAGTTTCAAATTCTTTTAAGCTCTTGGACTCTTCTATCAAACAAAATCTTATGCAGAAAGCTAACATGTAAAACAAATACAGAGTTGCTGTGGTTGGGGAGAATGAGAGAGAGACAGAGAGAACATGTTAATTAGGATAGGCTAGGTTATGTGCAGTAACAAACAATCCAAACATTTTATCAGCTGTTATAACAACAAAGACTTTTCCAGTTCATGCTGTATGTCTATCATGGACGGACTCGGTCAACTCTACAGTTCCCTGCTTCGGGTCCCAAGCTGATGGAGCAGCTCCCATTTTGATCACTGATGGTTACCATGATGAAAGAAAAGTACAACTCTGACAAATGTTGCATTGGCAATTAAATGCTCCAGTTTAAAAAAAGTGACACAGAGTACTTCTACCCAGGTTGCCCTGGTCAACATCAGTCACATGGCCCTACATAACCACAAAGAGGCCAAGAAGCGCAATCCTACCATATGCCCAGAAGCTATTTCCTACTGAAAATATTTAGTGAACACCACTGTTGACTAGCATTGTGTGTGTGTGTGTGTGTGTGTGTGTGTGTGTGTGTGTGTGTGAGCTTTCACTCATGCCCAGTGTTATCCCTAGGTACCTGCAAGGAACTCTTAGGCTCCATGAAAACTGATTTGGAAACTACTAAATTAGCTCCCTTATTTCATAAATGAAGAAAACTGAGGTCAATTTACTTACTTAAGGTAAGATAATATCAAAACCTAGGCCAGAATGTAGGTTTTCTTTGCTCTCAGTCCAAGGCTCCTCCCATTTTTGCTCTGAATGTGGTGTGTGTGTGTGTGTGTGTGTGTGTGTGAGAGAGAGGGAGAGAGAGAGAGAGAGAGAGACAGAGAGAGAGAGAGAGAGAGAGAGAGTGGTGACTCAAGAGTTAAATGTAGATGAAGAATAGACTGGTTCTGAAGGGAAATGTGAACCTGAGGAAATTTTCCGTGAAGGCTCCCCATGCATTCCAAGTGACAAATAGATGCAGTAAAGACATTATATTTGTTCTGATTACCCAAAGGATGCTGGGCAACATAAAGAGTTTCTGAAGAGAACAGCAACTGATGATGAAGCGTGGTGCTCCTAATGGAGTGAAGAAACCAAGCAGCAATCACCAACTTTGCAGGGACCTGGGGGAAATGTTCATGTTGAGATCACAAGTAAGGAGGGCATCAACTGTTTTCATTCAAGGCAAGGGCATTGTACAGGGAGCATTTATCCCACAGGATTAAGCAGTTCCATTGGTTTCAACAAACATTAGCAATCACCCACTCTGCTCCAAGCACAGTGTTAGGTGCCAGGAAGCCGAAGACAAATAGCACATGGTGAAAAGAAGAAATGGTCAGACCTGGACGTAGTGCTAGGGAGGACTAAAAAGCCACAGGACTTTGAGACTATTAGTATGTGTGTGTTGAGGGGTGGGTCATGATGAAAGAAAATAATTTCTAGACTGACTCCTAAGTTTCTCTTCTTCTAGAGTTTATCAATGGGCATTCAGAGCAAGACAATTTATTGGGCAGGTCTATCCCATATATAGCACCATATGTAACGTTTCTGCACTCATGCTCCATTCTTTGTCATTCATTGTGAACACATACACACACACACACACACACACACACACACACACACACACACACATCTCTATATGTCCCTGGAGGGGCAGTACAGGCACTGGAAGGAATGTGGCTTTGCAGTCAGCCTCACCAGGTTCCCACCCAGGTTCTGCTACTTTCTAGTTACAGGGCTTTTGTGTTAGGCAGTTCTTGCGTTGCTATAAGAAAATACCTGAGAATGGTTAATTTATAAAGAAAAGAGGTTTAATTGACTCACAGTTCAGCAGGCTGTACAAATGTGGTGCTGATGCCTGCTCAGCTTCTGGAGAGTCCTCAGGGAGTTTTTACTCATGGCAGAAGGCAAAGTGGGAGCAGGCACATCACATGGCAAGAGTGGGAGCAAGAGAGAGAGTGGGGGAGAAGTGCCACATGCTTTTAAACAAATGGATCTCATGAGAACTCACTATTGCAAGGACAGCAGCACCAAGCGTGTTTAGAACTGGTGTGTTCTGATCCATAGCTTGCCACCACTCTGGCACTTAGTAGCTGCTCATTAGTTAGTGAGCTCGCATTGCAAGGTGAATTATGTCTTTAGTGAGCTTGTGAGTAACATGGAAGTAGGGATTCAAAGTCTATGTAAGTCAGGGATCTTCTGATGGCAAGGATGCCCATTCACTGGAACTTAACTGTGGTAGGGGAATCTCATGAAATGCAACTGTAGGACTGTAGAGAACTCTCTGTCTCTCTGTGTGTCTCTCTTTCTTTCTTTCACATGGCTTTCTGTTTCTGCCTTCCCTCAGCATTTCTCCTTTTTTCTTCTCTCTTCAACTGGTTTCTTGGCGTCTCTGTTTACCCATCTACTTGTATATAGTCCACCATGGCTGCCCTAAAATGGTGGTCTTACCTCCCTGCTCTGTACCACTGTCTTCCTTTCCTCCCCATTGCTAACAGATTTAGTCATTTGTGTCTCAGTCACAAATTCCTGGGCTAGCTTCTGGCTGAGAGGCTTCCATTTCCTGTCCAATCAGCTTTGCCAGGCTCGAGACTCAGGGTGGTGGGAGAAGCAGGTGGCAAAATGCATAGCGCTGCCCCTGCCAGGGCTGACAGTTTCTCTAAGAGGAGAGTGTGGGTAGGAAGGAGATAGCAAATGTCTCTGGGACAGTGTCCTGTCCATCGGGCTTTGTATTATTTCTGTGTTCAGTGAAAGAGAGATGAACAAAGACAGAAAGACAGGATTTGGTGGCAGAGCAAAAGTGGCCATCATGCTGACTCGCTTAATTTTTGTTTTTTCTGGCCACTGCACTGCTGCCTTCCTTGTTTTGTTATTGTTTTGACTGTTTGTAATTCCTTCTGTGGTGCCTCCAGGAGCACCATCTCAGTTTTGATGAGATCCAAGGAAGTCCTGTCACTTGCCCTATTGTGTATGTACACCCCCTCCACTCTGGTCTGCTCAGGATCAATCCCTTGAGGGTAGTCAGAATAAACCTTAAAGCAGAGCTTAATTGATCAAAAATACTTGAAGAAAGTGAAGTTATAGATGTCAGTAACATCTAAGACAAAGAGGACTCTCCTTCCCTTCCTATGACTCTCAATAGTGGAATCCCCTAACTCTTCTTACCCCCATTACTGACTATGTAAATCACACCTTAATGTGTCTGATGGCCCTGAATTGACGGTCATGTCAGGAGGGCCTCTGATCTGACACAGGCAGTTTAGGAGGCTGTGGTAGAAATGGGTTCTCCACTGGGGGCCTGGGAAGTGCAGGGTTAATGTAGAGGAGGAGAGGAGCTGAAGTACTGTAAGCAGGAACACGAAGAAGGGAGAGCAGCTTGTGCGGGGCTGCAAGATCATTAGCCATAAAGGGCAGGGACAGGGACTCGTGAGGAGGATGAGGTGGTACCATCTAAAAGTGTCAATGCAAAGGGTAAGCATTCTCTGCTGCTTCTTGTTTGCTCACTTTCTCAGATGCCCCAATCACAAAATATTTCTGGTTCCATTTTTTTTCTTTTTTTTTCTTCAACAGACAACCTGATGCCATCATGGAGGCTGAAAATCCTCACACCTTTCATTCTGTCTAGGGCTGACTGGAACCAGGGCTGGCTGATCAGCTGTCAGGCTGCTCTTTAGCGAAGCTTGGAAAGTTCCAGCAAAAGCCCTGCCTTTGAACCGGAATCACTCTGCCACCATCTGCACATGGATCCTTTGTAGTGGAGACAGTGATCTTTGTTCTGTATAAAAACAGACTGGAACTCTTCTTGGGCCTGTCCCTCTGCTGACAATTCCAAGTAATGCTTTATCATCCCCAAGTGCATTGCGTTGCTTTAATATCTGGCAGAGCGTGAATTGTAAACACATCATTAGACTTAAAGGCTGCCCTGAGATGGTGGCTGGAGGAGAACGGGGCCTGAAGAAAAGAGGAATTTGGCTGAAAATGAGCTGCTGAATAATTTATCATGAATTGAAATGTCAATACCTTAAGTGAGGCATGGTGAAGCTTCAGAACTCAGAGGTAAACACTGTGAGGATGTAATTCTGGAGAGAACATTATCAAAAGCAGTGGCTCTTCGGAAAGAGCAGGAGGCAGAGGGACCCTGGCTGGGTGTGGGCTGAGTCTGATGAGGAGGTTGGGGGTGGGGAGGGGGTACAAAAGGAGAAGCAGAGCAGAGCTTGCCTTGGAGCTGCACCATCTGAGCTGGAGGACAGGTGAAGCCAGAAAGGAACTGGGGAAAGTTAAGAACGAAGTGAGAGCTGTTAAGTAGGAGTGTCAAGAAGGCCTGACCAGTGGGCCCAGGAAAGCTTCTTGGAGAAGGGAGGACCCAGGATTTGATGAAGGGAGATGAGGTGGAGAGAATTTCATTAGATGTGCTATTAAGGGGTAGCAGGAGAGAAGTTGAGAAGGCTGGTGGTGGGTGCAGGTTGAAGAACACTGTGCAGAAGAATGGGAATTTGTTGAAGCTGAAATGAGAGCTCCTGCAGATCTTTTGACAGGAAATTGACATTCATTCAGCAAGTATTCAACATATAATTGAATAGCTATGTTCCAGATTCTGTGCTGGCGCTGCACACAGGTCTCTGGCCTCAAAGAACTTATATTCTAGTGAGGGAGACAGATAACCAAAAAATAGCCACCACATTTGTTTTCCTGAGTGTTTGACTTGCATCTTATTCTTTGCCACAAGGTTAGGAAGTAGGTGAAATAATTATCTCCATTTTACAGATGAAGAAACTGAGGCTTAAAGAGGGTAAGTAATTTTCCCAAGGGAATTCAACTAGTAAATGGTAGAGTTAGAACTCTATCCTGCAATTATGCAGTTATAATTTGGGCTAAATGTTTGGATGGGAAAGTATATGAGGCTGTGGACCAGTGTTGGACACATGACTGACTGTTCAGGGGGCCAGGGAAATGTTACTGAGAAAGGAATTAAGATGAAACCCGATGAGCTGGGGCGATGTGGTGGGGTAAGAGTGGCTTGTACAAGGTCCCAGAAGTGGGAGGAAGATGGTAGAGGCGAGATCTGGCAGGTCTTTGGAGGTCTGTCAAGGAGGCTAGACTTCATCCCAATGGCAATGAGAAGCCACTGAAGGGTTCTAAGAGGGGAAGGATGAAGAGAGTATGTGTGACAGAGTCGATTTTGCATTTTTAAAAGATTGCTCTGGCTGCTTTGTGGAGAATTGATTGGTGGGGCCAGAAGTGCAAGCTGCTGGAACAGTGAGGAAGTTGAGAAGCAGGAAATAAGTAAACCAATAAACGCGTCAACCTCTTGAGTATTTATAAGAGGGTTCCTCAGCCCCTCGCTCAAAGCCTTTTTTCCCTCATTTACATCCAATTCTAATAATTCAGGTGCTTGTTTTCCCAATTTATAGCAGATTAAGAGTCACAATTTAGAAAAGAATTTGGGAATGCAGTGAGTGTTGAAGGGGGAAAGACACTGGCAATTATGAAAAGTGACAGTTTGATTTTAAGGAAAGACAGACATGAAAAACATTTAAAATATTAAAACAAACCAACTGCACAGCAGGGTGGGACTATTCAGTGGAAAGGCAAATGACCCTATCCAATGTCATCCTCCCATTTCAGGCTAATATTTGATATCTTCAGTGATTAATTTGAGACAACAACAAAAAAATGAGTCAACAATGACAAAATGTGATGTTCAATAACCTCTGTTTAAAAAGACAGGAACGAAAAAGAGCGACTCCACATTTCCAGTGGCCCTTCAGGGTGTGAGTGGGAATGAACCCAAGATGGCCGTGAGGCCTGGAACCGTGCGTTTCCCTTTCAGTCTCCAAGGCCAGCTGTCTCCCCCTGCATGAGGGGTTGCTGAAGTGGGGGGAATGGAGCTTGGTCAAAATCTCCAGCCCCTCATCAGTGAGCCCGGAACATGAGCTGAGGCAAAACCACCACAGCAACCATGGCAGCTCTGGGCCTCCTTCGGAAGCTGGGCTGGAAAATTCTGTAGGCCACTGCAGGCTTTTAGGGATTTAGAAAGGTCCCTGCTGCTAGAGGGCTTCCAAAGAGAAGCAGAGGGAGTAAACCAGGGTCCCCAAACCTAGTACCTTTTAGGAACCGGGCTGCAGGGCAGGAGGTGAGCTGCCATGAGTGAGCATGACCGCCTGAGCTCTGCCTCCTGTCAGATCAGCTGCAGCGTTAGATTCTCGTAGGAGTGCGAAGTCTATTGTGAACTGCGTCTGCCAGGGATCTAGGTTGTGCACTCCTTATGAGAATCTAATGCCTGATGATCTGAGGTGGAACAGTTTCATCCCCAAACCATCTTCTCTCTATCCCGCCCCCAAACCAGTCCCAAAAATGTTGGGAACTGCAAGAGTAAATCTTTCTGTGCGGGACTCTGGATCTGACCATCCGAGGGTTGGCGCAGTCCCCTTCCCTGGTGTCCTCCCTTGCTGTTGTTTTTTGTGTGTGTCTTTCCTTGAAATCAAACTGTAATTGCCAGTGTCTTTCCGCCTTGAACACTCACTGCATTCCCAAATTCTTTTCTAAATTGTTAGTCTGTTATAAATTGGGAAAACAAGCACCTGTATTATTAGAATTGGATGTAAATGAGGGAAAAAAAGGCTTTGGGCAAGGGGCTGAGGGACTGTCTTATGAATAAAGTATTCAAGGGGTTGACACATTTATTGGTTCACTTATTTCCTGTGGAGGAACCGTTGCTCTCGTGTGCAGGTAGGGGTCTAACTGTACCTACCTGCAGCCAGCCCAGGGCAGGATTTCGGGCTGTGGGAACCACCCAACCTTGGCCTGCCACCGCAGACTTCAGCTGCCAGCTCCCCCAGCTCCTCCCTGCTAAATGAATAAATAAATGAATGTCAATTTCCAGTCAAAAAATCTGCAGGGGCTCTCATAGGCTGGAGCGTGCTGGACTCCCAGCCTGACACCCTCGGCACCCATGCAATCAGACATGCAGGCACGAACCAGCCCCCCTCAGAGACATCCTCGATCCTTCACAGCTGGGGGCGTCGGGCCCCAGCCCCAGGCTGCATCTGGTTTCCTCAGTTATCTGATTGGGATGGTTACAAGTGTGATCAGGAATTGGGCCAATGGAAGACGCCCGTGCAACTTCTTCTATTTCAGGGGCCTTATTTTGTTGCTTTTGTAAGTATAGTAAACAGACTAAAAAGTAAAGTTTTTGTGTTATTTGGTTAAGATCTAGGAAGCTGAAGTAGGAAAACAAAATACTGTCTGAAGAGTGGGGAGGCTTCTGGGGTGTCAATTCTGTACAGATTTAGATGTATTTATTGCCTCCTCCAACAATCCTGGAATGTCAGTCTCCACTGATTTACCCCAGACATTAGAATTCCACCTGGGAAGCCAATTAAGATGAAAATCTTCAATAGAAGACAACTGAGAAGGTCTGAGAGGCTTGTTACCCAGTTATACCATTCCAGTTGGGAACTATGACCATTGGAAGGATAACTGCTGAAGCCATGATGTCTCTTGCACAACTTTTTCTAACTTGAGTTTTAAGTATATTTTTTGTTGCTGTGTAAATATATTTTTTAATTGTTTTCAAATTGTTTGTTGGAGTGTAAAAGCAATTGATTTTTCATATATGATTAATAATATAACCAGCAATTTGTTAAACTATCTTGTCAATTATAATAAATTGACACTTATTTGGAGTTCTCTAAATATCATCTAATCATAATGACAGTTTGATTTTTTTTTTTTTTTTTGAGATGAAGTCTCGCTCTTGTCCCCCAGGCTGGAGTGCAATGGTGCGATCTCGGCTCACTGCAACCTTCGCCTCCTGAGTTCAAGCAATTCTCCTGCCTCAGCCTCCCGAGTAGCTGGGATTACAGGCTCCTGCCACCACGCCCAGCTAATTTTTGTATTTTTAGTAGAGATGGGGGTTTCACCATTTTGGCCAGGCTGGTCTCGAACTCCTGACCTCAGGTGATCCGCCCACCTCGGCCTCCCAAAGTGCTGGGATTACAGGTGTAAGCTACTGCGCCCAGCTGACAGTTTGATTTTATCTTTTTTTTTTTTTTAAAGTATATTCAAGGAAGATTGTTGTCCAAACTGAAATAAAAAGGAGCAGAAAAAGAAATTGAGTTTAAATTATCTGGAAATTCTTCTTATATGTAGAATTTATTGTTCTCTGACATTATTAGATAATATGTAATTTAAGTAAAATAAATCATCATTATTATTTTTTAGAGAAAGGATTTCATTCTTCTACCCAGGCTGGAGTGTGGTGGTACGATCATAGCTCACTGCAGCCTTGAACTCCTGGGCACAAGGGATCCTCCCACTTCACCCTCCCGAGTAGCTACATGCCTCCACGTCCTCTAGTTTTTAAAACTTTTGTGTAGAGATAGGGTCTCACTGTGTTGCCAAGAATGTTCTCCAGCTTCAGGCCTCAAGTGATCCTCTTGCCTTCGTCTCCCAATTCTTAAGTATGTTATTCATTAATTTATTAAATAATTATATGGTACTATAGTAGGCTCTGAGGTTTTTATTGTGAGTAAAACTCAGGGATCCATCTCTGCCCTCCAAGAGTCAATAGACTAAGGTTGTTTTCCACTTAGTAGTCAGGTGAGAGATGAAGGCAGGTTGTAGTAGAGATGTGGATATATTTGTGATGTAATTAGTAGTTAAAACCAGTACAGCCTGGTCATGGATTGGAAATGAGGCACAAAGGAGAAGGAACTGTCAAGAATAACTTCTGGACTTCTGGTTTGCACAACTGAAGGGAGATGTTGTCATTTATCGAGACTGGAACATTGAAAAAGGATCAGATTTGGAGGGGTAGGAAGGAAAGGAATGACTTTGGTTTTGCTATTTTGATTTTGAGATGCTTTTGAGTCATATGAGGAGGGATAGTAGCAGGCAATTGGATATACTGGTCTGGACTTTGGAGGAGAAACCTGATTGGAATCATCTGTTTATACAGAGTAATTGATGGTTTGGATATAGATGAAATTGGCTAGGCCTGGGGAGAGCAGATTAAGAAGAGGAGAGAGAGTTGGATGGAATCTTGAGCTTCAATTCTGATTGGCCAGGTAGAAGAGTATAGGTTGGTAGTGGGAAGAGGCAAGAGGAAGGATCCAGGAGAGCATACTGTCCTAGAAGGTAAAATAATTGAAAGTTTTGAGAAAGGAGAGAAAGTTAATGTTCAAAGCTGCTGGAAGGTTACATAACGTGAGGACTGAGAAATATCATTGGATTCAACTACATTGTGGTAATTGGCAACATTATTGAGAGCTATTTTGGAGAGGATTATTATGGTTGAAGAGTGAGTGGGAAGTGAGAAATGTTTTGAAAATGTATTAGGAAATAAATGAATCTGTATTGTATTTTGGTTTTAGAATACACATCACAAATAAGAATGTTACTAAGGCTTATGGTAAGTTTCATTGAGCACAACCTTAAAATGCTGGATCAACCTATTTAGTAGTTGCTGGAGACCCTGCAATGAAGTTAGGGTGGGATGGCGAGGATTTGGCATGTCTGTCAAACTACTTGGGGACATGGAGTCTTAAACGCTCTATTCTGAAGTCTGTCACCTCTCTCATCATGCTTGCAGATGCCTAGATAAGAGAGCCTATGCACAGTGGAGAATTATTAGCAAATACCTAGACACAGTGGGTTTGGGCCATGTTAGGAGGGTGATTATATTGGTCTCTGGAAATACATCGTGCGACATCAGCCTATTCATTGGCACCTGCTGAAGCTGTTTTATCTGGAATCATTTGAGTGCTTTGTACTTTTGTGCATCTGCCGTTTGTCTTGAAACTAAGTTTATACAAGTCCTTTGATGACAAATTCCACTGCTCTCTGAGGATGGGCTCTGGGCCCGCTGCAAATGCAAGCTGTCCCAAGCTTTGGTCTCTGGCTCTGTCAGAAGAAGCAGATTGTCGACCATCTCCCAGCTGCTTCTTGCCACTTGCAATTTGTGCTTTCTACAGAAATCACTCTGTTCTGAACAAGCCAGTCACCTCACTATTGTGAGAGGTTTGTGTGTCTGCTGAATATTTTATTTACCATCTGGCTGGTCGTGATGCGCGGAGAACATACTTATGGGCCAATAATGTCCTGGACCAGTGTATACTAACCCTGAAAAGGTCACTTGCTTCTCCCCATGCCTGGCAGGCACCCGCAGTCCCTCACACAGGGTCCTTGCTATTTATTTGAGGCTCTAGGAATGGGAGATGTAAGGCAGTGGAGGGAGCTTTCTGCCCTTTTTACCCAGGCATCAAGGTGGTCACCAGGTGTTTTCCTAAGAAGAGGGGCATTTCAGCATCCAGCTCCTTCTCGTGCCTTCCTGAAACTCACATACGAGTTTTTAGGGAAGCACCTTCCATGAGTCTGAGGAAATCTGTGACTATTTCTGCCATCAGTAGGGGCTAAAGAAATCGCCATTCCTTTGCCCCTACTTCACCAACCAGATTCTCTCTTTTGAAAGGGAGGAATTTAATAGCACTTTTCCTTGTTCGGAGGACAATAGCTAATTAGGGCTTGAAAGTGCTTCTGTTTTTAACAATCTCCTTTGCAGGTGCAAATAATTCCAAGAGGCCTCTCCCTTTTTGCATTTTAATTCCCTCATTGAAGATAGATGTCCCTTAACAGCTACTCAGGAGGGAGGCGGTAAATAGAAAGAGTACTGGACTTAGGAGTGCTCTATTCTTTTTATTCATCAATGCTTTGCCACTAGATACAGTTTGCTCATCTATCAATTGGGCATATTACTAATTTACCTTGTAAGGTTATTTTGAAAATCAAGACGTGTGAACAGTGCTTCATGGATTGCCTGTGTACCGGCATGCCCAGTTTCTATTGTATAGGAAACTGATAATCCTTTAAGTAATAAAACATTTAAAAATACATATGTAACCCCTAGGCCACATATATATGCTCTATAATATATATAATTGTGGATTGAGAATAAAAAAATGCTATATGTTAAGTCCTATTAAAACTAACATTTGTTGAATGCTTACCACAACTTAGTGCCAAGCTCTACAAATTTCATTTCATAATCGTCACAACAACCCTATAAGGAAGACGCTACACTGTACAAATGAGGAAATTGAGATCCAAGAACTTAACTAACTTGCCCAGACTCACAGAATCAGTAAATAGCAGATCCAGAATTTGAACCCAAGTCTTTTTGGTTACATGTGTGCAACCTGAGGACTCTACTGCTTTCCTCCTCAACATGTCTTATCTCCTACACAACATCCTTTTAAAGAGAAGGAAGCCAAACTCTTATAAAATGTTTCACTGCATCTGAATAAGCAGACAACCCTATAAAAATACTATGTAAGGCCAGGCATGGTGGCTCATGCCTGTCATCCCAGTACTTTGGGAGGCCGAGGTGGGAGGATCACTTGAATCCAGGAGTTCATGACCAGTCTGGGCAATATAGCAAGACTTCACCTCTACAGAAGATTTTAAAAGATTAGCAGGGCATGGTGGTGTGTGCCTGTAGTCCCAGCTACTTGTGGGGGTGAGGCGGGAGGATTGCTTTCAGGCTGCAGTGAGATATGATGGCACCATTGCACTCCAGCCTGGGCAACAGATTGAAATCCTGTCTAGAAAAGAAAAAAAGTTATGTACAAATACATGAAACCAAACAATGGCTCCGAGTGAGGAATAAAGTGGTGGCTGATAACATCCCTGTTCTCACTACAGGGTTATATACCTTGATGATTTATTTTATGTTTCAATGGGAAACACTTCTCTGGGCAGCATAAGTAGCTCAAGAATCTTGTATGTTGTGTGTGTATGTGTGCATGTGTATCTGTTCCCTTTGGTGAAATCTTCTTCCCACAGTATTTTTCTCTTCTCTATGGCCATAAAGCATAAAGAATGGCCATTTTCCTGCCAATGAGAATAGTCATTACGAATGTCAAATGTTGAGTTGTGCTTGGTGTGATGTGCTCAAAGCCCATTGGTGTGTAAGGCTGGACTGGTTTATTTGCTAGGTGTGGATTATTATCCCTATTTTGCAGGTGAAGAAACAGGCTTAAAATAGTACAAGACTAGCTCAAGTCACAAAGCAGGATTGCAAGCAATGCAAAGCAGATTTCACTACAACCAGAAGAATCGCTTTTGAAATAAAAACAAATTCTAATTTCAAAAGCATTACATTAAGAAATATTTGTTGTAAAAATTCAGAATTACAGTTAAACATGATAAAAAGTTCAGAAGTTGGTCACTACCTCTAATCCTGGTTCTTTTTCCAAGGAAAGGCTATGGTTAACAATTGCATATGTATCGCTTCTCAGATTATAATGTATATTTAAATCACCTGGACATTTTGTTAAAATGCAGATTCTGACTCAGTAGGTGTGTGATGGGCCTGATCTACTGACTCTCTAATAAGCACTCAAGTGATGCTGATGCCAGTGGTCCATGGACCATGCTATGAGTACAAGGTCACAGGGCAATGTGCATTTTTATTTTCACTGTTACTGCCAAATTACATTCTGAAGCAATTGTATCAATTACCAACAGAATATGGGAGTAGTACTTATTTCCCACGTTTTCTCCAACACTTGGAAATTTCCCTATTAATTTGTTTTTCTCAATTTGATAGGTGAACTGTGATATCTATGGTTTTAAAATGTATTTTTATTTTTTAACAAGTTTTTTCACTCTTTTATATGTTCATTGGTTATTTATACATTCTCTACTTGTCTGTTCATATTCTTGACTCATTTTTCCATTTGGATATTCTTGCCCCTCTGTTTTAGTGGCTTATATGAATTCTTTATATATTTTGGTTTTCAATCTTTGGTCTGTTAACTATCTTGCAAATATTTTCCTCCGGGTCTAAAGAAGAAATTTTTACCCAGCAGCATTGTCCAGTGACTGAATGGAAGTGAAGCTGTTCAGAAGTTGCATAACCACTTGCTAGGGAGGAATTTGGTACCTCCCTTGACTTTTTGTGCCTTCTTTCTCATATTAATAGAATATCTCAGAAAAGAGCTTATCCTACTGTATTATGGTTGTTTATTTTTTGGCCTCATCCATTCAACAGTGATCTCTTTGAGGGCAGGGATGAGGGTCTGTGAGTCACCTCTGTATTGCCAGTACCCAGCTTTGGGTCTAGCACAGAGCAGGCACTCAGAAAATATTTAGTGGATGAATCAATGGACAGAGGGTTAGATGGGTCTTGTTGCTGGATTCCGGCCAGGGTTTGCCCTGTAACTCAGCTAGGAGTTGTTTTGGATCCTTAAATAGGGTGACAGAAGAGGAGCAAGAGGACCCTTTGCCCCTAGTTAGAGGAAAGTGCCCTCTGGGTGGCTTGTCTTCCCTCCATTCATTTGCATGTTAGATACTCTGGTGCTCAGAGACAGCAATAATGACAATAGCCAATACATGTAGTGCCTTTAGTGTGCTTTGTACACATTAATTCATTGAATTCTCACAACTTCTCCGTGAGGTAAGCAGTATCAGTATTATCTCCATGTACAGATGAATAAACTGAGGCACAGTGTGGTTAAGGAATTTTCCCAAGATCATACTGCTAATAAACGGCAGAACTGAGATATGAACCCAGCTGTCTGGCTCCGTAATCTGTGCTCAAGAGAGAACATGAAAAACACTAGGCCTGGTACAACGTAGGCACTAAACAAACGTTTCTCTCTTCATTTACCATCCCTCCCCAAGAAGTGTGCCTTTTTTGTTAATGATATCTCAGACCTGTAGCTTGGCAAAATCCAATCTTGGCCCTACTTTTCCTCTGTAGCTTTTGTCTCTGAACCATACATCCATCCTTGCTGGAAGTGCCAACAATCCCTGTTCTCCTAGGAACCTGGCAACCCCAATTCCCATGCAGCCAGCACAGGGATTGAGGCTTTCCATGATCCAGGCCTGTTTTTATCCTTTAGCACCCCCAAATCCTGACACTCTGGCCCCAAGGCTTTGCATGGTGCTGCCATCTGGAAGGTACAGATGACCACTGACAACCCTCTCTGAAGAGTGAATGGCCATTGGCCAAGACTGGTTCACTGTTCGTCTTTAAACCTCAGGTCAGGGTACCCTATGCAGAATGTAATCAGTTGGTGGCTGAATTCCATTAGTGACTGGCCTTCTCTAACTCTAGTATCAAAGGTATTTTGAATGAAGGCTTAGTGTTGGGGGAGTCACAGTGTGGTGGTACTTATGCGTAGGAAGTCCTATTCAGCTCGCCCTCAGTCACATCAAGAGAAGAGCTGCCTACCCAATGTAAAAGATGGGTGAAATCCAGAGGCTGTAGTAGATAAGCTTTATCAAGAATCTTCAGCCCCATTGTATATGCCTCAAGGCACTCACTCTCCTCTTGTGGCAGGAGTTAAAGGAGACCCTAGATTCTAACTCTCAGGATAAGTTTGAAGAACTACGTTGTACTGGAGTCTCTGCTAGGCCTGCTTACACCTATTATCTGATTAACTCCTCACAATGATCCCCAGCAGGAGGCAGGATTTATTTAAAGTAAAGGAGAGGAAACACTTAGGAGTTAGATAAATGACCGAACTTGGGAATCAGAAACATCCTTACAATCCAAGGATGATTTTTAGCAGCTTCCTGAGCTCAGAAAAGAGGCCCGTATTGACACAATGAAACTCAGACTGGATCTACCTATCTGGAGCAAAATGGGCAGAGGCTAGGACAACTGGTCATTTACACAAAACCTCAGGAGCACAACCATTACTTGTAGGATTGGATGTATGGTAACTGAATTCAGGACTAAAGGTATGAATTGCTACCCAGGTATTGTTTACGAGGGAGCTTGCAAAGAGACTTTTTTCTGACCTGTGACTGCAAAATCTTTGTGAGCAAAGCCTTTATGCCCCCTCCCACTTCCTTTGTTTGCAACCAAGGGATTAGGGGTCTTGAGTGGAAAAGTTGAAGGTACTGGGGGTGACCAGTACCTTGAAGAAACCAGCCTTTCATTTTGAATATTTTATCAACCTATGCAGATCATTGTACTACTGATGGTGAAGACAGACATTATGAATAGAAAGCCAATGTGCTGGAGCCCAGCTAGCGACGATGAGATGAGCCCCTTGGTGCTCATAGCTTTAGTTCCTGTTAGCTTCCATTAGGGGAGAGAGGGCTGATACTGGTAGGTAGAGAAACCAAGTATTGCTAAACAGCAGGATGGAGGTCACGGAGCTGAGCTCTGGCCTGGAAAGGGAGTGACCATATCTGGAAGGAAACTCACATGATCCTAACCACTCACTATGTGTCCTGCACTAATTAAAGCCCTTTCTGGAACATTCTCTCAGTTAATTTTCACAGCCTGTCCTCAGTAAGGTATTGTCTACCTACATTTGATACATGGGAGAAATTGAGCCCTACTGACTTTTTGAAATGTGTCCAGGCTCTCATAACTAATACATGGTGGATCTGGGATTAGAACCCTGGAGTCTGCCTGCACCTCCAGAGAAAATTCTTTGAACAGGTCAACTCAAACCTGTGACTTTTCAGAGAGGAGAACCTGTTCAGCATTCTTCTTTTGTTGTATTCATCCCCTCTACAGTTACACATTATCTTAGAGGATCAGCTGTACAAAATTTAAGATCACACAATTCACTTTGTTTTCTTCTTGACCCTCATTTTTTTAAACTTGGGATTTAATTTTTTTCCATTAAGAATGTGAAAAGAATGAGTATTGCCTTCTCTTTCTAGTCCTGTGGTGGTTTAGGAAGATCCCAAGAAGGGCTGAACTTCCAGGGCTCCTCCTGGGAGAGGGGGCAGAACAGAAGGAAAGATTACACCTTAGCCTGTACTCAAGGGCATTGCTTGTAAGTCTGTCCAACCAGAAGAAAGTTCAGATCCTTTATTTGTGAGCTGGATTATACCTCTGGAAGAGAAAAAAGGGAGAGACAAGTTTTACTCCCTCCTGGAGGCAGATTTCTCTACCTTGATTTTTTCAGAAATTGTGTACATTCTCTCCTCTCATGTATGTATCTCCTACATACCATACACACGATTCTTCTCCCCCTTCTATACCCCAGCCCACGCCAACCCACACCCACTGTTCTCTCTTCCAGCTATGGATCAAGGGAAATCTTCCCGGGTCCCTAGTTGGTATCTGTTTTCATAGCATCTTTGGGGAGGTTTTGTAAACAAAGCATTGGTAGAAGGGCCCTTGGCTGATGGGGCCATAAAGTGCCCTTTCTTTGGTTTTGTGCTCTCCCTCTCTTGTGGGGCCAGTCATTTGAATCCAGAAGATATCCCAGGATGGAGCTGCCCTGAGTATTTCTGTGGCTGGTTGGAAGGCTGGCACACAACAAAGTGGGCATGCAGCAGGCTGCCTCCCTGGCTTAGGCCAAAAAAATAAAGCAACTCAGAGATGGAGAAGAGGCAGGAAATCTATGTTGTAAAAAGTCTTTGTTTAAAGGAATTCCGTTCAGGTGCTGAGAACGGGGTGTTCAGCAGAAGAGGATAATATGAGTAAACATTGGCAGTAAGAACAAACACAGCAGTATCACTGTCTGCGTCTGGCCTCCTCCTGTGCTCAGTCACAGGTCTCTCCCACCGCCCTCTATGATAGCAATCATAAACAACATGTAGAAGGGCTTTACAGTTCACAGACCTCAGTTCCCCTCAGCGGCACTTCCTTGCAGGGTTTCTTTATGCACTGGATGACCCTGGTTCCACATAAATGAAAACTGGGCTTAAAGGACACATCCATGTCCTGGGAGCTGTACAGACTTAAAGAAAAACCTAGATAGGGGCAAAAATTGGGGCAGGCGGTGGGGGTGGGGGGTGGGGGGTGGGGGGGGGGAAGAAGTGGTCGAGAGAGTCATCTAATAGGTCACCAATGTTGCTTCTGGGAGGTTGCCGGAGGGTTGGCTCCTTTCAGCCAGGTTTAGGGCCAGGTCTGGACACACTCAGGAGGCCGGTGGCTGAAGGGCAGAGGGCAGGGTGGAGGCCCAAGTGAGGCCAAGGAAGGAGTGGATGCCGCTGGGGCTGGCACTTCCTTGGCTTCTCAGCGTCCTGGCAACCAAGAAAAGATTCCAGGAGTCGACTGGTGGCACCAATGCGAGAAGCCCCGGGCGGATGAAAGAAGCTGACCCGTGCGAACCCCCCACCCCCTCCACAAAACCAGGAGATTCCTGCCCAAGAGCAAGAGATGGAATTCCCCTAACGGAGGAAGCTGCCGACCTAAGGGCTGGGACTGGCAGCGCGCCCTCTCCGGGAGCTTCAGGTCTGGGGCAGCCTGTGCAGGCGCGGGTGGAGGCCCGGGCGCGTCCCTGGGGGCGGGAGCCAGGGGCGGCCAGCAGGTGGGGCCTGGGAGCTGGACTCCGCCCCCCGCTCCCTCCCCGTTGGTCCGCTGCCGCTCAGCACCGGCCCCTCTCCCGAGCCGGAGCGCGATTGGTGGCAGCGCTTGTCGCTCGGAGGGGGCCGGGCCGCTCTGCTTCGCGGCTCTCCCCGCCGCCGCTGCCGCTGCCGCTGTTCTCCTAGCAGCGCGGGCCGGTCGGACCGCCAAGGCAGCCGGCGCTGGCGATGGGAAGCGGCGTGGCCGCCGACACAGGCAGTGGCAAAGTTTCCCAGACGTACACATCTGGACGCGCGGCTGCCGGCTACCCGTGACCCCTCTAGGAAGGGTTCAGGGATTTTTAATTTGGAAAAAAATCCACCTGGTTTCCTTTGTCAAGGTCTCTCCGGGTGGCCAGCGGCAGGAGCTGCAAACTTGGGCACGGCGGCTACACCGGCAGCGGACCGGGCTTTGGAGAACCTCGGGACTCAGGTGCTGAGGTGCCCAGCGGCTCCGGACGTGCTACGGGGTGCGAGCGCGGGGGAGTTCGGGGCGCACGACAAGGAAGGGCCCCCGGGAGCTCTATATGGAGGAAGGAGCCCAGAATGGTGTGCACCAGGAAGACCAAAACTTTGGTGTCCACTTGCGTGATCCTGAGCGGCATGACTAACATCATCTGCCTGCTCTACGTGGGCTGGGTCACCAACTACATCGCCAGCGTGTATGTGCGGGGGCAGGAGCCGGCGCCCGACAAGAAGCTGGAGGAAGACAAAGGGGACACTCTGAAGATTATTGAGCGGCTGGACCACCTGGAGAATGTCATCAAGCAGCACATTCAAGGTACGGGCGCCCCGGAAACTTGGGTCGCCCATGAGGCCCGGGAGTGCCCCGCGCGGCGCGGGGTGCGCTGGGGCTGGTGCGCATCAACTCAGCCACGGCGGGGCTCTGGGGCCGCAGATGCGTGGTAGTCGTGGGGCCTGCGTGTGAGCTCCTGCCTGCGTTCGGGACCTTCTGTCTGCGGCCGTGCGCTCTTCCCCGGGGCACACGTGTGTGCGCAGGGCTGCACGAGCGGATGTGTGCAGCTAGCTGGCGGTATGGGGGCGCGCTGCGCACGTGTCCAAATGTGCGTGTGACTCTGGGCTGGTTGCTCGCGGGCTCTCGGGATCGCACACAAGTCCGGCTCAGAGTGTGTGTGCATGTGAATGTCTGTGTGTGTACAAGAGGGAACGCGCGGGCAAACGAGCTTTTTTGGCCACTGTAGGCGTCAGGCGAGATGCCCGCGCGGCGGCCCTGACTATTGGCAGTTAAGACCCGCAGGCTGCCGGACAAGCGAGGCTAGGAAAATTGCGTTGTATCAGCCCCAGCCCCAGTCTTGCTGTGATCCCGTTGGTAGGCGATAGGGAATGCAAGGAGCCCTCTGTGGTTGAAAAGCCGCTTGAACCTATAGCAGTCCCTACCCCCACCACAGCCCGCGGGTCCAGGACCCTCTCCAGGAGCAGGTGTCAACGCCGGGAAGTAGCGCTGGAGTCTCTGTCCACTGTGGTGATGACTCCGCCCAAGACTGGAAGAACACGCCCTGGGCTGCGCCTTCCCCGCGGAGCCGCCCGGGACCGGGTGAAGGCCGATCCCTACTGTAGCTCCACTCTCAGGCCCTGGGAGCAGCCGGGGCTGAGCAGACCTGGGTTGGGTCTGAAGTGTAAGGTTACGCTGGTTGGGTGCGCTCCAGACCAGCGCGGGGGTCCAAAGGGAGGGTGGGGGTTGCAGGGCGCTCTCCCGAGGCGACCTGGTCAATGAGCTGTCATGGGAGGGAATGGAGTTCCGGGCGCCAGGAGCACTGGTGCCGGGTGTGCACACACACACACACACGCGCGCGCGCGCGCGCTCACGTCCACACTTCCTCCCCTCCCCGCGCCCCCTGCTTTCTTCCAGGTGTGTGAGCTTCTTAAGGGCAGGGCCGAGCTTGGTTCCCCTGTAAACCTAGCAGGCCCACCAGGCTCAGGGGCCAGTGCATGGCAGACCTTGGCAAAATCGAATTGAACTGAAGGCTTACCCCCCACCCCCCCGCCAGGAGCACTCCCTTTTGTTTACACGTGGATGTCTGAATTCCAATCCTTGCACCTGCTGCTCTTGCCAGAGTAGAGATGGCTCCTCCGTCTGAATTTGGTGTTTCCCCAGGTGTCCAGAATAGTTCCTTTCCAGGAGGGGAAGGTTCAGGGAGGTTCAGGTGAGTGCAGGAGAGGCATCCACATCCATAGTGCTTCCTGACTAATGACTTCAAAACAAGCCCATGGCTTCGGCACCTTCCCAGAAAAGAGGGACATTGACAGCTTCTTCTTCAGACCTGCCTCTGCCTCTCAACCTGGCACTGGGCTTGAAAACCAATTTACCTATCTGTGGGTGCCAGTTGCTGTTATTTCTTACGTGTCCTTTTCCATCCCATAGGTCTTGATTGACTATTAATCAGCAATAGAAGTACAGTGTTTCCCCCAGGGTGATTCAGAATGTTCCCCAGGAGACACAAAGCCATGCCTTACTTTGACATTTCTAGTTTGCCGACAGATTTTGAGATTTTCATTCACAGATTCTGTGTGTGTGTGTGTTCCTGGAAAATGATTCTCTTGTGCTTTTCTTTCTGGTCAGGCAGGAGGTGAGCAAGGTACTGCTTTGGGGATGCTTTCAGGGGATGCCATTAACCCCTGAGCCTGTAACGGAGTGGGTGCCAGTCATGTGGAATGTGGACCATGTCACATGATTTCTAAGGTTCCACATGGAAAAGCATGATGTTGAAGTTGAAAGGAAGCATTGTGATTTTTCTCCCCGGAAACTTTATAACTATGTGTTGTTCAGCACTTTCAAATCTATACCTGAAAAATTGGAGAAGATAGGTTAAAAAAATAGGAGACAGGGTCCCTAAAACACGTGTTGTTCCACTTGTACACGTGCAATGACCCCTGTGGGTATTCAGAAATAACCACAATCTCGACAGAGGGCCAAAGCTGCCACCTATAGGAAGGTAGGGAAGGGTCAGTGACTTGGAAAGACTGGAAATGAGGCAGGCAGGGGCAGAGGTTACCAGGTTGGCTGTGCCATGATGGTGTAGCAATGACCAACAGTTCCCTTTGCCATGCTGGGGCCATCCTGAGCTGGGATTTAGGAAACAGAGGTAAAGGGCCTATAAAATTTGGGGCTGGTCAAGTGCAGCTCTCTGAAGGCAGAGGGTGGTAAAGGACAATAAGATCAAGCTCTTGTGCTTGATGGTACAAGCTGTTTATGTGTAACCCACTGTCAAGTTCCCTCTAGTCAGCATAGCCCTTTGAACAATCCAGTTTACTTTGCTGAACTGGAGGGAATAAGCGGTAATAATAATAAGAGCTAAAATAACATAGCACCTAGGATATGTCAGGCCCTATTCTAAACACTTTACATATATTGACTTATTTAATCTTCACAACCTTATGAAGTAGGTAATATTTGCTCCATTTTACAGATATGGAAACTGAGGCAGGGAGAGGGTATATGATTTGTCCAGGGTCACACACTGGTATATGATAGTATAGGGATGTAAGCTCAGCTAGTGTGGCTTCAGAAGTCTAAGTTCTTACCCACGTACTAAACTGTCTCCCAGGAGGGCCCCAGGGTCCCTTGGAGTCTGTTGACAGTGGTGGAAGTGGGTGTCAGAGGATGGCTGAGGGGTGAGGGAGTCAGCAGCCTTCCCACTTGGAAACTCCATAGATAAACTCAGGTTTTGCTTTGTTTCATGCCAAGAGGCAGAGGTTCCAGTCCTTTAACTAATGTTTACTGAACATGCAGGACAGTCCCTGGCACATTCTGCAGAAAGTAGCTGTGGGGTGGAAGCGTGGATGAATGGATGAGTGCTGATGCCTATGGCCACGTTGGTTATTAATGAAAGTGTTACCACTCTCCAAAAAAGGTGTTTTGCTTTGGAGTCTTGTCCAGGCTCCTCTTTTTGTTAGAAGGAAAGTCTCCTTGAAGCTGCAAATGTCACAAAATGTTCTGCAGGATGTTCCATAGGACTTGCAATTAGAAGAGGCTTTGGAGCATCACCCCAGAGGTCTGTTCTAGTCATGACTGAAAAGTTTATTTTCGTCTTGGGAGTTGCAGTGATATTTCATTTTAATTTGTTTTCTGATTGAATGATTTAATTAGATGGTGTTTGGGAATCTCTTGGGAATGTAAATTGCAGTTTTGGGAAGTTTTTTGACCAAATAGACGTTAAATGAGAGGGTGGATAACTTATGAGTTTTTAAAAAAAGCATCCTGGGGGTTTAGAAACACAAAGTAAATGTTAGTAAGGGTCAGGTTCTCTCCATCTTAGGAGTAGAAAGATCTGATGGCTTGACACGGTGAGGCGGATGAAGCAAGAATCTGCTAAAGGAGTTCTCAGTGTTGGAGAGTGCAGGAAATGGAAATGTTGATTCAGTTCTTATTTTGGAAATTCAGTAAAAATAAAGATAGCTTTCTTCTTTTCTTAGTAGCTTTCTGAATATGGAAAAGAATGTGCCAATGTTTAAGAAAATATTTAAAAATGCATAAAATTGCCCATAATTCATTCTACCCTAAAAATCAGTTTGCATTTTGAGCATTTCCTTCTGGATTTGTTCATTTGCCTCCATATTTCAAAATGAAGGTGTAGTCATGATTTACATGTAATTTTATATTCTGCTTTGTTCACTTTCTTTTTGTTAACGAAGCACTATTTTTTCCATATTTGCTACATAGTTTATTGGTTTAACATTTATCTGTTGGAGACCTAATGTGTGCCAGACACTGCACTGAGAAAGTGATTACAGTGGTGAACTGTATACTAGAGACACTCTACAGGAGTATGGGCACTCTTGGTCCTTGTCATAGCGGACTTGTTTTCAAAGGACAAAGAATCCCTTTTAGTCAACGTGGTCAGGGCTTGAGTTAGTTAATAGAAAAATTGGTTAAAGAGGAGAGTACAACAAAGTATTACATACATACAATTAAATATTTTTATTTTAATGTTTTCCAAAATGTACATTCATTTGCTAGACTTTTGATATCAGGCCAAAGTTCTGTCTTTGGGATGCATCTGCCAATTGGCGTCCTGTTCATCTTCCTTGCACAAACCACTCCCATAATATCCCATAGTTCTGTTTTCTTTAAAATTCATTGGAAACTTAAAGGTGCTTATGAAGCAGTCTCAGTGTAGTAGCCTAAATTGTTACGATTTTTGTCTGATCTTTTGCAATGATTTTGCTCACATGTAATTTGATTGCTATTCTTTAACTGACTACCGTTTATAAAACCTTTGCAAAGCACTTAGAACTTAAAGTAATTTTCTTAGAAACAACACTCATCTTTTTAGCCGTCATATTTCATTGGTTTATATAATACGTGATTAGGTTATGCCGTTACAGTGACAAGTACAAATAGTGTAAACACGTTTGAGAACAAACCCAGTGGACCACTGGTAAGTGTAAAACTCAACTATTTGCAGGAGCTGTGGGCAGTGGTACTAGAGACAAATAGGGTTTGTTACAGAGGGAATGGCAAGCATAGTTAATCTGGAGAATTGATTAAATGGAGAGTTTCTAAAGAGAACTTTTACTGTATTTTTAATGACTGCATAGTATTCTGTCATCAGTATACTATTATTGATTCAACCACTTTCCTATTATTGGACATTTGTTTTGCTATTATAATTAGAGCAGAAATGAACATCTTCACCTCACTGTTTTTTGAATTATGTTTAAGGATGTCTTTCCAGAAGTGGGATTAGTACTGACTCAAAGAGTCTGAACATTTTTATGAAAGATTGTTTTTTCAGAAGGAAAGGCTTTCTTTACAGCCACCAACAGTGTCTTATTGTACCAAAGTCATGGAGCCTGGCCAGCATTGGGTGTTATCATTCAAATTTTTCCGAGTAAATGTAATCCCTGTCAAATGCTCTATTCTTTTGATTTGTACTCCTTTGATTACTCTAGAACTTAATATCCTCCCCCACCCCTGGTATTTGTTTTATCTTGTGGGACTATTTGTGTCCTTGCTTATTGTTCTCTAAGACTATCAGTGTTTGGCCAGGCGTGGTGGCTTATACCTATAATCCCAGCACTTTAGGAGGCCAAGGTGGGAGGATCACTTGAGCCCAGGAGTTCAAGACCAACCTGGACAACATGGTGAGACCCCCATCTCTACAAAGAAAAAAAGAAGAAGAAGAAGAAGAAAAAAAGACTCAGTGTTTGTGATTTGTGTATTTTACAAATTTTTTTGATACATAAATATTTTGCCTGTATTATATGTTACATACATAATTTTAATTTTACATAGATGCCTTAGGGCAGTGGTTTTCAAACTGTGTACCCAGGAGACCTAAACTTGTAGAAGGTTTGATCTGGGGCCTGAGAATTAAAAGGGTTAAGTGGGGTCTCCCAGACTCTGCCTGTAGGTGCTCCCTCCCCTCCCTGCAAACAACAAAACTCCACTGTCTTCTGTTTTCTATTTGGCATTCTATAAAATATTTCATTTTATAAAAAGTTGTACTTCTTTAAAAAAAAAGTTGAAAATAACTGTTTCAGGAAAAGAGGAAAGATCAGACTGTTACATTTTTGTGAGGGATGATGGTGGTATAAACAAATTCAGGAGAGTAAATAAATCTAAAAGGAAATTGAATTTCTGGGTGGTGTTCTTGTAACATCTATTTACCCTTCTGAATACCATGATTAATAATGTATTACATTATGTGACTAATTTCTAAATCCGTTATCTTACTTCATTGAGTCAAGATCATCCCAACAATGGAGAAATGGGTTATTAACTGCATTTTGTTTCCTGAAAGTTTGTTAGTCATATTATGTGCATATTAATGTATACCAGGTCAGTAACAGCAGGTTGTTCGCCATGACTACAAATCATTTATGGTTGCTAAGAATCAGCAGATGTCCTGAGCTTGGATGTTTTTCTGTCTCCTATAGCTTATGGATGTTACTTAGAATTGGCTCGTGTTCTTCTCATCTGAGCTTTGACTTGGCAGCGTTTGTGAAGAAGAGGATATGATGTTTGCTGAGTGCATGGAGTTTATTTGAGGAAAGAGTGTCATTTAAATAGTAAAGCTATTTGTCCTCTGGAATGAACTGTTGCATGTGAAATTATATTAGTAACAGTGATTGACATTTTGAGAGAGTTCAATAGCAGGACTTAGGAGTTGAGCCTAATTACCTTTGTTACTAGTTCAGAACCACAGCTTTATGAAGAAGAAAAGCCTTGCCAAAGGACACAACTTTTCCCCGTGACCAAAGAATCTTCATTTTTAGCCAGAAGTGTGTAGGCTGTAAAATAAATGAATTCCACATTCTTTCCCACTCACTTGACATAAATTGTTATTTTCCCTTGATAAGTAGGTTGGTGGAGAATCTCAAGGAGAATTCAGAATGAAAAGTGTCAGAGAGCCACGTCTGGTTTTGTCATTTATGAGGGCCTTGAAGTTCAGCTTTAGTCACTTGGGTTAGGCTGGCCTATGTTTTCCCAAAGGTATTTATGGGATTCAGAGTCACAAACAGGGTTACTGGAGCGTCTTCATTACCATCGTATAGGATTTCTGACCTCACTTCACTTGAATAGCTGAATGTGCTTGATATGCTTGAATGTTTGTACCCTCCAAATCTCATGTTGAAATGTGGTCCCCAGTGTTTGAGGTGGGGCCTAGTGGGAGGTGTTTGTATGAATGGCTTGGTGCTGTCTTCCTGGTAATGAATGAGTTCTTGCTGTATTTGTTCATTCAAGAGCTGGTTGTTTAAAGAGCCTTGCTGCTCCTCCTCCCTCCTCCTCCTCCTCCTCCTCCTCCTCCTCCTCTTCTTCTTCTTCTCCTCACTCTCTTGCCTCTCTCTCTCACCCCTCTCTCACTATGTGACATACCTGCTTCCCTGTTACCTTCTGCTGTGATTGTAAGCTTCCTGGAGTCTCCCCAGGAGCCTAGCAGATGCTGGACTTCGAACAGCTTGCAGAACTATGAGCCAAATTATAAATTTATAATTTTATAAATTACCAAGCCTCAGGTACTCCTTTATAGCAATGCAAAATGGACTAATACAAAGCTATTGTCTTGATTTGGGTCTTGAGGGTCTCCTTTGGTTTGTGGCAGAAAGCCAAGCTTGGCTTTTTGTTAGCTGGGTTCTATCTGGGAGATGGGGACAGACAGGCTGCCCTGTGGAGAAGCACATTGCCAAGCAGTACAGCTGGAGGTGATGTTACACAGAAAGTTCCTGGAGGGAAAACCCGGCTGAATGTGAGTGATAAATGTAACCAGAAGGCAGCATGGTGGGCTTTGGGGAGAGATGGAATTATGCATGAAGCGGAAGGGCAGAAGCCATACAAGTTGGATGACACTCAAGTCAGGAGCAAGAGGCAGAGTGACTGAGGTCCACTGGTGGCTAAGCCACCATCAATGAATGGTGGACCATGCTGTTTATGCTGGCCTGGAATGTCTCTTGAAGGGTGGAGCTTCTGCCTTGGATTTGGCAGGGATGTGGTCATTTCATGGCTCCTACAATTGTTATTGAATCTCACTTGCCTTTGGGGTTAGAGTCAGCTCCATCTGTAATGCAATGCTTGAGCCCAGGGGTCCTTGATGTTTCCCCCTTCCTCACACATAGGCCTACATACAAGGCATGTGCCCTAGGGCAGGGCTAGGAGGATGCACCTCCTAACACATTGCATTCATTCTTACTCCACCCTTTATTTTCCTACTTGAGAAGGCATATTAGTATGCAAGGGAATGTAACAACCTTGAAATCCCTTTAATTTATTAGAGTTAAAGCTAATCATTCATAAGCTTTGGTACTTAAATTATTGTTACTCACTAATTACCTCACAACTGCTCCACAGCACAGTATGTTGTGGCAGTGATTGGGAATGACTGCTGTTCTGGAATCTTCTCTGTGGATCTGTATACCTTTTATAGATCCCCTGTAGTTCCAGTGCAGCCAACTGGAACTTTAAGCAAGAGGATTCCTTGTTATATGAACACTTAAGCTTTGGTGGTTTTTCTGACTACACGATTATGGATTAAAATATGTTGCTAGACAGTTCGTCCCAGTGGGGATGCAGTACTGAGATGTAGTTCTCTTTCACTGCCTGACATTCAATTTCAGTTTTTGGAAGGTTTATTTTTGGGAGATGAAGCTGTCCTTAATGATGCTAGTGGAAACCCCTGAGTGTCCAGCCACCATAAACATTCAGTGGCTTCCCTTATGGAGCCACTGCTAAAATGGTTTTAGAACCAACAGGCATACTTTGCTGGGCTACTTTCCATTGCCACCATCCTTTAAGAGCTCACAGAAATACAGTGTTTGGGAAGATCCAGAGAAGTGGCATCTGCACTCTTCACCTTGGGACAGGTGAGAACAATGAAAAATGATGCCTACAAGGAGGCTTGTGGCCAGTTCTTTAGCGTGAATAGGTTCATTCTACAAATGCACTGAGTTTAAGTCTCAGAGCAGAGTTCCCTGATTAAGATTGTTGAGTGCTGCATCTTAACAAGCTCTGGTGCTTTGTTGGGCTTCGCCAGTCTGACTTGTGCATCCATCTCTGTCCCCTGGGAACTTGGAGTTAAAGGCCATTGAGATCCCAGAGGAGCAGGAAGGTAATTCAGGGACTCTGGCAAGACAGGATTCGAAGCTTGGCTTAATAAATGTTGTGCTAGCGGCATCTGGGGATTTAGGAGAACAGTACCAAAATTGCTTAGGCCAATGGATATGAGAGTTAGAAAGCTAAGGAGAGATTTGAAGCGACAAATGAGAATCCTAGCTAAACCCTTGATTTATTTTAAGAGCAACAGGCATATAGAGAATTAAAGATTGATTGTATCAAGGGAATGGAGGAAGAGAGCTACAGTATGCTAGCAGGTCAGGGACTGGCCCAGGTGCTGCCCAGGCATGATTACTTATTTATTTATTTCAATGAACAAATAAAATTGTAATTTTTAAAATTAGTGATTCCTTTTCATCTTCACAACATGGTAAGATTACCTTTTTTCTTACCTTTTTAGAGGTAAGAAAATGAAGACTTAGAGTTTGTTCAAGGTAGGTCACAGGGCTGATGGGTGGTAGAGCCAAGAAGGGAAACTGGCTACAAAACCAATGCTCTCTACAGAATAGGAAGGAGGATGAATGTTTCTCGTAGAGAGGAATGGGAGATCATCTTATCAAACATGGTGTTTGAGTGTAAGCTCAGAGGCCTCAGGTCAAATGGGAGGCCAGGCAGGGGCTTGGTTTACATTTGTGTCTACAAGGAACCTGGAGGGTAGGGTGGGCAGCAGTAGAAGGCCCTGGTCTGGAAGGGTGAGGGAGCAGCCACCACAAAGCTGTGGACAGCCTTTTCTCCTAGGTCACTGTGGGGCCTCCAGGAACTGGTCCTTGTCAAAAAAGCGGAGTGTTCCAGCTGCAGACTAGAGCTCTTTCAGATTCATTGTGACTTCTGAGCACCCAAAATGTCCCAGGCACCGGGCTGAGTGCTTTCCTGTGCCCTGGCATAGTCACGTGTCTTTCAGGGTGACCAGCTTATCCTGATGTGCCTTACACTTTCCCTGTTTTAAAACTGAAAGTCCCAGGTCCAGGGAAGCACCCAATTCCCTGGGCAAGCCTGGATGGTTGGTCATCTGAGGCTTCTCACAGTGGTGAATTCTCTGTTCCATGATAACTCCTAGCAACGGGGTAAAAATAGCCTTTCTGATGGTGCCGCATCCGGTCTTTGCTCTCTGCTCTTGAACGCTGACTTGCTTGAAGGTTACAAAGAAGAAGGTGAGGGTCCACAGCCCCTTCCCCATTTTCCTTGCCCACACAGGCTGCCTCCTCTCTTTTTTGTTATTCCTTCCGCTTTGGCATTCTCTGGTTTTCAACTGTCTGAGCCTCTCAGGATTTGGAAAGGAAGAAACAATTGCTGTAAAGGAAAGCTCTAATAAAGTGGTTTGGGCACAAAACATCAGCAGCTGTTTATTTGCCCAAAACAGTAGGAGTCCATATTAATAACCTTGTGAGTTATATGCTGGGAAGTTAAAAGTAAGCAAAAATCTTACTTGAGACCCACAAATGTAACTTTATTCCTTTATTGAACTAATCTCTCTTTCTGTTTATGCTGGTGACATTTTCTATTATCCAAGTGGAAGATCCTTTTTGATCTTCCATTACAGATTTATTTAGCTGTGCCTTGGTTAGCATCCCAAGGCAGAGGGGTTTTCTGGTTTCTCTATTGCAGTTATAATGCTTTGTGTTTATATGGTTCATGCCTCAAAGGATTTCAACAAGCGGGACAGGCTTTGTCTAATTAATCATCATATTTCCCTGATGGGAGAGAAGGAGCTGCAGAGGAAGGGAGGGTCTTGAGAAGGCTTCAGACCTGTCAGTTCATGGGCTTGGAGAAGTGAGTCTTTTAACATTTTGGTTTCTTCCACTTCTAAATCTCATTTTTAATAATAAATGGATCCTCTGATTTGCATTAGTTTCTAAGAGTAAATGGAGGAAGGTATAACGTGGGAATTATGACATAGAATGTCCAACTCGATAACTGGGCCAGGCCTTTTATTTTATTTTATGAGAACCTGGGGATTTATATTAGAAGAAGAATCCAATGGAAAGTGCATAGAAGAGATCAATCAATCAAGAATGGGAAAAAAAACCAGTGAGGAAGGACTATAGAAAAATAGGTCTGAATTCATCTGGAGAAGAAATGGGAAGAGGAAGAGAATTAATGTTTGCTGAGCACCTGTGATGTGCTAAATACTTTACACCTGTCACCTCACCTTAACCGCATAAGCAGGCCTGTGGGATGGTGTTATTATCCCCATTTCACAGATGAAGAAATTGAGGCTTAGTGACTGTAATGAGCTTATCCCAGGTTCAGCTGCTAGTAACAGATAAAAGCCCATTACCACTGTTAAGCTCCTTAGCAAGGGGCTAAGGGCCCTCTTGTTTTTCTGCTCCAGTAATGTTGATCAAGAGAAAATAGGCTCAATCCTTTCTTTTAGCAGAAACGTTGAGACTGGAAGAAAACTTTTTGAGAGTTGTGAAGCCCTGAGGTGGGTTACCAAGTGATTATTTTGGCAGCCTCCTTTCCTGGAGAGGCAGGAAGACTATGCCAGGAGCTGACCTGGGCTCAGCTCTCTGGAAGACTGAGAGAAACTCTAGGTATGGCATTTTGCAGCCAGCTGCATCATTTTTTCCCCCAGGAGCAGGCTTAGCATCAACAAGATCATCTCCTCCACTCACTCAGGCCACAGCTTTATTTTGGGGGTCCTCTAGGCTCAGGGCATGGGGTGGGGTAGGGGACCATAAAAGGGGGACTGGTCTACACAAAGTCAATAGCAGACATGGCCAGCCCTTCCAGGAACTTCCCATTTAATTGAGGGAATGGAATATTTGGAGTTAAACGTATGAAATGGTGGGCCCCTAGCTATTGGGCAGTTATAGGAGGTGGACACCAAGGCTGGCATTGTTTATTGTGGTGTGGGAATGGGAGGAAATAAAACCACCATAAGGAGTTGGGAGAAATTGCAGATGTGCTTCCAAGTTCCCACTCTCCTCAGTGTTGGCTGGAAGTTTGACAGTGACCTGGGGTGTACCGCTGCCTTCTTTTGGTATGTGCTCAGATTCTTCCCCTCCTTCACTGAACAAGCGTTTATTGAGCACCTGTGCTGGGGATGTATCAGTGGAATCAGAGCAAAAATACGAGGGACTGCAATTACATGAGGAGGTGGTCAGGGGCTCTGCTATAAGCAAAGACTTGAGGAAGGTGAGGTGTGCGCCTTGTGTATCTTAGAGGAAGAGAGTGCCAGGCGGAGGGAACAGCCAGTGCAAAGCCCCTGTGGCAGGAGTGTGCCTGAAGTGTTTGAGAAACAGTGGCCAGTGCGGCTAGAGCAGGGTGATGGTGGGAAAAGGGGGTAGGGGAAGAAGCCAGAGAGGGGCGGGTTGGGAAGCTGGTTGTGCAGCCTCAAAGGCCACTGCAGATGGAATGCTCTGGAAGGACTGGGGAGCTACCAGAGGGGGTGAGCAGAGAGGCATCAGTGCAGGCTGTTCTGTGGCTGCTTCCTGGGTACTTCTCTTGGGCTTGGCATTGTGCCAGGTATGGTGGAAAATGATAGAAAACATGTGACATGCTCCTTTTCTTTGAAGAGCTCATAATTGGGCTGAGAAGACAAAACAAGAAACAGTTAAGGATCTTTTGCAAGCTAACTCATGTAATGAGGGTTAAAATTGAATTCCAGAAGAGCGAATTGTCAGAATAGACTTCATGGAGGAATAGGGACTAATGACACATCTTTGAAGAATGAGGAGGATTTAAGGGAGTGGAGTAAGAAAGATTTGGAGAGGGCAAGTTTAGTTATGAAATAAAACCAAAAATTACCTTCAAGAGGGAAGCCTGAGCGTCTCAGTGAGTGTGGTGGAAGAGAGTGTGCAGGCAGTCATGAGAATCAGTGCTGCTATTTACAGTTTGGGTGACCTTGGGCAAGTCTCTTCACTTGCAGGGCCTCAGTTTCCCCAAGCATAGAAATGAAGACAATCGGCCAGGTGCTGTGGCTCACGCCTGTAATCCCAGTACTTTGGGAGGCCGAGACGGGTGGATCATGAGGTCAGGAGTTTGAGACCAACCTGACCAACATGATGAAATCCTGTCTCTACTAAAAAAAATACAAAAATTAGCTGGGCCTGGTGGCAGGTGCCTGTAATCCTGGCTACTCAGGAGACTGAGGCAGGAGAATTGCTTGAACCTGGGAGGCGGAGGTTGCAGTGAGCCGAGATTGCACCATTGTACTCAAGCCTGGGTGACAGAGCAAGACTCTGTCTCAAAAAAAAACCAAAAAACAAAAAAGACAGGCGAGCACCCCCACCCTGTGTATCAGGTAGGAGCTACCGGGGACAACAAGTTCCCTTTTTCAGTCTTCCTTCATTCCCTCTTTCCTTCATCCTTGTTGAAGCTCACATAGAAAATACGGTCAGGAATATATTTTCTGGTTGTAACACCTAGTATATCAGATTTAGCCCCATTTCATTGCAATTAGTTGGGACTTTCCCACGTAAGTCAAGCCTCAGATGGTCATAAGTTAGGCTCCAGGGGAGCCCAGACTAATGCTGGTCACATCTCAGCTGAGACATGTTGGAAGTTCTGCTCCAGGGCATCTTGGTGTCACTGACCGCTGCTCTGAAGTTCTGAGCCCTCCAGACTGGGGACCTGCCCTTGTTTGTGGAGAAATATTTGTTTTGTAAAACCTTTACAGATTTGTTTTGTAAAATCTTTTGTAGAAACTTGGCATTGCAGTGGGCAGCAGACAATGCCAGGAATGTGCTATGTTGGTTGAAACCTTGGCTGGTGGAAGAGTCATGCAGGGTGTCTGGTTACCTGGTGGGTTAGTCTCATTTCCTAGCTCCTTGGTGGAGAGTGTCTTCTTGAGGACAGATTTTTCCCTCTCTTCTAACTCAACTTTCAAACCAAATTGAAGCCACATCAGCCTATCTTCCTGCCAGGATGAATTTGATTTAACTCAGAGCAATGTGACTTATAATTTCAATTGCAGGCAGGAAGGTGTGATTTAAGACAATTGTCAGGAAGATTCAATTTAATCTTTTCTTTCTTCCCCCTCTACAAAATGTGCATTTTGTTGCATGATATAATTTTGATATACATTCTTTACAATTCAGAGATAGATGTAGTTCACACTGGGAAGGTACATTCCATACTTTTTTATAGCACTTATCTATTTAAAGTGTTTTTAAAAAAGATTTCTTTCTAATGATAGCAGAAAACTGAGGGATGGTTTTGCTTCTTTACTAGAGAGAATTGTAGCAAATCATTCTGAAACTTCCCAGGCAATAAACCATTTCTTGATTAACAGGGGTTATTTTGGTCACTTGTTAAGATACTCGTCTTTAATGAAACAATAAAAATAATTATTTCATTTACCAAAATGGAGCAATTGTGAGTTTTGCTTATTTTTCAACAAGAGCCAGCTGTTTTTAGCAAAATAGGCATAAGTATTTTCGAGTTTGTAATTACTTTAGAAGCACAGAAAGTATGCATTGATTTTTGTAAACAGAAAATTAAATGTCTTCTTTCACTCTGGTCAATAGTGGAAACTTCTAGTATTGTGTTGCGCAGCTCAGTGCAGTTGCTTTCTCTTTCCTCACATATCAACAAAGAAGGGTAAACCTTCCTACTTTTGCAGTTCTCACATCATATCCCACTGGTGAAGGCTCTTGTCTGAAGGCTCTCTAGTTAAAATCAGACCATGTTAGAGTTGCAAATAACATCAGCATCCTCACCCTCAAACTGTTTGCTGAAGGATCCAAGACCCAATGCAACTTGAGGACTACCCTGAGGAGCCTCTACTGGGTCCTGGAGGCCCTGGATAGGGTCTAGGGATCCTGATTTGAAGTCTAGACAATTTTCCTCTACATCCAGTTACTTCCCTCAACTTCAGGAGAAACGTGTGCACCAGGAAGGAAAATCCTTACTTGTTTGTCCTCAGATGAAACCAGGTGCTTATGGGACAAAGAGGTGGGCAGCTTTTCAGGGTCTCCCTTGGATGGGATCTCCTCTCCCTGGCCTGCTGACCAGAGCCTGACTTCGGGTCCAACAGCTCCTAGTGATGCTGCCTCCGTATCTGGGAACAGAGCTTCTTCTCAGCCCCTCAAACCAGAGTGATGATTCGGATAGAGGAGGGGCAGATATTTTATGTCAAGGAGAGGAAAAAAGAGAGAAAATTCACATTTATCAGCCATGTACCAGATGTTTAGCACTGTTTAATCCACTTCATATTATTTAATCCTTAAAATAAGGCTGTGAGATAATTAGCCCCATTTTACAGATGAGAAAATCATACTGTCCTGTAATTATTAGTCTGCTTTTCTCATTAGACTGTGGGTTACTTAAAGGTGGAGACTGGGTCCGGTTTTTCCTGTTTTCCAGTTTGTCACACAGTGCCAGGTATACAGTAGGGGCTAGGTAGGAGTTTGCTGAGTAAACACATGAATAAATAAACCAGCTGCCTAAAACCTCTCAGTAAGAGGTGGTGCTAGGATTCACATCCAGACCTCTGGCTTTAAGACTGCCTGGAAGGGAAGCCCAGGGACAGAAGAGCTGGTTTTCATTCTGGCTTTGGGGATGGCTTCTGAGAGGCTGTTCTATGCTATGCTTTTGGGTCAGGGACAGGAACGCTCATGCTTCTGGGGTCTCTCTCATAGCCCCTCACAGCTGACATTACTGTGTCAAGATTTAATCAAAGGGAAGCTGAAGCTCAGTGGTGTGTGTGTGTGCGCATGAGCGTGTGTGCAGTGTGCTTTCCACACTGAGCTCTCCCAGGGATCAGCTGGTGAGAGAAGCCTGAAGCCTTCAAGGGACCCTCGACATCTTCATTTTAATAAAGCTGTCACTTGTGGTCACTTTCAAACTAAAACAATCTAGTGGGTGCAGAAGGTAAAAAGTAAACTGCACGAAAAGCAGAGAATAATGCCAGAAAAGATGCAGGTAAGCAGGGCATTTCTGCTTCAAGAGGAGAGACAGCATTGAAGTCATTTTAATTGACACCTGAAGAGTCACTAGAAAGGAGAAAGCATAGCTTCATTTTCAAGAAAGGAAACAGAGTGCTTGGGACCCCAGAGGTAAAGGGAAGTTGGCCTCTGGCTTTCCCTCTGAAGCAGAAACAGAGGGCCTCCTGTTCACCCCGAGGTCTGTGAGAACCTCAGAATGGACTCCACCACCTGTGTCTTCAGGGTGGCGGTGACTGGCGGCCTGGCAAGTTAGGACTTGCTGTTTCGCACTCAGGAGACAGGTGTCGGGAAAGGTCTGCAGTGAGGAGAGGGAGCTGAGAGAGGGCAACCCGGAGATCAGAAGAGGGTGTTTCTTGCTTGCCTGTGGAAATCCCTTGAGGAGATGGCCCAGGTGTCAAGGTGGGCAGCCTGGAACTCCAAGTTATCTGCTGGCCACCTGGGGAATCACCCACCCATGAGTGTGGGTCTGAGTTTGGCACCACAGACCCTTCTCCACTTTCCCCAGACAGGAAACGGACACAGTAAAAGTTCCTCCTCAGACTCTGCCTGTCGGGACAGCACAGCCCATTAGCCGGAGCCTCAGACAACTATGATTTTTCTTTTCCTATTATTCTCTGATATTTTCAATTTGAGAAGAGTCATTTAGGCAGTAGCGTGGAAGAGGGCATAGTAGACATAGGGGAAAAATTGAAAATGTCATTTAAAAAGGACTATTCCATTCTTTTTTTTTACCTCCGCAGACTCACGGCCAGGAGCAATAGCCAGTGGGTCAACCGAGGAGAGCAGTGATTTTATTTTCCTTTTCATTTCAAACAGATTGTGTAGCCTTTGGGGTGTGGGGGACCAGTGGAATGAAGCTATGGGCCGGGAAACTAATTATGCCTCCCTGCATGGCTGAGCTAGTTAATACCAAACTGTCATTGAGGCTGATTCTTCCCTGGGGCAGAAAAGCTTCCCAAATTCCTTATCCCTTTCTCTTTGCCTTTTGGGTTTTGCCAGTTTGAGAAAACAGGAGCAAAATCCAGGAAGCTTCTCAAAGCTCTGAAATGGTGCTCTGCATTCTGGTTGCTAAGGCTGCATTCTGATCCACATCACCCTTCTCTCCGCCATGCAGACTTGGTGCCAGGCGGGGTCTGGAGTCACTTGGACTTGCCTCAAATCCTGGTGCTGCCTCTTACTGGTGTTGCCAGAAGCTGCCTGGGTGTCTAGGGCTGGATGTAGATCGCTTGTCCACCCTGTCCTTCCCCACTCTCCAGCAGTGTGGGATCAGGAATGGGCTACCTGAATAGTGAGCCTGCCTCACTTCACTGATTCTGAAACTGAGACCCAGCTGTGTGGATGGCGTGGTCAGCACAGTGCCACTGATGGAGACCATGCACAATGAAGGAGAATAAGACATTCAATAATGCTCTTAATGGATTTTTAACTTACTAACCAAACCAACACAATCTTTGAAAAGTGGTATCTTAGTCTATTTGGGCTGCTATAACAAAATACCATAAACTGTGTGGTGTATTAATAACAGACACTTATTTCCTCACAGTTCTGGAGGCTGGGAAGTCCAAAATTAAGGCATAGCGGATTCTGTGTTTGGTGAGGGCCCAATTTCTTGCTCGTAGATGGCACCTTTGTGTTTCACATGGTAGAATAGACAAAACAGCTTTCTGAGGTTCCTTTCATAAGAACAGTAATCCCATTCATGAGGGTCCACCCTCATGGCCTTATCACCTCCCAAAGGCCCTACCTCCTAATTCCATCAACTTAGGGGTTAGGATTTCAACATATGGATTTGGGGAAGGGATACAGACATTTAGATCATGGCAAGTGGTTACACATATATGCATAAGACACATTTATTTATGATAGCAAATGTTATGCTTTGTAATAACTCTGATTTCAGTAATTTCTGTCCCCCTTTTCCCCTCTTGGGAGACCTTAGTCCATGCAGTCCCCAGCTAGCCAGATGTCTCAAATAACACTGGATCCAATAAAATCCATAGATCTTTTTAGGGAGAGAAAATGAGTTTTAAATATGGAATGGAAACATTTAAAAATATAGCCTTTGTGGCAACATGAAGATTATGAATATTCAGTTTGGACACAATCTCAAGCAATTAGGCAGATGCATATTTCCAGGGAGGGTATGTTGCTCTGATGGTTGAGGGGGTGGGTGCTGTGTATCATTTCAAAACTGGATTTCCTTGCAGACTTCAAAGTTTGATTTTAGGAAAATATGGGAATGAAGTCTCAGAGAAAGCCCTATACATTCCCCCACCTTTGGCAGGCCACACTCCCTTTGGCCACATACATACAGTTAGGCTTTAGCTGAGAAATCTGCTCAGATCTAGAAAACTCTCTAGATTCTGAACGCTGAGGTGGTAACTGAGCCAGTGTTGGAGCAAAACAATCTGTTTACAGCCTTGGAGGACGGTTCTTATGTGGCAACACTTAGTCTTGGCTGTTGGGTATTATTTGTTTACAGCCCAGTTTTCTCCATGTTGAATTCTCATTAGAAATAAATTGTCTTGGGAGAAGCACCAAACACAAATTGAAGTAGTTGATGGGAAGACATAACTTAGAATTGCCTCCTTTCAAAGAAGACTTTGTACCAGCCAATAGTCCCTTTGAACTTTTCAGGATAACCAGAGTTTTTAGCAATTTAATATTCTCAGGTTATATGGGACAACCCAATTTTAAATATTCTGATCTATTTTCCCTAGAAACCATGTAAATGAATCATAAATTCTAGTATTTCCCAAGTTTACCACCCATTTTGACTCCTGTACCTGGAAGCAGCACAAAGCTCTTGCCAGACCATACACCCTTATTTTTAATTCAGAAAATATGGTCAAAGTGAAGTAAACAGAGCACTGATCAATAGAGCCAGCTGTTCTCTAAATGATTCTCTCTTTTTTTGCAGTGCAAATCACAGGGGGTTAGGGAAGAACTGGAATGGCAGTGTGAGGAGCTCTGTGGGTCCTTTGCCCAGTGAAACAACATAACTGGTAAAAATTATTAAACAACACCCATCTAAAGTCCCTGGAAATTGCCCTGATGAGATACATAAAATGAAGAAACACTTATTCAAGAAAATCTACTAAATTTTAGTAATAACAAGAGTCTGGGACATTTGAGCCATAATTGCCCTTCCTCCCCCAATTCCAGCTCAATAAAACAGAAGCTCTCCTCTGGACAGATATGGACAAGAAGACGGGGTGCTGCTTTCCCACAACTTCCACTCTAGGGCTATATTTCTCTCCCAGAAGGGCCAGGCCACCAGGATTTCTCATGTCTCCCAGCTCTGTGTTGCAGAGCATGGTTGAGTGGTCTGGGGCTGCCCCTACTTACAGGGTGGAAGCTTTACCCTGTGTTGAGAATACTAGGCCCTGATTGCCCCTATCCCTGGCTCACATGTAGGGTGGAGGTTTCATAACAGGAGAGACAATTCAAGAAGATCAGTGACTACCATCTCCACCCAGCACCCTACTCATACAGCAGGGATGTCACTCTGGGAGAAAGAATTAGGCTGCTATTCCTACTTACAACTCCAGAGCAGTGGTATAGATATTCTGCCCAGGGATAGGGGCAGGCTGTAGGAACACAGAGATTTGTAGCTTTTGACTTTATTTGGAATGGAGTATGAGGAGGTCCAAGCATAAAAGCAATTTCCGAGCATTTAAGAGGAGGTTAGTAGCTCCATAATAGCAACAAAACAAACAGAGTAGGCCAGCTAGACGACCTAGCACAGTAAGTTCTCCTATCAACACAGTAATGCTGTTGATAGGTTCTTAGAAATTGTGACTTTAAGCAAATCAGGCAGGTCCTCAAATAACGTCATTTCCTTCAATGTTGTTTTGTTATAACATTGATGAGAAAAAAACAGGTTTTGTTATATGTTATATTTTGCTTAAAGTCACAGTTTCCAAGAATCTATTGATGATGTTAAGTGAGGACTTACTGTAGTTTAACAGACATAATCAAAGAAAGAGACATTTCCTATGGTCAAAGAAAGCCTCAAAAACTGGCCTCAAAGAAAATCCCTGCCAAAAGAACCCCCAAACCCAAATTTAATTGGATCAGACTGTGGAGCAATTTATGCCTAAAGGCACCGTTGAAAATAATAGAGCAATCAGGTAGCAACTAGTGGAGGCTAACAGCTGGAGGTGAAACCAATCGGGCAGTCCAGCCAGAAATGTAACAGGGAGATAAGCAATAGAGACAGTTAAAAGGAGCTCTGCTAAAATCACTGTCATCCTAGGGGGTTCGATAGGGAGAATCAGGACACTGTGCACATGCCTAAGGTTTCACCTTCAAGAAGTAGTATTAGAGACTACACACTGTTGGGGGAAAAGGACTTCACTGAAGTAGCCCATCCAATGCGGTAAACAAGTAAACAAGTATATAGTGCAACAACAAGAAGTCCTTGGGTGGGGGATTAATCAGTATTCAAAGTGTCTAAAATATAGTATCTAAAATGTCTGGTTTTCAACAGAAATTTAAGAGACATCAAAGCAGATCATAGAAATTGTCTTTCAGGGGACCTGGATGTGAGACTTACCAGAAAAAGACAGCAAAGTAGCTATTATATATTTGTTCAAAGAACTAAAGGAAACTATGCTGAAAAAATTAAAGGCATCATGAAAATGTCTTACCAATAGGTAATACCAATAAAAAGATATAAGTTATGAAAATAGTTAAGTGGAAATTTGGGACTTGAAATGTTTAAGAAATGAAAAGAAAAAATCACTGGGGCACTTAAAAATATATTTGAGTTGGCAGAAGAAAGTATCAGCAAATTTGAAGATAGATCAATAGAGATTACCACATCTGAAAAAAAGAGAAAAAGAGAATGAATAAAAATATGCAGAGCTTTAGAAAAACATGGAACACCATTAAATACAGCAATGTTAAGTTTAATGGGAATACTTGAATGAAAGAAGAAAGAAGCCAAAAAATATATGAAGAAATAATAGCCAAATACTCCCCAAATTTGAGAAAGAATATTAATCTTTATATCCAAGAAGCTCAACAAGGTTCATATAGGATAAAAACAAAGCCACATCCAGACACATCATAGTTGAAATTTTGAAAGCTAAAGAGAGAGAAAATCTTGGAAGCAGTAACAGAAAGACCACTTATCACCTACAAGAGAATACTGATAAGATTAGCAGCTGAATTCTCATCAGAAACAATGGAGGATAAAAGGCAGTGGGATGATATATTCAAAGTGCTGAAAGAAAAAAAAGTTAACCAAGAATCATTACACAGCAAAACTATTCTTCAAAAGAATAGTTGAAGACAAAATGAATACAAAATAAAGTCATTACCAGAAAAACAAAAACAGAATTTGTTGTTATCAGGTCCATCTTACAAGAAATACTACAGATTGTTCTTCAGGCTGAATGTGAGTCACACAGGACAGTAATTCAAATTCACAGAAGAGACAAAGAGCACCACTAAAGGTAATTATATAAGCCATTATAAAAAACAACGTATTTGTATATTTCTCCTCCTTTCTTCTCTTAACTGATTTAGAAAGGAATTGCATAAAAATGCAAATTATTGTACTGCTGAGCTTATATAGAAATGTAATATATATTAACAGGAAGCACAAAAATATGGAGGAGGGAATAGAATTATATAGGACTAAATTTTCTATATTTCACTAGAATTAAGTTAATGGACTTGGATGAGTCAAGAGGTATATTGTAAGCTTCAGACCAACCACTAAGAAAATAACTCAAGAAGTAGAGTTAAAGATATTCTAAATGTTCTTATCACAAAAAAGATAAGTATGTGAGGTGATGAGTATGTTAACTTGATTGAATCACTTTACAATGTATTCATATATCAAAGCATCACATCATACACTGTAAATATATATAATTTTTATTGGTAAATTCTACTTTAGTAAAGCTGGGAAAAAAGAAATGTTAAAAATTATTAAGGAAATTAAAATGTACAAGAAAATATTGACTTAGTGCACAAGAAACTAAGGAAAGGAGGAACAAAAAATATATGAGATATAGAAAACAAAAAGTAAAATTTCAGATATAAACCCAACTATATTAATATTAACATTAAATATGAATGGATTAAATGATCCAATTAGAATGTTGAGATTGTCAGATTGGATGAAAACACAAGATGCAACTACACACTGTCTACAGGAGACACACTTTTGATTCAAAGATATAAATAATTTGAAAGAGAAAGGATGAAGAAAGATACACAATGCAAACAGTAATTGTAAGAAATCTGGAGGGGCTATATTTAATATCAGACAAAATTGACGTTAAAACACCAAAAAGTTACTAGAGATAAAGAGCAAAATTTTATAATGATAAAAGGATCAATCCATAAGGAGGATATAGAAATTATAAACACATATGCACCTTAACCACAGACCACTAAAATACATGAAGCAAAAAATGGAAAAACTTGACAGAGAAATATACAATTCAACATTAATAGTTGGAGACTTCCATACTTTCTTTAAATAATGGGTAGAACAATTAGGCAGATGTACTAATGATGATATAGAAGACTTGAACAAAAGTATAAACCAATTAGACCTAATAGACACTTATAATTCACTCCATTTAATAACAGCAGAATACACATTTTTTTCAAGCATATATGGAAAATTATCCAGAATACACCATACACTAGGCCATAAAACAAGCCTGAATAAATTTCAAAGGATTGAACTCATCCTTTAAAATGAACAAAGTACATTCTCTGGCCACGTGAAATGTAATTGAACCAATAACAGCAGGAAATCTAGAAAATTAAAAAATACATGGATATTAGATAACATACTCCTAAATAACCAAGGGATAGAAGAAGAAAAGGGAAATTGCACACTATTTTGAGGTGAATGAAAATGAAAACACAACATACAAAACTTATGCAGATAAAGTAGTATTTAAAGGGAAATGTATAACTATAAATGTCTATATTGAAAAAGAAAAAATATCTTAATTACCTAGCTGTGATAGGTTGACAAAAGTTTCTCCAAAAGATATCCATGTTCCAATCCCTGGGACTGGTAAATATTTTATTTGAAAAAAGACTCTTTGCAAATGTGAATTAGTTAAGGTTTTGAGATGATGGGTTTATCCTGGATTATTCAGATGAGCCCTAAATTTGATAATCAGTAACCTCCTAAGAGAGAAGCAGAGGAAGGTTACACACACATGAAAATGAAGGCTGATTTTGGAGTGATGCAATCACAAATCAAGGAATGCTGGCAGCTACCAGGAGCTGGAAGAAGCAAGGAACAGATTCTCCTCTAGAGCCTGCAAAGAAGTATAGCCCTGCTGACACCTTGATTTTGCCTCGAGTAAGACTAATTTTGGACTTCTGGCCTCCAGAATTGTTAGAGAATAAGTTTCTGTTGTTTTAAGCCATTGGGTTTATAATAATTTGTTATAGATTACAGTTATAATTTGTTATAGATTATTATAGATTATAGTAATTTATTATAGATTATAGTAATTTGTTATAGATTACTGCAACCTTAAGAAACTGCAAAAAGAAGAGCAAACTAAACCTAAAGCAAGTGGAAGAAAGGTAAGGATTAGCACTGAAATAAATGGAGAATAGAAAGCCAATAGAGAAGATCAATAAAACCAAAAGTTGGTTCTTTGAAAAGGTCAATAAAATGGACAGAACTTTAGATAGACTGACAAAGGCAAAAAGAATACTCAAATTATTGGTCAGGCGCGGTGGCTCACGCCTGTAATCCCAGCACTTTGGGAGGCCGAGACGGGTGGATCATGAGATCAGGAGATCGAGACCATCCTGGCTAACACGGTGAAACCCCATTTCTACTAAAAATACAAAAAATTAGCCGGGCGTGGTGGCAGGCGCCTGTAGTCCCAGCTACTCAGGAGGCTGAGGCAGGAGAATGCTATGAACCTGGGAGGTGGAGCTTGCAGTGAGCCCAGATCGCTCCACTGCACTCTAGCCTGGATGACAGAGTGAGATTCTGTCTCAAAAAAAAAAAAAAAGAATACTCAAATTATTAAAATTAGGGATGAAAGGGAGGACATTGCAACTGACCTTAGAAATAAAGAAGGATTATAATAAAATGATATACCAAAAAAATTATTAGGCAACTTAAATAAAATGGACCAATTCTTAGACTGATGCAAACTACCAAAGTGAACAACAGAAGAAATAGAACATATAAATAGGCCTCTTAACAAGTAAAGAGATTGATTAGTGATTTAAAAAATTCTCCCAAAGAAAAGTCCAGGTCCAAATGGCTTTACTGGGTAACTTCTACTAAACATTTAAGGAATAATCAATACCAGTTCTTCATAAACTCTTCTGAAAAATAGAAAAGGAACACTTGTCAACTCATTTTATGAAGCCAGTGTAACCCTGATATCAAAACCAGACAAAAATGTCATAATGAAAGAAAACCTCAGACCATATCTCCTATGAATATAGAAACAAGAATCTACAACAAAGCAGTAGCAAACTGAATTCAGCAACATATAATCAGGACCATGCACCATAATGAGTGAGATTTATTCCAAGAATTCCTGGTTGGTTTAACATCTAAAAATTAGTGTTACACATAAAATATTGATGAAGTATAAAAACCGCATGATCATCTCAAAAGATGCAGAAAAAGCATTTGACAAAATCTACCCTTTCTGGATGAAAACACTCAATAAACTAGGAATTGAAGATAATTTCAACAACCTGATGAAGAACATCTACAAAAAATCCCACAACTAACATCATACTTAATGGTCAAAGACTGAATGACCATTAAGATCATTCAGTATCAGGAACAACAGAAGCATATCTGCTGTCATCACGCCTATTTAATATTATACCAGATGTTTTAAAGAAAGTAAAACTATCTCTGTTTGCAGATGACATAATCATGTATCCTAGGGAATCCACTAAAAATCAGTTAGAACTAGTAAGTGAGTTCAGTGAGGTTACAGGATATAAGATCAATATAAAAAAACAAATTGTATTTCTATCACTATCAGTGGGCGATCTGAAAACAAACTATAAAAAATCATGTATAATGGAATCAAAAAGAATAAAATGCTTAGGAAGAAATTAAGAAAAAAGTGCAGAAACTCATACTCTGAAAACTACAAAACATTGTTGAAAAAGTTAAAGAAGACCTAAATAAATGGGAAGACATCTCATGTTCATGGACTGCAAGACTTAATATTGTTAAGATGGCAATACTTCAGATATCTTTATCAAAATCCCAGCTGGCTTTTACACAGAAATTGACAGGCTTATCTTAAAATTCTGATGGAAATTTAAGGTATACAGGCTAGCCAAATAATCTTGAAAAACAAAAACAAAATGGACAACTCACATTTTTTTGATCTGAAAATGTACTGTGAAGCTACAGTAATTAAGGCAGTGTGATACAGGCATGAGGACAGACACACTGATCAACAGAATAGAATTGACAGTCCAGAATTAAGTGCTTAAATTTATGGTCAATTTTATTTTGATAAGGATGCTCAAACAATTTAAAGGGGGGAAAGAATAGTCTTTTAACACATGGTGCTGGAACAACTGGATATCTACATGTTAAGAATAAAGTTGTCCCCCATCTCACTCTATCCACAAAAACTAACTCAAAATGGATCATAGAACTAAATATAAGAGATAAAATCATAGAACTCTTAGAAGAAGACAAACCTAAATCTTTGTGACTTTAGATTAGGCAAAGGCCACTTAGGTATGACATCAAAAGCACAGTGACAAAAAAAAATGGATAAATTGGATTTGATCAAATTTAAAACTTTGTATATCAAAGAATACTATTCAACGAGTATTCTCTTGAAATGATAATCCAATGAATTGGGGAAAATATTTGGGAGTCATTTATCTGGTAAGGGGTTAATATCCAGAATTTACAAAAACTCATAATGCAATAGTAAAGGTGATAAATGACACAATTAAAAAATAGGCAAAACATCTCAATAGACAAATTCTCTGAAGAAGATATACAAATGTTCAGTAACCACATGAAAGGATGCTGGACATAATTAGCCATTTGGGAAATGTAAATCAAAACCACAATGAGATATGGCTTCACACCCACTAGGATAATGAGTGTTGGTGAGGATGTGGAGAAGTTGGAATCCTCATACACTATTGAAGAGAATGTGTCTTAGTTCATCTCGGCTGCCATAACAAAATAAACAAAACTGGGTAGCTTTTAAACGACAGAAATTTCTCACAGTTTTGGAGGGTGAGAAGTCCAAGATCAGGGTGCCAGCTTGATGGGGTTCTGTCTGGTGAAGTCTCTCTTCTGGGTTGCAGCCTCCTGACTTCTTGCTGTGTCCTCACATGGTAAAAGGGGCTAACTAGCTCCCTGAGCCCTCTTTATAAAAAGGCTCTAATTCCATTCATGAGGACAAAGGCCTCATTACCTATCCACCTCCCTAGGGCCCCACCTTCTAAAGACATCACCTTGGTGATTAGATTTCAACATATGAATTTTGGGGCAAAATAAACATTCAGATCATAGCAAAATATAAAATGGTACCATCACTTTGGAAAACATTTTGGGAGTTCCTCAAAATTTTAAGCATAAAGTTTATGTGACCAGGTAATTTCAATTCTAGGAATGAATATATATGTATATATTCATTCTTGGAGATTTTATATAGATATATATACACACACACACACACACATATGTATATTTTGTGTATATATACACATATACATTCTTGGAGATTATATATATATATACACACACGCATATTTTGTATCTGTGTGTATATGTAGATTTTTTATATATATATATTTATGTGTGTGTATGTATGTATATGTGTATATATATATATATATATATATATGCCCAAGATAATTGAAAACACATATCTACACAAAAACTTGTACACAAATGGTTATAGCAATATTATTTATAATGGCAAAAAGTGAAAATAATCCAAATGTCTATCAACTGATGAATGGATAAACAAATATGGTATATCTATGGAATGATATATTTATTCAGCCATAAAAAGGAACAAAATACTGGCACATGCTACAACATGGATAAATCTTGAAAACATTATACTAAGTGAAAGAAGTCAGACACAAAATGTTGTATCATTTGATTTGTATGAACAGAGAAGTCTATAGAGACAGAAAGTAGATTAGAGGTTGCCTAGGGCTGGGTCTGAGTGTGGGGATGGGAAATAGGGAATGACTGCTAGTGGGTACAGGGTTTCTTTTGGGAGTGATGAAAATGTTCTAAAATTAGATTGTGGTAATGAGTGCACAGCTCTGTGAATCAACTAAAAACCATTGAATTGTACCTTTTAAGTGCGTCGCTGTTATGGTATGAAAGTTGTATATCAATAAAGCTTAAAAAATAATGTGTGGTTGTTAATGTGAAGAACTGACTCAGGCTAGAGCTTTTCCAACTTTAGTGGATGGAGGAAAGCATTTCTGCATTTAAGACTTCTGGAATGAGGTCCCTCTGGACAGGAAGCACAGATACCAATGAACTGTGGCCACCTGGACCTGACATTCTTCTAAAAAAATACTGTGCTTTCTCCTCTCTCTCATGTATAGATACACAAATGCACATACACAGAGTCTGGCACAGAGTGAAAACTACCTTCAATTCCAAAACGGAGAATCTACTATGTAGCCTAGCAAAGCAGAAAGGAGCTGAGAAGCAAGAGAAAAGCATCCTTCATCTAAATCTCTATGAATCCACAAAGTACAAACATGAAGACCAATTCTTTGAAAAGCCAAATGCAAGGCAGGGGAATCATATTCCAATGAGCATGAGGCTCATATGAAAATTTTATGTTCCAAGGGTCATCTTGGAACTTGACAGTGCAATTGAGAAAGGCTGGAAATTTTTATTTTATTTTACTTTATTTTATTGTTTTGTTAGAAATGGGGTCTTGCTGTGTTACCCAGGCTGGTCTCAAACTCCTGGCCTCAAGCCATTCTCCTGCCTCTGCCTCACACAGCACTGGGGTTAGGGGCATGAGCCACCATATTGGACTAAAGCCTGGAAATTTTTAAAGGGTGACAATCACTTATAAGAAGCCTCTGGAAATGGTAGAAAAAAAAATTAGATGTGGTCTGGCTATAAAGCATCTTGCTAACATTTGGACACGTGGACAAAAAGGAACAAAGTTCCTCACGCATCTTATAGCCCCTTTGTTAACATCAGTGTCTGTTTGCAGAGAAGGAAGGCCAAGCTTCATAGTACCTTTCAGAAACTGGGAAAACTGAGGAAAGGATTTAGTATGGGCTTCTCACCTCATAGATTTTTTTAGACTCATGAGCTGACAAAGTACCAAGAATGGCTTGAGACCCTCTATTCCAGGGTCCGCAAACTGAAATGCTAGGCAGGCAACGTAAATGGGTGGTATGGGTTTGTTATGATAGAACAGGGCACAGTTATAACCTGTAGAGAAGTAAAGACTGTACGTCTTGCCTAAAGGGAGCTGCATTGGACAGACTTAAAACGAAGCGGGAGGCCGAGGCGGGCGGATCACGAGGTCAGGATATCGAGACCATCCTGGCTAACACGGTGAAACCCCGTCTCCACTAAAAATACAAAAAATTAGCCGAGCGTTGGGGGGTGCCTGTAGTCCCAGCTACTCAGGAGGCTGAGGCAGGAGAATGGCGTGAACCCGAGAGGCGCAGCTTGCAGTGAGCTGAGATTGCGCCACTGCACTCCAGCCTGGGAGACAGAGACAAAAACAAAAAACAAACAGAAAAAAACAACGCGAAGCATGGGCGTCCTCTGTTCTGGTCTGACCCTTAGCATTTTATCTACAAGAAAGGTAACCAGAGGCCTTAAGAAGGAAATGACTTGGTTAAATTGACAGAATATCTTGCCTTCTCTTTATACTTTGAAGATATGTCAAAAAATTTTCAGTATGGGCCCCAGACTGCCTAATAAATCAGCCCCTTTCCTGTTTTTTGGCTTTTCAAAGAGTTGGAACTCCCAAATGTGCTTTGGGGAGTGGTGGGATTTTTACATGAAGGATGTTCCCACTGTTTCTCACCATCTTTCTGGTTTTCTAAGAAGGAATGGCGGTTTATACCCTTTTTCGTAACTGAAAGTTGTTTTGAGCTTGTGCCAGACCCAGGGCGTGTGCTGTGTGTGGGGGTAAGGTGAGGGAGCATGGTTCTGCCAGGGAGCCATGGTAGGAACTTGAGGGAGTGAACCCCTTATTTGGCTGGAGGTATTATTTGCCTGGAAAGTGGAGGACAGTTGCGGGAAGGATGAATTGCTCAAACATTATCTAGAAAACTCAGTCCACTTCCTTGCAGGAACAGCATGTCAATATGTTTTTGTCTGCTGGACAATGTGTGGGAAACATCTTTGATTTTTTTTCGTAACCGTGCATATAATTTCTTAGCATTTCACTTCCGGGCATTGATTAAAGCTTTTCTGTCTCTTTAGAGTCATTAAATAGAAAAACGCCTGCCAGAGACAGATTGATGATGTTTCTAGGGACTTGCTTAGAGAAATAGGAATCTCCTTAACTTGCTGAAAAGTTTTTCTGGTTTGTGCCAAATAGCTAGCATTTATTGAGTTTTATTACATGCCAGGTACCATGCTAAATGCTATGCACAAATTATCTCACTTTATCTTCACAGCAACAAACTGAGATATGCTATTATTATCCCCTTTTTCTATTATAAAATTGAGGCACAGAAACATTAAATCATGTATCTGAGGTCACTCAGTCAGCATGTGTTGGGATAGGAATTGACTCTATGTGGTCTGATCTTGAGGACTGTGTTACATCAAACTCAAAACCCTTAAATCTTCATAACATCTAATCACAGCTGGGTATTGGCTTTCAAGATTATAGGTGTGTTCTCAGGACCCAAATCTGATAATGTGTGTATTTTTGTCCCTTCAAAGGGTATGGGAGCACATCTGTATGGCTGGGCTCATTGTATTTCCATCTGGCACTAAAGAAAATGCACTTCTATTACTATCTCAGCCTCCTTTAACCACATACATTCACCCAGGAGGGAGCATTTCCATAAAGTTGTTTTAAAATGACAGCAGGACTCACTGGGGGGGCTGCTTTCCTTGTGGGCAGAATGACTGTAGTTGGAGATGTAAAGTAGGAAGAGAAATGGAGGCTGTTATGGTCTCCCTCCCCACTTGCCTATAAAATTGGAAGGATGTGATTGGAATAATTTGCATTTACAAATGAGGAGCCTGAGAAACATGGATGAGAAGGAACGCAGTGAGGCTCATCCAGTAAAGTCAACCATGAGCCAAGGACCGTGTTAGATGCTTTATCTATACAGTCATGTATCACATAATGATGGGGATATGTTCTGAGAAATGCATTGTTAACACAGTATTATCAGTGTGCAAACTTCATAAAGTTTGCACAACGATAATATTGCCTAATAATGTGTGTATGTGTGTCTTAGCTTTTAAGCCTTACAAAGCCTTAAAAAGGCCTTAAAAAGGCTTAAAAACTAACACACACACACACACACACACACACGGTAGCCTAGGCCTACAGAGTCAGCATCATCAATGTCACTGTCTTCCACCTCCACATCTTGTCCCATTGGGCAATAACATGCATAGAGCTGTCATCTGCTATGATGATAATGCCTTCTTCTGGAATATCTCAGGAAGGACCTACCTGAGACTGTCTTACAGTTAACTTAAAAAAAATTAAGTAGAAGGAATATATTCTAAAATAATAGTAAAAATATAATATAGTAAATACATAAACCAGTAACATAGTTGTTGATCATCATTATCAATGATTATGTACTGTACATAATTGTATGTTCTATACTTTTATATGACCGGTAGTGCGGTAGGTTTGTTTACATAAGCATCACCACAAACACCTGAGGAATGCATTGTGCTGTGACATAAGGATGGCTGTGATGTTACTAGGCAATAGGAATTTTTGGGCTCCATTGTAATCTTACGGGACCACCATTGTATATGTGTTCTGTCATTGAGCGAACGTCATGCGGTGGGTGACTGTACAAGATTCAAGTCAATCTTCACAGCATCCTTGTTGAGCAGACAGTAACATGCTCATTTTATCAATGAGGAAACAGATTCAAAAGCAAGTTGGGAGTGATATCTCACTAGTATATCCCTGTTGCACTGATGCAGCAGAACAGCCAGTGTCCTTCTGATTGGTTGGTGCCTAATATAGGTAGAGTAAGGAAAGTTAATTTTAATGTCAACTTCCAAACCAGTGGCTTTAACCAGTACAATGAAAATATCCCTCACTTACCCAACAAGCAATGTGGAAGTTCCTTGTGGGCCTGCAGCCTTCCTTCCATCCAAGGACATAGGCTTGGGCCCTGTCGCTTTCTGCGTGACCCCTTGCATGCAATCGGCAGATACGGGGAGAGAGAACATGGAAAGAGCATGGAGGTGCCCATGAGCCAGGACTCGCATGGAGCACCTAATTTCCACCACATTTTATTCACAGAATCAGCCATGTAGCAGCCGCTGACTGCAAGGGAAGCTGGGAAATGTAGTCTACCTGGTTTCCCTGGAAGAAAGGAAGGTGGTTTTAGTGAACACACAGCAGTGTCTGCCACATGACCATGCTGCATTGGTTATTACATATTTGAATATCACCCCTAGGTAAAGTCACAAAGGTAGCAAGTGGCAGAGCCAGGAGTAGGACCTAGGTCTGTGTAACCTCAGATCTGGATTCTTTGCAGGGCCTCTCATACTCCTTTAATGGCTGGCTCAGGTTCTGCACCTCTGGATGCAGTGGGTGTTGTGATTGCCTATGTGGACTCTCTTTCCAGGCACCAACAATTCTATAAAACATGTGACTGCTCTCCCTTTCCCTTCCATGGACTATCTGGGCTACAAATTTGAGAGTAGGTTGTTGGGAATTTTTGTGAGCAGCCAACTCAGGATCAGGTCTGTGAAGCTCCTGGCTTATGTGGTGCTCAGTGGCTCTCTTGGGAGTGAGGGGCGATAGACAAACTGTGTCACTCTCCCCAGGAGGGCTGGGCTGTCATTAGCATTCAGCAAGGCTGTGAGTCTTGTTGTACAAATCAGCTGTTTAAAGGCCTTAAAAAAAAAAACCCCTAAAACTGCTGAATGCCTCTCGTGGTTGAAGCTCTTATGAGTATGGAGCTAACAGTTTCCCACGACTGCTGAACAGCAAAAGGGGAGCCATGGTGTAGTGTTTTCCTTTTGATTCATATTTGGAGTCATTTTTAGCAATACGGCAAAATGTGAAGATGCTCTTGGAATGTGGGCATTTGTTACCTTTGACAAAGGAGATTGCTTGTATTTTTGTTTGTCTGTTTTGGTTTTTTTCTTTACAGCTCTTGATCTTGTTTATTCAGAGAAGCAAGAAGGATCTGTTGGTTTCATAAATGTGCTTCTATTCTTGAAAAAATGCTAGAGTTAGCCACTTCTCCCCCCACTTCCTCACTGGTCTGTGGCAGGAGACTCAAGTTGCAAACTAACGCAGCCCCCTTTCCTTCCTGGCTTCTCCCTCCACTCCTATGGGGGTCATCAGGGGGAGGGGCAGAGAGCTAACCAGCAGAGTCCAAACACATTATCTCTTTTGTCTGGGTTTCAGAGTCAGTTTATTTTCTTCCATCAGTTGGGAAGGTGATTCTATGCATAGGGATTCCTTGTATGGAATCTTTCCCAAGATAGGGCTTAGTGTATTGTGCCAGCTTTGACTTCAGTCACTCTGCTTGCTGATGCAACTGACCCTGCTTCATCAGGCCTGGGCAAAAACAGGCCCTTTTAGTAGAGTTCTAATGGGCACTGCTTGTTCGATGGTAATTAACTGGGTATTGGGAATTTCCTCAGTTCCAGATGTCTGGGAGTTAGAAACAAATAACATCTGTTCTCATCAAAAGGTAGAGTGGCAAAGTACAAATCACAAGTCACTCTCAATAAATGCAGGAGCTGGCGTTTGAGATCCACAGTGAAGCCAGATTACCTGTTTGCAGTACTCCTCTATGGATAGAGGAAACAGAGCTAAACATTTCCTCTGAGCCTGGAGCTGACCTGGATAAGCCTCTTCTTGCTTAACAGCACCCCTGAGTCTTCATCCAGATTTGGGAAGAGGATGAGGTTGGTTAGCATGCTGAGTGATAAGGAAGAAAAGGATACTGTGGAGCCCAGCACCTGTCTGATCTAGGGAGAGAATTCATGACTAGTAGACAGAGGCCAGAATTGACTCGCTTCACAGGAATCAAGGTGTAACATTATTCCTTCCCTCCCTCCTACTCTTCCTTTCTTCTTTCCATTTGTCCGTGCATCCATTGGTTTAGTCAACAGACATTTAAACAGTACTCACTAAATGCCAGATTCTTTGCTAGGTGACTGGAGGCATGCAAAGGGGGAGATGTAGTTCTGCCTACAAAAAGCTCACAGTCCAATAGGGGAGTGGAGACATGGACAGAAGTAATCCATTCCCAAGGTGAAAAGTGACTAGTGCCATAAGAAAAGGACAAGAAAGTGTGAGGGAAGGTTGGTGGGGATGAAACCAGGAAGGGGGTATGGCTCACTTCCAGCTGAGCAGATGGGTGTGTAGGTTTGGGGAAGTTTTCATGGAGAAAGAAGTATTTGAACTGAGCACTGAAAGATGGGGTAGATTTCAACTGCAGAAAGTTGGGGAAAGGGTTAGGAGCCTCAAGCAGAAGGACTTGTGTGTATAAAAGTGTGGAAGCTGGAAACAGCATGCCTATTTTGTAATTTATTGGTAGAGACATGCCACTCTTAGTGAATTAGTAGAAAGGCTTCCTTTCTCCCCCTGCCTCTCTCTTTCCTTTCGGATTTCTATATTTTGTGTTCTTATTATTCTTTGGACCATAGAAGAGGTTCATGAAATGAAAGGGTGGGGGCTAGAGATGGGGTGGGCTTTACCAACCATTGACTTTTCCCTCTTCTTTAAGTTTGATCACCTACCAGGGGAAGTCAAGGGGAAATGTTGCCTGTTAATTTTCCTTGTTATAGGTTGGTTTTGATGTTGATGACTGGTATTACTTCTCTAGGATATAACTTTGGAAACAGCATTGGTGAGGGCATTCCATGTAAAACATCAACTTCAGCTTTTCTGTTGTAGGGTATTTTCCGTGCTTGACTACTGATGGTCTTGCAAAGCTCCTGTATTCAAATCCTAGGCTGAGCTCCAGAGTGCTTCCTCCTAGATCGAGGCTTTGGATATGCTCACTGCTCATTAGCAACCTGCAGAAAAGCTGGGATGCAGTCTTCACTGATTTGGTGTGTAACGGATTCCTTGAAGGGAAGCCTGCTTTGCTGATGGGGTCAGCATACGTGGCGTACTGACATGGGAATCATGGCATTTCCAGCCAGTGCTCAACTCTGTGGAATGCTTCCCCTTTCAGCCCAAGTCTCAAATTGCCTCCAAGTTTCCTCATTTCTGAGAAAGTGAGCCAGTGAAGGTTGATATTCAAATATATAAACAGCTAATGTGGCATTTGGCAGTGTCCAATCAGAACCAGTCATATAGTGCTAGAGCAAATTGCTGTGCCAGGCAGTAACTGTTTTGTGGCTGGCTCTTGGGGAAGGTTTGGATACTGGGGGAGGGGTCAGGATAATGGGTGCTGGAAGCATCTCTCAAGTAACTTGGGAAAGCAGCTTTTTCTAAAATGGGAGGAAATTTGAGTTTATTTATTTATTTATTTATTTATTTGGAGATGGGGTTTCACTCTTGTTCCCCAGGCTGGAGTGCTTTGACACGATCTCGGCTCACTGCACCCTCCGCCTCCTGGGTTCAAGTGATTCTCCTGCCTCAGCCTCCTGAGTAGCTGGGATTACAGACGCCCGCCACCACACCTGGCTTTTTTTTGTGTGTGTGTGTGTGTGTTTTTAGTAGAGATGGTGTTTAACCATGTTGGCCAGGCTGGTCTCAAACTCCTGACCTCAGGTGATCTGCCCGCCTCGGCGTCCCAAAGGGCTGTGATTACAGGCATGAGCTACCAAGCCCGGCCTATTTCAGTATTTTAAGAACTGATATGGTGGAACCAGTGCATACCAGCTAAATATAAATGCTGAAACGTTTTATTTTTTTTAAAAGATCAACTATGTCCTGACTACAGCCTAAGCAAAAGGGTTCCTGGTGGTTTCTGCCTGTCAACAGGGAAGATCTCACTTCACAGAGGCTGAAACTGGGGCTAGTTATGGATGCTGGGCCCTGAACAGGTAGAATTTCCTATCTTTTAGCTATAGTTTAAGCCAGAAGTTTTCAAACTTTTTGGTCTTAGGACTCCTTTATGCTTGTAAAAATTATTGAAAACCCCAAGGGAGTTTTGTTGCTATAGGTTGTATCAGTTAATATTTGCCACAATAGAAATTTAAACTGAGAAAATTTCAAAATAATTATTTTATTTAACAATGGCAATAATAAACCCAATTACATAAATTAACATAAGTAGCACACTTTTTGTGAAAAAGAACTACAGACTCTTGGTACAATTTGTTTTAGTCCATTCAGACTGCTATAATAAAATACCCTAGATGGCATGGCTTATAAACAATAGAAATTTATTTTTCACAGTTCTGGAGGCCGGAAAGTCCAAGATCAAGGGGCCAGCAGATTCAGCATTTGGTAAGGGCCCACTGCCGGGTTCACAGACCACCACGTTCTTGTTCCATCCTAACATGGTGGAAGAGATAAGAAAGCTCTCTGGGCTCTCTTTCGTAAGGATACAAATCCCACCCATGAGGGCTCTACCCTCATGACCAAATCACCTCCCGAAGGCCCCACCTCCCTGGGTTAGGATTTTAGCATGTGACTTCTTTTGTGTGTGGGTGGGGGGCCACAAACATTCAGTCTATTGCAGTTTCCAAAGCAACAGCCAAAAAAAAAAAAAAAAAAAAACTTATTGAGAAGAGTGGCCTTGTTTTCTATTTTCACAAATCTTTTTGATACCTGGTTTGATAGAAGAAAAATGGAGTCTCACATTTACTTCTGCATTCAGCCTGTTGTGATATGTTGTTTTGGTTGAAGTATGAAAAAGATTTTTCGGCCGGGCGCGGTGGCTCATGCCTGTAATCCCAGCACTTTGGGAGGCCAAGGTGGGCGGATCACCTGAGGTCGGGAGTTCGAGACCAGCCTGACCAACATGGAAGAAACCCCATCTCTACAAAAAGTGCAAAATTAGCCAGGCGTGGTGGCGCATGCCTGTAATCCCAGCTACTCCGGAGGCTGAGGCAGGAAAATCGTTTGAACCTGGGAGACAGAGGCTGTGGTGAGCCAAGATCACGCCATTGTACTCCAGCCTGGGCAATAAGAGCAAAACTCCATCTCGGAAAAAAAAAAAAAAAAGATTTTTCTTCACAGATATATGTAGATGGGAAAAGAAGGAGTATTTTAATATTTTCAGATAATTATGGATATTCTTCTTTGATACTACACCCAAACTGGACAAGTGATAAGTTTCTAGAAGTTGGAGTGAAATCTGAAACCACATCAGTAAATGTTTTATATTCTGTTACATCAAAATCTGTGGTCTGCCTTGTACTTTGCTTATATCTTTTATCCAAGCATGATTTTGTAATATTATACATTAGTCATTTGGAAAGGATAAGCTCACAGAGTTAGGCAGATCTTCTAAATGTGGACATATTTTATTATACAGTGTGAAAAATCACTTCCATTAATATTACCATTTATATCATCAGAAGTCTTTAGGTGTTGGGAAGCCGTCAAGCTCATAGTGGTGGAGGCAAGTTTTCCATAATTATAAATTTTCCTTAAAAGCTTGGATTTTATCACTGGGGAAAAATATTATCACTTATTTTCCTTGGAGTGACAAGACTTTGAGAAAAGTTCACCAAATTCCCAAGTATGAATAATTATGATTTGTTCATCAGTTGTTCTTTTAAGTGAAAATAGTGTTTCATGAAAAAAGTACGTAGTTCATTGTCCACCTCGATTGTATAAGCTCTTTCTCTTGAGACAACCTTCATACTTCAGTCTGCAGCAGAAGTGCTTTATGTGTATGTGTGCTTATAAGATAGCACTGACTAATAGGAATAATTTACACTGTGACTCATTGGGTTTGCTTCTTTGCTCTCCACACTCCTCAGGAATCTCAAGGGGCAAACGGCTCTCTGTGGGTGTTTCACTGAAGACTCGCCTCTCGGTCCTTACGTGTTCAGACGTGCTTCTCTGAGCTCTGCCTCCATCATTCACTGCTGAGAATATGGCCAGTTGAAATGCACTGGAGAATAGGAACCCATTTCTCTTACGGCATCTCCCATCAGCTTTCCAACAGTAACCTGATGGCTCCAAGGTTCCTGTTTACTTTGATTTACTTTTCCAAGACTTTAAAATACAAACTGTCCCCTTGTGTTTGCAAGGTGTTATTTATTTATTTTTCTTCTTCCCTGGACATAACTTCCAGGCCTTTCCTGGCATAGGTCAGTGTCTATCCTCGAGCTTCCTGTCCCCAGCTGCTGGAAGGACACTTTGCTCTAATTTTATTGCCGCTGGCCCACTTGTCCTACCATTTGGAACCAAGTTCCCTGGAATCTCAGGGGCCGCTTCTTCTACTTCCCCTTTTTACTTCTCTCCGTATGTCCTCTTATCTCTTTTCTGCTTGACCACAGTTTTCAAAGCTTAAATCTGTCTCCAGCCAGCCCAGCTCATGATGCCATTCCTTTTCGAATTCCTATGTCCTCACAAGAATTCAGTTCATCTCTATTTCATTGAGTGTGACCTTGTGCTTTCATCTTGTGGGGAGCCGTTGACTTGTCTAAGACCATAATTCATTTATTTGGGCCTTATAATGATATTGAGATCATCTGCTCCTTGCAGACAGGGCTATTTCTTTATTTCTCCCTCCTAGCCCAGTGAATGCCTTGCACATCATGTGAGCTTAACCATTACTGGCCGATAGTGCTATAAGTCTGGTTTGATTTTTGCTTTTCTGAAAGGAGCTGAAGCTTTAAGCATTTTCCCTGACCACGTATGTGGTCAGGGCTTTGGAAATATCTTGGTGTGTGTTCTTCAAAATGTCGGCATTTGAAGAAGTGGCGTCTCATGGGACCTCTGGTCTTTGGATGTCCTACATTTGGGGAATGAGATGTAAATGTATCCTTTGCTGGGGCCAGGTGGAGAGGAATTTAGTAGCTACAACTCTTATTTATTGATTAAACTCAGCTTTCGTGCACTTTCCAGCCAGAAACAGAGCTAGAAACCTTTTTACCCCGTGGATTTTATTTTCACCTATGGATTCAGATAGTCTACATTTCTTCATTCATTCAGAATGTATGAATTGAGCTCCTCCTATGTACTTGGCACTGGTCAGCTGCTCTGGAGGACCCAAAGGCATCTGATAGGTCACCATCCATTATGAGATATAAGTGTGCACACAGAGGGCTAGCATCTAGAAGGACCAGCTGCTTTGAGAAATAGCCCCAGGATGGTCTTGCCAGAAATAGGAGACCAGGGTGGAATTGGCTTTGTGTTCCCTGACCAATAACTCAGCAGGAGACTGGTTCTGTGCTGCTGTGGAAAAACCTCATTAAAGGGACAAATTGAGTGTAACTTCTCAGGAAAGAGCTGGAAAGCACCAGGCTTTGCTGGCCCTCCTGGTTTTTATGGAAGAGCACATGAACGACCTTCCTGAGTTGAGTGTTGGCAGGACTTAGAGTCCCATGCCTCTCATTTTGGGATATAAAAATAGCATGGGGGATAATAGGATGGTTCAGGGAAATCTTAGATCTTCCTCTCTGCAGGACCATGACAACCACTTCTGTGGGGTGTGTGTGGCAGTGGCTGTGCTCTGTGGCTGTGGTGAGGAGTTGGAGAAAGAGGTGCAGCTGATGTGGGTCCGTTCTTCACTCAACAACTAGAGTAATCTTTTAAAAATGCTTACTTCCTAAAGCCCTGTAATGATTATTAATTGTAGGAAGAATAAGTTGCATCACCTTTGATGAGGGCTGAAAGGCTGTGTTGGTTAGTTTCCACTGGGTTATGCTGGAGCAACATCACAAAGGCTTTTAGCCCTCAATGTGTATTTCTACTGCATACTGAAAGTCTGCGCTGCTTCACACGATATCTACAATCCAGGAACTGGGCTGAGGGAGCAGCTATTGTTTCCATCTTGTGGCAGAGGAAAAGAGAACAATAGCTGTAAGTCATAATGGCTCTTAAAGCTTCTTCTCAAATTGGTGCATGTTTATCACTTCTGCTCCTATTCCAGTGGTCCAAGCAAGTGAGACAGTCACTCATTGTCACTGTGGGATGGGACACAGAATCCCCCACTGGATAGCACTGCAAGCCACGGGGCAACGGACAGGCATGCATAGCCCTCTTATAGGGAGGGGCAGTGAATGATTGGGAACAAAGGCCCTTTGCCTCCTGGCCATGCCCAGCTCCCTGCCCTTTTCTCCCTCCACTCTCTGAAGCCTCTCATTCTGCTCTGACCCATCAGCTTGTGCTGTTCTCAAACACATCAGCTTTGTTCCTGCTTCAGAGCCTTTGCCTGCTCTTTCCTCTTTCGGGAATGCCCTCTTCACTTTGTTCAGCCCTCTTCCCCATATGTCACCTCTCCAGGGAGGCTTTCCCTAGCAGCCCATTCTACTCTTTCCCACTGCCTCTGCTTGGTTTTTCCTAATACACAGTATACATGGAACCTCATGTATACTAGGAAATACTAGATTACTCATTTGTTGTCTTTCTCTTCCAGTAAACTGTAAACATCCTGGGGGCAGGGACTTTGTCCTCTTTAGCCCCCTATCTGGTATACCAGATGCCTGACATCTGGTGGACTTTCAATAATTAGATGTTGAATGTGAATGGCTGGTCACCTGTGGGTCTCAAAGAAAAGAGGCTCCCAGCATGTGGAGAGTGACCACCCTTTTAGGAATAAGCACAACCTCTCCCTGCCTGGCTGCTTCTATCCTGCTAAAGATGCAGCAGCCACATGCATTCTTTTTAGGCCCCTGGATGGAGAATTTCTCTTCGTCTGTGAGCTTAGCCAGGAGTGGGTAGCAGGAGCCAGGCGGGATAAAGTGCCCACTCGGCAGCCCCTGTTGAATTAATAACAAGCTGCACCCTTCAGGAGCCCTGCTCTGTGAGTGCAGCAGGTGACCAAGTCCTGCCAAGGGCTGGGGGTGTCATGGGGAGGGGGCAGGGGAGGAGGAGGGGAGGTCAGCTGGGGTCTCACTGTAGCGTGCCCCTGTCCTTGCTTGGATCAGTGTTTACCTCAAAAATAGCAGGAAATGCAGCAGCTATTACAGGTGGGCGAGGGAAGCAGAAAATCCTGGCAGGCATCCCCAGAAGGCAGGAATCACACATGACCAGCACCTGGCTCTGTTTAGAGTCTTTGTGTACCCGGATGAAAATGAATCTGTCACATTGGCCACAGCCAGTGCTCCTTGGTGATTCTGTGAGGCCTGCCTGTTGTACTGGCCTTCTCTTCTGCTCTGTACTTATACTCATCAACACCAGCATGGACAGTGCTGTCGGGGCCCCTACTCCAGCCCTGCCCCACCTCAGGCCTCAGGGCACTTTTGTCTCATGTCTTTGGAAGTCTCTCTGGCTGCCGCAGCCTTGGCTCAGCAAGCCGGCTTCTCTCGGGACACCAGCAAATAGACAAAACACATGCAGCACATAAATTGTCCTTATCAACACACACTGTCTCCCTCTTTCCAACGGCCGCAGGGAGCTGTGAAGCAGGCTTCAGGGTGGCACCGTGGAGGATGACACAGTCTTTGGCAACCTTTCACTAAAGTGCCTTGTGCCGGAGGACGGTGGAGATTACAAAAGTCACAATGCCACTGCCTAGTCCAGGGTAGGTTAGAAATAACCCTGGATCCTGTGGCTACAGAACTGCCCTTGGAGATGCTTCACAGCTGGTAAAGAGCTGTCCATCCTCTGCCCTAATCCCTGCTGAGCCCAGGAGTGAGTTAGGGATGGAGGCAGCCCTGCTATGGTGTGATGACCCTTGGTGTGGGCAGGGCCAATGGTCACTGGAACATGCTGGCATGGCCATATGGGCTGTCTTGACCAACATCTGTTCAGATTGGTTGGGTGTTCTGCATGGGCAGTGCCCATCTGTTCCAGTTGTTAAGTATTTTGAATAGTATTTCTGTGCGGAGGTCTCATTAATCTACAACTCCAGTGGCTGAGCTACCTGGCCACAGAACTGTAGACATTTGCACTGGAAAAATGAGGAAGAAGAGTTCAGTAGCAGGATGCGGAAGGGAGGGATTTTAAGTGGAGGAACAGTCTGGGCAAAAGCCGGGAAACATGAGAAGCCTGGGATGTTCATGGCTACATCTCAGGGACGGTCTTAGGAAAGCAAATTTGATGAGGAGGACCCAGGGCTAGTCTTTGGGGGTGGCGGGAGGGAGAAGGAATAAGATGGCACCTTCCTTGCTGTCGGATTGAGAACACATGAGGTTTGCCCTGAGTCTGCCGAGGTATTTCACCAAGGGGTTTGCATCTTGGGAACAAACTGGGAAACCTGGACCCAAACATGGAATGTGACAGGCCAAAGGTCACAATGGTGAGTTAGTGGCAACCCCAGGGTCAAAATGATTGTGAAAGAGAGTCTGTTTCACAGAGATATCTGTCTGTCTCTTTAACTCAATTTCCATTTTGCTTTTTTGTCTGAAGTTGAATAATACAGAACTTTCCACCGTCCAGACTCCCTCCACCTGGCCTTCCTCTCATCCTCTAGGAAGCCACCACACTGAGGGGTTGGGGCACATCTTTTGTTGAGTTTTCAGGTTTTCTGAAGGCATTTTATAGGAGAACTCACTGAGTCACAACTCAGAGGTTGACTACAGAATGTTCAAGCCACATTCTTCACAACCCCTGCTCCCAGGGCTCTCTCCTCACTGAAACAGAGTGAAAATGTGGAAATTAGCTCTTGAGCATTCCAGGGCTTAGCACATTGATTTATACAATTGTCTGTTGGCATGGCCTTAGAGCACACAGGAATGGGCTTAATCATTTATTCAGAAAGAGACAGGTTATCAATTAATCTTAATCGTACCTGCTCTTTCACTGCCCCTCCTCACAAGGAGCTCCAGGTGTCAGTCCCAAAGCCCAGGTCTAATCTTCACGGTTTCTGATGATGGCCTGCGATGCCCATGGGGTACCCTGGCGGGGTTCCAGAGGCTAGAGGCCTGATGGGTAGGACAGGGATAGAAACTCCCACCTCAACCCCCACCTAATCCGAGCAGCTCCATTCCATCTGTATTATATATTGAGGTTTGCATAGGAGTTTATTTGGACACACATTAAATGACGGAATTTGAAAATCACTACCTGAAGTGAGCAAGCCAGTGAGCAAGCCATATAGCCCAGCCGAGTAGCCTGCTGTCTGTCATCTTCTAGTCCTGGTCAAACCTAGAGTATGGTGACAGGTGGGGCTCGACTCAGGGCTCCCTAGATCCAGCAGACCAGGGTGGCTCAGTAAGTTCCTGAGAGCTGGCGCCATGCCACGGCTGCAGGACTGGAGCCTTCCTTTGCCATCACCGCCACTCAGCTAAACAAATGTCCAGATTCACATTTTTCTCCAGTGGGATTGTGTCTGCCCACAGCCAGTTCCCAGCCAAACCTATGTGTCTGCTGGGGTGCTGCTGGCTGGGAAACCCGAGCCGCCCTCTTGGCTGTCTTTGTTTTTTCCCTGGCTGCCCTGTGATGCTGCCCTTCCTTCTTTCCTTCCTTCCTTCCTGAAGCCAGGGGGCAAGAGAGGCCACCCCATCCCTTTTGGGTTTCCAGGGAGCCAGCTGGTCCAAGCCTCAAGTTCTTCGCTGCTGACATAGCCCTTTCCATTTCTAACAAGGCACAAGGCATCAGAAGGTGGTTTTTAGGAAAGAGCTGTTAGGGAAAGGTTGGCTGGGATTGCACCTCCCTTTCTTCTCCCCTTCATTGATTTTGCTAATGCAGCAGGAGTCCCGAAGGAAGGCAGCAGCCTGCAAGGGGATCACGTTGCCCATTTGTCCTGCGCACAGGAGGCCCGGCTGCTGCGACGCACAACCTTGACATCCCGCCTCATCTCCTGACCCGGGAGGTGGGGTCTCTTATGAAGATGCCTTGTCGCTTTTTGCTTTTTCTCTTTCTTCTTTCTGTAAAAGCCAAGCAATACATTCAACCTGGTGAAGGAAAGGATAAAAGGGAAACCTCTTCTTAATTGGCTTAAGGCCATTGCACACATTACCAGGTGCACTCAAACTGCAATTTACTTTTTAATTAAAATTCTTTTTACCTGCAGGAAAGCTGAACATTGGGCCAGTGTTCTCTTACTTGAAAAGGGTGTTTTGGGGACCAGTTAAAAGGAGAAAGTGTGGGGATTATTTGGCTTATTGAGTTTTTTTTTTTTTTTTTTGGTTCTTTTTATGTTTTTCGGCTCCTTCTCATGACTGGCTGTCTTTTGCTAGCCAGTGACCTGCAGGAGCGTCAGCCCCAGATCCTTGTACAAACCTGATGGCTGCTGGGGTTCTCCTGACTCACCTCCTCCCTGCCCTTATGCCATGGGACATTGTCAGCCTTCGTGGGAGTTCAGCACCTTCTGGGACATGTGTCACAGTCTCCTCTGTGTCTGGCTGAGGCTCGTGTGCCTGTGGGCCATGTTTTGCCCCAGGTCAATGCTGGCAAGAAAACCATTCCCTCTCGCAGTTCTGGATGAGACATTCAGAGCACTTTCATTTTAGGGAAGGGTCCTGGGGACAGTCACATTTTGGAGCTGAGGCTGGCTTTCTCCTTCTCCTATCAAATTGCTTCTTGCCCTTTTCCTGCCAAATGCCCCTGCCAATCTGTATTCCTCCCTCTCATTATATGAAACAGTTTCTTCTTCCTGGAAGCCTTGGCCACACCAATAACCACCCACGCCCTGTCTTCTTAATTCTATTTAATCACTTCCCAAACCAATGATCTTCCTAATGAAGATGCTCTCTCCCTCAAAGTGCCAGCCGGGAGCTTGTCTGCCTCCTCTTGACAAGAAGATGAGAGCTTCCCTCTTTCCTAGGGCATGGTCCCGAATCCTCCAGCCCTTCTGAATCGATTTGGGGTGTTGAGCCTAGGATTCTGTGCTTCTTCAAAAGCTCCAGCCCAGCTTCTCTGGGCTTTACTTAGGCCCCCTTGTTTAGGGGTGAGAGAATGGATGCAGGCCCTCACCAGTGACATTCTCTCTAACAAAACGGAAATTGGAGGGGTGGGGTTTTTGCACTATGCAGTGTGTGAGTGGCTTCCTTTCTGGCACACAGTGGTGACTCAGCTGCTGATATACTAGGCAGTTTTCAGAGAGTGGACGGAGAAGGTTCAGAGCTGACCTGCCCAGGAGCAGGGCTGGACAGCAGGGCTGCTCCAGCTGGTGCCAGGTTCCATTCTGGGGCCTGGGGCAATTCAGTGGCTCCCACAGTGGTCGTCTCCGCTCATCTGCTGAGTCCACCAGGGTCTGGTGGGTGTGAAGTTGAAAGATGATGACAATAATCAGAATAATGGCTACCATTACTGAGCCCCTGGAATGGGCCAGGTACTTGCTGAATGCAGCACATACGTTATTTCATTTCATCCGCACTGCAGATGTGTGAGGTAAGTATCATCATCCCCCTTTCACAGATGAGGAAACTGAGCTCAGGGCACACAGCCAGCCAGCGCTGCAGATACGTGAGCCTGCATCGAGGTGACAGTCTGACAGTCTCAAAGGCAGGAAAAAGAGTTAAACAACTGCTGAAGTCTGAGTTTTGGCCTCCATCTTGTCCTGAACAGTCGTGAAGGCCTGCCTTCAGCCAGCCACCCCATCTGCTCTGTCTCTGTGGCACTAAAGGTGTGCGTTCACACCATGAAACTGGCCCTCAGGCCATGGCCAAAGGAGAGAAATTTGTTCTGTGCGAGGGCAAAAACAAAAAAGTGATTGTTTAGAGTTCAGTTTATAAAAGCACATTCTCATGTCAGATAATGTGGGCCCCACACGCAGACCCCGATCTCATTAGTGCCATGCACTAACCCGGCTAAGGGAACAGGCCCAGCCCCTAGCCCAAGCTTCAGAGTTGGGTGGGTCTAGGGTCGAGTCCTAGCTTCATTTCCTTCCAGCTGTGTGGCCTCAATTTCCTAATCTGTGGAACGGGATAATCATCTTTCCTCCTATGGTCATTATGAAAGTTACACAAAAGTTGCACATTCAGAGTGCCTGGGATGACCTAGAGTACATGCCTGCATGTTGTAGGTGAACATTTCAACAAATGTTAATACCTCCTTACCCCTGCTCCAACCCCACTGTCCTCTCTTATATCTGCACCTGGTTAAACCCACATCTTGTGGCTGATCTCTTTGGGGCAATTACTATAGCTGGAATGATATGATACTCTGTCATTTAGATGTTTCTTTTAATCAGCCTAAACCCAGGCTGTGAAACCAAGATGGCTCTGCCTGGAGCCACAGCCTGGTGAGCAGCGATGAGGGTCTGACCAAGGTCCTGCCCTGGAGTCAGTGCTTGGGAACCTGGTCAGGTGCAGTTGGTGCAGGAGCAGGACTCTGGCTAGAGAAGGGCAGCCTGGGCTCCCTTATGCCCTAGGGATTTCACACATGCCAGGCTGCTTCTGCCTTCTGGAAACAAATGTACAATAGGTAGCCCAGTGGTTCAGTGGAAGTGCCTGAAACCCTGGCTCTGTCTCTTTCTATGTGACCTTGAGTTTGTTGCTGCACCTCTCTGAACCAGTTTCTTCTGCGAAATTGGGGATCAGGTCACCTCCCCTCCCCAGCAGTGAGATTGTGACTATTGTAAGTCTTCCATATATATGGTTATTATTTTCAATATTTAAAGCAGATGTCGCATTTCGTCCTCAAAGGAGTGGCCATGATGATAATTTGTTTTGTCTAGAATGGTTGATGACTTATCAGTGAGGTCCTCACTTAGCTGAGTGGCTCCCCTCCTTCCTCCCTTCTTTTCCTCTTCTCTCCTTTCTCCTCCCTTTCATCTTTTCACAGCATTTGCTGTTTTTCAGACACACTGTGCTGGGTTCTGGGGAGGATGTGAGGAAGGGGAGCAGCTTACATCCTCATGGAACTCATGGCCTCATATAACAGAAAACAGAGAGCAGGAGTTCCAAGGCATGAGAACTCAATTCAACGTTTGCCCGAAAGGAATTTTGAAGTCATCTTATCCAAATGAAGAGACTGAGGTTTCAAAGGGAGGAGGGCCTGGGCCCAGAACCTGCAGGCTCACATCCAGCCTCCTTGCCTACCCTCCTTCACAGGCTTCCTTTGTAGGCTCTCTCCTCCTGAGAGGTCAGAGGGTGGGCCTTGCCTTGGATGATCAGGAAAAGCTTTAGTGGGCCTACAGCTGTTTAGTTTGAGAAGAGAAAGATGTAGGGGTTAGGAAGGGGGTGCCAGGAGGAAGTAATAGCTTGATCAAAGATGTGGCAGCCTCAAAGCAGAGGCTGAACCAGGGATGGCAGGCTCTGGAGTGGGACAAAGGTGCCTTGGTCCTCCTCCCAGCCCCACACCCCACCCACAGAGACTGTGACCGTTCAGTGGCTTACAGATGCAATGGACTGGCTTCCACTGCCCCATACCCTGCCAGGAATTAGTTGTGTTCATGGTAATGAGCTTGGACCCTGGAAGCTCTAGACTGGCTTAAATAAACCTCTCTTAAATGTTGGATTTATGATGCATTTTGCATAATAGTAGCAGTACTCAGCCAGGCACATGCTAGATAGATGAACCCAAATACTTAAAGAAACCTGGTCCAAGAACACCAATGAAAAATACCTCTTGATAAATCATGACTATTAATTTGCATGCTTTGGGTCTGAGAGGCTGGAGCAAACAATTCTTTAGCCTCCGGGGAGTGTTGAGCAGCAAACCTTTATGAACGCTCAGAGTAATTTATACTAATGCTTCTGCTCTGTCCTTGCTTTCCTAATACGACTCCTTTGCTGGGAGAGATATTAAATTGGCTCCATCTGTTTTGTGTGGATCTCTTAGCTGTCCTGCAGAAGGGATTCCCCTTGACATCAGCTCCTGCCTGCACCCAGAGTGTCTTTTGCTTCCTTTTAGCCATCTGGTAGGTGCTGGTAGATGGACTTTCATGATAGGAGACAGGCCTCAAACCTAAATAAACCTCATGTGACGTCATGATGGCCATGATGCTGTGGATTCCTTTAAGTGGATGAAAGCCCAAGCTAGAAGCCAGGTGTGATGCTTCTTCCTGGAAGATAGGACATCATGTGGCATAGCCAGAATTTGGATGTAGTTAAGAATTGAGGGAGGTTCTTATGTTTTGATATCAAAATCAGACCTTTAAGTCCAGACCAGGGAGATGGTTCACCCATGGTACCTATCCAGCCCTCAGGTTCTCTACTCCCCCAGTCTAGGGAGCAGATTTGACCAGATTTCTGGTCTGAGCAGGGCTGGGATTCATTTGTAGCCTTCAGAAGCCATCTACTTTCTCCAGTGCCATCTATAAAGTGTAGTTCCAGTTTTTTGGGTCTGACCTAGTGTGCAGTTGTCCTATAGGCAACCTCAGGGAATGGTAACCTCTCTATCACTCATGTACTGATAGAACTTCTTATGAGGCAGTATGTACCCTTCCTCTCCCATGGGGCATGGGGAGCCACATACCTACAATAATTGACTTGCCTAGATTGTCCTCTGATTGTTGAAAGATGCTACAGTGTCATGTGGAAAGCTCAGGCTCAGGGGCCTAGATTTGAATGTCAGCTCTTTCTCAGAGTAGTTAGGTGACCTTGGGCAGCCATCCTAATTTCTCTGAACTCTGCCTTCTATAATGAGATGTTGATAGAATGAATGACCCCTCAAAATGCACCAAATGAAGATGGTGCACAGAAAGCCCCAGCACAGTGCTCAGCACCCCGCCTTCTGCAGTGGGAAGGATCGCCGTCCAGCCTCGGGAAGTCACCGTCGACGCTCATGCATGGGCATCTTCCAAGTGGGTTTATTGAGACCATGATGAGGATACAATATAGGAGATAGGATATCCCCTTCCATCTCATGAAGCTTTTGGCTGGAGAGAAATTCTTTCTCTCCTCGGAGATCCTGCTGTTTTCTAAAGATTGGTTCATAGCAGCTTCTTGTTCTCCACCAGCCTCTTGCTGATCCAGCTGGCACCTCTTCCTGGGTGGATCAAGGCTCCTGCTATCCTTTCCCCTTTGCTGGGCATCAGGTTCTGCATCTGTAAAATAAGGAAAATAAGACCTAGTCTGGCATGGTTGCTGTAAAATTTTAATATCGTTTGTGAGCAAGTTCCTGGCACCAAGTAAGTGCTCAGTTAATTGTGGCTTTTCTCCTTGGCTTGGCTGATACTTAGGTGGGCACATGTACCTTAGTGTAAGAGAAGGAGCAGGCAGAAATCCCTTTTATTTCAGTCTGCCCAGCCTTCCCACAGGCACTGTGATGCTGCGGCCCCACCCGGGGACAGAGAGCTCCATCTTCAGTATTGAAAGCTGTGTGTAGGGAATCTCTGGGACATCCATGTCAAGTATGAGTCAAGGCCGCCCACCATAATGAACATGAACATGCTCTCTGGAGGGGCGCTGTAGTTCAGAAAGGCAGGGTTTTGGAACCAGTTCAATGTGAATTCAGACCCAGTGTCCACTCCTTGCTGGCCCTGGGTTACTTTCATTAGTATCTCTGAGACCCAGGTTTCTCATCTGTAAAATGGGCTAAGATAACGTCCTCCTTCATGGGACTACTGTGAGGACTAAGAGAAGTGACCACTTGAAAGAGTTTTGCACAGAGTAGGTGCTCAGTAAATGGTAGCACCCTCTCCTCTTTGTCAAATGTACAAATTTAAGGGGCCATTGTTTTAAGACTTCTCAATATTTTTGGTCTCCAGCCTTGGCAATTCAAAATGGCAACTCATGCCCCAGTTGGAGTTGTTACTGCCATTGTGTTTTTCTTCTTTCCTGTGAGCAGAAGCTGGCGCCTGCTTCTGCATCCTAATAGTTGGCAGGAAGGCGAGGGTTGCGAGGGCCATCTGTTCCTTGTCTTCCTCAGAAGGGCACCGGGCAGCCATGTTGAATGTTCAGGGGTCCTCCTGCACCATTGCTCTGTGTAGAACTTCACATCCCAATGCTGTCAGAGAGGGACATAGCAGGAAAGCTGAATCTAAGACAGCTTCTCACACAGACACAGCACTGGCCAGGAGCGACTGTAGCGGAGCCAGGGCCCTGACTCATGCCCAAGTTCACATCCCAAGCTGGGTGTCTTTGGATTAGCTGCCTAAACTCTGTCTCGGTTATTTACCTTTAAAACAGAAATAGCAACAGTAACACACTCATACAATTTTCATGAAGACTAAGTTATTCAGGCAAAGTGCTTCATCTGGTGCTGACAGTTGATAAATGTTAATTCTTGTTATTATTTTACTCATACCACCTCCCTTGATCCCTGAAAGCCACCCAAGGAGCAAGCAGGCCGTGTATTTGTGTACCCCTCTTCTAGATAAAGAAACTGAGGCCGAGTGGTTACGTGGTCAAGGATCCCACAGAAAGGAGTGGCTAGGCCTGGATCCCGGCAAGACACTACATGCCAACAGCATCCACACCACTACTCGATGATGCCCACGCCCTGCGGCACAGGCCTGCTTGCACAGGGAGAGCTGGAGAACCAGGAAAATACAGAGTCCTGTGCCACACCTCAGATCTGCTGAATCATGCTCTTCAGTGGGGGAGCCTGGAAATCTGTATTTGTAAAGTGCTTCCCAGGGAATTCCTATGCCCAGTTAGTGTGGGGTCTGTGGTCTACACTGCTGGGCATACAGCTCACTGTGTTTCCCCAGGGCAGAGGGACAGGAAAGGGACTCTGGAATGAATAAACACCTTCACAGTCTGTAGCCAGGCAGATACTGTCGTCAGTAAGTTTTAGAGAAGCTTGTGGAAATGCAGACATAGGGTCACTTTAACACACACCAATTTTTTTTTCCAGGTCATTGGATATCTTTCTAGATAAAATAACCTCATTACGTGTTATGGGATTTGTGGAGAAAGTCTATTTAAATAGGATTGAAACATCCTTTGTCAAAATATTCTTGTCAATTAGCCTGGACATGGCTAATTGACAAGAGGTGGCCAAAGCCAGCTCAGCCCATTGCAAGGGCTCCTGGACATGCGGTTGATCTGCACAGTGGGCCTCACTGCCCAGGAAGAGGCATGTCCCACCAGAAAGCTGGTGTTCACTGGGAACTCTGACTTTGATCTGACCTAGTCATTAGAGGACTAGAGCCTTGGGGGGCTTCTGGAAGCACAGGCACCCGGACTCAGAGAGCAGAGCTAATTTTGAAGAGTTAGATTTATCACCAAATAACCTCATTTCCCAGCCTGCTGAGACACCTATTGCAGACTCATTGGTTTTCTGTTTCCACCACACAAAGTCAGGGGTTGATTCTCCAAAGACATGCCCTTGGGACCTTTTCCTTTTGTGTCTGAAGGTAGCTATACACACAGCCCAAGGGTCAGGCTGCCTGGATTGAAATCCTGGTCCTGACACTGACTAGCCAGGAGCTGTTGGATAAACTGCTAAGTTAATCTTAAGCCTTGATTTTTTTCATCTGTAAAATGGAAAGAATAAGACTGACCTCATTAGGTTGCTGTGAGGGTTAAATGAAGGCAAGAAAGGAAGCAGGCAACAAATTAGGAGGTTCTTAGGGTGGCCCATGGTGACTCAGTTTAGCATGTTGAATCACACACAGTGTGCTCAACCCAGGAAAACTTGGGGCCCATGAAAAACACTCAGTGGATGTTAACTGTTACTAATACCTCATGTCTTTAATATAGCATGGGTTTAACTGGTTGGTAAGAGGGAAGATGTGGGGATAATTTGGAGAGTAACTCTTTACAGGCAAGTAAATTACCTGTTCATTCCATTGTTCAACAGTGTGCTGAGCCCTGAATGTGCCAGGGACTCTGCTCGTGCTGGGGATGCAATGGAGACCTGAGATCATTGCCTTTTCACAACACTTGGGCTGAAGCCTGATATTAAATGGGTCAGTACACATTGCAAGAAGTGCAGTCAAGGCAAAAAATGGAGCGTGTGAGAGAAACAAGGTGTAAGTAGGGAAATAAATCCTTCCTGAGCTGGGGTGGCCAGGGGGAGCTTTGAGACTGTGATCTGAAAGGAAGAAGAGCTGGTTTGGTGAATTGTGGAAAAAAGCTTTCTAGGCAGAGGGCAGGGTCCCCCAGGAGGAAAAGAAAGTATGTTATGGTGTGTTCAAGAAACCTAGGGAGGCCAGTTAAGGGCAGGGCAGGGGCCGGACGGCCGGATGAGGCTTGGGTCGTGCGCAGAGGCTAGATCATGTGAGGGCTGGTGGGCTAGCTGTAAGGAGAGGGAAGCAGATATGCACAGTGCAAGCCCAGCCAGGGCGTCTAAGAAGGGAGGAGACACAGGTCTGCAGTGCTATCAGGTTGTTCTGGCCACGGCATGGAGAACAGAGCGGGTGGAGGGCAAGAAAGGAAGCAGGCGACAAATTGGGAGGCTCTTGGGGTGGCCCATGGTGACTCACTTTAGCACGTTGAATCCCACACGGTGTGCTCAGCCCAGTGCTAAGCTCTCCAGGGCAAACCATGGTTCCTGAGATGGAGTTCTCTTTTCCAGCCAGTCCGGGGCTCCGCCTTCTGGACACTCCCAGCCTGGCTGAGCTCCCTCACGTCTCTGCTTGCAGAGGAAACAGGCTCTTTCTGTGTGTTTTCCCAGCCAGGAAAAGTCCAAGCCACACTCCCTCACTTCCTGAGTGGCCTGCTCTGCTTCTGTCCCTCTTTATAAATGTCCCCGAACCAAAGTTCTTCTCTTTCCTGAGCTTTTCCTGTCTCCATGGACTGGCCTCTCTCTCTGTTTCAGTTCCCTTTCTCCTATGGCTACCCCAAAGACCTCATGCCCTGTTTTGTGATCTCCATGTCTCATCTCTTCACTGCTTGCCTACTTACCAGCAACTTGGACGTAGGTCATAGTCAACCCTAGTCCTGCTCTGGGGTCCCATGGTTAGTGCTGGGTGGAAGAATGGATGGATTCCTGTCACATTGGGTATTGTTCAGCCATTTCAGGAAGGACAGTTTGCCCAGGCAGATGGGACATAGCCCTTGGTTTAGTGAACTTGGCCTTGTTCTCCTATGATAGAATATGGGTCCACTCAAACGAGGCTTTGGGAAACCAAAAGCTCCCAGCCCCTTGGGCAGAGGTTCCATGGTCTGCAAGCCCTCTGAGATCAGAATTTCTTAGAATTCCCAGAGGATGTGATAAACATGAGATGGTTTCCAGGACATGTTGGCTGTATTTAGTGATCTAAAAGTGTGAATCTCACTCCAAAGAACCTTTTTCCAGCTTGGGGTATTGGGGTGGGGGCAAGTGGTGGTCTTACCCAGATACTCAAGGCAGAAGATAAACCACAAGTAGAAAGCTAAAACATTGAGCTCACTTCCTTGATGGTGTCTCTGAACTGCTTTTTTTTTTTTTTTTCCCTTCAGCCTTCCAAAATCTAATAATCACCTTGGAGAAATAGAGGAAGCTGTTTTATAACTCTTGGTTGAGTTGTTGTGAATCTACCTTGTTACATTCTTGCTTGTCAGTCATTCACTACTGGGTGCCCTCTGGGTGTTAGTAAATCCTTGACTACAATGGCAAGGAAGTGGGTGGCCACAGAATATACAAGAAGTCAGGCATCAGGGAGGATCAGCATGTGTCAGATCTGGAAAGGCCCTCAGAGATCACCTGATCAGTGATTTTGAAATGCATTTAGCTATGGGATTCTTGGCTAAGCAACATCTTACCTAGAAACCGAATTTGTACAGTAGATCAAAACAGAGCCCATCTGGCAGAAGCAGGGGATGAGGTTATATTGGCCACAGGCTTCTTCTCATCTCAGCTATCGGCTAAGACATCTCCAAGGAAACCAATGCTGGGTTTGAAAACCACTGATCAGTTTAGACAGAGGGAATGACTTGTACTAGGTCACCCAGGCCCTTAGAGACTCCGTGGTTTTAAGGGGGTCACATGGCCCAGTGACTTAGCCTGAATCCAAATCCAGAACTCCAGACTCCTAGTCCAGTGCCCTCTCCTGTACATCTTGCTCTCTATCTTAGACAGTGAGTCTCCATTGGCTCTTGGTGTGGAGCCTCCCCAGGAGAGGAAAAGGGGGTGATTTTTACTCTGAGATCTCCAGTGGCGTTGCTGAAACATTAAACCTACCTTTTTCCCCCCTTAACCAGAGTCACTGGCAGGATGAGTCATGAACTAAGGGTGTTGCCGGGAAGATTCACTTCTTAAGGAGCCTAGGGTATAAATGGATGGAAAATGAGTTATGGTGAAATTGGAACTAGGCCTGGGCTTTGTTAGGTGGGTGATAGGAGCCACAGGACATAGGTGCAAAGAGCTGGCCAACTCCCCAGAGCTACCTGCTACTCCTGTATTGAAGGGTAATTAGTCAGTTGTCGCGAAGTCTGGCTGCATAACAAACAACCTCAACTCTCAGTGGCTTACAAAGCAACAGTTTCTTTCTTCCTTATGTCACCTGGGCTGTGCGTTGGCTGTGGTTCTGCTCCACATACTTTCTCGTTTTGTGATCTGCCTGTTTTATTGTGGTTGAGAACAGCAAGAGGCTGAGCCAAATTGTATAGTCACATTTACAACTTCTGTTCAGACCTGGCATCCTTCATGTCTGCTCACACTCTGTTGGCCAAAATCAGTCACGTGGCAATGCCTGGCAGTGGGGCCAGGCCTTTGTGAGTCACAAGGCAAGGGAGATGGGTTATATAGTTCTCTTAAAGACAGGGTGAGGGTGGTAACTGTTAACGAATGCATTGTACCAGAATGGGTGTTTTGGGGTGATTGGTGGAAGATATATAGGATGTTTATCTCCCTAGGTATATAGGATGTTTATCTCCCTAGGACATAGTCTTTGGAGACAGAAAGACTTTTTAAGAATTCTGGATCCTAAGTCTTGGAGACATTGAGAAAGTCAGATCCTTGATTCCCAAACAATGCCATGTATCCCTTGTGGGTAACTTCTGTTTGCATTTTTCTCCTCCATAAGAGGATATGCACCTGAGCTGGCTTGCAGAGGCAGTGATGGGCATCTCCTGGTGGGGCTGGCTGGGTTTGGGGCCCAGAGGGGCCCAAGAAGCACCGCTGACGAACAATGCTTTAAGACTATGCTTTTCAGGGAAGCAGGAGGGTAGGAGAGCTGGAATGGTCATTCCTACTACCCTCCCCTCACCACTTGCCAGAAATTGTATGTTTTGTACATTATGGTATTACTTTGACAGATGAAAAATCAAAACTGAATCTCCTTAAGATACCGAGCCTCCAAATGCCTCCACCTTCCCAGTGGAAATCAATGGATGCCTTCTTTAATGGAGGTGTTAGTATTTTTGATGGTATTGATTTCTAATAAGTCAAGAATCAGGAAATCCCACTCTATGGGATCATTAGAGATTTGGATCTAGGTTACTAGGAAAAGTGTTGCTGCTAACCTTTGTCAGCAGCTCCTGGCTCAGCAGAAACCTTCACATAAATCACCTATAGGCTTCCAGGTGGCCTTTGATCAGACAAATGCCACTTAAGGACTTGCTTTTGCTCCTGGCTGCTCTTGAGTCTACCTCCTGCAGGAAATTCCATACTGGCTGGCTGCTTGTTCTTCCATAGCTTCTGAGGCCCGAATGTCAAAAGGAAGCTGTCCTCCAGGCTGTTGGGTAAGGAGAGCAGGAATTCAGGCAAAAAGAGGCCTAAGCAGGATCCAGGAAGCTGCACTCATTTTCCCATTCAAATGACCTTCTCTGGTAGTGCACAACTAATCACGGAAGGTGGAACACGTAATCAAAATGTACTCACATCCACTCTGCAGAAAAACAAGCCGGTGCTAGGTCACTTCAGAGGGGTCTGAAGAATGGAAGGGGTTCAAAGTGGTCTGTTCATCAGGACCTTTTGTTCCTCTGAATTTTCTCAAATTTCTATTTTTTCCAAACTTTTTATTTCAAAAGATTTCAAGTTTACAAAAAAGTTGCAAGAATAATGCAAGGAACATCTGTATATCCTTCACCTAGACTCACCATTGTTAACATTTTGCCATATTTCTCTTATCTTTCTTTCTATATATACTTGTTATCTCCCTGAACCATTTGAGAATTAGTTACAGCCATTAAGCCCTCTAAGCACTTCTGCAGATCGAAGACACCTCTCAAGAAAGACATCTCCCAAGAGCAGAGATATTCTCCTGCAGAACCACAATGTATTTATCACACTCAGGGGAATTAATGTCAATACAATAGTGTTACTTACAATCCTCAGTCAGAGTTGCCTGCTGGTCCCAAGGATGTTCTTCATAGTGAGGCTTGGCTACTTGGGCCAAATCCTGCTCACTGCTTGTTTTCATAAATAAAGTTTTATTGGAGCACAGTCCCACTCATTGATTTACATATTGTCTCTGGTTGCTTCTGCACTACAGCTGCAGAGTTGAATATTTGGGAGAAAGGCTGTATATTCCTCAAAGTCTAAAATATTTTACTATTTGACTCTTTAAGAAAAAGTTTCCCAACCTGTGCATTAACGTTTGTGTAATCCAGTATCTAATCAAGGCTCATGCTTTGCATATGTTTTTAATTTAAAAAAATATATGTGATCCCTAACTTATGAACATTCTTTACATACAAATGACAACAGGTTTCCTATGTTCTGCATGCTCCATCCATATCTCTCATCAATTCCCTGTAAGGTCCCAGCTCTATGGAACTACCTAGTGACATGAGTATTTAGGTGCCATATCCTTGTTCTTTGTTCCTGCGGTTTCCTTTGCTCAAAACACTTCTCTACACTGTCTTAAAGATTTAGTGCAAGCACCATCTCTTGGAAACCTCCAAAACCTTTTTAACTTCCTGTTCTCAAGACCCCTTTACCCACCATCTGGTTGTCTAAGCTCCCAAGACCGACTGGATTTTCTGATGTTGTAGCACTGACCACACAAGTGCATTGATCTATTTTCTGTTAGTCTCACCCACTAGTTTGTGGAGGCCTTGAGGGCAGGGTCCATGTTTTATTCATCTGTGTCTCCTTGGTGCCTAATATAAGGTCCTAAAATGCTCAGCCATTGTTTACTGAATGAATGAATGGATTCCTCCATGGTGCAGGGGCTCCTCTCCTATTCTTAGGACCATCTTGTGGAATTTCCAGCCTCCTTTTTCTTCTGCTCCTTCCTTTCCCAGTGCTTGCATTTGGGGCACTTACCCTCATGCTTAGAGGCCTTAGATCAATCTAATGCAGGAACCAAAATGAGAGATGGAAGAAAGCAGGGTGGACTACTGAAGCCACAGGCATACCAGAACCCTTCCCACCACTGCTCCTCTGCCACCGCCAGTCCTGTTCCAGCCCTTCACCACTCTTTTCCAGACTGTGGTAATCATTTGGTGATTGCTTAGAGTTGGGGATCCCAGCCACCCCTATGTGGCAGGTAGCATTAGCAGGCGACAGAAGGAGCACTGAGTGTGCTGAGCATCATCTCACTTGACCCTTATAGACCTCTGGGAACAGGGCACTGTCCCCATGCTCCAGATGAGGCAGTGGAGGCAAACAGTGATGGTCTTATGGTTAGGAAGTGTCAGAACCAGTGTACATACTGGGAGCTGGTGGTTCCACAGCCCCTTTCCAGTCACTTGCAGTGTTCACTAATTTCCCTTGGGAGCAGTGGTGTATCCCTGGCACCCCGAGTTTAACCTGTGAAGGAATATATTATCTTCTGCAGTGCTGGAGTTTGGGGTTAGGGTCTAGATCAGGGCTGTCCAATAGAGCAAGCATTCTGTGGGGAGGGAGATGTTCTAGACCTATTCTGTTCACTATGGTATCGAGCAGACACAGGCCACTTATGAACACTTGAAATGTAGCTAGTTTGACTTATTTAATTGTAATTAACATATTTAATTTAAATAGCCATGTGTGGCTAGTGCCTACCAACAGCACAACCTAGAGTAAAGGTTGACCAGGGATAGTCTAGGCAAATGTGCTGTGTGGGTTGACTGGCTGGATACTTCTTGGGTTAGCAGGGTTTTCATAGATAAGTTGGTATTAAATTCCAACCAACATCATTAGCTACCAATTTGTTCTGGAATTGGGGGCTGCCTGCATTGCCACCGTGCTGATGAGCTCTGACAGTTTTCAGGTTTGCCTTTGAGGCAAATGACTCTTTCAGCCCTCAAATAAGGCAGATAAAATGCATAGGGCCGTGGGGAAGAAAAGAAGGGAGGCATGGATGAGAAGACCCAGGGGGGTCTCATGTGATGGAGCTATTTTATGTGCATTCTAGTTCTGCTCTTCTGAGTGAGCACTTGCCTGGAATCCTTCCGGGGATTTGGGTTCTCAGCTGGAGTTGCCAGCAGAATGTAGACTCCCAGGGATGTATGTGCCTGTCATTCTAGGACCTGAAGGGGAGGCTTGACAGAGAGTCAGGTGCATATCTCTTAAGATGAGCCTTCAGGTGAAGGCAGTATAGCACAGTGGTTATGGACCCGGGACTTGCAGTCACACGTTCTAGCGTGGAAGCTTATAAACTCTCTGGCCTTGGGAAAGTTGTTCTACCTCTCTATGCTCAAGTTCCTTCAACTGTAAAATGGGGTTAAGATCAGTACGTAACTCACTGGGCTCTTGTAAGAGTTAAACAAGCTGACATTCATTTAGCATGGTGCCTCACTAGTAATCAGCATCTAGTTGATCGTTGCTGGTTTTTAGGGCGTTGGAGCAAGCCATCATGTCAGATCAGCATAGCTCTTTATATCCTTCTCTCTGCATTTTTTCCTCTATCAACAGTTTCTTGCTTTCAGAACTCAAAATGCTTTGGGGAGCTTTGCAAAAATTTGCTCCCAAATCCTGGGAAAGGATATCTGTTTTCTCATCTCGTCTCCCTCTCTCTGGATATTTATAGTTCTGGATAGAAAAGAGCTGCTTTGATTTCTCAGAATAGTTTCCACAAAAGTGTGGTGCTAGGGAGGCAGGGCTGGGAGGAGAGAGTGTTAGACTTGGCGTTGGGAAGCCTGGGTTTGAATCCCACTTGCCGGCTGTGGGGCCCCCACCAGCAACCACAAGCTAGCCTTAGGCTTTGAGCCTTAGTTTCCTCACTTGTGACATGAGGATGGAGTGATAGTCAGATGAGATGATACAGCCCTCTGTTTGCACCTAGAAGACACTGTGAATGTCAGTTAAATGTGAGCATTTAAATCCTTTTTCAGCTTAAGTGTTCAAACTCACAAGTTGGAAACTACTTGTGGGGCCCTTCATGGTGAGACTCCCAGCTGGAAGGCATCCAGAAGCCACCTTCAGAGTAATGCAGTTAAAGGCAGCAGACCCTGTCTGTCCAGATCTCGGCTGTTCCTCTACCAACAAGCCTTACTTAGATGACTGGAGCAAAGCTTCCGGAAAGAAAAGACTGCAGATGGAGCTGAAATTGCCCTATGAGAACAAAGCCAGGAAGAGCCAAGTCTCTTGATCCGGGGAGGTGCAAGGTGAACAGCCACATTATGGCTTGGGGAGGACACATTTGGACTGCGCCAGGCAGCTGGGCCCACTGCAAGCAGCTGCTCCTCCACTGTTTGAGGGCACTCTGTGGGGTGTGGTGGGGGGTCACCTCCTGGGCTGGAGGAGTCTTGTTTGCAGGGTGGGGGTGGAAGTATATAGGGAAGCCATGAAGCACAAAACGTCAGGACCAAGTTGGCAAATTGTAGAAGGCACGGAGAGAAAGAGCACATGTTGGAAGCATGTAGTTCCTGGGAGTCTCTTCCGATCTGTGAACTTGAGGGCTGTGGGGGTGCTGAATGAAGCCTGAGGCAGGGTGATGGGAAGGGAAAGCCCAGGCCTCGAGCTAGGCAGACCCCAGTTCAAGTCTTTTTTGCCACTTTCCTCCACGTGACCTGGGTTAAATAGCCTCTCTCAGCCTTGAGTTAGCATCATTAAAATGGGGATTGAAGGCAGAGCACTTTGTGTTTGGAGGAACTTAATGCGTGGTTGAGCCTTTCTCCCTACGGAATTTCATAATATGTAATACTTTGTTTGCTCCTCTGCTGACTTGCTTTGCTATTTGCAGACGTCCATGTGGGGCCTTGAAATTGTGCTGTGCCATGGGGTTGCTGGGGTAGGAGGCAGGTTTGATGGTGATGGTGGTGGGTGTTGCTAGGACAACTCCTGAAGCCCCAGTTCTGTGTACTTGAAGGTCCAGGGTCTAGGGGAGTATTATGGGTTGAATCATGTCTCCCCTAAAACAATATTTTGGAGTCCTCACCCCTAATACCTCAGAATGTAACCTTATTTGGAGATAGAAACTTTATAGAACAAATCAAGTGAAAATGAGGTCATTGGGGTGGGCCCCAATCCAATATGACGGGTGTGCACATCTAAAGGGGAAACATGGACACGCAGACAGACACACACTAGGGGCATATGAAGTGAAGAGACACAAGAAGACAGCCAGCCAGAAGCCAAAGAGAGAGCCTGGAACAGATCCTTCCTCACAGCCCACAGAAGGAACCAATCTTGCTGGCACCTTGATTGCGGACGTCTAGCTCCCAGAACTGTGAGAGAATGAATATCTGTTGTTGAAGGCACCCAGTCTGTGCTACTTAGTTAGGACAGCACTAGCAAACTAATGCAGGGAGCAATCCCACACCTTTAGTAAAGAGAAAGGGTTAGGAGTGTGGTTTATGGAGTGCTCGGAAGGCCTGGCTAGAGCCCTGCCCTGCATTCACTCGCTGTGTGACAGTGGGCAGGTCCCTTCACCCCTGTGAGCCACTGCTACTTGGTCAGGGTGCAGAGGTAATAATACCTGTTCTCCTGTGGATCTGTGGTGAGGTGAAATGGGAGGGTGTGTGGTGGTCATTACTATTAATTCCCCTGCCCGGTTCTCGTCTTTGCTTTCCAAGTAGGCAGCCTGCCCCTTGTTGGCTCTGCCCAATGGGCCACTCCCTGCCTCACTGCTTGGGAACCCAGGATTTCTGGAAGCAGGACCTGTTTCCCTGGGAAACCACACCCATGACACCTGCAAGACTTTGGGGAAGATCGCTGGGCACAGTTCTGCACTAAAGCTGGACCAGAAAGTGTTTCCTCAGCTGTATACTTTTGGGATGAATTAATGAGGTCAACGAGCCTTTCCTTGACATCTGTTTTTTAGCTGACTCTGCTAGGCATTTTCACATTTGCTTTCTCACTCAATCCTTACCACAATCCTTTGAAGCAGGCATTATTATACCCATTTTGCAGACTGGGAAACTGAGTGTCACAATGCTTAAGTGACTTCCCCAGGTCACCTGGCTTATACATGGTAATTCAGCATTTGAATCCAAAATTATATGATTTCACATCCCTTCCTTTCCCTACAGCACAGTGCTTCATTTGGAGAAGTGTTGGTTTTCTGTTCTGGAATATGGATTTGCCTGGGTGGCGTTGCGAGTGGAAGGTAGGGAAAGGCCTCCTGGATTTCTATTAAGAGAAGGTGGCTAGGCTCAGAGGGAGTTTATTTCCCTTTTCCCTCCCCTCCCTTCTCAGCTCCCTGAAAAAGGCGCCTCGCAGTTTCTGCTGCTGCTGTTTCTCATGGATTTTTAATAAAGATGATTAATGAACCAAGAATTGATAAGAAAAGGCAAATGGTATTTGGGTTATTCATTGTTCTAGTAAAATATAGTTTTCACTGCAGGTCTTAAGTGACTTTTTCGTTAAAATGCCATCAAAGAAAGAAAAGGTTAAATAAAATGAGTTTTCCATGGCAGAAGTGTGAACCAAGGGGCCTCTGCAGGACAAGACCCTGGGGCAGCCAAGCAGTAGGCTTTGCCACTCCCCAGTGGCAGAGTTGTGGCAATTCTGCCAAACAACACCTTTCTCCCAGAAAGAGGGCTAGAAGAGCGATTCCTCAAAAAGGGTCTGGCAGGAATCTCAGTAATTCTGCTCCCTGGAGGCCCAGTGGGGTCTGAGGGCCCAAGAAAATGGACTGTTTCAGCCCTGGTAAGGCAGGCAGGCATACAGAGCTACCCATGACTGCTGGGCTGGGGTCAGTACCCTGTGTGGTCAGCTGCCCTCCTTATCCTGCACAACCACACCTGCCATGATGCCTGTAGCCAGAGGGGCTGTGTCTAGAGCTGTGTGGGGACAGCGCCCTTCCAGCTGAACTCCTTGACAGCTCTGAAGGAGGCTTCTTCCATAGGCAGGACTCAGAGAGCTTACACTGGTCTGATGTCACCAAGGAGATCTGCACGTTCCCAGCCTTACAGACATTGGGCACCAATGGGTGAATTGCCTTCCACATTAAGGATATTTTTGTCTTTCTGAATCTGCTTTGAGCAAGTGTCTCTATTGTGATTTGAAGAGATTTTGTCACAACTACTCTGTTTCATTCCATCACCTCCCATCTCATCCCACCCCATCCTATCATATCCTGTTCTATTGAATCCCAACCTATCCCATCATATCTCATTTTATTCCATCCCATCCCATCATATCTCATTCTATTCCATCCCATCCCTTCATATTCCATTCTATTCTATCTCACCCATCCCATCATATCTCATTCTATCCCATCCCATACATCCCATCATATCCCATTCTATTCTATCCCATCCCATCCCATTGTATCTTATTCTATTCCATTCCATCCCGCCCATCATATCCCATTCTATTCCATCCCATCCTATCCCATCCCATCCCATCCTATCCTATCCCATTCCATCATATCCCATTCTATTCCACACCATCCCATCATATCTCATTCTGTTCCATCGCATCCCATCATATCCCATTCTATTCTATCCCATCACATTGTATCTCATTCTATTCCATCCCATCCATCCCATCATATCCCATTCTGTTCCACACCATCCCATCATATCATTCTATTTCACCCCATCCCATCATATCTCATTCTATTCCACCTGATCATATCTCATTCTATTCCATCCTATCCCATCATATCCCATTCTGTTCCATCCTATCCCATCCCATCCCATCATACCCCATTCCATTCCATCCTATCTCATCATATCTCATTCTATTCCATTCCATCCCATCATATCCCATTCTATTCTATCTCATCCCATCCCATCGCATCCCATCCCATCATGTCTCATTCTATTCCATCCCATCCCATCCTATCCCATCCTATCCCATTTTATTCTGTCCTATCCCATCCCATCCCATCATATCCCATTCTATTCTATCCCATCCTATCCCATCCCTCTCCATGCCTTAAACACTCATGAGATTGTAGATGGTGTCAGGTCCTCTTCTAAGCACTGGGGAAACAGAGATGACCAAGACTCAGCCCTGCTATTAGAAAGCTCCCTGTCTAACAAGAGAAAGAAGCAGACAGTTGGGGTGTGATGGAAACAGTAGATGGAGAGACTAGGCACCCTTCTCCCCTTTCCCCCAAGCTCACTCCCACATATTTACCTGGGGAAGAGAGGTGGCTAGAGGAGAATGTGACAGTGGAGGGGGTGGTCGGAAGAGGCTTCTTGGAGGTGACTATTGGATTGAATTTTCAAAGAGTGGATAGTAGTTTGCCAGGCAAACAGCAAATCTCCATACTGGCACTTAAATACAGCTTGATAGGTGCTGGGCCACATTCCTAGAATTTCACGTATATTAACTAATCTACTTCCCTCTTAACAGCCTGTGAAGGAGGTGCTGTTATTTATTACCTCCATTTTCCAAATGAGGAAGCAGAGGCATGGTGAAACACCGTTTCTGAAGTGGTTGAGTTGGGGCTGGAGCTCTGGCAGGCTATGGTGCTCACTCCTGTGCTGTGCAGCCTCTCTGGCAAGGTGGGGAGAAACTCTGGACTAGAGGTGAGAAGTGGTGCTGCCCTTGAGCATCAGGACAGTAAGTGGGGACTCCAGTAACCACTCCTCCTGGAGTGCAGATATTATTTTCTCTATAAACAAAGTCCCTTGAGCTAAGCTCTTACTCTCTGAGACCCAAGATGAAGAGGCAGGAAGGGTTGCCACTTTCCCCCACCTGCAAAGTGCTTTCCTGGCCAGGGAAGCTGTGGAAATCCAGCAGTGCGTCAGAAGAGGGGAGCTTTATCCCAGCCCTCTGGCTGCAGGGGCTCCCAGCCAGGAAACTCTGAGCCTGGGCTGGACTTTCCATCCCTGATGCTTCTAAAGAAGGGTGGAAATGCTGCCTGACTCCAAGCATGAAGCAGGGCTATTCCTGTGCAGCTTGCCTCAGGCCTTGGGCACACCCAGGCTCCACCTGCAGGGACAAGCGCTGTGCCCTCCGCAGAGCCCAGCCTCACCCTGCCTGATACCTTGCACAAATGTGAAGCACACACACTAAGGCATTTGCAAGCATTCAGCAGTAGGACTTTAGCCATTTTTTTCCTCACTTGTCTTTTTCTAGAGAAAATCAAGGATCCCATTGCATCTATTACAAGGTATTGCCTTTTCTCTATTGCAAGACCTGTCATTGATTTAATCATCATTTTTCAGAGGGGGAGAAAAAAACCCTACCACATTAAGAGTACACCTTGATCATAAGATTCACCATCAATCACCATTTCAAAAACATTACAATGTAAAAAAGAAATGGGGATCTGAGAATCCAGGGGCGATGGTATTTTCTAAACATCTTGTGGCAGAAGGAGGATATGTGTGTGGGGAGCTTATCCAGGAAGGTTGGCCCTGACTGACACTGGTGAAGGCAGGCGGCAGAGATGCGTGCCCATCCACCCCTGCCTCACTGCCTTCAGTTTCCATCATACAGTTCCACTTTGGGGACATTTCTAATACCTCAAAAACACTCGCAGCTGAATTCGTTCTTCAGTTGAGTTTGACAAATAATCAGCTTCTGCTTCAAGCTGGGGAAATGTCAACTCAGTGGATGTACACGGACCAGCTGTGATCACCAGGTATGTTGGAGCATCCTCTTGGTGGCTAGATGGTAATGAGTGCCAGCCATGTGGCATGAGAGTACCTTGCTCAGAGTCAAAGGAACTGGGCTGTAATCCCAGCAACCTCAGATGCCATTGCTTTGCTTCTCTGGGTCCCCAATTCCCCTTCCATATAGTAGGGATGCAAACTGATAGCCACAGAAGCTGACAGTTACCGAGTGCTCAGCGTGTGCCACACAGCGTTCTGTGTGTCTTTAAAGTACAACTCATCTGATCCTCACAACAACCCTAGGAGGGAGATATTTTTATCCCTATTTTTCAGATGAGGAAACTGAGGCACAGTGTTGGGTCCAGAGCTGTGTGGGGACAGGGCCCTTCCAGCTGAGTTCCCTGACAGCTCTGAAGGAGGCTTCTTCCATAGGCAGGACCCAGAGAAATTAGGTAATTTAAGACATTGAGTAATTTCCCCAAGGTCACACAGCCAATAAGTGGCTGAGACAAAAGTTGAATCCAAGCTCTCTAATTGTAGGGTTTATGCTTTTAAAAATGCGGGTACTACCTTAGAGCAATAATTATTGCATATAAAAAACCCACCATAACCATTTAAAAATGAATATAACATAAAACTCCAATACTGAAACATTAAATGGCAATCTTCCTGTTAAACAGGAATGAGACTCAGAGACTCTTCTACCTGCAAGGATCTGGAGGCACCTCTGTGACACCCTGGAGTTCCTTAAAACAGCATAAAGACAGCTAGACTGAGAAACCTCATAGGGCCATCCAGTGTCCAGTGTCCCGTGTCCTGAGACTGTCTAGGAAAGACCCAAGGCCTGGCATGGGAGCCTCACTGAGACCCATGGGCCTCCTGGGCAGACTAATGTTATGGCACCTCTTCTATCTAATATTCTTGAGATATTTGTTCAACATTTTCAACATTTATTTGTTGAAGATAGAAAAATGGATTTTCTAGTAATAGGATCTGTACACCTTTAAAAAATGTTCTATAGGCTATCATATGCACTGAGCATAACATTTGAACTTGTTTGGGATTGTAGTTTACTGCACATTTTTCTATTGCTCATAATTGGATAGCATTAGCCACTCCTGTTAGCTAAAGATAATGGTAGTGTACATTGACATATCGTGAAATGTTTGTTCCCTGCAAATAGCGCTGTATCCTGCTTTCCTGTTTTCAGAATTTTAGCCAGCAGCTGGCATCATGCAAGTTTGGTTTGCAGTTGCATGGTCTGTAGCTGCATGGCACAACTTCATTTGCAACGCAAAAATACTCAACAGAGGTAGGAAACTGGAGCCAGTGAGAAGTTAGATTTTTGTATTTAGTTCTACTTTTACTCAAGGGCACTATCTTGCACAGAAGTGAGACGAACTCACTTTTTGTGAGTTTTATCTATTGCATAATTGCCCCTGGAAACCTGAGTTACCGGTGCCATGTTGGCGACTTACCCCAGTGACATTTTTGCAATCCCTAGACGTGGCACTTCACGCTACTGTCACGGCTGCCCGGTATAGGGCAAAGGGTGTGTTCTATACAATTCTAGGGGTAGACTACAATGTGAATGGTACCCCATAGAGTTTTCCAAGCTGCACAGTCCTGATGGCTGACTCCTTAATCAAGCGATAGAGTTTGACCTTCGCTCCTTATGTTTATCCCAACTTCACGTAGTGGGAACCCTGAGCCCATTTCTGCTTCCACCTCATGGAGTATATTTGGGCAACTAATGCCTCCCTTTTCTGGGTCTTAGTTTCCTCCATGAAACCTGAATTGTTTATACAAGGTCCCACCAGTTCCATGCGATTGTTTTGCTTCATCCATGACCTGGCACTGATGGTCTGTTGATTTCTGGTGTTGACTTAAGTCTGATCTCGGTTAGAGGACTCAGAGGAAATAAGGGAAAGCAAACCAGATCAACGTTCAGATGATCCTGCTCTGCATTCTCGTGAGACCCCAGCCTCTTTCCTGATATGTGCTGGAGGTCTTTGGAGAAGATTCCATGTCTTTGAGACAGAGTCCACTTGGTCTGGTAGAGATGCATCCCCAGCCAGGCTATTCCACCTGGTCATGGGCTTACCTGAGGAGGCCCCTGATCTGAGGAGGTTCTGGCTGAGGGAGGTGCACCCTTGCAGGAAGGCTTGACCATTACTTGCTTCCCTGGTAATGCTGTTAAGGAAATGAGGAAAGTCTGGCAGGACGTGTCTTTAGTGGGTGTTTCAATTTCCTAGGGTTCTGTAATAAAGTGGGTGGCTTAAAACAACAGGAATTTATTCTCTCATAGTTCTGGAGATTAGAAGTCTAAAGCCAGGGCATTCAAAGCCAGGTTAAAGTCAGTAGCCAGGGCCCAGGAGAGCTTTGTCACAGGAGACTCACGCCAGACCTGTGTTTTAAGCTGCACGCCTGCTGGCACGTGGCCACTCCTGGGCTGATGCTGTCGCAGTCTGAGCTCCTAAGCACTGGAGCGTGGATTAAGCTGGGGTTGGGGAAGATGAGAAGCCTGTTTCTGGCAAACGTTTACACTGTGTCAGGAAAATGCTCTCTAGCTAGATCTCCTGAAAACAGAGAACCCTGCAGCCTGTTGGCTGTCAGAGAGGGGCTGGGTCCTTGGCAGCTTGGCTGGCATGAATGGTGGGGTGGGGATAGGCACCCCCGCCCTGAGCAGCCCATCAGGGATCCTGAGCAGGACTCATCATTCAGAGTCCTTAGTTCAAGTCCCGATGACTCCGAATTTCTTAGCCTCTTTAAGTGTCAATTTCCACAACTGTAGAATGGCAGAAATGATAGACACTTTATTGGGTTGTTGGTAAGATTTAGTGAGACCACAATCTCAAAGTGCAAGGAAGGTGCCTGCAAGAGTAGGTTCAGAGATTCTGTGTTTCCTTCCCAGGAGGCTGCGCAGGACCAGCCCTGTTGTTCCACTCTGCCTGTCTGCTCCCTCCGGGACCCTCACCCCTGCTCAGAGACCCTGGGCTCAGACAGACACTGTCAGAAACAGGCCCTGCAGTCCTGGAATCTGGATTCTCTTGCCTCTCCCCTGACACTTTCCATAAGTAGAGTGTCTAGGGGAGAGCTGGCTGTGTGTGAGCCATGTGAGGGAATCAGCCACACTTCTTCCAACATAGCCGGTGAGATAGCATCAGTTCCCAAAAGATGTTCCATGGAACATCAGTTCCATTCCAGGCTCTGGGGAATGGAGTTCTGTGAACAAATACATTTGAAAATCTGTATCAGGAATGACCTAAATACATTAATCACACTAAAGGCTTGGAGACACTTTATAGTAAGAAAGCCTGGTTAACTTTCAGGGTGTCTTAAATGAATTTCATCTCAGAAGTTTAGCTCCCCATCCCTCCCCCTCATTTTTTTTTTCAAGTAACACTTGCTGACAAGCACAGGTAATGTCTTTCATGAAAGACATGCTGAAAGACATGCTGGAGACAGATTACAGGTGTCCCTGAGGCTACCTGTGCCTCCCCGTCACGGTGGTCCCCCACTTCTCTCTGTGGCCCCCTCTCCACTCAGTGATAATGCTTCTTCCAGAGCCAGTGGCTCCTGGAAAAGAAGGCCAGGCTGTGGCAAAGGGGAACAAGCCCACTGAGATGTAAGGAAGGGCATTGGCAGGACTAGGAGGTCACAGCCATGGCTCCAGAAACATTGCTGTCCTCACAGGTGCATGGGTGCTTGGTACTAACTGGTCTGCTGAGCTGAGTCGGGAAGAAGCCGCCAGTCAGCGGAGGGAGTGGTGACCACCGGGGAGGACGCATCACTCAACAGAAGATTGATTCCCCTTGCCTGTAACTGGCAAACCCTTTTGTAGTTACGAAGTGCTGCGCGGTGGGCCAGCAGTGCAGAAGGGGAGCAGTAATCAATGTATAATTACGGAAGTATCAGGCAGGCAGAGCCCGAGCCGCTCGTGTCCTCTGTGGCAAATTTTCCGGGGCTGCCTTAGGGATGTGCCCATGCATTTTCTAAGAGTTAAATGGATTTCTCAGCTACACTGTGGACTTGCAATCAGGGACATGGCAGGCGACCTTGGCACCCAGCTGCGGGCGACTTGGCTCAGCAGGAAGTGAAACTTAAAGAGAGGACCACTTGGAAGGGCTCCCGGGGGCAGCTGGTTAGCAGTGTCTGCCATCGGGTGGGAATTGTGGGGGTGCTGGGGGGGAGCTTGGTGCTTCTCAGTCCTCTCCACACTTCTCCTTTCCATAAAGGGCCTTCCCAGGGGCTTTCCCATTTCTCCTTCAGTGAGTTTTGAAGGCATTTTCCCTCCCCTGACTACCCCTCCTCTCCCCTCCATGGAGGCAGGACCCAGATCTTGGATTCCTTCTGGCCTGTGGAACTCTGGGAGAGGCAGGCAGGGAGGGGGTGACAGAGGCCTGGGTCCCGTCCATGCCCTGGGACAAGACAGGAGCTGTGGAGGTGGGCTTTGGAGGGGCAGCCTTGCTGCCTGGCAGTGTCTTGGTTCCAGTCGTGGCTGGCCCCAGGTGCTTGACTGGGAAGGCAAAGTATACATAGATGGGTCTTCTGAAATCCTGCAGCAGGTGGGAAGGTTTACTCAGGACCTCAGCGCCCTGGTGGCATGGGAAGATAACTAATCTGGAAGCAGGAAGCGGTGGGATAAAGAAAGGAAAACTAGGCCAAACTTCAGAGTGGTTCTCGAACTTGAGAGTAGGTCGGAGTCACCTGGAGGGCTTGCTTTCCCACACCCCAGAGTTTCTGCTTCAGTGGGTATATCATTTGGGCCCCAGAATGCATATCTCACAGGTTCCCAGGAGACACTAATTCTGTTGGTCCTGGGTGAATAGCTTGAAAACTACTTGAAAACTACTGATCTAGATTAAACTCACCCAAGTAAGCAAAGCCCAGGGCTGAGACCCTTGCATGGGAAGCTGTGGCTCCTGACAAACTGCTGATCTCAGTCTGGAGTGGCTCAGGAATGTGGGTGGGGTGTCAGGGGCTGGGTGTGGAGCAGAGACCTGGAGCTGAGGTGAGGCTGGGACCTGGTTATTTAATAAACCAGGCTGTTGTCTTTCTTGAGAAAGGCTGACAGAACCATGCAGAAGCTAGAATGCTGGATTTAGCCTCTGGTCAAAGACAAGTCCTTTGCATAAGGGTGTGGGGTCTGTGGGAATCACTCTGTTCTTAGCAGGGTCACAGTATATCCCTGCTTTGTCCACAGTATGCCCCTGCTGTTGAGCCCTTACAAGGGCTCTAGGCTGACCCTGAAATGCTTTCTCATACTTAATTCCAACTCTGAGGCTGAGGTTAAGTAACTTGCCCAGGGTTTCATGGCCATTAGGAAGCTGGGCTGGGATTTGAAAACTATGCTGCCCATATGCTGTTTGCATTTACTCAATAGCCAGTTGTCACAACTGTTGTCCCCCAGGCCCCGTGCTGGGAGGTATCAAACCAGGGCCTGCCTTCCAGAAGCTCTTGGTCTTTTTGAGAAGGTAAAGGCTCAAAGATAACTTTGATACAACATGATGAGTGATAATGTGGATGTCTGAAAGAATGGGGTAGGGGGACAGCTGGAGGAGTTTCTAGCTTTTTTGGGGTCCTGGGCTCCTTTCCAGATTTTGGCCATGGCAGGTGAGGGGTGGGTGACCACAATTCTCACATGCATGGCTCATTGCCTGGAAACCCTGCCTCTTGTTGAAGACCTGCATTTCCAGAGGGCCTATGGCTGCTTTCTCCTTTTCCTTCTTTTCAGTGAATACATTATCAATTTTGTCAGGCCTCTGAGCCCAAGCTAAGCCATCATATCCTCTATGACCTCACGTATATATCCAGATGGCCTGAAGCAACTGAAGATCCACAAAAGAAGTGAAAATAGCCTTAACTGATGACATTCCGCCATTGTGATTTGTTTCTGCCCAACCCTTAACTGATCAATGTACTTTGTAATCTCCCCCACCCTTAAGAAGGTTCTTTGTAATTCTCCCCACCCTGGAGAATGTACTTTGTGAGATCCACCCCCTGCTCGCAGAACATTGCTCCTAACTCCACCGCCTATCCCAAAACCTATAAGAACTAATGATAATCCACCACCCTTTGCTGACTCTCTTTTTGGACTCAGCCCGCCTGCATCCTGGTGAAATAAACAGCCATGTTGCCCACACAAAGCCTGTTTGGTGGTCTCTTCACATGGAAGCGTGAGACAATTTTCCTTTCTAAAGTTCTTATTGCAGCCCAGAAAATGGGCAGTTACCTGGTGGCTCTCCCAGTTGGCTCTCATCAACTTTCCCAAAGCCTTCACCCTGCTTTGTTCTCTCCATGGGAGTAAGCTATCACAGCCCCCCAGTCTGAAATTAAGGCCACTGCACCCTTGATTTCAAGGAAGCTCAAAGATGCCAAAGTTCTTGGAAATTTCTGGGCTTTGGGAATCTGTTTCCGCTCCATGACTTCAGAGATGACCTCAAGCACTAGAGGTTCTAATGGTGGAAGGGAAGTCATGGGGTTTGAAGAGCGCAGGCTAAGGCAGTGGTCTTAACGCCAACTTGTCCGTTTTCCTTCAGGGGAGGGTGAAGAACACCTTGTTCTATGACAGACCTCTGTTGCATAAGAAAAAAAAAATCAGGTTTGGCCCACATATAAATGGGTAGCAACTTTATTTAGTTTATTTTCCTCAGAGAGAAATGTAGAGTATTGAGCTGACCCACTTAAAAGAAGTTTATTCTTTATATAAATAAAGTGAACTTGTTATAGAGTATCTGAAAAATGTTTTTGGTTATTTTCTTCTGGGCTTTTTTTTTTTTTTTTTGGTACCGTATAGAGTTTCAGTTTTATATCCAAAGTTGGATCACCCACTGAAATGTGACTGCTTCAGAGTGATGTTCCCTCTCCCCCAGGAAAGGTGAAATTCCCCCATTGCACACCTCACTGTGTGTTGCTCTTCCTCTCCATGCTGCTTACTGCAATAACAATTAAATCTCTATTAAGACAACTATTGGCTTATTCGTGTAACTCCCCTGGAACTACAATATTCAGGATGGTAGCCACTAGTCACATGTGGCTGTTTACATTTAAATTAAGTGAAATTAAAGAAAATTAACACTTAGCTGCTCTGTTGCACTAGCCACATTTCAAGAGCCACATATGGCTGGGTGGCTACCACCTTGGACAGCGCAGATCTAGACCATTTCCATTGCGGAAAGTTCTGTTGGATAATGCTGCTCCAGACGGTACACTCCCATGGCATGGGACTCCTGTGGTCCTTACCTGTCTGTGTCAATGAGTATCCTATGCACTTGTAATCTGAGAATCTAGGACAACTTCGGAAATGCTTTATTTATAAATTACGGCCAGTTAGAGAGAAAGAGGTAGGTGGTGAGGAGAGAAAAGAAAGGCTTTCAGAAGAGCCCTGTGTGACAATGGATGAGGATGGGGGTTACACAGTTCTGGGCCTCACATGGCACAAGGATTGGCCAAGTTTCCCCAACTGCAGAGTGCTAAACAATCAATGTGTCCAGTTGGAAAACTGTGGGAATGGGACTGCCTTGAGATCCCCTTGCATCATTTTCTGAGAGGTCCGAAGCATGGAAGCCTTTGGGGAAGAGGTGTTAGCAACCTGCTGATCCAGGAGACTAGATCCCAGGGTGGGCTGGAAGCTATCACTGTGGTCTAGACACTGTACCCTGTGTTTCCACCTGGACTGGGACAACTGGTGCCTGTTTTCTGCAGGAGCTCAGAGCTGAGCAGTCCCTGCCCCTGTGTCTTGCCTACTGGATGCATTGGTTTGTAACACCCTGTAATGCTGCTTGATTCTCTGCTCTCTAGGGCTGCCATCAGAGTCCTGTCCTGGAGGCACAGGCTGCCTTTTCAATGGCATCTGCCACTGTATAATGTGAGCCTTCCTCAGCTCCAGTAAGCTCCAGTGGCCAGAGCTGGGTGGCTGGCAGCTTGGCTTTTTGAGAAAGCAAATCAACCAGGACAGGCCCTTGACTTTGTTTCCCCAGCATGACTTCCTCCCCTCCTCCACCCTTCTTCAGGTGTAGGCTGAATAAGGAAGGGAGCAAGTCTACAAGGATATTTGTGTGGGTTAGGTTCTCCTCCAGTGTGTCAGGGCAGGGGAGGTCAATGCTTAGGGTCCCAGCCCAGCCACTAGGGTTGTAGCTAGAACAGTTCAAAGAAGGTTACCACTACTTGAAATAAAAACCACCTGTATGCAATGTTGGGGAGGAAATGGGGATAATGGGAAAGAGCTGTAGGCCAGAAAAGCTAGCCAGTGGAAATCAGACTGGAAGGTCAGGCCAGATAGAAGGGTGGAGCAGCACTTAAGGACCAAGGTGGCCTGTGCCAGTGCCAACTTCTTATGAAGGACTGGGGCCAATTATTCCATTTGGATGGAAGAAGCCCCTTAAAGAGGCCCAAACATGTGGGACAGAATGGTCTCATGAGCAGTGTTTGGCACTGATATAGATGAAGATTCCTAGAAGTGCAGACCAAGCCTTTTTAGGTCATCTGCCGTATCAGTTAGAATTAGATTTAGCAGCAGGGACAGTATAATGGTGGCTTAAGCAAGATAGAAGTGTATTTCTCTCTCAAATTCAAGAAGGCTGGAGTTAAGCAGTCTGGGACTGGTCTAGCTCTTCCAGGATCACAGGCCTGGGCCCTTTTTAGCTTGTTGCTGTCATCCTCAACCTGAGCTTTCTGATTTGTGGTCTGAAACGGCTGCTGCAGCTCCAGTCATTATGTGTGCATTCTAGCCAGCAGGAAGGAGGATGGAGAAGCATATATCCCTTCTCTTTAAGGACAGTTCTGAGAAGTTACATATACCACTTTCTCTTATACCCTACTGTCCATACTGTAGTTACATAGGCACGCCAAAATTTAAGGGAAGCTGGGAAATGTAGTCTTCTTTCTGGGAAGCCATGTGTCCAGCCATAATTTGAGTGTTCTAACTAGTAGCCTCTGCCACAACAGCTAATATAAAGTACATTAGTATGAGTGAAAGTGTAGATGAAGCATCTATTGTTCACCAGGAAAACATCTATTGTGATTAGCAAAGAAGATTTGTATTTGTGTTGAGTTTTCTGCCATCAGCATAGAGATCTGTTAATTGAATTTACATGTACTGCCTTGGATAAGAAACTTTTAGCCTGCAAAAGTGGAGTTGGTCAAGCTGGGAAAAGTGATAAATTGTGCATGTGTTTATTTTTGTGTGCCTGAGGCTTACTGCATTCAGAACTTGTTTAGATGGGCAAAGTCATTATTGATGGAGAGGAGTGAATGATTTTGTGCAGATGGGCAGGAGGCTTTCAGAGGCCTTCCCTCTGGCAAATGGGGAGGGTCTGGCTCAGGAACCCCAGGAGGTCCAGATGTCAGAGGACATGGAGGCCATGCAGAGGTTCCTGTGAGCACAGTGGCAGGGGTCAGAAGCTAGCTGGGACAAGTAGGTCTTTGTGTTGGATGGAGCAGTTTTGTCTTAGTGCTTGGTGCCTTCTGAATGGGTGTTGGAAAGATGTTTCCTTGTGGCTTGGGATGACAGAGGCTGCCTCTCTCTTTTTTCTACCTACTGCAGTCTCACTAGGGTGTTCCATGCAGTGCACTGGAACTGAAGGCAAGGACAAGATTGATTGGAAATGTCAGCCTGTGCTCACTTTTGCAGCTGAGCTATTCAAACTTTTGGAGATGCAGATTGCAGCCTGTGCTGGCTTTATTCATGCAACCATTGGCTGTTCACAGTGTCACACAGTGATATGAAATGATGGCAAATTTAGAAAATCTGGGAAATGAAAAATGGTAAAGGTCTGTCCTGGCATCTTGCATCATGAGGTAGGGCTGTTCTGGAATCCCCAAGCCCTTTCCACCAAAGGAGTTTAGAATTCAGAGTCAGAAGATAGGGCCTGGAGTCCTGGTTCAGCCATTTACTCTCTGAGCAACTTGGGAGTTTCAGGCGGAGGGAATGGCACATGCAAGGGCCTGTCAGTTTGAAGGAGCATGGTACGTTCCAGGAATGGTAGATAGAGCATACATATAGGGCAGGCTGAGAGGCTGGAAGGGCTGCCTTGAATGCCAGGCTAAGGAATTTGGACTTCCTAAGGAAGCATGGAATGAATTTTAGGCTGGGAAGGGATAGGATCAGATCTATGTTAATATTGCTCACCCCAATTGCAGCGTAGAGGATGGGATAGAAGGGAATGTATGGATTCAGGGAGATGGCTTAGAACCCTAAGATTCATGGTAGCAGGGTCTCGAGCAGGGGCTTGCTTGAGCAAGCAGGTCCTGTGGAGCAGGTTTGTCTTAACTCTCGTTGTCTTTCTGAATGGGTATCAAAGAGGGGCTTCCTGCAGCCTGGATGACCGGGGCTGCCTTCCTTTGTTTGTGGGGAGGGACGCATGCCTGGCAACTTCATAGAGGCCCAGGCCATGGGCATTGCCAGAGGCTGAGCAGACCATGCTGAAGAAAGCCACCCCGAGTGCCTGGTCCCACAGGCCTTATTATCTGTAGCTGGCTTTGAATGCTGTTTGCATCATTCACTGTCTAGGGGCCTTACCTGAGCCTGAAGTTGCACAAAGTAGGTCAGGAGCTCCTCTGTGGCTGCCTCCACCCCCACCCTTCACTCCAGCCTTCAGGAAAGATCTGTCTCACCCAGAACTAGGAGAAGCTAGAGGACCTGGGTCCTGCCCACTGGAAGGCAAAGGAATGCACATGTTATTAGGACCTTGTTCCAACAGCAGTGGCTGTCATTTGTTGTGCACCTACTATGTGTATGCACAAGGCTAAATACTTTCTGTACGTTTCTCATTTAATCCTCACAGCAGCTCTTCAACATAGGCATTATTATTTTCATCCTTCATATTAATCAGTTTAAAAGTAGTAGCCAAGCTGCCTTTGTGTTTGAAAATGTCTGGTCAGGCTGTCTGCCTCCCAGAGAGGCATCAGATGAAAATGACAAGAGTTAAAAAAAAAAAAAGAAGATTCCATATCCATCCACCTACCCATCTATCCATTCATCCATACACATCTCCCACCCACTTACTCATCTGCCCACCCACACACCCAACCCACCCATCCATCCATCTGACCGAAAATTGATCTGAGTGCCTGCTCTATGCCAGGTCCTCAGATAATTTATAAGATGGAAGGATGAGAAACCTGGAAGACATCATCAACATTCGGGGTATCTACTGCAGTAGATACCAAGGCCTGTTTGAGGAATAGGTGTATTTGTATGGTTAGAGGTCAGAGTATGTGGACAGTAGATAACACTAGGTAGGTTGGCTGGATCTGGGTTGGGAAAGGCTTCGAAGGCACGGTCAAGATTTTGTGTTTATCCAGTGAGCAATGGGAGCCGTGATACCTTTTACAGCATTGCAGTGGCAGAATTTGATTTGTAGAGGACTATAGAGACGGGATTGTAGGTTCTGAGATGATAAGCGCTGGGATGTCCTCAAGTACAGGCAAGAGATGATGTGACAGAGCCTCAGGCAGCAGGTTGGTGTGGTTGGCACAGAGAGCGGAAGGCAGAAATGGAGAGAATAAAGAGGCAGCAGTGGCAGGATCTAGTGCATGGGGAGGATAAGACAGGGAGTCCCGATGGCCTCAGGTCCTGGCTGGGTTGACAGGGGTGTGGAGGTGGAGTGGGTGTCCACGAAGGCAGATGGGATGGTTGGGTCTCCTCCCTGTGTACCCTATCTTCCAACTATGATGTGGCTCAAGGGTAGCTCAAACAACTGGCTCACTTTGGGCTTGTAAGCCTTCTCAGGGATACCAGGGCTCAGATTGTGTCACAGACACCTGGGAAAGGAATTATAGTGGCAGCTTGGCTGAGTGGCTGGGGAGAAGAGGGGCCTAATCCTGCTTGTTTGCCAATGTTCTAAAGCTGGGAACCTCCCCAGGGTGTCTCAGCTCCTGGAGAAGTTAGCTCTGTTCTTTTCTGGTGTGCTGTGATGTGCTCCCCACCCCACCTTTTTCCTTGCATGCTAGTTGATGCTCTGCACAGAAGTGTTTGTCATTTTGATGCAGGCCAAATGACCACATCCCCCCTGGGATCCAGGCCTTCCCTTGGGCACTGCATTTATGCAGGTAGCTCAGGACAATGCAGAATTTCAAATACCATCCCCCAGGGAGCTTCTTCAGCCTTCCCTTCTGTTCCTTCCCCTGGCTTGGCTGTCCCCTGAGTGAAGGACTGACCTTTACACATGCACTCCAGCTGCTAAAACCTCTTTTGATGGGAAAACGCTTTTTAGTGGTTTTTCTTGGTCCTGTGGCAACTGCTGCCTGGGATGGTGGAAGACCACTTGCCAACAAGGTGATTTTTTTCTGAGGCATGAGTGAGGATTTCAAGGAGTGTGGCTTGGATACACTGTGCACGCGCTTATCTGAATGTGGCCTGCATACCTGCCACAGGTGGGCATGGTTGGCATATATATCCACATGGCTGCACATGGACACACAGCTTGGAATTTCCCATCATGGGGTTTGGCTCCTGGGGGCACAGGTGACCCAGAGCCCATGGGAGAAGGAAGCCCTCTTTCCTGAGTCCTTGCCTGCTAGCAGGATATCTGCATTTTTTTCTTCTGTTTAGGCTAAGACTGGTTTCGGTTGTTGCTTTTTCCATCTCATTGTTCTTTACTTTTATGAAAGCGCATTCAAAGAAGCAGCATGGAATGTTGGAAAAAGCAGAAGCTGTGCAACTGGTCAAGTCTGACTTGGAATCTTGGCATTGAGGCCTGCTATTCATGTGAACTTGAGCAAGTTACTTTAACTCTCTGAGCTCCCTTTTATCATCTGTAAAATGGGATGACAGTCATGCTTTCTACCTCATGTGGTTTGGTAGTTGGAAAGATAGCACAGCAATGGAATGATCTGATACTCTGTAAATACTGCTCTAATTATTTGGGTGAGGTTCAGGAAGGCAGGGTAGTGTAGTAATTAAGAGCTTTGCCTCGGAACCAGGTAGAGCAGGGATCCTATCCCAACTGTGCCCCTTACAAGTCGTGTGGTCTAGTGCAAGTTACTTAGCCTCTCTGGACTTCAGTTTCCTCATCTGAGCAAAGTAATAGATTTCTTCCATAGCACCAGACCAGTGTTTCTGAGTGTGAATTAGAGATGGGGCACTTGAAGGAAAGTGAAGATTCTGTTTGGAGGGTGTGGCCAGGTGATTTTCATAGCAGGCACACCCAAGTTCAAGAATTGTGATGCATTTAGGACAAATACCTAATGCATGCGAGGCTTAAAACCTAGAGGAAGGGTTGATGGGTGCAGCCAACCACCATGGCACAGGTATACCTATGTAACAAACCTGCACATTCTGCACATGTATCCTAGAACTTAAAAATAAAAAGGAATTGTGATGCTTGACTGTTCACTTTTTAAGAGCAGGAGTCATGTCTGTGTGCTTCCCACTGTACCCCAGTGCACAGTATAGCTTCTGGCATCTACCAAGTGCTCACTGATTTTTGTTTGAATAAACAAATTATATGACTTAATGCACCCAAAATGCTTAGCATAGTGACTGGCACAGAACTAGCACAGAAGGAACTTAGCAGGTATCAGAGTGTTTCATTATTAATAATAGGGATGGCCTGTTTCTGAATATAAGTCAGCAGGACCTAGCAGTCCTGGCTTCCAGGGCACATTTGCTCCCACTTGTGTGTACTGAAGGTTGGGTCCCCTCAATGTCCATTACTATGTGCTTGGTTTCCACTGTGGCTACCATCCAGAGTTAGGCCTAATTTATACCCTCTTGAACAAAGGGGACCAGATCTCCCACACCTATGGCATCCAGGGGTCCTGGCTAGACCCATCTGCCATTGGTTTCTTGCCTCTAGAGGGGCTGGCACAGCCTGGGGACCTTCAGTGCTGACGAGGAAGCCTTGTGCGCACTATTGCAGGGCCCCAAAATCCATTTTTATTAAGTTTGTAGGCAATTGTGACAGAGGACTGGACTGGCTTTTTATTGTTCATGTTTCTTGGCTTGGGCCTGGAGTGAGGAAGTCACTTAGGAAAGGCCTTTCCTGTGTGAGGAAGAGCAAATATTACCAGAAGCCATTGGAGCCCAGAGCGCCAGAAGAAGAAATGGGAGCAATAACCACACCCACCCACCGTGGCACATTCGGGGCCCCAGTCACATCACAGAGCCATGGGATGTAGGAGTCAGTGATCTCAGCTGGCCCCTCACTTTGCAGTTGTAAAAGCCTAGGTCCTAGGGATGGATGGGATTCGCATCAGGTCAGTGGGTGGCGAGGGGAGGAACAGAGGCTCTGATGTGCTGGGCACTGAAGCCAGGCCCTTTCTGCCGTTCCATGCAGCCCTGCCCTTCCCCACACCCCTGGCCCCTGGCATGCTGTGGGAAAGACTCCAGCAGCACTTGGTGAATGGTGTCCTGTGCAGAAGCCAGGCTCTTGGTGGGTGGTGGGGACGGTGGGGACAGGGTAGCAGAGAAGGGACATCCCCGACCTAAAATGGGTGGCATATCCAGTTCCAGAGTGGGTCTCCATCGAGGCTCCTTTGTCCTCACCACGTCCCTGTCACTCCAGCTGAGGTGGCCTACTAAGGATTCCTGCCATGAGAGAATGAAGCTAAGACAGTGGACACCTAGGCCACAAATTCTACTTACTCTCAAGGATGCAACAACTTGCAATGATCACAGATCAGCCTGGCTGGAATTAACAACTTTCCAAAATGAGGTTCTAGAAACATCCAAGACATTATAGCCATTTGGCAGGCTCTACTCCCTAAGTGGCAGAGGTAGAAAGACCAGAGAAGGCATCGGCTTCTTAATAATAGTAACTAACACTGACCAAGCACTTTCCATGCACCAGATCCTTCCCAAATACTTTAGACACACTGGTGCATTTAGTGCCTGAAACAACCTTGAGGAAGGTCATATCATTCACTCTTTCTCCACACAGTAGAAAAGGCTGCAGGGGTTCCATGCACCCTGCTCCTCACCCACGAACTAATGGATCCTTCTCAACCACTGAAACTTAGTTACTGACCATTAAACACTTTGCCCAAAGGCTGTGGCTGAGTCTCAGAAAGCAAAGCAAAGCAAAGCAAAACAAAACAAAACCTTAGCACCAAAGTGTTGGAAAGTGCTATCAAAAGCAGATCGATCAGAAATAATGAAGAAAGGGGCTCTTAGACTATAAAGGAACTCAAAGGCAAACTGAAATTTGCTTTACACAAATGTGATACACGCAGAGAGGTGACCAAGATTACACAACTAGAAAGTAGCAGAGATTTGAACCCATGCTGCCTAAGTCCAGAATCAATGTTCTTGACCTCTTTACTCTACATTCTCTTTTTGACACCTAGTTCCTTCTTCTTTGAGCTTGGCATGACTGTTTTCCGGAACAAGGACATGGTAGGAATTATTCTTTGCATGTGAAAAGTGAGAAGCACGTGATGATTTCTTCATTCATTCATTGAAGAATTGCATGTGCCAGCACTGTGGCCTTTGCTGGAATGGGTGGTACAGGGTGGAGACAGATATATAAAGAAACATGTAGACAACATGGAAGTAGGAGTGATCTGGAGAGGAGGTCCAGGTTGCTATGGTAGCATGGAGGCGTCTGTCCATGGCTTGCTCTATCTGGTAGGGAGAAAGGCTGAGGGAAAGGCTAGATCTACAAGGAGGGGAGCTCTGAGTGAGATGACAGGCTGTTCCCACAGTTTTGTTTTGCTTTGCTTTCTAAGACGCAGCCACAGCCTTTGGGCAAAGTCTTTAATGGTCAGTAAATAAGCTTAAGTGATTGAGATGGACCCACTAGCTTGTGGGTGAGGAGCGGGGTGCGTGGAACCCTCTGCAGCCTCCTCACTGGGCAGTTTCCCTCTGCGTTCCCAGCAATCCAACATCGTGGTTGGTTGGCTCCTTCATATTTACAGCGGGGTCTCTGGGGTCTTCTGAAGGGTGGGGGTGAAGCTCCTCCTGGGTTTGGCTCGTGTCTATAGTTGCCTTGCCTGTGATTCTCCTGCAGGAGGTTGTGGCCAGCGAGGTGTGTCAGGACAGCTCTCTGGAAGGGTGGCCAGGCTGAGGGAAAGCAACCTGCTCACTCTTCGGGAGAGGCTTCTGGGCTTGGCTTGTGCCCTAGGCTCACGTGGAAAGTTCCAGGAGAGGGTAGTCTGAGCATCTTTCTCTGGGAGGCTTGGCTGAAGGGAGGAATCCCCAAGGCTACTAGCGACGCTTTGGGGCAATAGAGGTGTGGGGGCTGGGAAGGGGGCCTTACTAGCATGAGGCCCTTGAGAGGGAGCCTTGGATATCAGATCTGAAGGCAGAGATGCATTTGTGGGTGGGGCTGGGGTGCCAGCCCAGGAAGGCTTTATATGTCAGACTAATGGATTAAGACTGGATCCTGCAAGCCTTGGAGAGCCATGGAAGAATTTTAAGTAGAAAGTGGCATGACGAGGTTTGTGGTCTAGAAAGATCACCCCAACTACAGGTGGAAGGTGGATGGGAGGAATGAGGCTGAAGGCAGGGAGACTGGCTGGGAGACCACTTGAAGAGCCAGGGAGAGGTACTGAAGGCGGAGATCATCATCATAACGGTGGTGATCTAGGTGGAGTTTGAGGAAGCCCTGGTGTCCAGTTGGCTATGGGAGGGGAGAGAGGTGGAGGAGTTTGGATGATTTTGGGTCTAAAGTGTTCACAAAAACACAGGCGATTATTTGCATGGCACTGGGCTGACCCTGATTCCTGAGGGAGGGTGAAAGAACTTGTAGGTACAGAGTTGGGCAGTGAGAAACATCAGCAGCCACAGTGTCATCCCCATTAATCTCAGCCAGTGGGGAACACTATGGTCTGAGAAGTGGATGTGGGACATGCAGGGAAGTGTATTGTTTGCCCCTGTTTTAACAGGAGCAAGGGAGCATCACTTTAAGTAATTCTATTTCTGTTTTCCGAAGTATCCACCATCAAAGAAAAGAGAATCATAACATTGCACAAATCTTTTAGCAATTTGGATGCAGTTTACAGGGTTAATATAGGCTGGGAGGATTTTCTAACCCATTTTCCTTCTGACAACCCAGTGTCTGAATAGACAGCACCACCACCATATCTACCTTCCTGCCAATTACCTGTTTCTGTCTGGGTCCTTGAAGACCTGGTGTCTGACACACATTTCCACTGAGTCTAACGTATTGCTGTGATCAGAGAGTCATACAGGGATGAAGTTGTATCATTCAGTGCTTGTTGAGGGTGCCTTTTTGAAGTGCATATCTCATTAGAGGTGGCAGGAAAAATCACAAAGCATCACCCCCAAATCGCAGGGCAGGCCAAGGGAAACTCGCAGAGGCAAGATCAGGGATCAGTTTTCAGGGTCAAAGGGTGCTCTAATTCTGGGAGCCCCTCAGTGCAGCCTCAGTATTACTTATATGATTGCCGTGATTCCAAAGTTTCTAATGAAACTTGGTCATGAAATGAGGAACAGCCGTGTCTCCTATTGGCAAGGTATCACCTGCAGCTCTGCCAGCCCTTCAGTACACACGGTGTGGGTATGGACAAAACAAACCCAAACCACCCAGGGCTCTTGGCATGCTCTTGTCCTAGCATCAGGGATGTAGGAGTCACAAGTTTCCATGGCAACGACGAAGAAAAACATTTATCCTGCACCTTCCAGGGCCCTTCAACAAAGTTACAAGGACGCCTTCTAAGCCCTTGAGAAGATAGCTTGCTAAGGAGACAGAACTGACTATCTCTGTTTTGAAAATGTTGACTTGGAGGTGAGAAGAGGTTTTAGAACCACAAAATATGTTTAGAATAATCCAGTCCAATGCCTTAAGTTTTTAGAAAAAGAAACCGAGGCCCAGAGAGATGGTGGTGGGTGGGGCTGGGGTGCCAGCCCAGAGGCCAGGCTGCAAGTGCCGGACTGGCATCGGGGTCCCCTGTGCAGCTCCGTCTCCCCTCATTTCCCATTGGTACTGGAAATCCAGGTGCCCTTTACCCCTGCAAGGCACTGTGTCTGGAAACTGTATATCACACTTGTGTAAAGCAAATTCCAGTTTGCCTTTGAGTTCCTTTATTGTCTGAGAGCCCCTTTCTTCTTTATTTCTGATCGATCTGCTTTTGACAGCAGTTTCCAACACTTTGGTACTAAGGTTTTGTTTTGTTTTCCTTTGCTTTCTAAGACGCAGCCACAGCCTTTTTTCCAGTCTTTGGGCAAAGTCTTTCATGGCCAGTAAATAAACTTAAGTGATTGAGATGGACCCATTAGCTTGCAGGTGAGAAGCGGGGTGCATGGAACCCTCCGCAGCCTCCCAAGTGGGCAGTTTCCCTCTGTGTTCCCAGCAATTCAACATCATGATTGTTTCGCTCTTTCATGTTCACAGTGGGGTCTCTGGGGTCTTCTGAAGGGCAGGGGTGAATCTCCTCCTGGGTTTGGCTCGTGTCTATAGTTGCCTTGCCTGTGGTTTTCCTGCAGGAGGTTGTGGGCAGCGAGGTGTTCAGGACAGCTCTCTGGAAGGGTGGCCAGGCCAAAGGAAAGCGACCTGCTCACTCTTCAGGAGAGGCCTCTGGGCTTGGCTTGTGCCCTAGGCTCACATAGAAAGTTGCAGAAGGAGAGGGTGGTCTGAGCATCTGTCTCTGGGAGGCTTGGCTGAAGGGAAGACTGTGGGGGAGGCAGTGTGGCTTCAAGGCTACTAGCCATGCTTTGGGGCAGCAGAGGTGTGGGTGCTGGGAAGGGCGCCTTACTGGCACCGGGCCCTTGAGAGGGAGCCTTGGATATCAGATCTGAGGGCAGAGCCCTGTGCCCCAGATGCGTTTGCCCTCAGCACTGGACCTGCACAAAGCAGGTGCACCATTCCCATTTGTTCAGCGACTGAATTAACTCATTCAGCAGACATTAGTGCCTGCTCCCTGCCAGGCACTCCTCTAGCCCAAAGATGTCACAGAGAACAAGATAGTTAGGTCCCTGCTCTGGATATGCCCACATCCTGGGACTGAGTGAAAAGGGAGGCCCACGGCACCCAGGGATCTGGGGGGCACCTCTGTTGACAAAGCATCTTTTACTGGGATCTCTGAAGGTTTGGGTGGGAGGCCAGGCAGTGCTGTGCAGATGGGAACCACAGCCATGAAGTTAAAGGAGGCAGCAGCAGGAGTAAGGAGATCAGCGGGCCTGCGATGTGCAGGCCCTGGGGCCAGGTGCTTCCCAGATGGCGCCTCACTTAATCCTTCCAAAGGCCCAGTGAGGCCCTGTTAAGGTCCCCATTTACTGACTGGGAAACCAGAGCTCCGGGAGGCACCTCTAGGAAGGGAGGACTCACTATCAGGTCAGCCTGTGCTTCATCCCCAGATAGGAGCTGCTGACGAGGCCCCTGAGAGGAGTGCCGCGAGCTCCAGGGCTATCGGGTTGTTGGTGCAAGCAGGGAAAAGTTCACACTAGTTGCTGAGGCCACAGGGTGCTTGTGGTATGCTGGTCTCTCCCACCCTGCAGGCCCAGGCCTCTGGGAGCTGGAGTCAGCCCAGCATGTTGGCTGGTGTCCACGTCTGGGGACAGACACCCCGGGTGGCTCAGCTGAAATGAACATGCGGCAGAAAGAGCAGCCCTCCTCCAGCTGCTCCCTGCCAAGTAAAGGACACCCTGGCCTTAGTGAGTGGCCTTCCCAGCCCCATCATAGCCCTGGGGATGGTGGTGGCAGGGCGGGCTGTTCGCAACACTGACCTTGAGCTCAGAACCAGAAAGGTCAAGGTGTCAGATTGGGTTTGAATTCTGTCTCTGCTGCTTGCTTTTTGTGTAATCCTTAGCTAGTCACCCACTCTTCCAGCCTGAATTTCACCCTCTGCAAAACAAGGTCGATGATAACTCCAGCACAGAGGTGTGATAAGAGTTAACATAAATAAGATTAGTAAAACACTCAGCAGTGTCTGGCATGTAGTAAGTGCTCGGTAATTGGTAGTTATCATTATTGTTGTTATTATATTATAGTTGTATTAGATTAAAATTGGCCATGGAACTGGGCTGGGCTGTAACTCATCCTTTATTCGGAGGCCAGGTCATATTTCCCAAGGATGCACAGTGCACAGATTCTCACAGCAAATAGAGCCATCAGATTTTTAGGGCAGAGAATTCCAAACTTCGTTGTAATCCAAATATCTGAGAAGCTTGTTAAAAATTCAGGGTTTTGGGTTATGCTCCCTTTTATTCCTTCCTGAGAGATTCTGATCATGCGTCCAGGGTGAGGTCCTAAATCAACATTTTTAATAAAATCCTGAGATGGTTCTGTTGTGGCAAGTCCAAGGACTGGGTTTTGGGAAACAGTGTTTTATAACCTGCTTCCTCCAGACCCAGTCAGCTTAGGGATGACTTTCTCCATGGCTGGGCTATTTCTGTCTAATCACTAGGGCCTGTAGTCTTCAGTGAAGCTCCTGTTCTCTGGGCAGCCCTGGAGACACACGGACATATCCTTTCTTCTCAGCTCCCTGTCTAGACACCATGCAGACCTACAAAATCTTTTCTCCTTATAAAACATGATTGCCTGTATCCTGGTGACCACATTTTCTAAATTCTCCAAAGAATTATGGTTAAAGGATTTTTTTTTCCCTGACTTGTGTATTCATCTTAAAAGCCTTACAAAGGTAAAGCAATATATTTATCTTTATTTGTATATTGAACAGATTCCTAGGAAATACAGAGTAGGGTAGCACAGTGGTTAAAAATGCAGACTGACTCACAGCTCCACCCCGATTAACTGTGTGACTTTAGGCAAGCTGGATGACCTCTCAGTGCCTCAGTTCCCTCATGTTTGGAACAGGACTAACAGCAGTGCCTCTCCCATAGAATTATTATGAAGATCAGCAGAGTTGATCTGGATAAAGCACTTGCAACAGTGTCTGATCCATAGTGAGCAGTATATTCATTTTTATATAAAACATAAAACATTCTGCTCACTGTGCAGAGTAAAAATGTAACTGCGTGAGATGGCCTGGACAAATCCAGGAAGAACCAGCACCACACATACTTCAGGAAATTAAATAAGAAACTTAGGTAGTGGTGCTGCCTGGCTTTGGCCAAGCCCTGTTCTTTTTTGCCTTAACATTCTGCCTTGAAGCACCACTTTATGAAGCTCTGGTCATTGTTTTTGCAAAGCAGGAATGCACAAGGCATAACAGTGGTGTGCACCTACCACATGTGAAGCTGAACGTCATTTTGCTAAACGCAATTAGCAGAGTCTGTAAGTCCTTCTCTTTAGAGACTCATTCTGGCTGTGATCTATGTAAGTGGCATGCAGGGACCAGGAGGTTTTTTTTTTTTTGTCTCAATTTTCATTTCTAAGATACGGAGTTGCTAAAGGTCTTGGCGGGTTTCATCGACTACAGAGCTGTAGAGGAAGAAGCTGATGTCAGGAAGGGAGAAGTTATCAGAGGCCAGAATAGCAGCATCTGATCAGATCCTAGTGAGGTGTAAGGAGGGGAAGCCCTGGTTTCCTCCCTCTTGCCTTCCTCTGAGGGTCCAGAGCCACCTTGACTGTCTTGGGAGGCAGGATAGAAACCTGGCTTAGCACTGGGGCTTTAGAGCAGACAGACCTAGTTGAACAGCCTGGCCCTGGACCTACCAGTTGTGTGATCTTGGAAACTTCGTTTGCTAACCAGTCCAGTCCTATTCTGTAAAATACAGATAATGTTAGTACCTATGTCACTGAGCTGTTGGATTGAGTTCAGTGAGGAAATGTATACAAAGTGCCTGGAGCTCAATAAATGAAATATTTTATTATTAGTATTGCTGAGTGGTCTTTTCCATGTGTCCAATTTAGCCCAAGGTCTTGATAATTTCATGTCATTTCCTGTACAGGCCCCTTAAAACTATAGTCAGGAATAGCTGGAGAGAGAACCTAGGTTGAAAGATCTGCTTGCTTAGACTAAACCATGAATTACTGTGTACGTGTTTGGATGGGAAATGGGTGGAGGACTTGGACCTCCGTGGATAGGGACCACCCTCTACATGGGAAAGGCCCTCTTGTGATTTCACACAGCTTCTCTGGGGGCTCCAGAGGCAGTTACAGGAAGTGAGGAACAGGCAGGAAAGCACGTCTAGCCAGCAGGCCACTGTGAGGCCCCAGGGAGCAGGACAAACATGGCATACAACAGTCCCCAGGGCAGATGCAGGAGGAAGGTGGGAGCCTGGCAGGAAATGCATTTACTGGGTAGGCTGCAGCTGAAAGCACCATCACTCCCTGGAGGAAGTCACAGGATCTAGGCAGGCGGGCAAACCTAGCAGGGATTGGCTGTGGAAGCTCGGCCGGCTGGGTGGTCAGAAGGTCTGGCCAACGGCATCTGAGCCCAGCCTGTGGGCTGGGGACAGGGCAGGGTTCTCTTCCCTGGGAAGGAGCTGGCATGAGCTTAGTAGCCCTTTTGTGGAAAATGGAGCCCATGAGAACCAGGAGTCAGCCCTAGGACATCAGAACTTGGCCTCCATGGACAATAAGGGCAGCACAGAAAAGAATAATACTGGAGGTTGCATCTATTACTTTGCTATGTGCTTCAAATCACATTATTTCAAATAATCTTCACACCAACTCAATGCAGAAAATGTTATCACCATGTTACTGTGTAAACTGAGGCTCATCTAAGTTAACTGACTTGCCTTGTGTTGCAGAGCTGCTCAGTGGCAGAACCAGGGGTCACCATGTCTGCTCATTCAGTATCTCACGCTTTTACCCATGGTACCAGAGTGCCCTGGTCTCCAACTGGCCGGGGGCCAGGGTCTGCCTCACCAGCAGCTGTTCACACTCATTCTTTTTGTATTATGTAAAAAGCACTGCACTGTGGGCTGAGAGCCATGCAGATACTCCACGGGACTTTGGAAGGGATCTGATGAAGCTCCTTATTCAATTTCCTCAATTTAAAGACAAGGAAATGGTGGTTCAGAGAGGCTAACAGCTTTGCCTGTGGTCACTCAGCAAGACAGTAGTGGAGCCAGGACCCGAACAAGGTCTGCTGGCTCCCTGCCCCATGGCGTCCCCACTGCATTGTGCCGTTTTCCTCCCGTGCTGCAGGGGACATGAGCAGACTGCTGCATGCTGCATGTACTGCTGCTGCTGCACCAGGAACATCAACAGAATCCAGCATTTAAAGGCCACCAGCATACCTCGCAGGACAGGTGGCAGGAGAAATTTGTGTCTGCAGTTGTATTTGTAAACACAGCGTGGAGAATATATCAAGAATCCAGCAAGAACTGCACAGGTTCTATTTGTCTGCTAAATAGAATGAAGTAAGTGCCAATGGAAAATGGATTGAGGAAAAGGTGGAAGTTTTCAAGTCACATAGAATGGCAGGAGGGGTGGTAATCTGACGTCTTGGGCAAGGATAGACCTGTATCTCAGTGTGTATGTCTGTAGCTCTGGCTCAGCTATTGCTGTCTCATCTGTCTCCCTGGCTGGCTAAGCATCTTGAGGACAAGACTGTGTTATATTCACTTTTGCATCAGCAGCATCCAGCACAGGGTCTGGCATGGAGTTGGCATTGAGCAAATGTCTGTTGACTGACTAATTGAAACCCATTACTCAAGATAAGAGTGAGACAAAATGGCTGGTGAGTAGCTCATTCTCCTTTCATATTATGCCTACCATGGGCTAATACTTCCTCCTTCAGAGGGTTCTGGCAGATCTCATGGTCATTGTGTGTCTCTTTGAATATCAGCCTCCCTCAGGGGCCATCAGGTTGGCGATAGGAGTCACCATTGGAGTTTGTTAGTTCTGACCAGCTGTGGTCAAAGGCGTGAACCTATTACCCATGGCTAAGGGCCTGGACACCAAAGTCTGGTTGCCCTAGTTCAAGTCTTGGCTTCATCACTTTCCATGACCTTGGGCAAGCCACTCGACCTCTATAAGCCTCAGTTTCCTGATCTGTGACGTAGGGGTGCTAGCATGGGGTGTGATGAGGCTGCGTGAGATGATGCATAGTGCTGGCACATAGCAACACAGCTCAATCCATGTTAGGTCTTGTACTATAATTCCCGAGGGGCTGGGGTACATGACAGACCCAGCCCTACTCCATCTGCCAGGCAGGCAGTAAGCAAGTCATGGCCCCATGCCACGTCACCTTTGTTTAGAAGCACAAAGGAGAGCAGGAGATAATGAGGCAGAGAAACGAGGCATCTACTCGGAATGGCACTGGGAGAAAATACCAGATACACAGACATGCACCAGGGCAGGCCAATGATTGGATAACATTTTCATTCTGTTTCTTTTATCCATAACTTAGTTATTTAAAGTGCAGGAAAAAAAGCCAGAATACACTGTTTCGTTTGTACAAATAAGGATTATAAATAGCTGTTGTGGAGAGGAGGTAAAGTAGGAGGCAGTGTGGAGAGAGTGGGGTGCCATGGTTAGCCCTGACTCAGTGCCGTAGGGGCCCAGGTCCTGTTGATCTGGAGATGGTACATGTGTCTGTCTCTGAGCGAACGTCGCCTCACTCCTGGTGGCTCCTTAGGGAGACGTATGTGGATAAAGAGCACTGTGGCATTGGAACAGGCTTGGAGGGCGTTAGCATCAGTAGGTATGGCAAAAACAGTAGGATTTGGAACAAGGCAGACCTGGGTACCTGGGTTTGGATCCTGGCTTCCTCATTGACCAGCTGTGAGACTGCTGGCAAGTTGGCTGAGCTCAGCTTCTTCTCTGTAGCCTGCAGGTGATGACAGATCACTAATAGGGCGCCCTGAGGATGAAACAAGCTAAAGAAGCTACCTCATTCCTGGTAGCAGTTCAACAGAACAGGAGTTCATTGCCAGCTTTGGCACAATGGGCAGGTATCTCTGAGGCCAGACAGCTGTAACATTTTCTGGGTTCTGGAGATTACCTAAGGGCTGGGGAGTAACATGGATGGGGGTGGGCAGGGCAATGCACTGGTTACTATGAGGGGGCAGGTGTGCCCAGACCCCACTTTGAGCTCTGAACAGGTCTCAAACTTTGAGCCATCTGACCTTCCAAAGAATTATGACAGTAATTATTATTATGGCAATTATGTAGCACCCTTATTGCCATCTAGTTAATTACCTGGCATTTTAGTTTCCATCAGCAGCATAGACTGTCTGCAAATTATCTGCTGTTGAGTGCTTGCCCTGGCCTTGCCAAGAGAGTAGGCTGAGGGATGAGCTCAGTCTTTCTGAGGCTCCAATTCTCAACCATGCGTCAGTCAGAAAGCACTTGTCCTGGAATTTAATATCATGCATGGCTTTGACCAAGGGTCAGCCTTGAAGCAGCTCAGCGGGAAGCCCTCTGTGTTTTTCCAGGACTGCAGCCATAGACATATTCCATTATGTTGTTCAAGATGATCTGAGCACAGGCATTGACCAGCTTGGCTCTCTTCATGACTGGTGAGCTTTGTCTTTGTATTTAAGAATGCCATTGGATTTTCTTCTTAGCTTCAGTTCGGTTTTATGAGCATTGATTGAGTGCCCACCGTGTGGCCATGACTATGTTCTGGGTAAGGGAGACTGAGAAATAGCACAGGGGAGTGGAAAGGGCCAGGGCTTGGACTCACCTGTGGCTGAACGCCTCTCACTGCTCATTAGCTGTGTGCCTTCAGGATAGTTATCCGAAGACTCTGAGCCCTGGTTTCTTACTTGTAAAAAGAGATGAACGATGGTCTACTTGGTTTTTAGAATGGAGAAATGGTTGTAAAATCCGTGCTCCAGCTCAGGTACTCAATGAATGATAGTCATCTTTTCCTGTTGTTCCTCTCTCCTCTCCGCTCCCTTCCTCTTCCCTGCTTTCTCCTGCGTTTTTTTTACCTTGTCCTCCAGGGGCTTAGTGTTGAGCTGTTGGGCCAGGTAGAGACCTAGGCTAATCATTTCAAAATGGTGTCAGAATGGGAGAAAATGGGGCACTTGGATTCAGAGATGAATGCTCGAAGATAGCTTTCTTGCTGTCAGCCTTGAAAGTTCAGGAAAAAGGTGTATCCTATGCATATGTTCATGACACACACGCATACACAGCTGCAGGTGTGTAGAGACTGCGGTGTATAGTACCTGCACTCACACACACGTGCATCCATACATAAAACACATACACATCCTCACCTATCAGAAGGGGCCTGGCCCGAAGCAGAATATACCCAAATTGTTTACCTGAAAGGATCACAATGAAGAGATCGAGGCAGAGTTAAGGGAGCAAGTAAGAGAGGGTGAGAGACCCAGAGACTCACAGCAGGAGGGAGCTCTTGTTACACCTAGGGCTGGCTGGACAAGGGGAGAAATAGTGTTACCAGGGTAGGGTAGGAACCAGAGCTTTGGAAGCGATGCTGCCTGGTGCAAGATACAGTCCCTGTGGAGACGTGGGCCCAAAGCACTGCAGGAGGGGAAGAAATACCCTGACCACTCTGCTACCCTGTGATCCCCTATGGATGGCTTCCCTTGGCTGAGCCTTACTGAGGAGGCTGGGTGCTGCATAGGCAGGGGCCTCCTTCCCGGGCACAGAGCCTGGCAGAGAAAGGGGGAGAGTAACCAGCCCGATGCGTATGCACTCGCATACACTTATGTACACGCAAGCACAGATTGTCTGAGCTTCTTCCTCCAGGGCACTCAGGACTGGGGAAGGATGAGGGGAACAGGCAGTGGTGGTACAGCTGGCAAGACTTCCAAGCCCCTCCCACATGTCTGCAATGCTAGCAGGGTTCCTAGCCCTGTGCTGTGGACAGGGCTTCCAGCAGGGTTTTCTCAAAGCCTGTATACTGTGCTGCCTCAGTTGCTTATGAGAATCCATGATTGGCTTCTACGCTGCCTGGTTGTTGCTGAAGGCAGCTATGGATTTACACATATTCAGAATAAATCCTCGTGTAGTGTCTTTCTCTTTCTACTACAGCAGCACACTCAGGAGGAGGGAGAGGTACAGTGAAGGCAGCCGGCAAAGGCCTATTGCAGGCAGGGGGCTTGTCCTCAGAGCAGGCCTCAGCCTGGGGTGCAAGGCATGGCGTCACAGTGTTGTCCTCAGTGAGTGCCTTTTTCTTGCCTTTGTCTCCTTGAGGCCCCCAGAGGCTCTGGTAGACTCTCTCCCACTTGACCCTACCTCCTTGGCTCTGCTCTTTTCCAATCCTGCTAGTCTCAGTAGGACTTTTGCCAGGAAGTGGGAGCTGATGGCTCCATGCTGAGCTTCTGTGGGGCACCCAGTGGACAGTACGTTTGTGGTGCTGGTTGACAAGAGAACTCTGTGCTCTCCAACCAGCAGCACAGCTGACCAGAATGGCTTTGGGTCGTGAACACTGAAGGGCTCCACAGGTGACTTTGTCCAAGTGCTGGGCAGGTAGAATGGAGGTCAGGAGCTTGGCCTCCAGTCCCAGCTCTATGTGGTCTGGGAGGTCTGGAGAACTCCTTAGTCTTTTGCCTGCCTTTCCTTTTCCTCTAGAGGATGCCTATGGCACGCCTGTTTGGGTCCGATGGACTTCCAGAAGGGTTAATTGAAAAATGCACTCCAGATCACAAAGCTCACGGGCCTGTCCTGCCCACTGGCATTTTGAGCAGGGTCTTCCCAGAGTGCTGTGTGGATTCAGGTCCAGTTGATGTTGCCCTAATGACTGCTGACAGCACCCACAGCTTGAAGGTGTCTCCTGGGGGCAGAGACAGGGCCCCGTCAGCAGCCCAGGGAAGAGGACTGCCTTCCTGTTTGCTGTGGACAGAGGGCATTTGTTCACTTAAAAAAAATTGCCTTAAGTTATTAAGTGCATGCTAAAGATGGCAGGAATCCAGGGGCCCCTTCCCCACTCTGAGTTGCTTTAGGGCTGGAATTTGCTCGCTCCAGCCTTCCCTCCTCTCTGGCTGGCCTGGCCTCCTTACTAGAGGCATCACAAGCCGGTGCATGTGAATGAGCCTGTGTTGGGGAGGAGGGGATGGAGGGCCTGGCCCTGGGGTGCAATTAAGGCCTTGACTTCAAGCAAAGCTGCTAGGTGGGATGTCAGTATGTCTGTGACACTTGAGCTGTCTTCCAGCTGCCTTGCTCAAGCACCCTTCAGTGCTGAGGTCCAGACTCTGAAGAACTTCAGAAAGATGCAGGAATGTTTCTGTAGAATAATTCATACTGAGTATGAAAGCCAAGGAGAGTTAAACCTGGGTAAAGACATACAGTCATGTACACACTCACACACATACACACTCATACATATGTGGTCAATCTCTAAGACACTCACAGACATACACACATTCACATATAGGTACATGTGCATACGTAGGCACACACTCATATACAGTCTCTCTCTCTCTCCTTCTCCCCTCTAACATGCACGTGCACACATGTGGCAAACATGATCTACATATGTCTCTGTGTGTGTGTGTGTGTGTATATATATATATAAGGAGATTATTATAAAGAATTGGCTTACACTATTATTGAGGCGGAGAAGCCCCAAGATCTGAAATTGGTAAGCTGGAGGTCTATGGGAGGCCATGGTGTAGTTCTGAGTCTGAAGACCCGAGAATAAGGAGAGCAGATGGTGTAAGTTCCAGTCCAAAAGCTGGCAGGCTTGAGACCCAAGAAGAACAAATGTTCATTTAGAGTCTGAAAGCAGGAAGAGACCAGTGTTCCAGCCCAAACAGTCAGGTAGGAGGGGTTCACTCATTCACAGAAGGGTCAGCCTTTTGTTCTATTCAGGTAGGTCTTCAACAGATTGGATGAAGGCCACCCACATATAGTCAGTCTACTGATTCAAATGTTCATCTCATACAAAAACACCCTCAAGCATATCCAGAATAATGTTTGGCCAAATATCTGGGCACCCCATGGCCCAGACAAGTTGACACATGAAATCACATCTGGTACCTGGTGACCTCATGCATCAATGGGTATCCTGGTGAAACACAGGGAAGGCACTAGTAGTACCTCCTGGAACTTTTGGTAAACCCCTGGAATACAGAAGAGGCTGTTCTCTTTGATGGACCCTTTAGTCATTCGACCATGGAGCTAGCAAGGTGTCTTGGCCAAGACCCACACTAGCCCTGAGGGCCTCTCATAGTAGCAGAATGTCAAAACTCTGCCCATCAGCTTATCTGAAATGACACTTCTTATCTTTCACTCCTCCACTCCCTGGGTTTAACAGCAAATTTTTGCCCCATGGTTTGCACCAAAGGCTTGGGCATTATCTTTGAAACTCCCATGCCCTCTTCCCCTATATCCTTTTTGAATTGAGTCCTGCCAGTTTCTTCCTTTTTAATATTCCATTCTCAAATCTATCACTTTTCTCTCTCTACCCATTGGTATCACCCAGGTCCTAGCTCCCATCATGTCTTTCTACTTTCCTGCATCTACCTCCTTGGTGGTTCCCTTGTTCTCAGTCTTGCCCCGCATAGCCCATCATCCACATGCTTGTCAGGGAGATTTGTTAACAAAAAGATCTGACAGTATCAGTCTCTGATTAATTCCCCTTATCAGCTTCTCATTGCCTTGTAGAGTTTGCAAGCTGATTCCCTAAAGGCCAAATTCAGCTCACACTTAAAGAATCTGATTGCCTTTACAGCTGAAGGTGTGTACCTTCTGGTTTGCCACAGTCCTCACAACTCCTTACTGTCTTACACCTGCCCACTTCTCTCCTTGGTTACTTGTCTAGTCTCTGAAGTAAGAGGCCCAAACTCTTCCACACCGCATTTGAGTTCCGTCAAAATTTGGCCTTAGTTGACCTTCCTAGTTGGAATTTTAGGCAATTCTACCTAAGTACTCTGTGCTTTAGCCTTCCTAGTCTATACGTTTCCACAAACACACAATATTATTCTGCATTTCCATGCCTTTATCCATGTCATTCAGTTTGCTTGGGTGGCCTTCCTCTTTTGAACTCCTGAATAATTTCCAATTATCCTCTAAGACTCTATTCATATGTCACCTACTCTCTGCTGTCTTTCCGTAACATTCTCTAGGACTCAGTTTCCTCCTTTGTAAAATGGGGGTAATCACAGCACCTATGTGATGGAGTTGTTATGAGTATTAAATAAGATAACCCATGCTAAGTGCTTAGCACAGTATCTGGTATATCAGAAATGCTCAGCAAATATCCAGCTGCCAGCCTGCCTGGCATCTAGAGGTATTGGTGGTTTGGGCAGTGGCAGGGCCTCTGCTGTTTGTCTCCTGCTAGGGTGCCTGAGTTTAACAGTCTCTTACTATTCACAGTTTAAGAAAATAGAGAATAATTGATGTCCATCAGGCAATGAATAGAAAACAGCTCATTGCAGATGCCTGGCTTTGATGGGCTCTTCAAGACTGAGGGGAGGAATTTGTTATGCCCAGAGAGCTCTGTTCTAGAAAGCAGAACATGGAAAATAAAATCTGGCTTTATAAATACATTTAGACTTAGGGTTTTAAAAATGTATAATATATATTTAATCTTGAAGAATTTTAAATATTTCATGGGCCATTGCTCATGGCTTGGTACCTCTAATTGGTGAACCTTGGTGGCAGAGACACTGCTTTGTGGCATCTGTTTACAGTTCTGTAGAATAAAGCTCATGTGGACATTTACTTAGGAAAAATCTGTGAATTGCAGAACCACGTAAGAATAATAATTATTGTCCCTGTTTTGTACCGGAATGAGCTGACTGCATCAGCCCAGAGACTCGAAAGGCAAACAAGTATCTGCAGGGGTAAAAAGAAACACCCCAATCCAACAGCAGACCATGGGGACATTTGATCAAAAAAGTGTCTTAGATAGTGAAACATAGGTTCTGTGCCAGATTTTCTTCATGCAGAGAAAAGCTACTGTAGAAGCAGAAGCAGATGCTGCTCGTCTCCATCCTTAGTGCAGAGTTGGCAGGGGACAGGGGTTGGGGGGTGCCTTCAAGACAATGAAGACTTTTGGAAGGATCACTATGCAGGGAGTACAGACCTAGACAGGAAACATTCCTGGCCAGGAATGCCAAGGTCATTGGCAATCTGGTGTCAAGGCCTGGAGAAATGCATTTATAAATGAGAAAGCATCTTCCCTGTGTCGGGCTCCTTCAAGAGAGGGTACCCACATCAGATGATAATTGTCATAGTCTAGGTGCAAGACTCCCACAGACATTGAGGAACCTGTCCATCTTAGAGTGTGGCGTGGACTCGACTGGATTGCTGTTCACTGACAGCTGCTGTGCTCCTGCGGGAGAGTAATATTCCCCACTTTCCCTGGATTTCACACTTGGCCATGTGACTTATTTTGGCTAAATAAATGTGAGCAGAAGTGACATGTCACTTTCAGGTGGAAAATTTAAGAGCCAATATATGCTCAATGGTCAATGGTACAGGTATTCTAGCAGCTCTTTTCCCAATGTAAGGGTGACAATGATGACACAGGAGCAGAGATCCTAGGTGATCCTGATGGACGTGTAGCCTGAGATGTAGCCTTTGTGATATAAGCTACCGGTATTTGGGGTGTTTTTGTTACTGCAATATAACCAGCTCTCCCCTGACAAATACACTATATTTTTAAAAGAAATATATTTTTAAAAGAAAGAATGATGTATTTATTACTTCCATGAATAACTACATATGTTCTGGTTTTTATAGCAGAAAGACAATGAAAGAAGTAACTATACATGCCAGAAAGGGACCAGCGCTGCATTTTTAAAGGAACATCAAAGACTCCAGGAGTCTACTTGTAAGAGTCTATGAATTTATTCACAAAGTCGTGCTATTCTACCATCACACAAACAGTCTGTCACTCACAGAAATGTTTGATCCATGGCCGGGCCCATGGCTTGCGGGAAATTGTTACATGGAAAAGCCGATACTGGCTTCCCTCCCTCCACCCACATCTAACTTCCTGGTCTTCCCTGATGACATCCTGCCTTTATGGCTTTATACATCCCTGACTGCCTGCCTAAAATGCCATTGCTCTCTTTTCTTCCAACATCCTGTCCCTGAGAACGCCTAGCATACTTACAGCAAATGTCTACACTGCCTCTGGAGCCTTTCTCATACCTTTCCCCCACTCCAGGCAGATGGAAGTTTCTTCCGTGTCTTCCAATTGCCAACTGGTCACCCCCATTAGCATGTTGCAGTGACACCTCAAATGTGATATGCGTGGCCGGGCACGGTGGCTCATGAGTGTAATCCCAGCACTTTAGGAGACTGAGGCGGGCGGATCACCTGAGGTTGGGAGTTCGAGACCAGCCTGACCAACATGGAGAAACCCTGTCTCTACTAAAATTACAAAATTAGCTGGGCGTGGTGGCGGGCGCCTGTAATCCCAGCTACTCGGGAGGCTGAGGCAGGAGAATTGCTTGAACCCAGCAGGTGGAGGTTGTGGTGAGCTGAGATAGTGTCATTGAACTTCAGCCTGGGCAACAAAAGCGAAACTCCATCTCAAAAAAAAAAAAAAAAAAAGTAATATGCACAACACCAGATCATCAGCTTTCTTCAAACCTGTTCCCCTTCCTACCTCCTCCATATCCACAACTGACTCCATTCTCCATTTAGATAAAATCAGTAGCCCTGTATTCTGTGTATTACTCATTCTTCCCTGTCTCAACCTCATCCAATCAAGTCTTACCGATTTCGCCACTGAAATGTTTCGTGAACTTTTTTGCTTTTACTATCGCTGTTTCAGATAAGGACCTTATCATCTGGCACTGGTTTTCATCTAACAGTCTTTCTTATTCATTGAGCTCCCTGCTTCTCATTCACCTCCATTCTACCACTTCTAGGGTAATATTTCTATTACCCTAGAAGGTAAGGATCCAGTGGAAACTTTCAGTCATTCGCGTTTCCTTGAGAGTGATGTTTAAATTGCTAGGATGGCATTCTGGGCCTTTCGAAATCTCCTCCATTTCGTTGTTTTTCCTACCTCTCCTCCTCCCCACCCTGTCTATATTCCGGCAACACCAGAATGTATTCATGCATATATATGTATTTTTTTTCTTGCACCTCTCTGAATTTGTATATTGGTTTTTCTGCATGAAATCCCCTCCTTTCTCTTCAACCTTCTCTGATAACCCTGGACTTAGTCTTCAAGATCCAGTCTGAGTTTTGCATCCTCTGGGAGCCTCCTGGAAACCCCAGACAGAATCTCTCTCTCCTTTCCTATTGCTTCTCAGAGCTTGTGTTTATGCTTCCCTTAAAACACTTCCACTCTCTGCCAGCTATGATTCAAGAATGACACAGACAAATGTCGTGAAGGCAGAGACTGAGTCCTATTTACTTATACATTTCGTTTGTTCACTAGACAATGGTATGGACTGGTTCTCCATAAATGTGTATCAGTCTGTTTTATTGTAACAAACAGCTTCCCGCCCCCAAATCAGTGACTTAGAATAAGAAACACTTATTTCTATGCTCACATTAAAGTTGGAGACTGTGTGAGTCAGTTGTGGCTGCCACAGCTCTGCTAGGTTCTGTTCCACGTGTCTTCCCATTCTGAGGCACAGGCTGAAGGACCAATCCCTATTTGGAACACACCATTTTCCTGGAAGAGAAAACGAAAGTGAGAGCCTCCATATGCAATGGCTCCTAAAGCTTCTGCTAGGGCCTAGTTTATATCATATCCCATTGATCACAGCAAGTTACAGGTTCAAGCTCAGTGTTATTGAGAAACCATTCTCCCATAGGATGGAGGGATACTGCAAGGCAATGGTAATAAATAACTATGTGTAATATTTCACAGAGAAGGAGGGCAGATAAATGAGAATTATAATATACTCTGCTGAAATCCATGAAATTAAATAGAGTCATGCTGCTGAAAAGGATCTTGAAGAACTCCAATTTCCTCATTTGTTAGACATGTGTCATTTTGGGCCACCTAGCATCTGAGCCCACTTCTTATGTTTGGGAAATTCCCTACTTTTTGAGTCTTGGTAGGAAGAGAGGCTGATCAGAACAGGCTTCTACTAGATAAGTGATTTCTAGCCTTTCTTGGATTTAGGGCCAGGTCTATGACTTGGGCTACATCAGTCACAAGTATTTGATTTAAGACTTTGAATCAAGAGCTGGTACCTCGCACTAGCTGAAGTGCCAGGAGCCTTGAGTTCTTGGGGTGCTGGTAGCTGCAATGCAGTGCCCAGTATCCACAGTATTGGCAGTGCCCAGAGGGTCCTCTACTGAAGTAATAAGATTTGGGGTGATGTTCTTGGTGACCTGAGAGCCTGGTTCGCTACCTCTCTTGGCAATTCCATGAGCTTCCCAGTGTCCTTTAATTAATTCACTTCTGACCCATGTTAGCCAGTGCTGTTGCTGTTGCTTGCAGCCGTGTGTCCTACCTCCTTTCCCAGGGAGGCAGGGTGTACGATATTTTTTTTTTTTTTTGAGATGGAGTCTCGCTCTGTTGCCCAGGCTGGAGTGCAGTGGTGCGATCTCGGCTCACTGCAACCTCTTCCTCCCGGGTTCTCACCATTCTCCTGCCTCAGCCTCCCGAGTAGCTGGGACTACAGGAGCCCACCAACACGCCTGGCTAATTTTTTGTATTTTTAGTAGAGACGGGGTTTCACTGTGTTAGCCAAGATGGTCTCGATCTCCTGACCTCATGATCCACCCGCCTCAGCCTCCCAAAGTGGCACGGTGTAAGAATTTTAAGAGCATTAGCTTTGAAACCAGACTTCTTGAGTTTGAAGACCTCTAGAGGTAGCTCTCGGTTACCTCTGCACAGAGCAAGCAAGCTACTTAACTTCCATGAGCCTCCATTTCCTCACCTGTGACATTGTCCTCACCTGTGAGAGTGACAAGATTTGCCTCAAACAGCTGTTGTATTAAAAGAGATGCTGTACTTGGAGGGCATGCAGGACCTATTCTGATTGCAGTTCTTTGAAAGAAAGTGAAATGACTTTCTCAAGTTCATAATGTCTGTGGGTGGCAAAACTGGAAGGCAGACCTCCTGGCTCAAAATAGCACTGTAGACCTTCACTCAGATGGAATTGATCTTGCGGACATAATGAAAGGGCTTGTAATAAGAAAAAGCATGTAAATTGCTACTTTCTTGGCAAGCAGTTTGTAAGGGAGAGCCTCTGCCTGAATTGTTAGTGGACTGCACTGCGCTCAGTCTCTTACTTTACTCTCATCTGCCTAATCTGAGGACAGGGGAAGAAGTTTCATGTTTGGTGCTCCAAGAGAATTTCAGAGTAAGGGTGGGGAGACTGTAAACCCAGATTTGAATAGGAAGCTAGTCTAACCCATGCTGTCTGTGTGGCAAATGTGTGCTCCAGACTTCTGAAACAAGTGGCACAGATTGTGCACAGCTAGCTGCGTGACAAGTGTCTTTGTCGGTGGAGAAGGAGCCGCCACACTGAGACTGTTAGACATCTTGAGTTCTGTGGATACAGTGGACTGTCTGTTTTGTTTTTGTGTTTCAACATCCAGAAAAAAATCCAGTCACAGTAGCTTGTGTCAGGATTCTAGCAGGCTTTGAGCTCTTCTGCAGTGGTCCCAAGGAGCGTGGCATGTGGCATGGACCAGTCAGAGGTCTTCCCTCTGCTTGTTGAGCTGAGTGGTGGTGGGACAGCTGACGCAGGGCTGCGTGTTTCTGTGGGCATGATTCTTCATCTCTTGTCTGTGCTATGTGGCAGGGCTTTGGGTCAGAAACAACTACAAAAAATCAAGGGACACTCTCATCCCCTCCTTCCCTCTGATGGGAGGACCCTGAAGCCTGGCCCCATTCCCGTTCTTAGCCTTAAGTCCTGTCGGCCACTGGAAGTTGTGTGGAAAGAGGGATGGGATGCAGGGAAGCTTAAGAGCTTCCAGTTTGGGCAGCCGTCTCTCAGAGATGGGGCATAGAGTTTGTAGGGCAGGGACCGATGTGTGTTTGACCTGATGGTTATTCCCCAGAATGAGGAGAGGTCATGTGGAGGTAGGAGGAGAGTAGCACCTCAGGGGGAGGATTCTTGGGATAGAAGAGGCCTGGGGCCTCCTAGGGCCTTCCTTCCTTCCTTCCTTCCTAGGGTGGGTAGAAGTCATCCCGCCCCAGTGTGGCTGACATGGCTCTAGGGTCTTCTCCATTTGTAAGTCACTTGCTGTGTCTGATATTTGATTCTTCCCTTTTCTTGGGCCTCAGGAAAGTGTTCTTGACAGTGGCCTCTCTGGGGTCAGCTGGTCTCTGTGCTTCCTTTATGGGGTTAAAGCGAGAAAGTCCCTGTAGGGCCAACATTACTGCAGGAACAGGTGCAGCCACCCATTTGGCTCTGGCTGCCCTGGGACTCTATGGTGAAGTGCGTGTTGGCTTCCTTTCCTGGCCAAAGGTGTGTGGGCTGGGTTTCTGAGTGGGCTCGCCTGAGTCACCTCCGTTCCCTTCACATAAGCTTCATCGGAAGTGACTGTCATTGTACTGTAAATTATGTTTAGGAAGAAGGTGGCTTTGAGCAATTTTTGTTCTCCCGCCACTGTAATCTTCTCTGCCATTTTCTGATAGTGAATAAGAGGACTGAACGGTTCAGGAATGAAGTTGGAGCTCAGGAAAGTGGCTGCCTGGCCTCGAGTTTCTTCCGTGGTGTAATCAGAACTCTCTCTGACCTCCTGAGCATCTGTTTGGCTCTTCACAAGGCCTGCAGCGTCCCGAGAACTGGAGAGCAAGTCACTATGAAGGGACTTAGAGAGTCACTGACTTGGATTAAAGGATGAGGGATGAGGAGTGAGTCTAGCTGGTGGCCAGAGAGTGGGCTGAGCATTCTAGCAGGTGGGGCTTACACCGTAAGTCACCAGAGCTCCCGACAGACTTTCCAAGGTTTTACCTTTCTTGTAATTTAAAAATGTTTGCTAGTTTGTACCCCTGTTTGTATCCAGATAGTGGTGATCTTTAAGATCCTTAGAGAACTTCTAGCTCGCTAGTGAGGTGGAGGTGTCAACTAATTCAGGGCTCATTATGGGGCACAAAAGAGAGCCAGGAGGTGGTGGGCCTTGGGTGGAAAGGAAGAGGATACGAGATTCCTAAAGCTTTCCTCCCTGAGGAATTGCCAGCCCGTGGCTGCTGTCAGCCCCAGTGAGAGATGTGTGCTGGAGGATACAGCCAGGTAGCCAGGAACAAGGGCACGGGGAGCCTTCCTAGACAGCAGTGGAAGGCCAGCCAGGGGCTCTAAGGCTCCCTACGGTGGACCCTGCGATGTGCTTCCCGATCCCTGCCAGGAATGCAGGACTAGTTTCCCCACATGCTGGTGTAGGGCCTGCAGAAGCCTCAGCTGCCTATGGGGTGCTCCTGCTGAGGGGACTGCCTTGCCTGGCCCACGCCCCTCCCCGGACTGATCCACAGGAAATGCCTGACCAGGAAGGGGTTCCTTCACTCCAGCCTGTGACAGCTGTGCAGGCCACCCCATCTTTAACCCTCCCATCGTGGTCAGCACTGTGCTGCAGCCTGGCTCTCCCTCTGCCCCATCTAGCTTTCTCCTGCTCCCAGAGGTGTGGGTCCCCAGAGCTCTCCCTACTCAGCGTCCTGCTGCCCTTCTCTACCTCAGAGGCTGCCTCACAGGAAGCCAGCCCACAACATCCCCTTGCACGCCACACAGGCCCTAGGTCATCTCTGGGACTGTTCAGGTCTGCTCGGTGAGTGGCATGGAACATCTTTTCAGAGATGTCTGACATGCTGGGGCAGGGGAATGGGAAGCAGGCTGCTTCCCAGGGGCTGTGTCTGTGGCTGACGGGTGCAGTGGGCATGCTCACACTAGCTCAGCAGGCCAGAGAACACACCCAGGCGCCTCGCTGCTTGCGCTTGAATCTTGCTCTACCATTTGCTCCCTGGGTGATCTGGCAGGTTATTTAAGCCCTCTGTGCCTCAGTTTTCCCATCTTTAAAATGGAGAAAATAATTGGACCTCCCTCATGGTGTTCTTTTGAGGATTAAATGGGGGAAATCTCTGTAAAGCCTTCAGAACAGTGCCTGCAGGGCATGCAGTAAGCGCTACAAGCTTGTTGGTTAAAAACATCGCCCAAGGGCACTGGCCAGGGACTCTCTCCAGGGGCCTACCCACAGGGGAGGAAGGCGGTTGTGCTCCTGCTCCCCAGTGCCAGCTGTTTGCACCCTGGCTGCCTCTAGCTCTTGGACCCCTCCTTTGGTGACCTCTTCCGGGTCTTTGGCTGGCAGACCTGATCCAGTGTCGCTCCTTGGACATAAAAACCCACCTCTGTCAGGCACTGGGAACAGTCACTGGCTGCTTACACTGTGGTCATGGCCCATCGTTACCCACAGACTTTATATACCTGCTAGGAGCAAGAGTAGGAGAGGGTGGGTTCCCAGAGCAGGCCTCCAGGTTTTCCTGCTTGCAGTCTCATGGATGGGCTCCAGTCCCTCCTTCCCCTGGTTGCTCCTGCAGTCAGGGCGAGATGGGGCTGAGACAGGGGAATGGGAGAGTGCCTGGAAGGTGGTGGCAGCAGTGGGACCACGAGAGCTCTCCGAGGGGAGATAAGGCAGTTGATGGGGGAGTGAAAGAAAGATGCAAATCAGGCTTTCCCTGGCTGGCCCATATGGAGAATGGGTTCCTGGCCTAGGAGGATTCCCTTTGCCCTCCACATCCATTCCTCACCTTTCCCAACACTGCTTTTGGTCCCAGAAGGCTGATCTCTACGGACTGCATCAAACAGGCTTCCATGCCTCTGGCTCACAGGTGGGCGTGGCCGTGGAGGCATCTGGCAGTGGCTGTGCTCTTCCGTGAACAATGCTCCCAGCCACAGCTCTTGCTGGGCTCCTGGAAGGACTCTCTCCCTTGACCCCTTCAGGCCTAATGTGGTAATGGCTCCCCCCTTTTGCTAGCCAAGGGTGCCTCTACCTCTGTTGACTTTCCTTAATACTGTCTGCCTTTGTAAATAGTTTTTAAATTAAACTCAGTTGGAAATTTCATGCTGGGGCCCTGACAGATCCACACCCCTCTGGGCTGATGCATCCCCTGGGCTTATGGCCTGGCGAGCAGGGTGTGGGCTAGATTGCAGCCTCCCTCATCCCCAGGTGCCCAGATGCAGGGCACAGTCTATCGATTGCACCTAGTACTGCTGGGTGGACTGGGTGCTCTTTCTTCTTTATGTGTGGCATCTCCATTGCCGGAGAAGATCTGGGTTTGGTTCCATCAAGGAGGCTGGCATGATCTTTTAGCTGCCACAGCATCATCCTTAGAGTGGAAAGGGGACAGAAGAAGCCTGGCAGTGCTGGCATAGCCACAGCCAGGAGAGGAGGTACCAGGATGTTCTGAGGACCATGGCCCTGGGGCCTCTTCCTATTTTTTCTGTTGTGTACTTAGAGAAGCTGGTGGGTCCAGTGCTCCCTCCCCATCTTCTATGACTAACACTTTGCTCCTGGATAATTGATCTACTGGTTCTGACTTACTTCTCAACTAGAATCCTTTCTTAATGAAAAGCCAGAGACCACAGGGGCCCCAAATCTGTCTTTTTCTATGTCCGTGTGTTTTCAAGAATTTGCATCTTTGTGTCTTTCTAACTTTTGGGAAGACCAAGAGCAACCCTCACTGTTTTGGTTTAGATGCCAGGATCTGGCATGCCCTGCACTCCACCCTCAGATTTTTTAGTAGAAAACCAACCCTGGTAACCACGACACCTAAAGGTACATCATCTCTACTAGGAAGGATTCAGAGCACTGGGAAAGCCCTAGAAATCCCAGGTCCAATTAATAATTCCATAGGACAATTCATTAGAATGCACAAGTGCTTAACTAAACAAAACCATAATCGAACTTGTCAGAAGTGATCCACGGTTGTGTTAAAATTTTCTCATTTGCACATCATTTCCTCTACAATTTAGTTAGATAACAAACACTACTTATCCCATCACTGGCTTTTTCAGCCATGAAATGCAGTTTGTGTCTGTATTGGGCACCAGAGAAAGGGCTTTCAGCTGGCTGGTGAGAGGGAACTCAGCTGAGGAACAGGCAGGTCTTGTGCAGCCAAGCCCAAAGTCAGCCTGGTGTCCTGTGAAGTTCTCTGCAGCCTGGTTTTATGTTTGAGGATGACACTCTTCTGCTGGTATCTTTAGGGCTCTGCCACCTTGGAGACTGCTGGAGGATGACAGCTCTACCTTTGGGACAGAACGTTTTAACCAGGCCAGGGTAGGCACTGGCGCATAGAGAAAGCCTACTTTTCCCAGGATGACTTACAATGCACCATTATGGCTTCATTCCTTTAGCTGAAGCTGGTAATAATGGGAAATTGCAGATTTCTTTTCTCAGGGACATGATTTTGGAGGGTTATCAGTGTTCTTACTTTGGTTAGAATAGTTTGTCAAGCCTTCTTCTGAGTGGGTTTTGAAGCTTGGGGGCTGGGGTAGGGACCACGGGGGTGAGAAGAGATGGTCCTAGATGGCTCAGCAAGGACAGGCCACCGGGACTGAGCACTGTGGCAGGGGCCCTGTTTCTGCGGCCTCATCTATGTAGCTAGTCTCGCAAGGGGATAAGGAGGGGAGTAACCACTCATTTTTAAATATTATTTAGAACAGGCCAGATCTGTACAGCCCCAGAGCAGGGATGCCAGGGCTAAATGTGAGGGTCTCTTTAGTTTTCTGGGGATAACTAACACACCACAAATATGCATTTCAATTGATTAAATTAAGTCCATATATGTGCATGTGTGGATGTATATATTGCTATGCATCCTCTTTCTTCCCCCTCTTTATTTTTTCCCAGGAGGAAGAAAGTATTTGTACTTACAGGCAATTAAAAGATATTTTAGTCCTAACAGGATTCAGAATCCCAGTAGGTTTGGGTGGGTGGAGGCTGAATCTCGGATCTCACTTGAGCTGTCTAATTGCCTTTGCAGTATAATGGTGTCCACCTGGCCTGTTTTACACAGCTGACCTTATCTGGGTATCTTAGTCTGTTCAGGCTGCTATAAATAAGACACTGTAGACTGGGTGGCTTATAAACAAAAGAATTTGTTTTTTATAGTTCTGGAGGCTGGAAGTCCAAGATCAAAGCCCCAGCAGGTTCAGTGTCTGGTGAGGGTCCTCTTCCTGGTTCATAGACAGCCATCTTCTCACCGTGTCCTCACATGGCTGAAGGGACAAGAGAGCTCTCTGGGATTCCTTTTATAAGGGCAATAATCTCATTGATGAGGGCTCTGCCCTCATAACCTAATCACCCCCCACCTCCTAGTACCACCACCTTGGGGGTTAGGATTTCACCGTATGAACTTTGTGGGTTCATATACATTCAGTCCATTGCACTGGACATATTGCAGCTCAGTCAGCTAGCGTCAGCCGTGGCCATGATTTACCCCTTAGCTTTAGCACATCCATATGTCCTAATAGGAGTGGGAACAGTAACCAATAGTAGAGAACCTACTATGTGCCAGCACATTCTGGGTGTTTGGCCCTGTCTAGCCCCAACAGTGCCCCTGCAGCATGGGTCTTATTAATGATGAGGAAAGGCAGACTCTGAGGGGTTACAGGACTTTTCTTTTTCTGTTTTGTTTTTGTTTTGAGATGGAGTTTCACTGTGTTGCCCAGACTAGAGTTCAATGGTGTCATCTGGGCTCACTGCAACCTCTGCCTCCCAGGTTCAAGTGATTCTTCTGCCTCAGCCTCCTGAGTAGCTGGGACTACAGATATGCTCCACCACATCCAGCTAATTTTGCATTTTTAGTAGAGATGGGGTTTCACCATATTGGCCAGGCTGGTCTCGAACTCCCAACCTCAGGTGATTTTCCCACTTAGGCCTCCTGAAGTGCTGGGATTACAGGTGTGAGCCACTGTGCCCAACCAGGAATTTTCTAAGGCCACTTAGTGCTGAGACGAGAATTTAAGTCCAGGCCTTCTTTGCTCCAACATTCCAGGGATGGGCTATTTGGGAGAAATTCCTTTGATTTTCAGGGTGTCTAAAGGTGTTTGCTCTTCAGTGTTTTACATTGTATAGGTTGACTGTGCTCCCTGTCCCTACACATCCTTCCCTTCCAGCTGGGCCCACTTAGCAGCTCTGAGGGCCCTGTGCCTGATCAGGGGCTAGAAGGCGGCTGTGGTGACGGCCCATCTCACTGCTGTCCCTGTCACACTCAGGGCCCAGCCCCATATACTCCTAGACTGCTTCCCTGCTGTTTATCCCAGCTCCTCAGGGACCTCACCTGTCACTTATCCTGCAGGTGACTGGGCCCGCCCAGAAACTATGATCCTCTAGCTCTGCATGGGCTCCTTGCTGAGTTGCCTCTCTCCCGTTGAGGGACCCACCTCTCCTCCCACTACCTCTCTCCCTCATGGGGCCGTGCTACCTGGCCTTTCAGGGCCCTTCCTTCCTGCCCAGTGATCTGCTCCCACGAGGGGCTCTGCATTTGCTCTTCCTGCTCCTGGGAATGCTCTTCCTCCCAGACAGCCACAAGGCTTCCTTCCTTTCCCGTGTTCAGGTCTTTGGTTAGGTTTCATCTGGTCAGAGAGGCCTTCCCTGGCCACCGCCATCAGAGAGCCCGTGGCCCATCCTTCTCTATCTCCCAACCCAACTCCATTTCTCTGTGTCACTTATCGCCCACCTGACTCATCTCATCATTGTGGGTTTATTTGTTTTGTTGTCCCTCTCTGCCCACACACTAGAACGTAAGCCCCACAAGGGCAGGGGGTATGTAGTTTTGCTCATTGAGGCTGACAGGTGGGCAGCATACAGAGAGAGCAGGGGGAATCGGGGCACACAGAGACTTAGGTTCCAACCTGTGTCTGCCAGTCACAGGTGTGTGACCTAGGGTGTATCCGAACCTCCAGGAATTCCCCATCCCCCCCGCCCTTTTTTGTAAAACAGGAGTATTAATCTATTTGTCTATAAAATGGGACTATCAATTCCTGGCTCTTGGGTTGTGAAGACTCATACTAATAGCCCACATTTACTGAGTACGGGTCATTTGCTGTGCCTAGTACCAAGCCCTTTGCAGGGTGACCTCATATTATTCTCATGGTATCTTAGGAGAGGCCCCTATTCTCAGTTTACAGAGTGCATAGCTGAGCCAACAGAAAAGTGAAGTGACTTGCTCAAAGACCCGCAGCTAGAAAGTGGCAGATTCAAAACTTGAATGCGGGCTCTGGATCTGGCCTCTGTAATGCCTCTCATTTGGACCACACAAGCGTAGTGCACAGTTGGCTCTTGATAAATAATGGCTGTTCTCCTTCATAGGATCTGTCTTTTCCCATGGCTAAATTGTCTCTTGGTTTCGGTCCACTTTTGGATTCCTGGTCCTTCATCCTCCCATGAGCAACCAAACCTCTGCCTCCTGGTCCAGATCCTTCACTTGCCCTCACTCTTGGGACCTTCTTAGGCTCTGGGCTCCAGCCTGCTCTGCTCTGGTTGCTCCTGCCTCTGCTGCCACTCAGTTGAGTCTGTCTTGGTGCCATCAGCCTCTTCTGTAACCTCCAGTCCCTCTACCAGCAGCCAGATGGAAGCAGCTGGGAGCACAGGTCAGCTGGCAGGCCAAAAGTAGAAGTCTATTTGAACTACTGATGGTTTCCTTGAGTTTTCCATTTGTAGGGCAAGAGTAGGAAGGGGTCGCAGGACTAGTGGCTTGTGGCTGCAATCCGATGGGTGACAAGCAATGGGAAATGTGAAATTTCACATTTAGAAAACTGATTCCTCTGTGTAACAGCTGTTCTTATTCACGCTCAGAGATGCCAGGATTGGTGACCCTTGGCCACAAGGGAGGCCTGCCATCCATTGTCATTACAAGGGGAGTGCTCAGGGAGGCTGCTTCCTTGGAGGTGGCTTCAGGAATTCTGCTGTGTAAAGGAAAGCATTTCTGCTATTCCAAATGGGGAGCCTCTGCCTGCAACTCAGAGGGGATTTCCCTGCAGGGCCAGCCTGGGGCAGGCAATTGCAAGCATGGGTTTTGGAGCTCCAGTACCTAGATATGGTTTAAGCATAGGCCCCAACACTTACTCCCTGTGTGACTTAGATAAGTGACTTCATGTTTCTGAGCCTCAGTTTCCTCTTCTGTGATGTGGGAATCATTGGATGGGTTTGGGTCCAAGTTTCTCTTTAAGTGAGCGTATTTTAGAAAGCCCCCTTCTCTGTTCCAGCCTCCTCCTCTGTAATCACAAGGCATCTCACAGCAACAGGGTCCCCTCACTCCCAGTGGCTTCTCCTGGCCCTTGGGGGGAACCAGCACTCAGGGTCTGAGCTGCTCACCAGTAGTTTGCCCCATTTTCCACCCGTGACCCATTCAAGCCTTGTGCCTTTTTTCCTAGAAGTCCCATCAGAGTGAGTTCCCTGTAGCTGCCTAGAAACACATTTCAGTCCCACTTACAACAAAAGAACAACCACCTTTAAAGCTTTACAAAAAAAATAAATAAATAAATTATGTTCCCCCTGAACAGTCCCAGAAGAAATGTCATTGGAGACATAAAACTGTTTTACTGTGACCTATGTAAACGTCCCGGGAAATAAACTGACTTCTCATTCCATAAAATCCTCTTGTCCTTTGTCTTGAACAAAACAGATTGGATTACTTGAAAAACAGGAGCTTGAGGCTTGGCAGAGAAGACAAAGTTCAATCATAATGCAGAGGTATGGGGCAAGGCTTTCCATTCTGGGAAGCACAGCTTTATTAGTTTTATTGCCTAAGTCCTCTTTGAGATGTGCCAATCTCAGCTTCTTGTGGGATGTGGAAGGACAACCCACGTCTTTGAAAGAGATAGACCCTGTGGCCAGTGGAGGGTTGAAAAACCAGAGTCAGATTCTCCCAAAATGATTCAATCAGGAGTTGCTCAGAACAGAGCAAGGGACAGGAAGTCAACTGATGTTTATCAACCCTCTGCAATGTGCCAAGCACTGTGCTAATTCCTTTTCTTCAAGCCTCGTATCTGTTGCTGCCAGCCTTTGGAGGGAGGTTTATGATTCCCATATTACAGAAGAAGAACTGAGGCTCAGAGACATGCAGTGCCTTCCCTAAGGTCACACAGGGAGTGAGCACTCAAGTTTGGACTTGAGCCCAGGTCTGAGTGTCCGTGACTCCACACTACAAGCTCATCTTCATCCAGCTGCCCTTTTCTCCCCTAGATGTATTTCTGTGGTCCAGAAGGGAGGGGTGCCTGTTGTTCTGGGTCTGTCTGTTGGGAAATCTACATGGAGTCTCATCTGTACTTAATATCCAGTGCCTTTTCTGTTTTCATGCCTGTATGTGTAAGTACACAGATGCACACGCACAGGTACCACGCACACAGACACACACACAGATCACACACACGGGCCACCTGAGTGATGAGAGGAGTTAGTGTCATTATGGGACTTTGTCGAGAGGCATCCTTTTTCTAGGCAGCACCCGTGTGTCCTGGTGTCCATGTGATAGATGGGTTAGGAGAGTAGCAGAGCATGGTAATACCACTGTGTTAAGGCACATAACGAGCCCAGGCCTCAGGTGCCGCCAGACTCTCCGTAGCACCTTCTAAACACAGTCCCTGTGCAAACTGCCAATTTGGATGAAGAACCTGTCACTAAAATTAGGTTGGATAAGGTCTGAGCTGGGCTGAGCTATAATGTAGATATGGCTGATTTACTGTCACAGCACTGGGCTCAGAAAGAAACTATGTGTGTGTACCTGTGTGTGTCCCCATATATGTGAGAATAAGGGTCAGACCCCCTTTCACATCTTGTTCCTAATTCTTTGCCGCACTCAGAATAAAGAATTTCCACAGGATTGGATGCTTTCCTCCATCTCTGAGTGAAATCCAGAGAGAATCTGTAAATGACAAGCACCATGAACTATTTCCACAAGGAAAAACAGTCTGTCCTCCTGGCGGATCTGGGTCAGGCGGAGTCTGACAGCTGTGAGATGGGGTCAAGAGTGCCAGGCCATCATGAGACAGACTGCTCTCCACACTGTGTGTGAGGTCACATGCCACTTGGACCTAGGGCTAAATTCACCCTTTACTCCTGCCCAGGAGACACGGCTCAGCCCTGAACCCATGGGGGCAGGCGGTTTCAGATGGAAAAATTGGCTTTCGTCTTTGGTGACTTTAATAAAGAATTCTTAACTTAGACTTCTGGATGGGCTTTAGGGAATCTGTGAATGTGTAAAAATTATGGGAGTAACTCTGTGTATGTATATGTATACATGTAAACATATGTATGTGTGTATATATGTAGACATGTGTATACATATGATGGTATGCATACATATACATATGTATATGTGTTGATCAGTTTGAGCTGCTGTAACAAAGCACCATAGAGTGGATGGCTTACAAACAACAGAAATTGATTTTTCATAGTTCTGGGGGCTGAAAGTCCCAGATCAGGGTACCAGTGTGGTCCGGGTCTGGTGAGGGCCCTCTTCTGGGTTGTTTACTGCCAACTTCTCATTGTATCCTCACATGGCAAAAAGAGACTGGGAGAGCTCTCTGGCCTCTTCTTAGAAGGGCACCAATATACCATTGATGAGGGCTCCACCCTTATGATCCAATCACCTCCCAAAGGCCCTACCTTCAAACATCATCACACTGGGGATTAGGTTCCAACCTATCAATTTTAGTGGAAACAGAAGCTTTCATTCCATAACACAGTGTGCACATGTATGCATTTTCTGGAGAGATAGTCCAAGCCTTTTCTCAGATTTTCTGAGGGGTGAGTGGCTCAGAAGTAAAGAACCACTGCATTAGCCAGGTCTCCTCAGGATTGTCTGGGGCCTATTCTGGGGATCACATGTATGGGGTCGCTCTGTTAGCTGTAGGGGACTGGCTAGGTCATGCTTCAGCCTTGGCTGCGGGGACACAGCAACCTTGAGCTGTAGCTCTTTGCAGACCAGTGTGTAAGGTCTGAGACCAGGGCCTGGTGGCAGTAATTAGCTTCAAGGAGCCCTCCCTGCGTGAAGCTGGACAGCCGGTCCCTTCAGTCTTCAGCAGATTCTTTGGCTGGGATTCCATGATTCAGCTCCTGAATGCAGCCCTTGAATACTTCAATGCCATTATTCACAGCGAGAAACCTCATTCAGTCCAAAAGGAGGGGCAGCCTGTTTTTACAACCCCCGGGAGAGAAGGCCTTCAGCTGCAGCCTGGCCCTCTCTTGCATCACCTGGCAGGCTGCATGTCTTTGTCAGGAGTCAAGTGGAAGGCGGTACCAGCTGCACGCCCCGCCGAGAGGAAAGAGTGCCGGTTGTGTCTGTCCGGGCACCATCCTCATGTTAGAGCTACAGAGAGGCATGTAGAGGTGGTACACAGAAGTCTGGGTCAGGAAGGCCTGCAGCCTGAAAGCCTGAGGATGGAGCTCAGCGAATGCATATATAGGGCTGAGCTCTGGGACTGTCCACTATCACAGAAGCCTGGCTTTGAAATGATGTTGCAATGTGCCCAGCCCTGAGATTTGCCCTGGAGTCACAGAGATCCCATTTTCTAGAGAAGATCACAGCCTAGAAGAAAAGATAGATGGGCCAACAGGTCACACAAGGTGGTGTGAAAAGTGGCACAGTAGCTGGATAACTCCTTAAAGGCAGGCACCTTCATTTCTATTTCTTGCACTGAGCCCCAGGTTAGACCCAGGAAATGCATCTCTGGAAGGCAGCTATGCTCACCACTATACCACCAATGCAGGGAATGCATCTCTAAAGGCATGAGTGCCTTGCATATAGTTTGTGTTCTAAGGGACTTTCTGCATGCCCAGTGCCTGGTACAAGGCCTGGAAATGAGCTGTACTCATGGAAGGTTTGCAGAAGTGACCTGAATAGAGGTTGGAACATGGTGAGGCCTTATCACAGAGACGACCCAGGGTAGGGAGCTTTACCTGGTTTCATATTTAATGCTTCTGACCTGCCCTTCTCACAGGGCCCCTGGGAGAGTATACTGAGACAGCAGATGTTAAAATAGTTTGTGTACTTTAGTGCCAGGCAAAATATGGGCTCCCATTAAAGGTGGTTTTCCTATTGTGAGGCTTTCCACACCCTTCATGTCACATTGCCTTGTGTGAATCTTGGGTGCTTCAGATCCATCAGCGTGGTCTCTGTGACTTGGTGGTAATGCTCCTTTTGGGCTGCAGCTGAGTCTTCCCTTGTGTTGAGTTTTCCATGCTGTGGCCAGCATCTGCATGTAGTTGGTACTCACTGGGCCATAGTGAAGTGTCTGGAGTGTTCTGATGCTGTAACCAGGGACCTTGGGTGCTCTGCTGGAAGGTCCTGCCCTCAGAAGGCTTCTCAGAGGATGTGACCACCGATGCTGTGTCTTATACAAATACTCTTTCTGCGTGGTGCTGGGAGTGACCCCAGATATAGCCAAAGAAGGGAGATTGCTCTCCAATTGTCACCATGAACAGGATCTTTCAGTTTCCCACAGAGGATGGAGTAGCGCATGTGTTAATCACAGGGCAGTGAAGGTCTTGAATTCAGATATGCCAGCATGTGGCCAAAGGCCTGTGGCCAGTCCTCTGCTCTCTGCCAGTGGCTAGGCACAAAGGGCTGAGGCCTCTATTTATTTCTGATGAGATGTGCTGAGGGAGAAATGACTGGAGGCATGGAGAGGGGGGAAAGTCATTCCGTCTTCAAAGGAGCACAAACAATTGATGTGACTCCAAGCTTTCTCTCCATTGTTCAGTAACTACTTATTGAGCAGTTACCATGCATAGCACATGATGCTAGGCCTGGGGCTAGGGGAGAAATAACACCAATTCTGTTCTTAGAGTTTTCACCCAAGGCTAGATTAAGATGTATTGGGTCCTAAGAATCACAGTGCTCCCTTCCCCTCTTTCCTGAATGTAATGCAAAATAAAAATATATTAAATTATGAATATATAAAAACAATTCCAGCAGTTCTAATTGTTCCCATGATAACTACTTAAATGTTTAAAAAATCTTTCTTTGGATATCAAATTGTTTCAAAAATATTTTGGTATTAGAACTTCACTGATGTTCTGAAAACAAGCTCAGTGTGCCATTTAGATACCAAGGGCCCTAATTGTCACAGATTAAGAGAAGTCAGAAAAGGAGGAAGCTTTTTTTTTTCTTTTCTTTAGCAAACACTTGTGAAAGATGAGAATCAGGGCATTCAAGACAGAGGATTCAGAATGGGCAAGGGAAAAGCATGGGGGTGTAGAAGAAGAAGAGAAAAGTTCAGTTTGGTCCGAGAGGTAGGGAAGTCATGGGAGAGGGGTGGGAGCTGGGGCCAGATCTGGTTGAGCCTGAGTGCCAGATAAGGAGTTTGGGTTGTATCGGGTAGTTCTTGGGAGCCATCAAAGATTTCTGAGCCTCTCTTTGTTATTGTAAACCAATTTCCACATTCAGGATATTCAAAACCACCCTTGCATAGCATTTAAGAGTATCTACAGTGATGGAGTGAAGCTGGAGTAATTGAGTATTGGTAATTGCTTTCACTGTGCTTTGGTGGAATGCATTTTAGAAATGGAGTTCTATCCTGTAAGTGCATCTATAGGAAAAAAGTGCCAAAGGCTTCATTATCATTAACCAGTGCCAAATGGGATTTGCAGAGAGAGTGAAGTGAATGAAGACCATGCCTCTGTCTTCTGATTACTGCTTGAATCTGTAAGGGAGGGATTACAATAATTGCAGCGACTAAAAAACAACAACAATTTGGGGAAGCAGATATTCACATGGCCTTGGAGTAACACCCACACATTACTTATTAATTACAAACGAATGAAGTACTTTTACGATGGAGAAATATGGCAGATGCCACCTTAATCAAGTGACCACACTTAGAATTACCAATAATGGGGCAAACTGACATTATGTGGCTTTTGATGGAGTGCAGTGGGATGAGCACAACATCACTTATGTAGTATTTGCCAAACATCTTTGACCTGAATCTAATAAAGAGATATTAATCAGACACATTCACATTATAAGATCTCCTACCTCAAATAGCGTATCCTCTAAAAATGTCAATGATTTAAAAAACAAAAAAGGGTATATGTGTGTAGAGGGAATGTTCCAGACCAAAGGAGACCAAAAAGATATATAACAAGCAAATGCAATGCTTGAGCTCAGATTGGATTATGAATCAGAAAATGAACAAAGAGCTATAAAGGACATGATTGGATAATTGGGAAAGTTTAAACATGGAATGTATATTAGATAATAGGTCTATCAATGTTAAATTTCTTGGGTATCATATGGTATTATGGTAATATACAATAATGCCGTCATACCTCAAAAGTAGAGAAGCTAACAGTGCAGCCTTCAGTCTGTGGTCGAAGGTAGAACTTGGAGTCCAATGTTCAAGGGCAGGAAGCATCCAGCATGGGAGAAAGATGTAGGCTGGGAGACTAAGCCAGTGTAGTCTTTCCAGGTTCTTCTGCTGCTTTTATTCTGACCACACTGGCAGCTGATTAGATGGGGCCCACCCGGATTGAGGGTGGGTCTACCTTTCCCAGTCCACTGACTCAAATGTTAATCTCCTTTGGCAATGCCCTCACAGACACAGCCAGGATCAGCACTTTGCATCCTTCAATCTAATCAAGTTGACATGAAATATTAACCATCACAGAGGTGGAGCAGGATACTCCTATAGAAAGGGAATATATATGTTTTATAAGGTTTGTAGAAATATTTCACACTTTAATCTTTGTGCATATAAAGCTTGGATCTATGTAAGAACTAAAAAGTTAGGGAAGGGGAAGAAGAAAAGAAAGAGGAAGGGGAGAAGGAAAAGGAAGAGATTAAAGCAGAGGAAGAGTAGGAGGAAAAGAAAGAGGTGGGAGAGGAGGAAGAAGAGAAGGAGGAGGAAAAATAAAAAGGAAAATGCACTGGGGCTTGTGTTTGGGAGACTGACTCAGTTCAGAATTTTCCTCTGAGACTCAGCTTCCATGTTTCTAAGATAGGGAAAATCATATCTCCATTGGTGGGTTTTTATGATAATTAAATATTCCTGATATAAAGTAAGTCTTCAGTCAATATTTGTTTCAATGATTTCTCCTTTTGTTTAGAATGAATGAGAGACTTAAAAAGTGGAAATTCTAACAATAGAAAAATTCATTTATTAATTCACTCCTTATTCACTTAACAGTAGTGTCCAAGTGATGATCCTGAATAACAGTGCCAAGGAAGCCAACCAACTCACAGATCACTTTCACCTCTGTTTGTTTGCCCACATTTTCAGGTTCCCAGTGTACAAGGAATGTGTTCTGCCAGAGAGTAACTTTCTTGCAGGTGCTCTTTCTATTGGGAGCGACCCTGAAGGGTTTTGTCCTGTACTTTTTCTTGTCTGGGGCATCTACTGTGGAAGATGAAGAAGTGAAAATGTGGTTTGGGAAGGGACATAGGATTATCTGAGAGAGGACAGGCTGGCCATTTTCCATGGCCAACTCTCTACCCTCCTCAGCAGCTGCACATTTTCCAGGATACCAGGGCTGTACCTTCCTTGGGTCTTTGGAGTTATTTTCTTGCCCATTGACTGGAAGTTTTGTCCCCTCAGTATCTGGAAGCAGCATAGTCTTCAGAGTTATTTCACATGCCTTCACTTTTCTAATAACACAGTTCTTTCTCATAGTCCTTTTAAAATTAACCTAAGACAAATACCCCACTTTCTACCAGAAAATAGCAATGACGGGAATCAATAGTTCTGGTTGATGCATGGCCAGCACTACTCCAGGAAGCCTGAGCCTGGGATGAGCACTGTCTTCAGTGCAAGCACTCTGGGAAGTCGCCCTGCACACGAAACGCTTGAACCACCAGTTGCTTTTCCTTGTCCCCCTCATAGCTATTTGGGGGAAGTATAGTCATCTGGACAGGGTCTAGATGGTGTATTTGACATCCTTGCCTGACTATCCTGGGTCTGAAGTCATCCCACTTTAGGAAAAAAGAAGCCACCTGTGAAGTGAACACATATTAAATATTTTGTAGTGGTTTCTCTTTTGCAAAATACATGAATAGCTTAGACCTAGCAAAACCATGTGGGGTTTTATGGTGTGTATGCATGTATTGGTTGTACATTTTTTATATTCACTTGCCAGAGGAGCTGTATGCTGGAGTTCTGGGGACATAGATTGTTTGAAATCGATAAATAAATTCTTAATTTTATTTTCACTGGTAGCTTCACCCTCTTGCTTGGCTGTGCCTTTCATCACTGAGGCTCCCGAGGACTAAAGCAGCCAGATGGTTCTGGGCATTACAAGTTGCTGCAGGGTGACTGCAGGAAACCTCAATAATACATAATTTTGTCCCTGAAAGCTGAGCTGAGCTTTAAATGCTTGCTAACCTGTACTGATAAGGAAGGCCATAGGGGAGGATGACTTCCTTTCAGAGGAGTGAGGATGGATGGCTGGCTTCTCTGACTCGGAGATTAGATCAGTAAGGCCTGGGCTAGAGGATTTACTGTGGAAAGGGTCCAGATGTGAAACAGTGGGAAGAAAGCATAGACAGAACTTGAAGGCATGCAAATGAAGGAGAGAGAGCAGGTACACTGGATTCAGGGAGGAAGCAGCAAGAGTTTGCAGGAGGAAGCGAGTGTGGTATTAAATCAGAATGGGGACTTCTGAATCTGGTGAGGAGGAAGGCAATGGAAATCTTAGTGAGAATGCTTTCATTGGGATGTCGGAGACTGAATCCAGATGATGTGGCATTGATGGGGGAGGAGGTGGTAAGGCAATGGAAGCTGTAATATGCAACCCAGGATGATGCCAGCTCCTATTACTTTGTGGTGATGGCCTAGAGCTCTTTGCTGAGCAGGTTGTTTCTGGGTGACACTGGAGAGAGTGCTGTGATTGATTACTTGGATCTGCTGTGGGCATAGGAGTCAGTGCTGGTATGCATGCCATCTGCCTGCCATCCTTCATAGAGATTCAAGAATCTGGTAACTCACACTGTTATCTTAGTGTGGTCTGTCCTTTCCTGTCTTCTTGTTTTTACTTAAGGTTGATATTCATAATATCTCACAACCAATCCATGACTAATCATAGCAGACACTGGCTATAAACAACCAGTTGCCTGGAGTGTGTGTACTACAAAATATCATGCCATTTACTCTGCCTGGAACATCCTTTCCCTGTGTTCATCTACTGAACTCCACTCATTCTTCAAGCCCTCTTCAAATGTCATCCCCTCAAGGTGGCATTTTCTTTAAACTTTGCTCCTTTTCCTATGTTCCCATGGCACTTTGTACATATCTGGGTTCTAGCGCTTCCAACACTTTGATGTTGCAGTTGTGTGTTTATGTGCTTGTAGCTTCCTTTAGCTGGGAAGCTACTTGTGAGCAGCAAGGGTGCCTCCCCAGATGAGGCAGTCAATAAATGGAAAAAGGACAGGGATCTTAGGAACTTGGTTCATCTCTGAGTCATCCAAGGCAAACAGAATGCCCAGCACATAATTGGCACTCAGTAAATTGCCCCTCTTGCCTAGCAAGTATAGGCTCTCATTAAATGTTCCATAACCCAATATATATATATATATTTTGAGATGGGGTCTTGCTCTGTCACCCAGGCCAAAGTGCAGTGGCATGATCATGGTTCACCGCAACCTCCACCTTCCAGGCTCAGGTGATCCTCCTACCTCAGCCTCCTGAGTAGCTGGGACTACAGGTGCATACCACCATGCCTGGCTAATTTTTTGTATTTTTTATAGAAATGGGGTTTTGCCATGTTGCCCTGGCTGGTCTGGAACTCCTGAGCTCAAGCAATCCACCTGCCTCAGCCTCCCAAAGTGCAGGGATTACACACATGAGCCATCACGCCCGGTGATGACCTGATTTATTTGTGATCAAGTTTTTTTTTTCTTTTCAATAAGAAAAATATGAATATGTTTGAGGGCAGAATAAAATGCTTGTTACTCACTAGAACTTCAGGGAGTCAGGAGTGTGCCCAGGGCTATTCAGTCCAGAGGGACAGAATTACCTGGAAAAGAGGACTTTGCTCTGCAATTCCTTCTCAGATCTTGTACACTGTGCTCTCTGCCCTGCAGCTGTTGGCTCTGATCCTGCCTTTGCTGGGGTGTATGGAGGGATCCTGCCATCATTCATTTACTTAGCACATACTTACTGAGCACTTACTATGTGCAGGCTCTGTGGCACATGCCCTGGCCCTCAGGAGCTCAACAGAAAAGAAAACTGTGTAAAGGCAGAACTTCATGATATAGAAGGAAACCTATTCAGTGTTTGCTTTTATATGCTCAGGCCAAGAGAGAGAAGAACCCAGTACAAATCATTTTTTTAAAAGATAATGTCAAAATGGTAAAACAGACTAAATGAACCTTTGCTGTTAGAATTCAGTATCATGGTTACCCTTGGTTGAGTAGTGGTGGAAGGGAGAACAAGGGGTTTCTGCACTGCTGGCAATGATTTGACCAGGGAGATTGCTGTATGGGGGTGCTAAACTTGAGAAAATTCATCGGATTGTACACATGTATTTGGTGCACTTTTCTGTATGTACATTTACGTCAACAAAAAGGGGAAAAAAGATGATGCCTGAATATACAGTTGGAACGGTCACAGAAGGTGGCGAAGCTTTCTCATAATCCGCAGGGAATACTGTGGCACTGTAGTAGTTTTGACTCAAAATTAGGAAATCTTTTCTTACTGTCAAACTCACACTCAAGTGAACTCAGCTTCTTGGGAGCTTACTTTATTAGCGGCTGAACACATAGTGCCTAGCGCAGGGCCTGGCCTGAGCAGGCACCATGGAGTCTTTGTGAAATGATGGGATGGATGAACACCTGCAGGCTGTAGCATCCCTGCAAGGATTCAGGTACAGGTAAAACTGGAAATTGCAGTGGAGGTGGGCACCTGATTAGACTGTCTTTGATAATAATCAGAGCAATAGCTATTCTCTGTCAAGCAACAACAGTGAGCCAGGCCCTTCAGATCGTCATTTCTAGGCTTCATAGCAGCCCACATTAACCCTGAGGAAACAGGCTCAGAGAAGTGAAATAATGTATCCAAGACCACTCAGCTAATAAGTGTGGGAAAGCTGGCTCTGGGAATTAGGCTTCTCTGACTCCAAAATCTCACTGTTCCTCCTAAAGCATATTACCTCCGATGCCTTCACTATCTGGTCCCCACTCACGATTCTTTGTACTAAAATCCGTCTACTTCCTCAGGGGTGGCTTTTGAGAAGAGGAATCTATTTTTCTCCGTCCTAAGGGTAGAGATCTGACTGTCAGTGTGTGTATGAGTGGGGCAGGAAGCCCTCTTCTTCCATGAGATGCTTGCCTGGTGTACATATTACAAACATTTTGACGGGAACTGCAATCTGGGCCAATGTGTCTGTATGGGGCAGACCAATATCCCAAGAAAATGAGTGACTGTGCTTCCTTTTCAACTATTTTGTGTCTTGGGCTGGAAAGTGCCCTTCATTCGGAGAGCGTTAAGGACTGGAGCTGGGAAGGAATTCAGCCGTGAATTTATCTGAGGATACGCTACGCCTCTCATGACTGGCAAGTTGTTACAAATGTCACAACTTATCTGCAGCTGGAAGGATAATTTAGCAAAGTCTGCGGCTGCCAAATGAGGATGTTTGCATTTCATACAGGCATGCTGTTCATGTGCTAACAGAAGCGATCAGAGGAAGAGGCCTCAATCAAACAAATGATTAACCTTAAAAACAGACACATAAACAGACCCACAATGGATGAATTATGCAGCAGACCATCTCTGCTGCTGACACTGGCCCACATCTGGTTTCTCCACTCAGGCTGTTCCTGTAAATGACTTTCCTTCTCTGTTTGCTTCCTGGCTCTCTCTACCTGTTTTCCTTTGCGCAGAAGCCAACAGAGTATGGCGAAGGCCTCTTGTCTGTGTTTCTGAGCAGTCCTTCCCCAGAGGGAACCAGGGCCTCTCAAAGGCCACACATGCTCCTGCCTGCCTGCTCAGCCTAGGCATACCCCAGACAAATACAAGAGGCAGTCTTAGGAGCCACGTCAGATGGTACACAGAAGGGAAGGAGAGGCAGGTACTGTTGGTTTAAGCTTGTTTGCAAGGGGCCCCAGGAGCGCATAAATTCTGCAAGCCTCACTTCGCCTTAGAGATACATCTTATTCATGCCGTCTGAGCCTCGCTTTATGAGGTGCTGAGCTGAGCTCAGAGGTGGGCACTTTATCCTCAAACGAGCTCTACACTCAGCACTGTGGGTGTGTTCTTGCAGACTTCCTGCTTTGGGCCAGACAGGCATTTGGCAACATTGAAGGCTGGCTCTTGGCTTCTTCCAACTGAGAGCCTCGTCCTCAGAGGCCTCCACAGATCTTCTTGCAAGGCAGTGGGCAAAGGAGCAAGCAACGTAGAAGCAAGATCTCAGGCCTCTCTGAAGCTGCATTTGCTGCAAGAGGGAAGTGTCTTCCTGTGCTGTGTCAGCTAAGAGGGCAGAACCTTCCCAGGCGAGGCAGTCAATAAATGGAAAAAGGACAGGCATCTTCGCAACTTGGAGTCTGGCACCCAGAAGCACAAAGCCAAGCCTCATTCCTTCTACCTCCCAGGAATTTGAAAATTATGATGGCTGATATGAGTAATAGAGGCCAACATTTGTTCCAGGTCTTCTGGTTGTCAAGGCACTTTCCCTTGCATTTTCTCACAAACTCAGGCAAGGTAGAAACAGGCCTTACTGAATTTAGGAATGAGAACCAAGTAGCTTTACTTGGGCCATCTCTAGGGAAGACACATTATTACATAATATAGGCAAATTGTGTCTTGGAATAGTTTGCTCACGAAAGAGTAGGATTTTAAAAATACTGTGCTTCAGAAACTCAATGAATCACCTCTGATGCCTTAATAAACAGAGAGTGAATAATGGAATAATATTAACTTTGACCACTTTATCAGCTATTTTCACCATTTAAAATGAGGCTAGTCAGATCCAAGATTCTGTGAGATTTAAACATTTCCTTCCCTCTGTCACTTATTCATTCCCATCGATGTCTTGGTTAAATAGTTACAGAGTTTCAAAAGTAATAACACTGAATTTTTTTTTCTAACACAAACCACGAGGGTGCTGTGCACACCAAAGCATGAAACCAATGTTTGTTGAATAATTGAGTGAATTACTGAATAAATGAATTCTGACTTTTACCTTCTGAATATGGGATTGCTGTCAAGTCTGGGGAAAATGGCACACTTAAACAGTTCAATAGGAGGGTCATTTTTTATCTCTGTGAGTGGAAACGAGAGGGCGTCTCAGAGGTGCTGCCCAGGCTTGGCTGTCTCTCTGCAGTCAGCCTCCTTGGAGTTGCTGTTCTGCCCAGTTTCCAGTCTGCGACAGGTGTTGCCCCAAGGCCCCTGTGCTAGTCAGCTAGCAAATCGGCCTGAGGTGCATCCCTGCTGTGCACCTGGCTGCCCGCTCAGCACGGCTCTGCAAAAAGACAGGGAAGGAAAGGAACTCCCAGGTTTGGGGAGAGCCTGGTGCTGTGCCCGGCCTTTTTACCTTCTTTATTTGTACAGAAAATACATGAAAAGGAGATCCTTGACTCCTTACCTGAGGCAATTCACTATCCATAAAGAGAAGTAAGGAGAGGAGGGGTTGTGGGTGCTAAAACGTGCTGAGGCTGACTCTGTGCTGTGCATGGGAAGGGCTTCTCTAGCTCGGCACTGTCACCATTTTGCACTGGATCCTTCTTTGTCATGGGAGGTGTCCTGTATCCTGCAGGATGATGACCGGTGCTTGCCAGCATCCCTGCTGCCTTCTACTGAGAGATGCCCATGGCGCATCTCCATCCACCCACCACGATGTGACAACCAAAAACATCTCCAGACATGGCTGCTGATCTGGGTATTGGCCTGAACTCATTTAAGCCTCCACAATCCTGTGAGGTAGGTGTTACCATCACCACTTTCCATGTGAGGAAATGAAGCCTCAGAAAGGTTCAGACATGTACCTAAAGCCACTCAAGAAAGAAGTGAAGAAATTGGGATTTGAAACCCATCTCTGTCCGCCAGTATTAGGGACTCCCGGGAGGCCAGCCTCCTGCAGGTTCTTGGCAGTGAACGCTACCTGTCTGGATCTATACTTTTCTAGAACCCTGTGCTGTGACTTTCTCCCTATAGGCTCCTATTTCCTTATCACTTGCTTTGAGATCCTATTTGAGGTTGCTAATTAAGTCTTTTCGTAGAAGGAAATGGGATGAGAATATTAAATGTGGGAAGATGCCATGTTTCAACAATGCTTGGCCTCTCTTTTTGATTTTGCTCCCTTTCTCTTGATCTTTTTTCTTTCTCTGTGTCTCTAGGACTGCATCTTTCTCTTTGATAATTGGAACCAGTAAGTCCTTTGAATTTAAGGGTCATTGGTAGTTAAGTTCTATGGTCATTGGTAGGGTTTTGTCTATCTGAAGCTGCCACCAGAATTTTGCTGATACCTGGTGTTGGAGACCCTCTTCCCATCCACATTACCCATCACCTGTGAGCCACCCCAACCCCAACAATTTCCTGTGCTGTGTCAGTACTAAATTGGGTCAGCAGAGGTCTGAATCTTTCTTGAGTCACCAGGAAGAGGTATAGCTAGGGCACCATGTAGAGCACAGGGTAAACAGAGGCCAGGCCATGCTGTGGGTTGTACTTCTTGGAGGGCAAGGCAGAGGCCTGGGGTTCCTGGAGGTCAGGGCTGGAACAGGGCAGAAGCACAGGTGGGCAGATAGAGGGGACGGGGACACAGATAGCAGATGGCAGAGCAAGAAGGAAGTCCACAGTCCAGGAAGGGAAGTGAGACAGGGCAATACAGGCACAGGCTCTAGAGGGCAAATGCTGATGCAGCTACATCTGTCCCAGGTCTGGGAGTCTTGAGCCCACAGGTGGGGGAGGGAGGTAACAGGCTGCAGTCAGGGGTGGGAGGGCAGTGGGGAAGGCCAGAACAGATGAGGAAAGACTTTATTTCTAATCAACTCACAAAGTAGAGGACATGACAGTGAAAGAAAGGAGGATTTGGTCAGCGCTGATGGCTCATTGACTTGATGTCCTGCCAGCTGATGGAAATACTGACTACATTTGGTGGCTTTTAGACCAGAGGAGGGAATACAGTATTGGGATAGAGAACTGGTCTTAAATGTTGACCGTCATAAGTGAACACAGTCATACAGTTCTAAGGCTGGCTGATCATATAATAAAGCTGATTATCAGTTTGCTGAGTGACCACGAGGACTCGAGGTAACATATGTAAGTTGCTGGCATAAAGCAGAGGCTCTAGAGATAGTAACTGTCAGCAGTTTGTATCCTTTGACTCAGCCAAGAGCACAATTTGCTCTGTTTTTGTGAAATATTATTTATGGACATTGTCAAAATTTGAAAGACATAGGAAAGTGTTAAGAATATAACAATCTTCCAGGGAAAACATTTTGGCATATTTCCATTTAATCTTCTCTGACTGTAACTACAATTACATTGCTACCATCATAGAATCTCTCTTAACCCACTTCCCTTCTTTTATTTATTTATTTTTTTGAGATGGAGTCTCACTCTGTTGCCCAGGCTGGAGTGCAGTGGCATGATCTTGGCTCATTGCAACCTCTGCCTCCCGGGTTCAAGCAATTCTCCTGTCTCAGCCTCCCCAGTAGCTGGGACTACAGGTGCACAGCACCATGCCCGGCTGATTTTTTGTATTTTAGTAGAGATGAGGTTTCACCGTGTTGCCCAGGCTGGTTGCGAACTCCTGAGCTCAGGCAATCTGCCCACCTTGGCCTCCCAAAGTGTTGGGATTACAGGCATTAGCCACCATGCCTGGCCAACCCACTTCTTAACCAAGTCACAAATTCATGAGTTTTCTCGACTCTTCTACAGAAGCCACTGACTGAAGTCCACAGCCTGCTGGGCATTCATAGCTGGCATGGAACCCATAGTATTTCTTTGAGTGCCCCCATTTCCTCTGCACTTGGGTGAATGCTTACCAAGGGTCACAGAGCTGGGTTTCTTCCCAGTCCTTCCTGTGCTTGCTGAGCTTGTTATTGTACTAACATAATCTAATTAAATATTGAGTGACCCAGTAAAATATGAGCGAAAAGAGAATTGCTTCTTAGAAAAAATCAAGTTGCATGCATTGAACGACTTGATAAAAGTCAATTACTAGCAATGATGGCTGTCAAATTAGTTGTAGGCAGGGCAGCTGATAAAGATTAGAAGACATATGTACATAATCCTAGAAGAATTTTGCCCTCAATTGGTTTCACATATGAGTTTAAATTCCTTCTCCATTTTTTAAGACGAGTTCTCCAGTTTTTTAGTTCATTTTAAGCCAAATTTGGAAATCATAGATGATATAAAAAGTCATGAATTATAATTTTATTTTTTATTTTTTTTACCAGCTGAACAAGGCCTGAAAAATGAATTATAATTTTTAAAAAGGGAAAACAAAGATGTAGAACTCCAATCTGGAGACACAGCTCAAATAGAAGCCTTGGCCTTACACCAAAATATTAGCATGAAATATTTTAAGTTGAAATAGTGTTTATGGTTTGTGTGTATGTGTGTGTGTGTGTATATATATATATATATAGAAAATATGTATATGCACATACACATTTATCTGCACAATTTCAGTGATTCCTGCTTTAAACTTTTTGCTTACCCTATTAGCTGCTCCTGACCATGTTAGATAAGAGAGTTGTTACTGGAAATACTGTGTGTTTGGTGCTTATTTGGTGCCATGCCTCCACAAAATTCTTTATAGATAATAATCTCATTTCATTCATACGAGAACCTTTTGGAGTATTCTTTCATTCAGCACAAATTTATTAATCAGCTATTTTGTGCCTAACACTGTTCCAGGTTCTGGAGGTGCAGGTGAACAGGCCCTGCATAAGAGCAGGGACCCATAAAGTCTTGCTCCATAAGACCCATAAAGTCCCTGCTCTTAAGGAGCCCCATTCTAAGGGGTGTGTGTGTGTGTGTGTGTGTGTGTGTGTGTGTGTGTGTGTGTTGGAGACAGGAGGTAAAACATAAATAATAAGTAGGATAATTTTAAGTAATGGTATATGCTATGAGGAAAACAGGACACAAGGCTTTGGTAGAGGGACTGACAAGGGTCAGTTGAGGGTGCTGATGTTGGCTGGTTGGGGAAGGTTGTCCTGTGGCAAGCAATGATTGAGCTGAGACTTGCATGACAAGAAGGGTCTGGCCCTGGGTCACAGCATCCCATACTGAAGAAACAGCAGGTGCAAAGGCCCTGAGGTGGGAATGAGCCTGGAAGCAGGAAGGCCCATGTGGCTCTAGCAGAGTGAGCAAGAGAAGGATGGGATGAGCAGGACCGATGAGGCCCTTGGAGACCACGGTGGAGTATTTGGGTGCTCTACCAGGTGAGAAGGGAGGCAGTTGCTGCATTTTAAGTGAGGTGTGATGTGATCTGATTTGTGTTTCTAGAAGTTCACTCTGGTTACTGTGGTTGATGGGTGGCAGGGGGTGAGGGAACTGGCGTAGAAGTGGTTGATTAGGTGGGAGGCCATTGGAGAGACCCAGAAATGGAGGGGGTTCAGACCACTGCAGTGGGGATAGCAGAAGCAGCCAGGTGGGTGGATTCAGAGTAGTGGGGGATCCTCACAAGGAAACCGAGGCTCAGTGTTTCCCATCAGCTTGCCCTGCAGGTCCTGCCCTTCCTTCCTGGTGCAGTCTTTCCTTCTTCCCACCCTCTGTGTGGTAGCCCTTCATCTACTTCTCTGTGATGTTGATTAGAACCTACTGAGAGATAGCAAGCTGCTTGTTCTTTAGAAAAGTAGAATTGATGAAGAGGAAATCTTTTCCTAAGAACCATCTTCTGTTTTATTTTTCCAGCATGCCCCATTATTGGAGTTGATAGCAATGTACTGCTGGGTAAGTTTGGGCTAAACTTGAGGGGCTGCTAGTTGGGTTCAACTGAGTCAGGCAAGAGCTGACCCTCCTTCCCTGTAATTGGACCCAGTTTGCAGTATGGCAGCATGTGGAGTGTTGCTGATGCTAGGGTTTTTGGTGATAGGTGAACCACAGAAGAGGGGCCTGTCATTTTTCAGGCAGAGGGTTGCAATCAAATGAAGTCAGCAGATCATCAAAACTCTATTGCTATATTCTAAACCAGCCCTTTAAGTTAGTGGAGAAGTGTTTGCAAGAGACGCTTTCTCCATATTTGTTCATTCATTCATTCATTCATTCAACAAACACACAAGAAGCTCCTGGCTCTTATTCTTTGCTGTGTGTCCTTAGACAAGTTACTTGTTCTTCCTGAGCCTCAGTTGCTTTAGTCATGTAACAGGGATGCTGATAGCACATATGTTTTAGGATTAGGATTATGAAGTTATAATGAAAGAATGGATGTAATACTCTTTGCAAAGGGTCTGGTGCATCATCAAGTTGGGAGTCTTAGAGAAGGTGGCAGAGGACTGCCTTGAGAGGAGGACCTGCCCATCTCTTGGTCACAGCCTTTTATGGTGCTACCCTTTCTGCTCTGGCATGTTTCTAGCAGAAGTTCCCAGTACCAGGGGACTTCTGAGAGCCTCTGCTACCGCTTCTATAATGAGGATTGCCCCAACTCAGGATTCACAAGGGCTTTCTGGCTTGTTCCTGGTGGGTCTTCAAGTTTTCTATGTAATTTTTGCTTTGGTGCTTTTGGGCACTGGTCTTCTCTTTCTGGGTGTTACTGCTTGCTCTCTGATGTTTTTAAAGTCTGCTTGAATGGAGGCTGCCACACGTGACTTTCTGTCATAACTACTTCATCTTAGATTCCACTTATGGCTCTTTGCTCCTAATGAGCAAATGAATATGGCTGCTTAAGAGTGGAGCTCATTTGGTTTCCTCTGGAGGACCAACAACCCTGTTTTTGCAGGTTCCTTGAACCCCTGATTTGATGGGTCTTGATATGTCCTACAAGTCATCCCTTTCTAAATGTTCAATTCATTTTGGGGGAAGTTTGCGTACCCAACCCCCTCTTGGAGATTCACATTCATTATTAGCGTAGTGAAGGCTCTGAGAAGTACCTTCGGAAAGAAACATGTTTAGCTTTGTTTAACCTAACATTCCTGTATACACCATGCAAAAATGCTGCTCTTCATCTTACTTTGTTGAGTGGACTGTAGGAAACAAAGTTGGAAACCTACGGTTCGAAACCCCGAGTCCAGGCCCTGAGCTCAGAACTTCAAATTGCTGACAAAATGCTGGCCTGATTTCAAATACTTTTTGATTCACATCTCATGGGCTGGATTGGATTTTTTATTTAAGATGTAATTTCGGATTTTTTTTTTTTTTGAGACACTCCTCAACCTTCCCCTTCCCTAGGCAAAACCAGGATGCTCTTGAAGATTCATGCTGGGCTTCTACATTTATATGCTCAAATCACAGAGCATGTGATTGGCTTATAACTCCATGTTATTGCATTTTCCTTTGGTGGAATTTGGCATCTGATTTGCAACACTCCCAGATGATCATGGTTGGAGTTGTAAGATTAAAATACTTCCCCTCCAATGAGAACATTAGTCTTACACCAGCTTTGAATAATAGCACGATGGGCCGGATTCATCTCTCTGATTTGGCTATAGTGGAAATGCCCCAGGATGAGGAGTGTGTGTACTGACAGAATAGAAGAGGAACTGCTGTCAAATCCACCCCAATCCTCTGCACTTAAAAGCAAAAAAGGCTGAGGCTGTGTAGAAATTCATGTGTGGCAGATAGCGGTGGAAAGAAGGGGAGCTGCAGTGAATTGTGAGGCATGACTCTGCCTTCAGCTCACCCACAAGGGGTCTTTCATATGGCTGAGTCATGTCTAGGTGGCAGTCAGTGCTGTGGAAGAGATGGCGAGTTTGAGCTGAGCTTTGCAGGACACTAAGATGGTGTGAAACCTCTTGGATGTGGCAGTCCTGGGCATGGCCCCTTGAAGTAGGTTGTCATTCTCAGACAAGATGGCCACTGGCAAATATAGACTGGGGAAGCAGGCTCTCAGGGTCACATGGGATCCTAGACAGGAAGCACTGGGGAAAGGACCCAGTTTTTAGGCTCTAGTGTCTGGCTTGTTTATGCTGCTGCTTGGCAGTGCTTGTTTTCTGCTGGAGACTTGAATTCATCCTCCTGTGTTTAGCTCCTACTCCTGGGACTGTATTCCTTTCATCTTATCTTATTCCTGATGTTGATAATAATTCTAATATCTAACATTTATTAAGATTTCCTATATGCAAGGTACTGTGCTAAGTTCTTTATATGCATGGCTTCACTAAATCCTTGCAGCAGCACTCTGAGCTACTTTTACAATCCCATTTTATAGATGAGAAAACAGAGGCACCGATGGCTTAGGTAATGTGTGCTCCTCGGATCTGAACCTAGGCAGTCTGATTCTAGAGCCAGGTTCTGGACCATTATGCCATGGTCTCTGTGACAGCTCCCCATGGCTGTGGTCTCTGCTGCCACACGCTGGGACAGGAGCGGGTTGGTGAAGGAAAGGGGGAAAATTCCTATGATCAAAGGGACAACTGGCTCAAGCCACAAACAGACAAAAGCACAGGGATGGAAATAAATCTCCGTTCTGAAGTTCCAGAGCAGAAACACGACTTTCCAATTTCTTGGGCCTTAGCAGGGCCTCCTACTTATCTAGTCACCAACTGGGAGGCTCAGTGGTGGGTGTACCTCATGGCTTTTTTTCCAAAAAATCTTGAGACGTAGATAACATCATTTCTATTTTGTAATCAACAATCACTTACTGAGCATCACTGTGTGCTGGAGACTTACTACACACTCACAATGTTATCCGTAATTCTCTTAACAATTCCTCAATATTGGCTAATATTATTACCACTCACAGATGGGAAAACTGAGCCTTCTAGAGATCAAGGAACGTATCAGGCTTATGTAGGAAGGTTGAGCTGGTCACGAAACCAGGAGGTTTTCATGAATGGGAGATGTTGTTTCTTGAGTAGTCTCTGGCTTTAGGCTGTGAAGAGAAGCTGCCCAAAAAGATCCACCCAATAGAGGAAAAGCTGCCCTACTGAGGTCCAAGAAATTTTTTTTTTTTTTTTTTTTTTTTTTTTGAGATGAAGGATGGAGTCTCACTCTGTCGCCCAGGCTGGAGTGCAGTGGCGCGATCTTGGCTCACTTCAACCTCCGCCTCCCAGGTTGAAGCGATTCTCCTGCCTCAGCCTTCCGAGTAGCTGGGACTACAGGCACCCACCACCATGCCTGGCTAATTTTTGTATTTTTAGTAAAGACAGGGTTTCACCATACTGGCCAGGTTGATCTTGAACTCCTGACCTTGTGATCTGCCTGCCTCGGCCTCCCAAAGTGCTGGGATTACAGGTGTGAGCCACTGCACCCGGCCCAAGAAATTTTAAAGTCATGGCCTTTCTGCTCTGGAACTTCAGAATGCAGATCCATTTCTTTTATTTATTTATTTACTTTAAGTTCTGGGATACATGTGCAGAACGTGGTTTGTTACATAGGTATACATGTGCCTTGGTGGTTTTCTGGAGCTATCAACCCCTCATCTAGGTTTTAGGCCCCAGATACGTTAGGTATTTGTCCTAATACTCTCCCTCCCCTTGCCCCCCACCCCCCGAAAGGCCCCGGTATGTGATGTCCCCTCTCTGTGTCCATGTGTTCTCATTGTTCAACTCCCACCTGTGAGTGAGAACATGCGGTGTTTGGTTTCCTGTTCCTGTTTTAGTTTGCTGACAATGATGGTTTCCAGCTTCATCCATGTCCCTGCAAAGGACATGAACTCATTCTTTTTTATGGCTGCACAATATTCCATGGCATATATGTACCACATTTTCTTTATCCAGTCTATCATTGATGGACATTTGGATTGGTTCCAAGTCTTTGCTATTGTAAATAGTGCAGAATGCAGATCTATTTCTAACCCTGTGCTTTTCTCTGTTGTGGCTTGAGCCAGTTCTTCCCTGTGTTAGCAGCATTCTCAGCTTCTATGGCAGTGTTATTGTTGGTTTCTAAACAGGCAGCTGCCAGGTACCAGAGATGTTCCTTGTGAGGCCACAATGAGTAGAAAAGTGACCCAGAGGGCAGCACCTGGTGTCTCCTCATTTCTGTATGCCTATTGCCTGGCACTAAGCTGGCAGCACAGCAGTACGAGTAACTGTTGGATGAAATGGTGGCCTTTGCCTGATACCAGGATGCCTGGGTGACTTAAACACGAGGATACAATTTGGAGTGATTTCCCCTGCCCCGAAGAAAGTTTTTTTTCCTTTTTTCTTTCTGTTTTCATTTACTCATTAATTCTGATTGGGCCAATAAAACAGCATCCCACATTCTTCATTTTAGAATTTAAAAATCAAAATTTGAGTCAATGCTAAATGAATCATAGGTACTCTTCCTTTCTATGAGAGATGAGCTTTTCATTACTGATTTTGTCCATCTGAATCTCCTGTAATGGGTAGGCTTTCTTTGTTCCTTGGGCTCTGCTTGGCTGTGGATGCCAAGTGAGATTGTCTTGCTTCTGGAGGGGAGTGACTGGCTCAGAGGTCCCCGTCCGCACCTCTGTGGTGTGGTGTAGACTGTGCCAGCCAACTTGGCCTGGTCCATCCAATCTGCTGCCCCAGCACTTCGCTGCTGGCCTTCCCAGGGTACAGATTCCAGGGTGAAAGGGTGAAGTGAAATTGTGTTGAATGATTAAATGAATATGCATCAGAAAAATGCCTGGCAAGTGCTTTGAAGCATAGGGATTATCAACGGACTCTGTGCATAGCCATATGAAAACCAAATCCATAGGGAGGTTTTAGATCTGCTTTAGGAAATGCAGAGAAATGGCTCAGCAGGAAGAGCCCCTGCAGCCAGGAGTTTGCTCCTTTGAGCAAATCAATCGGCTTTTTAAAACCCAGGCTTTAATTGGTTATGCCCTGGGAGATGGTTTTTGATACATGCCCCATCTGGCAGGACTAATTGTTCTTTGCTTTCAGTGACTAGATTGGTGCTCTGAACCCGGGAAGAAAGTCTGGAAGGTGTTCATGCCTGTCAATGTCACTGCTCATGGCTCTTGGATGATAGTATATCTTTTTTGACACCTGTTTCTTGCAAATGATTCATAGGACATGTCTTATAAGTGAGCAGCTGCCACAGAGCTCCTGGAATGGCAGAGAGTTGAGGTGCCCTTGCATGTCCAGGGCATGTGATGAAGAGCCACCTCATGTTGCTTGTCTGGCTTCTGACTCCCTAGTGACAACGACCCCACCTGGACCAGGGAGAGAAGTGATTTGGACTAGAGATGACCACCTCTCTCTGGACACTTGCTAGACCTAGATCTGGCCTCTGTGGCTGTCTCACTCTGCTTCAGTGCACACCCTGCCTCTGTCACCTTGCCACCCACACCTCCACTATCTTCCAGAGCCCACCTTTGGGTACTGGACTTTCAGGTCTGGGAGTGTGGCTATGCCAGAATAATAGTGCATTTAGGTTGCATTATCCAGTTCTAGATGTGCCAGACAAACCTCTGACAATCCGCGTTGGAGTTTCATTAGGGAGACCCAGGCCCAGCCCTGCATGATTTGGAGAGAACACAAGTCAAATGCAGCACAGGGCTTCTTGGTTACATCTGCCAGGACAGACCTTCTGAGCACACCTTCTGGACCTTCTGGGCTGTCTCTGACGCACAAGTCAGAGATGGTTCCATGGAAGACTTGCATTTCCTTGTAACTCTGGTCACACCATTGGCCATTTGAAAACAATAGTACCTGTCCCTATAGGCCCCTGGACTGGGCTGAGTGCTCTATCACTGAGCCTCCATTCATTTCTTATGTGTTTAATATTTATCATATTTGGCATGTATTATATACTGTTATTATACATGTGAGACACTGCATACACATTACATAGATATCTTATTTAATTCCTAACAGCCTTAGGAGGTAAGGCATTTTCTTAGTCTATTTTGTGCACTGTAACAGAATACTTGACACTGGAGAATTTATAATGCACAGAGATTTATTGGCTCATAGTTCTGAAGGCTGGGAAGTCCAAGATGGAGGGGCCAACATCTGGTAAGGGCCTTTTTGCTGTATTATCCCATGGTGGAAGGAGTGTGTGTGTGTGTGTGTGTGTGTGTGTGTGTGTGTTAGAGAGAGAGAGAGAGAGAGAGAGAGAGAGAGAATGAGTGAAGGAGAAGAGGCCAAACTTGCCCTTTTATAAGAAACCCACTCCCATGATAATGGACCTGCTCCTGCAACAATGAAACTTCTCCCATGATAAAGGCATTAATGCATTCATGAAGTGAATGACCCCAGGATGCAAACACCTATCATTAGGCACCATGTTCCAACACTGTCACATTGGAGATGAAGTTTCCAACGCAGGCTTTTTGGGGGACACATTCAAACCATGGCAGCCATGTTGTGAGGCAGTATAGAGTAGTGGTCAGACCCCTGAGGCTAGAGCCAGACTCTAAGTGTTTAAATCCCAGCTCTGACCACCGTTGGCTCTGTGACCTTCAGCAGATTGTTTAATATAAACTTTCTGTGTCTCAGTTTCCTATTTGTAAAACAGGATAACATTAATACCTACCTTATTGGGTTGCTACAAGGAATAAGAGTTAACACATATGCTCGTTGACCAGGACCTTGCACTTGGTAAACACCTACATAAATGTTTGCTATTATTAATATCATCATCATCTGATAGATGGGAAGTCTAAGCACAGAGAAATTAAGAACATTCCTAAGGTCACAGGTGTTTTCATGGCAGAGCTGGCATTAAAACCAGGCCCAACTCCCAAGCTCTGCCTGCCAAACTGGGTGGAACTGATTCTATCTTCTCTCTAGGGAGCGACCTGCCAAGGAGATTCCATCTTCATGTGGACTGGCATGGACAGTGGTGGGCACAGGTGGGCATTTTCCTCCTTGTGAAAGGCCCTTGCCTCACTGCTCCTGCTCACACTATTATCTCAGGGAGGTTCAGCTCAGATGCATAGGTTTCAATGTAATGTGTACTAGTCCTCTCCTAGCACCGTATCCTTGAGACCTGCCCAAGTCAAAGGATGGAACTTCAGGGATCCCACATCTCTCAGCTATCAGTTTGCTAACAGCAAGCTATTTCCACCCATGTGTGAGTGCCTGCTCATTTCACTGTCATAATAATGCTCCCCCATTCATACTCCTGTGGGGATGGAATAAGATAAACTCCATAAAGCTTTTCATTCAGGTCTGGGCATGTAGGAAGTACTCAAAAAATGTTAGCTACTGATGGTATTATTATTACCAAGTCACTTTCTTTCCATGTTTGGGGCACACTTCACTGTGCCTGGATCATACTCCACAGCAGTGGGCTCTAATGTTGCTCCTTAATTTCTATGGCTGACTAAGCCCTTCTTTTTATTCTTCATTCCATCACTAAAGGCCACGTGGGTCAAGGGCAAGGTCATGTTTGGGCCTTGGGGTCTACAGTAGAGCTTTCCTTGTGAAGAACAAAGAGGTTAAAGCTCTTGGCTTTTCAGGTGGGCCATCTTTGGACCTTACTCATCCTTCTGGTAAGCATGGCCTTTTAGGAATCCATGTGGTGAGTTGGGTCCATAGTTATCACCCACTTGGAAGTGGCCCTCTCACTCTTACAGGGCCCAGGAGAAAAGAAGCTTGGATCAGATAGACCAGACTGGCTCCCCCATGTACTTTGCTGCCAAGGGCCAGGAGTTCACACAAGGATTTGGAACCAAATACAGAAATTTCCAACAGTTAAAGAGCACTTATGTGCCAAGTATTGTTCACTTGACTCTCCAAACAACCCTATGTGGCAGGAAGGATGATGGCCCCCAAAGAGGTCCACATCCTAATCTCCATAATCTGAATACAGTTTATTCCATGGCAAGAGGGAATTTGGTTTGCTAATCAGCTGACCTTGAGTTGGGAAGGTTATCCTGGATCGTCCACAAGAGTCTTAACAAGCAAAAGAGGCAGGCTGGAGAGTCACAGTGATTCAATGCGAGAAGGATTCGATCCACCTGGGCTGACTGTGAAGACAGACGAAGAGGACCCCGAGTCAAGGAATGCGGGAAGCTTATAGAAGCTGAAAAAGGAAAGAAAATGGATTCTCCGCGAGAGCCTGCAGGAGGAGTACAGCCCTGCTGACCCTTTGATTTTAGCCCAGTGAAACCCATTGCAGATTTTTAACCTGAGAACTGAAAAATAATAAATTTGTGTCATTTACATCACTAAGTTTGTAGTAATTTGTTACCACAACAATAGGAAAGTAATATACTCTATAAAATAGGCACAGCTATTATCCCCTGAAGTTTAGGGAGAATAAATAGCTTGCACAATGTCATAGATAGTAAGGCTTGGACCTAGGACCCATACCCAGCTGTTCATTTATGGAGCTTGGGCTTATAACCACCTTTGTCCTGCTCCCTCACTCAAGCCATTATTTTCATCACCTTATTCACTGTGCACTTTTCCTGCAGGAATTTGCACTAGGGGCAGGCAGTGTTCAAGAAGTCAGGATTCAGCTCTTGGTTGTCTCTGTCTTTCCATCAGAAAAGTGAGCTCAGGTGCAGTAGAAAGGAGGACAGAGTCCCAGCTTGCAGGAGGTGCTGTGTGGACTGGCTAGCTCTGGTCATACCTGGAGCTCTTGCATGGCACTGCCTCAGATATTGTGGATGGAGTTTCTGAGCAATGCTTGGGGCTGCCACTGTTCTTATTAGAAGCCAACGTATGGAAACCTTCAAGCTCAGCTGCTGAGGAAAACCTGTGCAGGGACTCGAATGAGAGGAGAGAAAAATAATTTTGATTTATAAAACAGCTGAAAGGATGCACAGATGAATGAGTATTTTCAGTGGGTCTCAAAACTTACATATTCACTGGATATATTTTATTTGTACTAGCATTTCCTAATACTAAATAATGTGGATGCAATATAAAACTATTTTTTATTTTATTTTTTACATTTTTTATTTCCATAGTTTTTTGGGGAACAGGTGGTATTTGGTTACATGAGTAAGTTCTTTAATAGTGATTTGCGAGGTTTTGGTGCACCCATTACCCAAGCAGGATATACTGAACCCAATTTGTAGTCTTTCATCCTTCACCCCTTCCTACCCTTTCTCCCTGAGCCCCCAAAGTCCACTGTGTCATTCTTATGCCTTGATGCAACATAAAATGATTTTTATAATAATATCATGAAGACAACCTTTCACAGAAAAAGGGAAGTGGAATGGTTAAATAAAGGGGGAGGGGAGATGAGTGGGGAAGATTCAGAGCATTAATTGAGTAGCTTATGGATGCAAAGGAAAGAAGGCTGAAGAAGAATGAGCAAAGGCCCAGAGTTTGGGGGCATATTTACTTATTGGAGGATGATGGGTGGTCATTCCTGGAGAGGACTGTGGTGGCTGGGGAAACCACAGTGAGGGGCCTTGGCCATCATACCAGGTCAAGTGGTGAGGGAGATGGCAGGAACATTTATTCCTTCCCTCACATACACAGCTCTTATCCATCTCCCTTTACATTTGGGCTTTGGCTGCTTTTAGCACATGGGGGTCTTGGCTGTGCTGGGGGAGGAGCCGTCAGCTTGGACAAAGCCATCCCGGGACTGGTCTTTTTCACTAAGATTTACCTTGGCTTTGAGGGTCCTGGTAGCAGAGCACAGCTCAGCTGCCTGAAGCCAAACCCCATGCTAGAAGTCAGAGAAAAGGCAGGGACTGCCGTTGGCTGTCAGACATATCTTCATGGAGGGAGTGGAGATTTATTGAGTGTTAAATGTCAGTATGGATGTAATAAAGATAGTACACTGTAAGTAATCAGCACTTTCCAGGTGAGGAACCATTTTTAATAAGTTGTCAACCTGTCTAGTACTATGAATTATTTTTTAAGTAGAAGAAGATGAAGAAAACCCATTTGGAGTGATTTAACTTTCAGATCTACTCCTCATCTCTGCCCCTTCTTGACAGGGGTGCAAGTGTCCTGGGGTGCCCAAAGACCTTGGGGCTTACACACCCTTCATTTCACAGAAACCCAATATTCCTTTTGTTTTATTTCCTAAGATGGGGATAGTCCTGATGCAGCATGGGCTTCTGACTTTCAGAGCACATTGTGACAGGCAGAGAAGTTTGAGGAAATGAATACAGGGAAGAAGGCAAGTAGGGCGGGAGGTACAAGGACCTGGGATGGTGCCAAGCCTCTGACAAGGGTGGCCCAGGTGCCAGCAGGCCTACTCGCTCCTCAAAGATATATGCATAATTTCAGATAATCTCACAGCTTCCAGCATGCTGAGTCCTTCTTGTAGATTCCCACGCACTCCCAGGGACTCAAGGTGGCCTCTGCCTCCTGGGTGTCCATCTCCCCACCAACCATCTCTGTGATGCTCTCACTGTGCTGATAGTCTGCAGATTCCACCAAGAGAATTCACTCATGTGCAAGGTTCAGGATCACAATAGGCCTCCCTAGAGAAGATTACATAGGGCAGCAACTTTTACTGGCTCCAGAAGCCTCCAAGTTCTGAAAGCATCTGCTGGCCCCTTTACCACACAAGGTTTCCCTGCCCCACAGTTCATCCTAGGCTCATGTCAGCTTGCTGGCCTGCCACTTGTGGTCCTCCCTTCTCTTTGTCAGAAGCAAGCCCCCTGTTCTTCATGCTGGCCCATGAAGGTCAACTCCTCCCCTCTTTTGCTGTCTGGTCCACAGTTGGTATACAGTTGGTGCCCTGGTCCTGGGTATGTGTATGTGTGTGTTTGTATGCCCACCTGCCAGCCAGCACTCATGAAATTGGTCTTGCAAAGACTTCTCCCTAAAAGGAATTGTGTCTGGCCATTGTGATATTATGAAATGCATAGTTGGTCTTCATCCCCATTTCTGGCAAAAAGTTCTTGGAGGTGGAGCACCCTTCTGCCATGCCTTACACCATGCATTTCTTCCATCTGGCTGTTTATCTATATCCTTTATAATACACTGGTAAACATAAGTAATGTGTTTCCCTGAGTTCTGTGAGCCACCCTAGCAGATTAATCACACCGAGGAGGGGGTCATAGGAATCTCTGATTTATAGTGGGTCATCAAAAGGATAGGTAACCACCTGCTACTTGCAAGCAGCATCTGAAGTGGAGGCAGTCTTGTGGGACTTAGCCCTCAACCAATGGTAGATGGGGTCGGAATGGAATTGAATTAGAGAACACGCAGGTGGTGTCTGCTGGAGAACTGATTGTCAAAATGTTGTGTTGGGTGGTTTGTGAGAACAGGAGGAAACCCTTTTTTCCCCTTTAGCCATTAACCTAATAAACATGTTGTCCCTACATTGTCTTCTGACAGGTTCTCCTCCAGATTGGCATGATGATCACATGTCACCGATGGCTTGGAAATGTTGAGTGACTTGCCCAAGGTCTCATAGAGCCCTGACTCTAGAATCAGAGCTGGGATTAATCATGGGCATGGCAGATGCTGAAGCTCATGTCGCGGCTGCCTGGCCCTGGCTGCTCCCAGCTACAGGCCCTGGGGCCTCTTCTTTTAGTCTCAGTGCACTGATTTGTGGGCTCCACTCCTTGGGGACCTGGAAGAGCTGTTCAGTTTCTCCTCACCTGCTTTGGACCTTTGGCAGGGCTGCTAAGGTCCCCCCATAACTTGGGTTCTGTCCTTCTAGTCCCTGGGACTCTTGTTTTTGTAACCCATGTGACTTTCTGCACGCTCCATCTAGTGTCCATTCCATCATTTGAAGGCAGCAGAGAGACCCCTGGGGGCTTTATTAACATTTCACTTGGGTATTTTTTTTTTTTTTTTTTTTTTTGAGATGGAGTTTTGCTCTTTTTGCCCAGGCTGGAGTGCAATGGCGTGATCTCGGCTCACCACAACCTCCGCCTCCTGGGTTCAAGCAATTCTCCTGCCTCAGCCTCCTAAGTAGCTAGGATTACAGGAGTGTGCTACCATACTTGGCTAATTTTGTATTTTTAGTAGAGGTGGGGGTTTCTCCATGTTGGTCAGGCTGGTCTCAAACTCCCGACCTCAGGTGATCCGCCCACCTCGGCCTCCCAGACTGCTGGGATTACAGGTGTGAGCCACCATGCCTGGCCTCACCTGGCTATATTTGAAATGAAGCAAATTGCTCAGAACTAGCTTAGGTCTCTGGTGGTCAGCAGTAGGCTTGTTGCATTTTGCAAGAGCTCTGCCTTACAAACAGGTTCGGATGAGCAGCCTGACTCCAGCACTCAGCAGCTAGGCGAATTTTGATAATCCTTTCTTTTTAATTGCTCAGAGCTTCTGTTTCCTTATTTGTAAAATGCAGGTAATAACAGTAATCTCACTGAGCTCTTGACAAGGTGAATGAGAAATGCATGGAAAGTCCCCCGCACAGAGTAGGTGCTGTGTCCTTCCGGGGAGGGGGTTACACATTGGACCCCCATGTCCCACGATGGAACTTTGCTCGGGGCCTTCATTTCAGTCTGCATCTGCCCACACACAGCTCACGGCTTCTCTTTTACAGCTGCATTAATCATCCATCCAAAAACACACGGAAAGGAGCCTAAATACCAACTCGCCCACGGATATTGAGCTCATTATTTATTGAAGTAACGTCTGTGCATCCTGAAAGCACACCTCCCATCACAGCCCCCATCACCTGCCCTCCCACAGCTCATTAGCGTCACCAAGGGCTGCCTTTAGAGCCTTCTGCCATTCAGGGTCTTGCCTCAATCGGAAGAGAAAGAGTGTGTGGATTTCAGAATGGTCTTATGAAGTTGGCGTGCTGACCTTTCCTGAACCCTCCTCAGGCCTTAGCTCCCAGAAGCTCTGTGTGGATGGCCAGGAGCAGGCTGGGCCAGGGTAGGGGGCACATTTTCAGATCCATCTGCCATTGGCTTCTCCAGAATGAATGGCCTTTACCCTCAGAATAATGTCCAGTGGACATCCTTTCCTCTTCGACCAAGACGTTTCAAGTGTCTGTGGCAGCAGTTGGTTGTATAGAGCTGACCGCATAGTTCCCCATGTGATGAGGAGACTTCAGAGCTGCACAGTCTGATGAAAGCTGTGCTATGACTGAGGACAGAGTCATAGCATAGACTCATGGGAGACCAGAGGAGGGCTTCTTACAGCCGGGGGAATCAGGGGAAGCTGCCCAGAAGGGAGCCCTAGAGCTGAATTTTAGCAGGCTAAGAGTAGAGCTGGCAAAGGAGGACAGTCTAGGCAAAGGGAGCAGCAGGCATAGAGGCAAGGAGGCAAGACAGTCCCTCTCTTAGGCACAGCAGTGGGCATCAGATTGGACCAAGGGGAAGGTGCTCAGGATTTCAGACTGGCAAACCCATAGCTTCTTATGGTTTAAAGGGGAGAATCCTGAGCAAATGGAGTGAATCTGAGCAAAGGCTGAACTTCGCAGATTTTAATGTCCATATGAATCAGTTGGGGATTTGTTCAAATGCAGATTATGATGAGGTAGGTCTGGGCTGGGGTCCAAGAGCCTGCATTTCTGACATGCTCCTCAGCGATGCCCATGCTGCTGGGCCATGGAACACACTTTGTAGAGCAAGGGATAGCTTTGTAGCAGGCAGGACAAGCCCTGTGCATCTGACCTTGGAGGGTTTATTTCCGTTTTCCCTGTGCCTGGAAGTTTGGCTTTAGCTAATTTCATAAGATTGCTGAAGAACTGATGTACCAGCCCATCACCTTAGTGTGCCTGGGATACTGATTTGCTTTTTTCTTCTTCTTAACACGTTTGCAATCAGTAGCCATGTTTCTGATTTCCCACCGGCACAGGGCAGGGGCCTCCAAGAGGAAGACAGACTATCCTGTGTATGGGAATCCAAGCTGGTGTGACTGTCCTCATGGCTTCTGTGTAACCATAAAGGGCTGGGTCTTGCTCCTGGGAGAGGATGGCCTCCCTCTCTCAGTGAGCCCAGGATGCCACCCCTCATTCTCTCTGCCTCTGTACATTTTCCCTCATTGCAGAACAGTCCAAGCTGACCCATCTGCCCAGAGGCCTCATTCCCTTGCCTTCTGGCTCCAGGGGTCTGTGGGCCAGGGTGGAGGGCTTTCATAAATGGGGCCTTGGGATCAGTGTGAAGAGCACAGCTCTAGGGCAGAGCCAAATGCACAGTGACGGCGTGCCCACTGCACGGGGCTGGCACAGCTGGGGGAGGATGGCAGGCCCCTCCGACTGCACATGGGCTTCCCAGCAGACAGGCTGGAGCTGAATGTTCTTTCTCACCCTGAGTACTCCACACCAAAGGCCCCAGTGGAACTAGCTCCATGCAGTCCAGGAGCTGCATGTTAAGCTCCTGCTATGGGCCTCAGCCCTGGGAGACAAGGATCCTGCTCAGGAGGCCCGTAGCCCAGTAGGGAAACAGACAAGGATGACGGCAATCATAATTCAGTGTGGCTAGAGGGGAGCAAAGAGGGATGTAGGGACTTCGACAGGGATGATTAATTCTGTGGAATGGGGTAGGTAATTCAAAGAAATGTATTTAAGCTATGCTTTGAAGGATCTGCCATTCAACAATACTATGGGGCCTGACACTGAGCTATGCTCTGGGGATACAACTGTGATAATTCAAACAAGGTCTGTGCCTCCTGAAGGGCCTGTTAGGGTAGGAGGGGTGATGACATCCTCAGAGGTGCAGCAGGTGCTGTCGTGCTATCTGTGCTTTGCCCGTTTCCCCCCATTCTACTCCTTCAGTGCACACTGATCCAAATTCCAACCACCAGCACCTGAGTTTCTTTGCCTGGGTGCTTTCTCTTTCCATTGGTGTCTACTACACTAGGGCAGGCCAGAGTGCTGGGAAACTCACAGTCCTGCCCTCCACACAGCATGAGCTGATGACTGCCGGGAGATAGTGTATAAATACCCTAGTTCCCTTGTCCCTTGGGAAAGTCAGCTCTGAGGCATGTGCTCTACACTGAGTGTCACCATCAGGATTTGGTCCTAATCTCCCAGCATGCTGGCTGCATAAAGCACCTTTACTCGCTGCCTTCCCTTCTTGTCTCATGTTTCCCCCTTACCAGGTTTTCTTCATCTCCTTCTTGAGCTCAAATGCTTGCCCAAGAGTCAGCTTCTGGGGGGATCCTAAGCTAAGACCAGCGAGGAGGGATTCATGCTCAGCGAGGAGCACAGGGCATGTAGAGGTGTAGCTGTAGCCAGGGCAAGGGGTAGCACAGACTGCCTTCTCATGGGAATTTGCAGATGAATTGCCTAGTGGAGTGCAGGGGGCTGTTTGGGTGGCTCAGCTGCTCTCTCAGTCCTGAGCTTACTCACCAGCTATGCACAGCCACCCAGACCCATAGAAACCTCCTGCCAGGATTCCATTGGAGTTTCCCTCTGGAAGCAGTTTGAGCAAATTCCATTAGATTGGAAAGTCGGTGCTGAGGAACTTGGAGAAGATGATGGAAGACAGCATTTCCTATGGCACATCAGTCCTGGGATGTGTCCACAAAGAAGGGCTCCCCAGTCACATGAGGTTGCCCAGGGCTGTAGGTACATTTCACTCTTGGAGGTTCCCAAGAAAGGCCTGAGAAGTCCTGAGTCAGGAATCATTTTCCCCTAACCAGGATTAAGCAGTAATTCCCTTAGCCATTTCACCACAGAACCTTCTATCACATAGCACTTAATAACTCTGCACGGAACTAGGGTTCTGTAGAGCACGCTGTGAGAAGTGCTGATACAGGGATGAAGGGACTCATCTGGAGAGTCAGGGAAGACTCTGGAGGCTGAAGCCAGCCTCTCAATGTCACTTCTCTGCTCTCAGTGATCCCCAGTAGGAAGGTGCCACTGCATTACAGAATCAGATCTCAAAACCAGTACTGGGACCAGGTGGTGACCAGAGACTGCTCAGAGCCTCTTTCTAACCAGACACTAGAAGCAGAGTGTCTGATACGTTCACAACGTGCTTCATGGACCACTGCAGCTCAGAAGGCAGTGTGAGAGATAAGAGAAACCACTACCTGGAACCAATTCAGACCATTAGGCCAGAGGAAGATGGACAGATAACTGAGAATGAATAGATTTCACCATTATCCAAGGGACAGAGTAGAACTCAGAATGAGATGCCCCAAAAGAACAAATAACAGAGACTGAGGGTCAGTTATTGGGATATGACTGAGGTTGGGGCGAGGGGGGCGAGAGAGAGAGAAAGAGAGAGAGAGAGGAAGGAAGGAAGAAAGAAAGAAATAAAGAAAGATTGACCCCTTCTTTTAGTTTATTTTGTGGCTACCACCCATGGCTTGTTCTGGGAGATGATGTTTCAGATAGGAGGTTATTGAATAAAAGGAAGTTGAAGCTCAAGGTAGGGAAGGTGACAAATAGCAGTATTTTCTGCCTCCTGTACCCCCTCCCCGCTCCAAGATCTACAAACTCTCCCATCTCTCTTCTCTAGCCTCCTGGTGGGGCTTGGGGTAGCAGCCTTGCTCCTCTCTCCTCATCTTCTCTATCACTCCTGGACCCGGGAGGTAGAGCATCTAGGTAACTTACCTCTCCACAGTGCAATTTGAGTTTAGGGACATTGATGAGAGCATAGCTATTTTAAATGAGCTCATGTTTCTGGCCTGGATTTTACTAGATGAGGCTTCCAGAAGATGAATTTGCAGAAGAAAACATTGGTCCACAAGCTTCAGAGTGTGGGATAGAGAAGGACTGGGGCCAGAGGCTACAGATGAATCAATGACGTGACTTCCGCATGGGGCACAGGTCAGCTTTGCAAACTGTAGGTTAGTGAGTTTAATGTCATCCCTCAGTAAACCACGGAAATAAATCATTATTTTTAGATTATTTTTTGAATTGTATCAAAGTAATCCTTTACATAGTTAAAAAACCTCAAATAGTATCTATAATAAAATAAAATAGTTCCCTGCTTCACCACAGTCATCTTCCCAGATCTGGGAAGCACTATTGAACCCCTTAGCTATTTCAACTCATATTTGCTACCATATTTCTAAATAATTTGCTGGCACCACTGTTTTCTGATTCAATAGTATTAGACATTATGTATTGATTTCTTATTATAGTCGATAAGGATTTGGCTGCCTTATATTTTCTATCTCCTTAAAACACATACCTCCTCTTCCTCAATCCTCAAACTTTGGGTTAAAACGGTAGACAGTATTAACATTATGTACTGTGAAAATATTGTTCCCTGTTAAGGAGACTTCCATGATGTAAACTTTATTTTTCCTAGTTGAATCGGTGTCCAATTAGGAAAACATTAATCAGTAAGCATTTTAGGCAGAATTTAAGGAATGGGTTATACAAGTAATGGAAGAATTGGGAAGCCAAACAGAGGCAGTCAAGGCAACCAGAAATTAGGCACAGCAGGAAGCTGCCACCACCAGGCCTAGGGCTAGAGAGCCAAGGGCATGGACAGTTTTTCCAGAGCCCAAGACGCAGGGCCATTGGCAGAAGGTGGAACCAGGGCAGTCCTTTCTGAGAGGAGTCAGCCCTGAGGAGGTGCCACCTCCGCGGGAGATGCCACCTCCGCGGGAGATGCCGAGATGCCGCAAGAGACAGACAGCCAGGGGCAGAAACACCTAGGCTTCTCCCCTCCCCCGCCCCCATCTCTCTTCAGTGCCTCCTGTTGGCCAAATTCACATAGAAGCCAATTGAGAAACGCGGCTTGCAGGAGTCAGCCTGCTCTGCTCGCTTCAACTCCCATGAAACAGAACGGGCCAGAGAAGAGCAAGGAATGGAAATGAGGTCAAACAGGCCAACCCCAGACACAGTCATATTAATATTTGCCCTTTTATAAAGAAAATTAAATAAGCATTTAGCATTGATTTTTTTGTATGTGCTCTATCAAATCTGTTTTATGAATGTGATCCATTCATTTCATTTGGTTTCCAGGAGTGCTCCATCCTTCTGCTGCATCTGGGCTGTTTGCTCAGGCCTGCCTCGGTGCTGCCGTTTGGGGCATGAGGACGGCTTCATCTCAGGGAGTCCCTTATCCTGCTCCTGGGCTGAACCCCTGCGTTAATTCCTTATCTTCCTTTTTCTTGGTTTACTCCCTTTTTATAGGAACATGTCTTCCAGTAGCTTCCCAAGAAAGAGGCCATGGGAAATAAATATTTTGCCTTTGCATGTCTGAAAATGTCTTTATTCTACGCTCACATTTGATTGGCATGTTAGCTAGCTTTAGAACTCTAGGTTGAAAACAAGTTTCTCTGGAATTTTGAAGGTGCTGATTCATTGCCTTCCAGCTCCCAGTGTTGCTTCTGTGGTCTGATACTATCCAGGTTTTGCTCCTTTCTATGTGACCTGTTTTGTTTTCTTTTCTCTTTGTATGTTCTTAGAATCTTCCTTATATCCTCAAATTATCTTTGCAAATCTAGACAAACAACCCCAAATATAGATTTGTTTTGCTGAGAGCATAAAGCCCCTCCCTCCACAGTCAGGAAAATATTATGACCCAGTGGATTTGAAGCTTTTGATCTTAGATAAAGCCTGATGTCCCAAAGGGATCAGTTCCTAATTGTAGGACTTTCTGGCAAAATTAGCCATGGGTGATCAAATAAAGCCTCTCCTTGATGCTCTGACTTGGTACATCTGGTACTTTGAATAAACAAGACTCCTGGGGTGTAATTACAGAAGCATCTGTATCTTTGTTATCACTATCCTTTTAAATGTGCTCAGTAAGAGTAAGTCTTCTGCTATAGGGTGAAAATTCAGACAAGACCATGACTTTCTTTGTCATAAGTCGTATATAAATTTATACCAAAACACAGTCTTAAGAGGGTCCAGTGCTATTTAATCAGCAAAACTTAAACTCGCTGTTAATTCTACTAGAGGATCTGTAGTCCAAGGAGGGGAATAGGTTCCTGCTTGTCTCTCCCAGCTCTTCCTCCCTATTTGCCAGCTGTGATCTCTCACCATTCTAGAAAGGAGGAGGGAGAGGAAAGGTGTGGAGGGCAGGAGGCTTCCCACTTGACTGATACTGTCTTGAAGTGGCCTTGTGCCTGCAGGCCCAGGCAGATATTTAAGATGACTCTTCTATTGTGATTGTGTGAGTTCTCTGGAGATGCCCCTGCTGGGCCAGGTGACTGCAGCTTCTTTGATAGAGCCAGGGCCTCAGCTTCAACTGGCTACTCCCAACCCTCACATGGTTCCTGCCCCTTTGGTCCCTCATAGTGGCTTATTGAGGGATCCCATGCCCTGGAAAGATGCCTTCCTGGGCAGGATGCCTACTAAAACAATTGCAGGCTGGCATTCCCTCCATGGGTTCTGGGTTTGGCCACCTTCATCCTGCCATTGGAGGAGGTGTTAGTGGCCTCTCTAGCTTTCTCCACTATGAGTCAGGCACAGATGCCTGTGTTCTCCAACTTCAGGGAACCCAAATCTATTCTGTAGGTGGTTCCACTGAAGCCTCTCCCACTAAGTGTGCGGTGGGAGGTCGGTCATCCAGCCTTTCCCTCGGGGATGGGTGGACCCCAACTCAGAAATCCTCTTCATAGACCCTCTTAATCTTCAACAATGCAGTCCTTTGTCCCTCAATCTAAGTGAATCACTAATTAATTTTCAGTCACCTTCTTTGAAGTGTCATGCACTGACTTGTCTGAGAACTTGCTTGGGCATCTGGTATCCATTGCATCTTGGTGCCTTAGTGAAAATTCCCAGCTTAACTTTCTTGTTATGTGGGCATCTCCCAGAATCTGTCTTCTCCTTGCACCTGTCACATCATGCCCAAGTTGCTATGAAATAGCCATCTCAAATATCTAAATGCCTGTGAGCAATCGCTCCTGAAAAGAGACAGTGGGGGCTGGAAATTTGATTCCTTCAGAAAAAGAGTTTCCTGAGAACAGGACATTCCAATTAGTGAGCTGATAGCTCATCCTTGTCACCGGAGCTGTCCATAGCAGAACAAGAGTGCTGGGCAATGCTTTATGAGTCAATAAAGAAAGCACCTCCAGAGTCCTAGGAAACACATTTCATTTGCTTATTTATTGCCTTTAATTTTATAGGCTATAGGAGAAATTTCTGCCTTCTGAATGTGTCCAACTAGCTCTGTTCACCTGAGAAATCACATTCCCCAGCTCTGGGTATCCCTGAATAACCACAGGAGAACAGTTCCAGGCCCTGATAAGTCAGCTATTGCAAGGTAAGAGTCTGGAATCCCGGGAGACATGATGACGAGGGGTCACTTCTCTATGCTGTTATTAATGTTTGGATGTCTCCCAATTTCACTGCTACTCATAAGAACCTTATCAGCTGGTACAGGGAAAGACTGAACTAATTGATTTCTGATTTCCAGGGGGACCTGGCTGGAAGATATGAAGGAAAAATATCATTCTTGAACTAATAAGTTGAGAGATCACAGCCTTCAGGGGACCAGAAGGGAAGGCTGAACAGGGAAGGGCAATTTCACGTTCGCCATGTCCATATTTCTATCGTCATGAGCCATCTCACCTTACAGGCAGGGAAGTTTTGAGCTTAGAGAATGGGATGCGTCAAGAAAACCGTGGCTCCCCCAGCTCTGTTCCTGGATTCAGTGCCTGTTGTTTCATCCTGTGTAGACTGGAGTCAGGGTCTACACAGTTGGAATTCTATGGAACCAAGATGCTGTGTGGCAGATGGATGTGGACTCCAACTGTGACAATCCAGAAGGCCTTGGGGACTTGTTTCATGAACAGCTCCCTGTAGGATCTCTGTTGGGGTGGGGGATTCTAGGGGCATCTCCGCAGTTTTCTTCTGAAAACAAAACGAATACCAGTTGGGCAGGTGCAACAACTGTGCATGCAGTCCCCTCCCAGGGCTGGCTAGCAGTATTGTTGGGTACCGTAAGCACTTAGCATTGTTAAGTGAGCATAAGTAACAAGATGCAACAGCCTCTGGCCAAGTTTTGAAGATTTTGTTTTAAAGTATGCTTTTAGATGTTGACATTCATGATTATTAAAAGGAACAAAACTCAATTTGGGGTCTCAAGAGCCACAATTCTAGACTTCTAGGATGTCAGGAGCCATGCTCTTAAGCTTCTCACCCTGCTGTTTTAATGAGATTAATGATTATTTTCCACTGAGCACCTACCTGTGATGTTCATAAAAAAGTGAAATAAATGACTCACATGGAGATTTGGAAGGATATCACTGTGGAAAGTAGATGTTAACAGCCTCTAGAAATATGATAATTATCAGCTATTTGAGATGCAGTCACTGTAATGTGATAACAAGATGTGTTGTGCAGGTAGAAAGCATGGAGAGAAATGGCACGAAGTAGTTATAAGAAAAAAGAAAGAAGAGATCTTGTTTGGTTATTCACTTTATTGTGATAAAATTGAAATGGGAGAAAGTTGAAATCTACATACTGAAATTTACATGGTATTCAGTAGTCCCTCTCTGTTCATTTGTGGAATGAGCACGATATTTTCCCCTAAAAGATGCCTACCCTGTGCTAGGCAGGAGGCCTGGGTGTGTCAGGAGGCTGTCAGACTCAGGGACATTTTGCTCATCTACGTGCCCATTTTTATATTGACATTCCCACTCTGGGGAAAGGCAGGTCAGGGCATTTTAGACAGCTGTGGAGTCAACACTGTCTCTCATGTCCTCTAGTATGTTTTCTAGAATAGATTAAATGTATACATATATGTTATCTCATCTATGGTGAATTTGAGGCGTCCCTGTTTGCACTGCAGCAACTCTTCCCATGGTTAGGAGCCTCTGCATTCCTAAAGCATTGTTGATACAGTGAGGAATAAATCCTTGGCCTTCAGATTTCTTGATCTCCAATGATTGTTGAATGAATGAATCCACCTTTACTTAACTTTAAAGCCCAGTGTTTCTACTTCCAAAATATACTTTAAATACTTCCCTCCATATCCAATACTACTAGCATCATCCAAGCCACTTCTTTCCTGGACTACTCAATAGTTACGCACTGGCCTCCTTCCATTCATTCTTTTGAACTTTCAATTATGTTAATCGGATTCTGTTCCTCTTTTGCTGAAAACCCTTCCAAGTTTTCCCATTGCTATTAGAACAAGAGCCACACTCCTCACAAAGGCTCACAGGTCCTGTACGATCTTTCCCCAGCCTTATACCTTACCTATCTTTACCACTCTCAGCCAATCACACTCGTGCCATTTTGGTTCTTTGAGCCCCCTGAGTTCTTTCTGGCCACAAGTCTTTTATACTTGCTGTCTCCTTAGTTCTATGGCTGGCTCATTTTCATCTTTGGATACCACTTCAAATGGGTCCTTCCTATGACCTGTGTTGACCACTCTATCTAAAGCAGCAGCTCTCCTCCAAGTTTCTCTTACTATTTCACAATCTGTGATGACCTGGGTTCTTGGTTTATTTTACTTAATGTCTTGGTTTGTTTTATTAACATCGGTTTTGTTGTTTTTTGTTTTGTTTTGAGATGGAGTCTTACTCTGTCGCCCAGGCTGGAGTGCAGTGTCGGATCTGGGCTCACTACAACCTCTACCTCCCAGGTTCAAGCCATTCTCCTGCCCCAGCCTCCCAAGTAGCTGGGATTACAGGCATGCACCAATATACCCAGCTAATTTTTGTATTTTTGGTAGAGACTGAGTATCACCATGTTGGCCAGGCTGATCTTGAACTCCTGACCTCAAGTAATCTTCCCACTTCGGCCTCACAAAGTGCTGGGATTACAGACATGAGCCACTGCACCTGGCCTTGGTCTATTTTATTAAAGTCTCAATGTCTGCCAGGTGCCTGACATGCAATAGGTGTTCAGTTAGCTTAACAAACTTGCTGGCTTAGAAGTGAACTTGCTTCTCTCTCCCCCTGTGTGCATACACACTTTGGCTTTGCAAAAAAGACAGCCCTGCTGCTGCCCTCAAGCCTACCTTCTGAGAAGGCACTCAGGATGCTGAAAGTGAAGCTCACATATTTCACTCTGCACCGTCTGCACACTCTGCCATCTTTAGGCCCAAAACGAGCCTTCTGGAATCCTCAGGCTTTCTAAATGCTAAATATACAGCATTAATCGGATCTTGCATCTCTATTGAATAACTAAGACACCTTTATGTTGAAATGCAGATTCTCCATTGAAAGGCAAATCTTTCATTTCGAATGTTTGAATGAGACTGGGTTTGTATTTATAAAATAAGTTGTATAGAAGAGCATATTCTGGGCCTGGAGTGCTTTCATTTGATTGCTCAATAAATACATTTTCACTCATCCAAAGCTCTTGCCTTGAAGTATTTTGCACTGAAGAAGTCAAATAAGTGACAGTAGCCCTATTGAATTCTATTTAATTTTACTTAATAATGTGCTGTTTAGTTCCGGGGTATTTCTGGGCCTGTATGTACCAGGGATGGGTTGAGAGTGCCTTGTTTAGAGGGAGGTGGGTTTGGGGCTGTAGTAAGAGCAGTAAGTGGGATAGGGCAGAGTGAGGTGGGTGCTGTGGATGGCACCCCTGCCTCCTGCTTGCTGTAGAATCTTTTTTATTTATTTATTTTTTTGAGACAGGGTCTCACTCTTTCATCCAGGCTGGAGTGCCATGGCTTGATCATGGCTCACTGCAACCTCAACCTTCTCAGCTCAGGTGATCTTCTCACCTCAGCCTCCTGAGTAGCTGGGACTACAGGTGGGAGCCACTGCACCCGGCCCATATATAGTCTTTCTAAGACATTTCTTTGAGTTTCTATTTCCTTGTATACAAAATGAGGATGGTAATACCTATCCCATGGTTTATTCTGAAAATGAAATAATATAATGAAGATAGAAATACTGAACATACTGTCTGGCATTTAGTTTGTGTTTTTATAAACATAGCATAGCTGATTTCAAGGTAGGTAGACATTGTAATCATTAGTTTTATTACTCTAACTAGACTCAATGTATAAGAGTCTGGTCTATCTTTGTTTCACTCTGCACATTCAGAAGGGGCTCAATAAGCACTTAACTTGTCATTTGTTACCGATTTCTTATTACAGAATGAATAATCATCATCAGTTGCACAGCCCAGAAAGAACTACCAACATTTTAGTGTATTCTCTGCCTCCCTCTCTCTCTGAATATACCCATCTTGAATTGACTTTGATTTACTGGGGGCAGAAAAGGGAAGCTCTGAGAAATACATGAAGTCAGTGAGAGAGTGAGGAAATGACTGTCCCTGCGGTACCCCTGTCCCCGTGTGACCCCTCTTACCCTTCCAGCCCCAGACCTGTCCTGAGCAAGGGAACCTGATAGCCAGGCATTGGCACCAGGCCCTGCAAATCCCTCTTTCTGCTCCAGCCAGGCAGTGCAGAACAGTGGGAGACATGGCCCCCATCCAGGTAGTGGAGCCCCTGTCCTGTCATGGGAATTGGTTGCTATCAGCTGTGCCTAGTGTGAGATAGATCATTTGATCTTTCCTGGCTGCACACTCTGCACACTCCAAAGAAACCTACTTATCTTGCAAGCAATCCCTAAATAAAACCCAAATTGTTTCCTGCAAGTGGCTTTCTGCTGAGCCTGGTCTTGCTGTCCTCCTTGACTCAGCCATGTCCCCATCACTCTCTGACCAGCTCTTCGCCAGGCCCTTCATGGCCCCCAGACAACTGTGCTGCTGATGGGGAGGGCCAGGCTGCAAAGCTGTTTGATTTGTCAAACAGACATCCAGTCAGGTCCTGGGCAGGGCAGGAGCCAAGGGGACTGACTTATGGCCCCACTGGTCAGGAGATGATATCAGAAAAGTACTACAGAATTTCTATCCTGCCTACCTTATTTTCTTGCTGAGTACCCCCAGGCAGGTAACAAAATTTATCTGAGCCTCAGTTTCCTTGCTTAGTTTGCTTCTACAAGGGTTCTTATTTTTACTTTGTGTGCCAAGTCCTGTGCTATGGACTTTATATACATCACCTCTATTAGGCTAAAAATTTCATGGTGGAGCTGGTGCATGCCAAAAAGCACAAGGAAAGGGGGAAGCATTGAAAGAGACCTGGGGAATCACAGCAAGAAGAATCTTGCCTGCAATTTGCATTGCCACCAGCACCATGATTAGCAGCCAGTCCCCACCTACCTATCATGATGCCACGGAGATGGAAGTCCCAGAACAATACTATGTCAGGGCTGGACCAGTCCTACATGACTCACTGCTTTATAGGTAACAAATTGAGTCCTAAAGTGGGGCATGACTTATCGAGTGGGTTTATTTGTTCTTTCATTTATTTACCAAACTTCTCTTGTGCATCTATTAGGTGCTGAGCCCGACGCCATGTTCTGAATGCACAGTCCTGCCCTTGGGGAACTGCTGCAACCATGAGAGAGGTAGAAAGCCAACCAGAAGGACGGATGGACAGGCGGAAGCCAGGGTAGACCTCTTAAAAAAGGAGTGGAATGGAAGCAAGTGGGGGAAATGAGAGGCTAGGATGAGAGTGACCCAGAAAAGGTTTTCTTAGATGAGGGAGACTGAAGCACAAGGATGATGGAAGAAAATGGTCCTGAGGAAAGGCAGGGAAGGAAGATACAGGAGAAAGAGGGATATTGATGTGCCCGGGCCCCTGAGTATGAATGGGGAGAAATCAAGAAGCCATTTGGCAGGACGTTTGATTCTCAGGCAAAGGTTTTTAGGAGGGGGACCTGGAGGGGGAAAACATCCCACTGAGCACAGTAGTGTCCTGGGGCCACAGATGGTCAGAGGCTAAGAATGCAGCATGGAGACACCATGGTACCTGACTTCCTGGCAGTCCTTCCTGTTCTGTAGTCTGGGGAGATGCTGCCCAGCACAGGGCTCACAGGGGCAGGAAGAAGCTCTCTGGAAGGAAGGGGTCTGAGAATTTGCCAAGGGACCCAGCTAGTGGAGCCTGAAAGGGGTCTTTCAGTCAATCCCCTGTCTCTGCCAATATCTCAGCTAGCTTAGTAGTAGACAGGAATCATATACAGATCAAAAGATCAAAATTAGCTAGCGATTAGTCATCCTATCACTATCCCCAAGCCTCTAGCATAGGAATAATGGGGTCTACAGCATGCTCACTTGCCTAGCCGACTGCGTGGAGGATAGCGCCTTCCTCACACACTGATGACAGAGGGAAAGTGAGATAAATGGAGAAGGATAGGGGGCTTCTTCTTGTCTTCTAAGATGGAAATTCCCATCCATAGATCAAGATATGAATGTAGGGCATGACCGTACAATTTCCTCCATGCCTGCACAGGACTATGTAGAGACAGAATGTGGATGTCCCTTGGTGCCTGGGTCTTAACCTTAGGGCCTGAGGACTGAAGACCTGGCCTTGAACCTGGTGGTACAGGGTCTCTGCCCTTAGTGACACAATGAAAGTAACAGCTGTGGTCAAGCATGGATGGGGGCTGGCTGTGAGACTTCTCAAGGCAGGGAAACATCTTGGTCACAGCTTCAAAACCATCCTCATCCAAGTGTCCCTGTCAATTGGCAAAAGTAACCTGAGAGGCAGAAGCAGATTGGAGGGACAGTCTTTCTCTAAAGGTTCCTATGGGAAGCAGTTACAAAGGCAAGCAAACAGGACTTCAATTCATTCAAAGAACAAAATCCTCTTGGAGACCAGTGATGTTTTGGAAAGCTTGTGACTAGGGACCCTGTTCTGGGGGCCTGATGGAATGACTATGTCCTTAAATATGCTCTTCTCCAATGGAGCTGAGTGGAAGACAGGCTGAGGGGGTCCTTGGAAAAGGCCCCATGTCTAACTGCCACCTGAGCCCCTAAATACCTTTGGAAAAGTCTGCAAGAGGAAGCTGAAAACACCTAAGGGAGCCTATACTCATTCCCCAACAACCAACTCACAGTCCACCTTTTAGCAAATCTGCTTAACACCGTCCATGTAGCCAGCCCTGAGACCCTCAGCTGACAAGGGCATGGATGATCCTTGCTTTCAGAGAGCTCACAGCCTATGTGAGCAGCCCTAAATGGCCCTCATGGATCAAACTGAAAACAAGTCAGAGGTTGATCACCAAGATGCAGATCCAGTGAGGTTTAGAGAAGAAGTGAATTAGGGGTCAGGGGACCAGGGATTGCTCTCTAGAGGACAGGGGCTTCTGTTGAGCCCTGCAGCAGCCTGTCTCTGCCATGGAGATCTGTACTGGACCCTGTAAAAGACATAGCCATAACAACAAACTTGACGAGGACTGTCTATTGCTGTGAAGCTTGGAAGTGCTTATAATGAGGGGCAGGCTTTCAGCGCTGTCTCCATGCCTTTCATCTGCTCCCTCTGTGAAGTCCCTGGGAACAGTCTGGTACCATGGTTTGGGGCCTTCGTTAGTTCTGCACTGTCTGAGACATTCACAGAGGCAAGAAAGCAGACGGGCTTCTTTATGTTTATAGCAACTCAGACTGCTTTTCTTGGCTACCGGGATCCAAAAAATAATATCATCAGAGCTGGCTGATTCACAGTGACGTGGTTAAAGAGTGCTGTGTCCTGGTGGCCTCATCTCAAGAGGCAGTGGTTGTGCCCAACACACTGTCCCTACCAAACCCTGGCAACCGCTGTATGGCCATCTGTCTATAGGACTGTCCATCTGTCCAGCCAGCCAGCCAGCCCCATGTGCAATGATGGTCCACCAGCAATACTCATTCACCTATCCATCTCACACTGGAGAACGAAGGTCGCTGAAGGCAGGGAGCCTGTTGGACTCCTGTATCCTTCTTTCGGTGGTTTATAACATTTTCTCCAGCACCAGCACCTGTAGAATCTGCCACACCCCCTTCAGTGACAGCTGCTTACAAAGCTGGTCATCCTTGAAGTGGAGTGGTAGACCAGCATTAGCGAGCATCCTGTTTGAAAAAGCCCCCAGACCCGAGAATCTTAACTACAAGTGACTCAGGAAAGTGGGGCTCAATGAAGAGTCCCTGAGATCCTCTGTCCTGCAACCTGGCCTGGCTTTGACTCCCAGCAACCTCCCTGCAGCCCCAGCCTCACCTGCCCTTAGAGCAAGGGCTGGTTGGAAGCTTTTTTTTTTCCATCTGTTTCTCCAAGTGTATGCTGGGGAGCACTGCTTCAGAAACACATGAGAAGTTTGTGGTATGGAGAAAAGACTCAGAATCTTAAAACAAGACTTGGCTGTTTCTTAGAGCTGCATGGCAGGCAGGAAGGAGGCGAGCACTCACCAGTGGGGGCCTGGGGACCGCCACAGCCTGTGTCCTTGACAGACTTCTCTTTCTACACCTGAGTATATTCAGGAGCCCTCAACAACTTGCCTTGGGGAGGTGGGTCTTTCCATGCTCAGGCAGGGAAGATGAAACATTATGACGTTCAGATGAGGAAAACAGACCTTGCAGTCATAAGTTATTAAACTTCCAAAGGCTGTGGGACAGAGGAGAATGATAACATATTACTACATCTGAAAGAAGGCATGGTATTTTACCAGCACAACATTTATGATATATAAAAGGATTACAGTATTTTTCTCAGAGGATAAGACAGGAAGGCTTGCTTTGTTATTTGAGATTTGAGATGTTTCTAGTTGACCTGAAGTTCTGCTGATTAGGGAGGGGCTAATTTCTTAAGACTTCTTAGTAATTATCCTGACCCAGACCTTCTTCCCTAGAATCTCTTAGGATGGAACATCTCGGGGTGATCTGTAGTCTTAACAAACTTACCAGGTGGATTCTTGTATACACACTGAAGTTTGGAAACCACTATCCTTAATCCAGTGGTTCTAAATCTTGGCTGCATATTGGAATCACCTGGAGAGTTGAGAAAACAATGAAAGGAAATACTACAAAAGAGATGCCCCAAACCCCACCTCCAGAGATTTTGACTCAACCAGGGTTGGGCCTGAGCATTCTTAATTTGATGTGATTATCTCATTCCCAGTTGACTTAATGTGTAGCCAGGGTTGAGAACTTGGGTTAAACTGTGTTCTCAGCCATGGTGCCTGTCTGTGCCCTGAATGTGCACAATGCATGAGCGTGTGGGCGTGTCTCCTGGGCTGATTCCAACCCTTGGGGACATTTATGGCTGGGACCTGGGCTTGCTCTGGCAAACAGAGTGGTTCCCTTTAAATGCCTGCATCTGGCCATCAGACTGGCATGGCGCCTGTGCTGTGTTCAGAGGATGTTGCTGGAAGCTGGGAGAAAAGCCTCTGCCATATCACCTCTCTCATCTGGCTCTGGGTAAGAAAGGGCTCTGTGAAGGGGCAGGGGTGGCAGCTGCAGCGGAACCAGTGGCACTGGGAAGATTTCTGGCCATGGAGCCATGGGTGACCTAGGTTGGGGCAGCAGCACCTGATGTAGTAGTTGCTATAGAGCTATGAGCCCTGATCCTCAGTGTGGCTTCTGCGTGTCAGTGTGGAGAGACAGCAGAACCCTCCTGCCTGCCGTGGGCACACATAGCATATGCAGCCGGTGGGCACACACGGTGATGTCTATCTTCTCCCCATTAAGGGCCTCCTGCCTCCCGGGCCCCAGGTTCGGAAGATGTTCTCCTCCGCACATACTGCCTGTGTGCAGAGATGAGCAGTTCATTTTCCATCTTTTATTAATCAAAGACACATGTAGCTGTTAATCAGGGCTTCTGACTCCCAGTAGGTAAGAAGATTTTCTACTCTGAGCCTTCTAGAAATTGCACATAAGCCAAGTAATGGGTCCTTTCATTGATCTGCGTGTGTCCTATTGCCAGGCCTTTTGGAAGCAGTTTGAAGAGCTCAGGAACACCCTGCCCAGGTCTCCCTTCTGTCTTGCTTCCCGCTCATTCCTGCCCCAACTTTACCTCTCTGTGTCATCTTTAGCAAGTCCTCCAACCTCTCTGATAGAAAAAATGCCTTGGCCTCATCGTTTCCCCTGAGAAAGGAGACAGATGAACTCATTAGCTTTCATGGTTCAAAGCACCTTCTTTGGCCACAGACCCTTTCTTTAAAGGGTTTCTTATGCAAAATCCTAATAGGTAAACAGACTGAATTAGAGCTATTCTGGCAAAGGAGGAAAGAGGGGTCTCAGACTCCCCTCACCCCTCTCTCAGGGTCCACTGTCCCCAAGGGGGCTCCACAGACTCTTTTGGAAACCTCAGTTGTAAATAAGTTATTTTCAATGGGGGATCATCCCTCCTTTCCTGGGTGTCCGTATCAAAATCTTGGGAAAGTCAAGTGGCACATGTACTTTGAAAAATCATATTTCAAAATGGCCATTGTTTCTATTTGTTTTCATTTGTGATACCTAATTTATTTTCAAATTTCAAGTAACATGAAAGGAGGGTAGGGATTTCAATATTCACGTAAAGGTGGCACTGGTTTATAAAGGTTGCAGTCCGTTGATCTACATCAGTGTTTTGCAAAATGCAGTCACAACCCACCCAGCAGGCCATGAAATCAATTTACTAGGTCATGAACAGCATTCCTTCTTAATAGAATATTACAGAATAAAACAGAATGTGTCAGAGTTAATCACACATGGTCATGCTAAAGATTGTTTTGTAACCTCGTTTCCCTTATATCTGTTTGCGTATAATGGGTGAAATGCAAAAAATACAGTTTTGTAGGTTATGATTGAGAAGAGCTGAGAAGCACTGGTCTGGATGGATGCCTCCTGTGGTTCCTTTGGGCCCTGACTTTGGCTCACATCCACATCTGGGAGACCTTCCTACCCCCTATGTTGAGCAGAGCACTGGTGAGCCATGCAGTGAGGCCAGGGAAGAAGGCAGAAGTACTCAGCAGTATGACAGTGCAAGCCCCTCCCCTAGAGATAGCTGAGTACCCTACATAAATATCGTGCAGTAATTCCACATCCTCCTGGGGCCTGGCAGAGGAGAAGAGGTTAATATGGAGCCAGCTGACCTTGCCCAGGTCCATGGTCCAGGAGCTAACCGTGGTATGTCTTATACAGGTGGGTGAAGCAAGTGTATGAAGTGGTCTGGGCACTCCATTTCTCTACCCCTGATCAGCCCCAGCAGCAGAGAAGCTTGTCACCTCCAGGCCTCTCTGGTTCCCGGAGGCCATTCTCAAGACCCTTCCTAAGCTGTGCTTCCTGACCTCATGGCCAGGTGGCTTTGGCTTCTGTGGCTACTGAGCTGCCATGGATACGGATCACGAGCCCCAGGATCAGAGGGCAGCGTGACACCGTCCGTGCAGCCTGGAGGAGCAGCACTCAAGCTTTGAGTAATCCTTGGTGTTTTCCTGCACAGTGACAGCTCCATAAGGTGGGAATCTCTGCTTCCTAGCCCTGGGCTACACAGTGTGATGGATGACCCTGCCCACCCAACTCCCCAGTCTCAGGGGAAATCAGTCTAAATACAGACCCTCCCACTGTGGCATTCAGCTCCCGGTGCCAATGTGGCCTCCTTGACATCCCTTCCTCCCCTGACCTCAGCAGGAATGGGGCTGAGGATCTGGGAACAGACCTTCCTCAGGCATCCCAAGGCACCTCGCCCAGGTTACCAGTGGGATCTGTATTCTCTCTGTCCTCGTAGAGAGGATAGAGAAGTTGCCTTATGTTCTAAGTTACTCTGTGTACTTGACTCTGGTGGGGAAGACAAGAAATAATAAGCAGCCACCCCAACAACTCCCCACTGCTCGTAATTCCATCCCCAGCTCCCAGCCCAGCACCTGACCAGTAACAATAATAGTAACAACAGCCGGTGTTTATGTTGCCCATAGAATGTGAAAGGCTCTGTTATTAACTTATTCAGTCCTCACAATAACCCCACAAGGAAGTAGGTAATATGATTATCCCCAATTTTCAACATTAGTAAATGGAGGCACAGAGAAGTTAAGTGACTTGCACAAGGTCACACAGCTAGTGAGTAGTGAAGCCAAGCTCCAAACTCAGGCAGTGTGACTCAGAGGGTTGGCACTTCCCCGCTAGGCTATGCTGCTCTCTGCACTGCTGTATCTTGATGCATATTAATCAAATAAATGAATTTCATTTTATTTACAATGCCAAATTCATGGACTTTAATTTTCACTTTTCTGTGGGTACTCAGAAAAAAGTAGGGCAAGCCAATGTGTCTTTCTCAGTGTGCCAGGGCCCACGAGGGAGCTTCTTTCTGAACCACCCACCAGGAGGAAATGGCATTAGATCTGGGCCCATGCCTCCTTCCTGAAGAGGAGATGTTCATGGGACCAAGACAGGCTGTGCATCAGGGTGCCATCTCTGGGTGCCCACCAACTTTGAGGCATGGTGTGGAGGAGGAACTTCAGGGCTGCAGGGCCTCTGAGCAGAGTCCTCCTTAGATCTGAGCCTAGGAGACCTCGAGTCTCCCGGGAAGGCTGGCTTGGCCTCTCAAGATCTTTCTGGGCATAGGCTTTTTTGTTCACTTTAAAAATCCATTTGTGGAGCAAAAACTCATGATTATGGAAGAAAGTTTAGACTTTGTGGAAAATCCTGGGACCCACTGAAGAAGCCTTGCCTGACCTTGTACAGGAGCTATCAGTATGGATGCTTTTCAAAGCCCATGGCTGACAGAGATAGATAAGCTTGGGACCCCATTCACTACATCTTGGACGTGCAGTTTCTTTGTCCAAAACCTTTGCTTATTTTGTCTGGCTGCAGGCCGGGACTGCCTCCTTCCTCTGCTTCAGGTGCTCACAGAGCAAGACTGGGTTGGTAAATTAAGAATTTGCCAGATGGAAAGGACTAATTTTTCCCCCTTTCAAAATCATGAGCATGACGGTTTTTGCACACATTCCGCCGGACACATACTGCATTCATAATACAGAGCGTCGAGACAGCATAAAGGTTTCACATCTTTCATGTGATAAATATTTTTACCGTCATGCTCAAGAAATGGATTTTGTTTGAAAATGGCCTATTTCCTTTGATGGCTTCTTTGACGTGGATTCAAAGCCTTTCCCTATCCTGCCAGGGCCTGGGGTTGGGAGGGCCTGTTTGTTCAGTTTTTTCGAAGGACAAATCCACTTCTCCCTGATGAAATACAGCTGTGACTGCTGGGGGTGAGAGATTTACGACTTAGGACAGTAATGAAAAGACGTCCAGTGAGCCGACAGCTGCTGGGAGTGATGGCACGCTCAGCCCTGGGGCCACAACAGCTAGGGCTCCCAGGGGACGTGTAAGCAGACCTCAACCTCGCTGGGGCCCTGGCTCGTATTTATCCTTCTGCACTGTACACTACATTTAAAGAATCAGATGTGGGCTAGTTAACTGAATAATATTTCTTCTCACAAGTTTGTTTTTGTAAGTGTTCTTTTCTCATCTTTGAAATGACACATTTTTAATGCTCTTGCTATAAGCAGTGAGCAACCACTTGGGACTAGAAGAATCTGTTTTCAGGATGAGCTTTTGTAGGCTGCTGCGGGCTTCTGGAACTCTCTCTCTCTCTCTCTGTGTGTGTGTGTGTGTCTGTCTGTCTGTCTGAGTGTGTATGTCCATGTGTGAGGATACAGCCAGTGATAACTGAGGGAAGCAGGAACCCTGTTCTCTTGTGGGAGACTGTACTAATAGTTCCAGGGTCTTGTGATTGATATCCTCTCTCTCCACACTGCAGAGCACTGCTTACCCTCCCACCTGCCTGTCCTGTAGGGGCAGGTGCATGCTATACATCTAGACCCAGGCACCAACACAGTTAAGGGGTCTCTGAGAGAGGAGGTTTGCTGGTGTGCCCAGGGCTCAGGCTCTGGGGTTTGGCTGACACCCCAAATACTTGTTCTTTGAGCAGATTGCCTTTCCCCAGAGCCATTTTGCAGGACCCCTCCCGGGTGGTGGAGGGAGCACTGAGCAGGAATGAGGGCATTAAGACCCTTTTTTACTTCCCGGTCCTAGAATCAGCTGCTGCCTGGCTGTGTGACTTCAGGTGGTTCCATTGAACATTCTGCTTCTGAGTGAAAGCCACCAGGCCCTGTGTAAGCCACAATCAGTGATCTGAGCACCTTAGAATTGTGACATTTTAGGGCATGAAGGGATCTTAGAGATCACCTTGTGTTTACTGATGAGAAAAGGGCAGCCTAAAGAAAAGGAAGGGCCGGGTGCGGTGGCTTATGCCTGAAATCCCAGCACTTTGGGAGGCTGAGGCGGGTGGATCACTTGAGGTTAAGAGTTCGAGACCAGCCTGGCCAACATGGTGAAACCCCACCACTACTAAAAAAATAAAAAATAAATAAATAAAAAATTAGCCGGGTGTGGTGGCAGGAGCCTGTAACCGCAGCTACAAGGGAGGCTGAGGTGGGAGGATCCCTTGGACCCAGGAAGTGGAGGTTGCAGTGAGCTGAGATCATGCCACTGCACTCCAGCCTGGGCGACAGAGCAAGACTCCATCGCAAAGGAAAAAAAAAAAAAAAGAAAAGACTTTGCCACAGCCACACACTGAATGTACTGAGAGCCAAGACTAGGAAGTTCCTCCTCTACAGCTGAGATTCTCAGAGTGGGGACCGTGGACCGGCAGCCTTAGCATCCTCTCATAACTTGCTAGAAATGCACGATCTCAGGCCTCCCCTCAGACTGCTGAATGAGAAACTCTGGGGTGGGACCCCACGATCTGTAATCTGACTGCCCTCTGGGTGAAGTCTGATGCTTGCTGCTGTTCCTACAGCACCCCGCTTCCCTTTAAGACCAGAAGAAAGAAACTGGAAACAGGCAGGCTTCCTGGGAGAGGCTGTTTGAGACAGGGGAGCACATGATAGAGTAATATTACAGATGAAAGGTACATATGATTTTTGCAGCTTCATTCAGGCTGCAGGTTTCCCAAAGCAAGGACTCTTGTAGCAGAGCCTTGAAAGGAGTCATGGCGTCTGGCATTGTTCTGGGCTGCAGGCTGTCCTACTGGCAAGGGCCACACTGCTTTCTCCCTGTCTAGCCCAGCTGTTCCCATCCGTGTGTCTGTGTCAGGGAAGCATGCCTCTTTAACATTAGCAGGGTTGGTCCGGCTTGTTCATTCCAATAGATTGATGTGTGGAAACACTGGGAACACTGTTTTATGTGTGAACAGTGTAGTGTATATTTAGAAGTCCGGGTGTCAGCTCCGGGCTGTCAGCTCGGTGGCGGGCGGGAGCGGGGGGGATAACGGTATGTGCTTCAGAGTTTATTATATCTCTCCTAGGCAGAATTCTAGCTTTAAAGGTTGCTTTAAAGTAGCAAGTAATGGCACATATAAATTCTGATTCCTAAGATACAGACATTTGTCACTCTCTAAAATGAGTTTTTTCACATGTACTTTATATAGTTGGCATGGAGTGTAAAAACTTGACCCTTTAATAGCAGCTTTCATTCTGCATAATTTCTAATCAAGGCTATTTCCACTTCTGTGAGTGTGTGTGCACATGCTGAGCCCTGCTGCTCCTACCTGCACCAGCCATCCTAGCCGCACACTCAGACACACCCAGGCCCAGAAGTCCCCCTTGCAGGGGAGGAAAGACCCAGCAGTGCCAGCCCGTCAGGAGTGGAGTGGGATTTTTCTGACGGAGAGAGATCATCCTGTAGTATCTGGACTAAGCTTGCAGAGTCAGATGTCTTCCTGTCCTTTGTCTGCCATGTCAGCCCGGACTGAACTGACTCTGGTCTTTTGCTGGGACCCACCACCCTTCCTGAGTCCTAGCCCACCTAGCTGGAGTTGCCTTCCCTAACTCTTGCCAGTACCTCCCAGAGTGCAGGGCCAAATTCCTGTATCCCTGGCTGTCTTAATCTGTTTTGCATTGCTATAAAAGAATACTTGAGACTGGGTAGTTTATAAAGAAAAACAATTTTAACATTTTTTCTCAGAGGGTTCTGAATCCCCCCTCCCCAAATAAAAGCAACAACAAACTAACAATAGAACTGCAGCTTTAGGGAGTTTTGAAAGCCACACTTAAGAGTAGCCAAATACCAACACCGAAGTCCAAAGAACAGTAGCAGGAAGCCAGTTGGACACTATAATGATTCCGTCTGTGTGGGTCAGGAAGAAACAGGGAGGCAGGAGGGCGACTGCCTCAGTCCCTGCTTTGCACCAGCTAGGGCTCTCCTTTCTACCTTGTTAGTGAGTGTACGAGGGAGGAAAGGCCAAAAGGGCTTCAAGGTCAGGGAGGAGTGGGCAGAGATAAGGCTCCTTCACAGCTCATGGCCACCTGCAGCCCTCAGGTGCGCTGCACCTTTGGAGAACTTGGATGACAGCCCTGCCCAGATTGTACGGGGTGTGTTCACACTCAGTGAGTGTTGGGGTGGACAGAGCCATTTTGCTCAGAGTAGTGTTGGACATGGTAGGCTCTTTGCAAATGTCAGCTATTGGTATTTTGCCTCACTATAACCCTGTGAGTGAAGTATTAGAATCTCTTTTTAATAGATGGGAAAAGCCACACAATGATTGGACTCTTGCTATGGTAGCAGAGTAATGGCCCCTCAAAGATGTACACATCCTAATCCCTGGAACCTGTGAATATGTTACCTTACATGGCAAAAGGGAACTAAGGTTGCATAGGGAATTAAGGTTGTGAATTCAGCTGACTTTTAAAGAGGGAGAGTAGCCTGTATTGCCCAGGTGTGCCTAACGCAACCGTAGGGGTCCTTGAATGTGGCAGAAGGGGCTGAAGAGAAGGTCAGAGTGCTGCGATGTGGGATGGACTTGACCCACTGTGGTGGGCTTTGAAGACGGAGGAAGAGGCCATAAGCCAAGGAATGCAGGCAGCCTCTGGAAACTGGGAAGAGCATGGAAACAGAATCTCTCCTCCAGAGCTTCCAGAAAGGAGAATGGCCCTACCAACACCTTGATTTTAGCCCGGTGAGATGCCTGTCAGACTTCTTACTTTCAGAACTGTAAGATAGCATGTCTGCATTGTCAAGCTACTAAGTTTGTGGTTTTTGCTAGAGCACCATAGGAAACTATTAATACACTTTACCACCTATCTGATGGTTTGCTAAGCACTTTCGGGGTGTCCATCATCTCACTTAATCTTTGCAACAAGCTTAGACATAGACATTATTATCCACATTCGACAGCAAGCTGAGCTTCAGAGAGGTTTAAGAGCTTGATGAGGGTCACACAGCCAATCCAGGGCAGAGGTGCCTCCAGAGCTCCTCAGTCTGGTGGGCTCAGCCCCTAATGGAGTCTGCACTTGGCCTTGCAGTGGGACATCTCTTGGATGGCAGACCCCACCCTACTTTGGGCTGAGGCACCCTGAAGAAGCCTCTCTTCTTCCCTGCAACACTGTTCAGGTGTCAGAGGAAGCCATCCTAGATTTCCTTTGCCATGCTGAATAAAGTCCTCGCACAGAGGATTTTAATGGTGTTGGACCTGAGACTGTCAGGGCTCCTTCCTCCTGATTGGTTCCAAGCTCTTTGCTGTCAGATTCCACTTCGTTCTTTTGGCAGCTCTGAGGATTCCAGGAAGAGAAAGCCTAATTGTGGGGACCATTGGCAAAAGACCTTCGGCTCATGTTTGAATGCAACTCTAGAAACAGAGAAGAAGGGAAGCCCTCCATCAACAGAATAGTGCATTTACTTACCATTATTAGGGCACTTGACATATTCAAGGATGTTTTCAAAAATCTGAAAATTGTCCTTTGGGAGCCTAATCACAAGCAGAGGCATAACATCTTGCTTTGCTGGATATAAGAAGAGTACCGCTATGATGTGCCGAAGTCCCCCTTCTCGCTCAAGTAAAACGCAAACACTGGCTCCATCTTACAGAAGACAAGCAGGGCCCAGGGAGCTGGGGGTTTGCCCAGTGTTGGAGATGAGGTTAGGCCAAGGCTTCCTGTCTCCCAGACCAGCCAGCTTTCCACGGGTCTCAGTGCCTGGCTTTGGCTGGGACCAGGCACAAAGGCTGGGATTTGGATCTCAAGGCTGGGTGTTTGGAAGACAGGGGAGGTCAGGCCCACAGGCCGTGAAGGCGACACAGCAGATGGCAAGCTGAAGGCAGCTGAGGCTGAACGCTGCTGTTCCGGCTGTTTATGATGTGATCCCTCTGCATGGTGGTGTGAGTCCTGCCCTCATTAGCAGTGCTCGGGTGAACTGGGCTTTGATGCTCTGCAAACATGGTCTGGGCTTCTCGGGCAAGGCCCAAGCATCAAGCTTTTTAATGGGAATAATGGTGACTTCTCATCATTGGAAGTCAGCGGGCAGGAGTTTACTGAAAGCCGACAAGAGAAATGTACATTTCTGAACATTCAATTAGCCCTCTTCTTTTTAACCCAAAATAAAGCATGCAACAATGCACTGCAGGAGTGGAAGAAAAGTTTTTTTAAAAAAATCATTGAATTGTACATTTAAAATGGGTGAATTTTATGGTATATAAATTATACCTCAATAAAGCCGCTTTTAAAATGAGGAGTGGAAGAAAAGGAAAACCTTCTTTATGAATTCTTATCTGGGATATTCAGCAATGCTTGCTGCATTATTTGATGCTTAGCTTTCATCTTTCCCAAAGCTGACTTCACAGTGACCTCTGACAGTCGGTTTCCATCTCACAAGTGAAGAAAGTGAAGGCTTGAAGGGACTCTGGGTCTTTCCCAAAGAGAGCGAATAGCAGACCCAGAAGCGGGGAGGGAAGGGGTCCCCAGTGCACTCTGGGAGGAGGACCAGGAGACAGGACCATCTGGGTCTGCACCCCAAGTGTACTTCAGACTCAGGGTCTCGGGGCCCATGGCAGACAGATACCTGGCACCCCAACCTGCCTGACCTAGTTTCTCCTGCCTCCTCTCACTGGGTTCTGGATCTTATCACCAAACAACCAGAGCTTTGCTATAAGCATGGCCTGAGGGCAGAAAGAGAAATAGCAGTGGCTACAGAACTGGCTGCAGGACAAAAGCTAGCCCCCACTCCCCACCCACCCTCAAAGCCTTCTCAGTGATCCCCTCTGCCTGAGAGAGGGACACAGTAAACTGAGTAAACCACAAGAAACAAGAAGGCTCCAGTGGTTTCCTGGGAGCACATCCCTAGGTGCACAAACCGAGGGACAAGAAGCAGAGCTGCCGCTCCCAGAGAGTGCACAGACTAGCTTGGGCAGCGGGCCAGGGGTCCTCAGCCAGGTGAGCTGCGTTCTGGGTGGCTCTGTCTGACCCTTCGGTAGGACTTGACCATTCCTGCGGCCCAACCTTGAGGGGGGAGCCCTAAACCACTTTGACCTCCAACAGCAACCATGCCATTTGACTCCTCTGATTCCCTTGTCCTCCAATCCAAGGAGCAGATATGAGTGCTAGATTCTTGCCTAGGAAGAGGTCCAGGCTACAGCCTCTCCTGCAGTTCCTCCAAAAAACCACCAGCACCTCAGAATTTCTATCTCCAGCGATGGCAAGAGCTGGCAAAATGACTCAGCTTCAGCAGAAGGGGATCTGCAGGGATCTGGTCCTAGAAGGTGAGGCAGTCAGACCTAGACAGGGCTGGGCAGCATTACAATACCCCTTTCACTCTGAAGCCCGTTTCCTCCCCACTCCATTGTGCAGTCTCAGTACCACCACAATCTTGGAGCACGAGCCAGTGGGGCCAGTGCTTTGTGTGGACTGCCCACTGAAGCAGAACCCTTCATGCAGGAATTCCTACTTTCAGCATCACTGGCTTCAGGAGCCTCAAAAGCCTTGGCAGGGCCTCCAGATGTGCTCCTCTTGCTTGGCCAATTAGCCCATGCACAACGCTCAGAGCTGTGGCTTTTGTTGCATTCATTGCTCAAAGCTTTGCAAGCTATTTCCTGCCCCACTTCCCACTTGTCTCCATGAATTAGCATGGACCTGTCAGGATGTATCTGTAAGCTCCACTCTTATCAATGGGCTGTGTGTCAGGCACTGTGGGCATATCACTGAGACCACATTATGGCATTTCCCAGGTGCCCTATGTGATCATTGGTAGAACTTTTTGAAAAACAGTCATGCACAATAAGGACTGGGCATGATCATGGGGAAGCAAATGACCTGAGTGAGTGGGTCTCTAGAAACCCATCACTCTCATTCACAGGGGCCCACCTAGGAAGGACTCAAGCAACTGGTAGTCAAAATATACTTGGCAAACAACTGTCAAGGGACAGTACTAACCAACTGACAGGAATGCTCAACACAGCCTAGAGCAGGATCTTGGGGTTCTTGGCTGGGCCTTTGAGTTGCTGATTGGTGAAAAGAACTGGAGCATTCCAAGAAAAGGGCCAGAGCACCTGGGGTTGCAGGGGGGCCCTGGAGGTATTTTAGGCGGCAGCTGTTTGCCACCGCTAGGAAGGTATTTCAATAGTTTAACAACTAGTTTGAACCAGTACAGACCAAGTGAGTAGCCTCCTGGGGACTGAAGTATCTCCAGTCCTCAAGTCAGACAACAAGTCTTGGTGCATAATTTGCAGGTAGGGCTGCAGTCAGGACTGTGAGCTCAGCAATAAGCCCCTTAATGTCTCCAGCTGCAGTTTTCTCTTATCTATGATGGGATTGATTAAACCTACATTCTAGGAGAGGTAGGTGCAGTGCAATGGAATTGGGGTACACTGTACTAGGGAATCAGCTCCAGGGATAAAGCTTTTAGACACCCAAGATCAGCCTGCAGTTGGACCCCAAATAATGCACTTTGCCACTCTGTGGTTTGTTTCTTTTGTTTGAGACAGGGTCTTGCTCTGTTGGGCTGGAGTGTGGTGGCAAAGCTCACTGCAGCCTCGACCTCCTGGGCTGAAGTGATCCTCCTACCTCAACCTCCTGAGTAGCTGGGGCTACAGATGTACACCACCATGCTTGGCTAATTTTTGTATTTTTAGTAGAGATGGGGTTTCTGCATGTTACCCAGGCTGGTCTTAAACTCCAGGCCTGAAGCAATATGCCCACCTTGGCCTCCCAAAGTGCTGAGTTTACAGGCATGAGTCACTGTGCCCAGTGCCACTTTAGAGAGTACCTTTTTGTGATGCTTACCATGCTGAGCTTTGGGATACTTGCTTGTAGGTTCAGAAACTATTTCCAAATAATAACGCTAATCCCAAGGCTTTCAGACTCGCAGTCTTCACTGTGGTTCTTCCTGCCCCCATTCCATGGGCTACCCCCAGCCTGCTGAGGCTCTGGATGCTCTGGGTCTGGCTTCTTGGTTTCCGATCTGTACAGCCACCTGTCTAGCAGCTTTGAGCCCCACAGAGTGCTCTTTCCTCCTCCTGCATCCTGGTTCTTCTTGGCCTCTACTTTGGGGTGTACTTCCCTGGAGTGAGCTTGAGGATTGCACTTATTCTTCAATTCAAGCATCTTTTCCTTTAGGAAGCCTTCCCTCTGCCCCATTTCCCCTCACTTCAAGCATCCTTTCCTTTAGGAAGCCTTCCCTCTGCCCCATTTCCCCTCACCTACAGGGACCCAATGGCATCTTATATACCCTTGATCAGAGCATTGTTTACATTCTCTATATATTTGCTCTTCCCACTAAGTTGGATGCTATATGAGGATAGGGAACACATCTGAGTAATCTTAATATTTCAATACCCAAGCAATAAGCTTGGCATAGAACAAACTTGCTGAAATATTTGTTGCTTAGATGATAAAAGGGATTAACACCCTTTGTGGGCAAAGCTGACAGTGAGCTCCAAGGCCCAGCAAACAAAGGAAGCACAGCTATCAGGGAGCATCTCTGAATAGGGCTGGCCAAGCTGCAGCTCCCCGCACCCTGGGGATGGGCAGGAATGACTGCTTGCTGGTTCCCTCAGGGAGAATTTCAATGTCAACAATGAGGAAGGAGTCAGCCTGTTTGCCTGTTAATGTCAGAAATGTCATGCTTTGCACAGACCCATCAACTGTACCTTTCTCTTCAAGGGTGGAGTGATTAGTGTCCTCTGGAGGGAATCCTCCCCTCAGGGCTTGATGGTGAGGATTTCTGTAATGAGCACCTTGGAGACTGAGGAGACTCAGGAGGGAAGATGGGTATCAACGTGTCTGCCAGAGCTTTGAGGACACCGCAGGCTGGGTTTCAAGGAAGGAAGAGCACTCCTGGCCTGACTCTCTGGCTCTCTGTGGTTCTGTGGTTTGAGCTGGACACTTCCTGAGGGCATCTTAGGCCAGTTTTCTAGAGTCTCTGGGTCTTCCCACCTCATTGCCCTTTGTGCCTGGGTTTCTGGGAAGAGGGATGTTTGGACCCTTCAGTGGAATCTTTTTGATTCTGAGCCTTACTTGGTGAGATTTGAAAGAGAGAGAGAGAGAGAGGCAAGAAGAAGACACAGCCTCCTTCTCTCCCTGCCTCCCTCCTTATCTTCCTTCTCCCTATATTTTGGGGGTAATTACTCCATGCACAGTCCTATTCTGGATACTTGGGAGAGAAGCCTGGTAATTCTCTGGTATAAGAGATTTACAGAGGAGTCCTGGGAGAGCAGTGGAGATTGCTTACCACTGACCGTATTTTGTGGAACTACCTGAGAAGCTCTTAAACATGCCGTGCCAGTCTGCGTAACTGTGCACAATCATTTGCTTAAGTGAACTGGGGAGGAATTAACTGCACACAGCTGGAATTTGCCCCGGCCATGCCTTCACTGGCTTTGTGCTCCTACCTGCTGGCACAGGACTGCAGCCCCCTTTCTACTCCCTCTGAAAGATTTGGGGAATCTCTAGTAGGCAGGGAGTTTTCTGACCTCACGACGACCCACTGCTAATGCCCTATTCGTTCATTTTACTGGTATTGGTTAAGCACCTACTAGGCGCCAGATGCTGTTCTGAGTCTGAGGGACTCAACAGAGAACAAAGCAAATGCCTGACCTCACAGAGCCACGTTCCAGTCAGGGAAACAAACAACAAGCAAAATGAATGGAGACTATATTAGTCTGTTCTCATGCTGCTAAGAAAGACGTAAGTGAGACTGGGTAATTTATAAAGAAAAGAAGGCTTAATGGACTCACAGTTCCACATGACTGGGAGGCCTCACAATCATGGTGGAAGGTGAAAGAGGAGCAAAAGCACACCTTACGTGGTGGCAGGGAAGAGAGCGTGTGCAGGGAAGCTCCCCTTTATAAAACCGTCAGATCTCTTGAGGGTTATTCACTATCGTGAGAACAGCATGGGAAAGACTTGCCCCCATGATTCAGTTACCTCCACCGGGTCCCTCCCACAACACATGGGAATTATAGGAGCTACAATTCAACATGAGATTTGGGTGGGGACGTAGCCAAACCATATCAGAGACTATATATGTAAAAACTGGGGAGAGGGCTGGATGTTTAGGATAGGGTTTGCTGAGAAAGTGACTTTTGAGTAAAGACATAGAAGTGAGGGAACTGACCAGGAGGATGTGCAGGGAAATGCTGGAGCTGAGGCACTCAGGTGAGATGTGCCTGGTGAGTCTGATGAGTGGCCGGTGTGGCTGGAGAGGAGAAAACCAGGGGCAGAGATGGGAGGTGAGTGCTGGGCCTTGCAGGTGTTTAACAAGAAGGTGGCGGAAGGCCCTTGGAGGGTTCTGATCAGAGAAGGACGTGGCATGGTAATGTTTCCCCTGGCCCAGGGGTCTCCTCAGGCCGTACTTGGGGCTCCCCAACCTGCCCTAATCACATCATCCCTTTCCTTCCACCTTCCCTGACTCAAGCACCGCTTGGTCCCCAAGCATGGCTGTCTGGTGAAGCAGCCCCTTCACTTTCCCTTTCATCCTATTTCTCCCTGGGACCCAGACAAGCACTCAGGGCTGGGTGAGGGCAGGGGGCGAGTAACAGCCTCTGTGTTGTGCTCAGAATCCTCCAAATACTCCCCTTCACACTCTCTGGCTTTGCAGCTCACAGAGTTCATTGTGCCCTGCTCAATCTCTGCCTCGAATGGGCCCTCCTGGGGAGTCCTCAGCCCCTGGAGATGTGCTTCTCTTAAGTCACCTCATCAGTTGGTCAGACATGCCCAGGTAGGTCTGAATGCCTGCAGGGGCTTCAGCCAGAGTCCAATCCTGGAAGGTGCCTCATCCCTAGATGCCAGACATCAGAGGGTCTGGGTATCACCAGATATGCCAAACACCCCAGGACCCCTGTAGAAGACCCAGCCCAGACACTTCTCTGAGGCCTCTTTGCCTGTCCCCCTTATGTCAAAGGTGGTCCCCTTTGCTGGATGACCATGTAGGCCTGCTTTCTCACTGGAGACGGGAGTGGAGTCCAGGTCTGGTTAAGCATAGACCACTTGTCTATGGACATGGAAAGCCTTCATGTGGGGCTGGAAGGCGTCAGCATCTTCTAGAGCTGGGGACCTTGGCAAGGTCACCTTCCTGTCCCAACTCCGGCGGCCCGATAGGGCTGTGGGCTTTGTGCGGGCTTCAGCAGTGTTTATGGAGAGCTTACTATGTGCCAGGCACCGTGCCAAGCTCCTTACCTGACCATCTCATTTATCCTCACACATGTTCTATGAAGAAGGCACTATTGTTATCAACCCCATTTTCCAGAAGAGGAAACTGAGGCTCAGGGTGAGGTGGACCAAACTGGCAAATGGTAGAGCTGGAGGATAAACCCTAGGATTCTGACTCCACAGCCAGTGTTCTTAACCAATTCTTTGGAAGTAAAGAAAATTAAATAGAGTTCAGAGAGGCAAGGCCTCCTTACCTCAGGAGAGTCAACTCTAAGGTACAGGGCAGACAGGGCTCGGGAAAATGTTGGGGGTGGCACACTTTTTTTTGTTTTTAAAGAATCAGATAGTGTTTTCAGATTCTCGGGTCATATCATCTCTGTCATACATACTCAACTCTGCTCTTCAGCTCCAAAGAGAATATGTTAACAAGTGGATGTGACTGTGTTCTAATAAAACTTTATTTACAAAGACAAGTAGTGGCCCTTGGACCATGGTTTGCCACCCCTGGTGTAGAGAAAAGAATGTGGAGTTTGGAGGAGCCAGGCCTTTATTCGATGTCACTGACACACTGGGTGGCCTTGGATTAGACATTTAACCTTTTCACTTTTGGTTTCATCTTGTCTAACCACTATGGGTTACTTATTAACTGATGTATTTTGAAATGATCGATTGAGTCCCTTGTAAGAAGCAGTTACTGTGCTAGGAGCTGGCAGTCCAGCAGGGGTCAAGTCAGATGTGGTCCTGCTCTGTGGAGTTGCACCAGTGAGGAGGAAGAGAGGCAACATTCGATAAGGAAATGACCTATCGCAGTGCTTGACTCTTGGCAGAAATTCAACAAATATTACACCTTTCCTGCTGTAGGCCCTCCACCTCATCTTTCAGGACTCACTGGCTTTGAGTTTGTCATCCTTCGTGCCCATACTGAGTGAAAAGGTAGGACCATGTGGTGTCACCAGGACTTTAATATGTTTATAATATATTATTATGCAATGCAGGCCTAATTTTGGATCATAATTTTCCATTAACTGATCTCATTTTACTTAGTAATATCCACTTAGGTATTCGAGAGCAATAAAACTACATTTCTTTTAAATATTATATGATTCAGTTGGTTCACTGATTTAGATTTTTACTACCCCCCATTCCAAACGAATGAGTCATACATCTTTTTAGAGATAACAAGGACCTTCAAGATCATGCATGCTTGTGCTACCCTTCAAGCATGCCTAGTAGGGGAGAAGAATGAGCAAGTTCTGAGATGGAGATTTGGGCAAGCCACTGCAATCCTGACAATGCTGTGTCTTAGAAGAGTTTGCATAGTTTGCATTTTATTCTTCAGTATATCCTAATCTGTTTAAATTTTCCGACTTTGCTTTTATGTCTTTAAGGAAAATCAGTCACCGAGATGGTATGCCATGTTTGTCTTTGTACTTCACGTACTTTAGCAGCTCATTGCCTTATAGAGGCTGTATAGCATAGTGGGAGGACCACTGCCTGGGGAGAGCCTTCCCAGGACTGAAATCCAGCTACTGCACTTTCTTCTGTGTGAACCTGGACAAGTTTTTTATTCTCTCTATGCCTCACTTTCTTTATATATAAAATGAAGATGACAACAATTCCTACCTTATAGGGTGAGATGAGTTGATAAGAGAAAATGCTTAGGACAGAGCCTGGCTCGTGGTAGGAGTGAGCACTCATCAAGTGTTAGCTCTGATGGTTATCCCAAGAGTTACAGGGGTGTCCCATTTGGAGGACGTGGCCCGGAGAGGTACCTTAATGCATGTGCACCCAGTGAGTTCGGCACCTGGGAGTTTGTTGACAGATCTTTTTGCATCTCTCACACTGAGGTCTCTGGCATCTCTGCTTTCAGGATCGTGAGCTTGCTAAGTCCCCTTCTACTCTTGATAGCCTCTGCCTGCTTCTGGTGATGGAGGCTTCCTGCCACTGGAGCACCCCTTCCATGGTAGGGGGAGCCTATGTTTTGGAAGCCTCCCTCTTTTGTTCCCAGGCAGTCTCCTCTCTCTCAGATGGGCTTTTAGGAGAGCATCGCATGAGGAGGTGGCAGTCCATAGCCCCAGCACTCCAGCCTTGAAGACTTCAGAACCCTAGCTCCTTACTCATCTCCAGCCTGTACCTAGGTGTGTCATACACCCATTGACTCCATACAGGCCAACAAGGGGATGTGGGCAGGTGTCCCAAGCCTGCCTCTCCTGTCCCTGACCTGCTTCTGTTTTTTCTGATCACTGTCTCATTCCAGGCTCCTGGCTCCATCTCTTACTTCCCTCATGAATTTGTGAGCATAGACGACCCTGTCCAGTGGGCTTGCCAGTTCTGTCCAATTTCTCTGATTTCTGACCTCAAATGATTCACCTGATGGCCTGTCCCAGGGAAGTAATTCCAAAGTCCTGGACTATCAGCCCATGTCCTGGCAAGATCTATCTTTTAGCCCCCATCAAAGAGAGATTTCAATAACCTTCCCTTGCTATAATAACCCTAATTGCCATTGGCTGTGCACTTGTTCTGAGACATAAACTGATCTAAATGCTTTATACACTTTATTTAATGGAATCCTCACAATCTCTGGAGGCTGGTTGGGTATTATTATCTCTGCATTCTAGGTTGGGGAATTTTGGCCTTGGGAGGTTGACTGTGCTATGGTCATGTAGCCAGGACGTGGTGGAGCACTGACTGGAATCCACGACTGTGTGACTTCAAAGCCTCTGCTCTCACAGTTAGTGATTCCCCTCCATTTTTCTGGGAAGTTCCTGGGAAACCATGTGCTGGCCTTGAGCTGCCTCCACCAAGTCCACAAGGGCTCCCATGAGCAGGGCCCAGAGCGCAGGGCAGGCTGGGTGTGGCTTGGCTGTCACCTGTGTCATGGATTTGCTATTCTGGTGGGCAGTGTCTGGAAGCAGCAGGAGGCAGTCTGGCCGGGGTGCTGACAGCCAGGTGAATGTCACATGGTGCACCAGGCAACTCACTGGAGGACCAGACAGTGAAGAGGGAGAAGGGCTGGCAAGAACTGGGTGGAGGAGTAGACTCCCAGCTTGGGTGCCTCAATGTGGGGTGGGCTTGGGAATTGCAGGAAATGGGGGTACAGGCTAGGGACAGAGAAGCAGATGCCCAGTTTGAGGGCTGGGGCCAACATCTCTGGCAGGGAGGCAGACTGGGGAAAAAGGGGGTCCTGACTTGAAGCCATGGGGCATCAATGTCACATCCATTAGCTTCTCAGCAGACCCTGTCAGGTGTATTTCTCTAACTCCTGTGCCTGGTGGTTGTGGGTTAGATGAATGGATGGATTCATGGATGAATGGGTCTTTGGGAAGCATGAAAACCCAAGTCAGCACTGACCCCGAAAGAAGGGGCTAAGATTGTTTTACCAAAGGCTGTTTGTGAGGAAGGGAAAGGGATTGTCATGGCACATGCAGGGGTGCACTCTGACCCACTGTCTCCTGTTCCTTCTTTCTCCAGAGGCTCCTGCCAAGCCTGAGGAGGCAGAGGCCGAGCCCTTCACAGACTCCTCTCTGTTTGCACACTGGGGCCAGGAGCTCAGCCCCGAAGGCCGGCGCGTGGCCCTGAAGCAATTCCAGTACTACGGCTACAACGCCTACCTCAGCGACCGCCTGCCCCTGGACCGGCCCCTGCCTGACCTCAGACCCAGTGGGTGAGCAGAGTCAGTGACTGGGCCCTTGTCGACCTGCCTATGGGGAGATGGGGTCCCCAGAGTGCTGGGAACAGAGCAGGACTGGGCGCCTGGATTCTTGGGTCCCTTTCCTGCTTCAGCCAGGGCCTGTCCCCTCGGCTTGCGTTCAGCAAGTCACTCTCCTCTTCCCTCAGCCTCAGTTTCTCCATTAGCTGAGTAGGGGCAAAGCTTTCTTCCAGTAGAGATTTTGAGGATTAACAACTTAATTTACTCGTTAAGGACACTACAATCATCTCACATTCCTGTTAATACGTCATTTTAACCCAATTAGTTGCATTTTATGCATAATCTTTTTTCTGTAAATTAGTTTTTAAAGTACATCTATCTTGTGGGGCTAACAAGTCGTTACATCTGACAGAGAAGTCTGTCTTGACTTCTCTCTTTGTTACAGAAGGATGTTCCTTTAAGGTTCAGTGAGAATTCTTACTACTCCCAATTATTGAAAATGTGGGCATGTACCTCAGCTGAGAAAATCTCATTAATTTTTGTGAGCTCCCCCCCACAGTGTTTTCCCCCTTTTCTCCTCATTTTTACATTTTTTTAAAAGCTGCAAACCACAGTGAGCTTATATCTGGAGTCTTTGAGAAAGATCTTGCTGCTGGGTTTGGAGGCCGTGTTCTTTTAGGGAGAAGATTCAGTTCAGCTCCACAGACATTCATTGAACACCTGCTGTATACTGTATAATTGGGTATGGTTATTTGTGGCTCAGGGAGAACCTGGCTCGGCTAGGATGAAAGAGCAGCTGAGGATGTCCAAAGGGAGAGAAGAATGTGCTTTCACTTGCAGGTCATTTATTAAGCACTTCTGTGCCAGCATAGTCTAGACACAGGGATGATACGGTTTGGCTGTGTCTCCACCCAAGTCTCATCTTGAATTGTAGTTCCCATAATCCCCACATATTGTGGGAGGGACCAGGTAGGAGGTAACTGAATCATGGGGGTGGTTTCCCCCATACTGTTCTCCTGATAGTGAGTAAGTTCTCATGAGATCTGATGGTTTTATAAGCGTCTGGCATTTTCCCTGCTGGCTCTCATTCTCTCTCCTGCCACCCTGTGAGGAGGTGCCTTCCACCATGATTGTAAGTTTCCTGAGGCCTCCCCAGCCATGCAGAACTGTGAGTCAATTGAACCTCCTTCCTTTATAAATTACCCAGTCACAGGTATTTCTTCATAGCAGCATGAGAATGGACTAATACAAGGGACAAAGCAGTGAACAAAACATACAGAAACCCCTGCTTCACAGAGCTGGCATTCTAGTTGGGTGGAGGCAGAGAGTAAACAAAACAAAGAAGTCAAATATGCAGTATGTTAGGTGGTGGTGAGTGCTATGGAGAAATATAAAGTCGGAGAGAGAGAGAGACACCTGGGACAAGAGTGGGGAGCTGCAATTTTTCCTGCGTGGTCAGAGAAGACCTCAGTAAGAGGTAACATTTGAGCAAAGACCTGGAGGAGAAGAGGAAGCAAGCCATGAGGGTACTGTTGGAGGATGGGGGGAGTACCTTTCAGGCAGAGGAAGTGGCAAGTGCAAAGGCCCTGAGGCAGAAGCACGCATGGCACGTCATGTTTGAGGAAGAGGAAGGAGGCCCCTGTGGCTGGAATGGGGTGTGTAAGGGGGCAGTAGTTGGAGATGAGGCCAGAGGAGCAACAGGAAGCAGATCATTAGGGCCGTGGTTCTCAACCTTGCTGCCCATTCTACACATCACGGGAGCCTTAAAAAACAATCCTGATGCCAAGGCCACACCCCAGACCAATTAGATAAGTGTTTCTGGGGCAGCACTCAGCTTCAGTATTGTTTAGAGCTCCTGGGTGATTCCGATGTGCAGTCAAGGTGAATCCCAGGAGAAGGGCTTCATAGGCTTTTGCAAGGAGTGCAGCATTTACTCTGTGAGACAGAGATCCATGGGAAGGGCTTGAGCAGATTAGCAATATGCTAATTGTCACTTGCAAAGGTGCCTGTGGCTGCTATACTGAGAACAGACCGAGGGGGCAAGGCTGGGAGCATGGAGACCAATTAAGAGGCTTCCAGGTGAGAGGCAGTGGTGGCCTGGACCATGATGGCAGCAGGGGAGGTGCTGAGATGGGGTTGGATTCTGGAAATATCCTGAAAGTGACCTCAGCTAAGTGTCATGGGGCCTCAGTCCACAGAGGAGCTGCAGAGACCACTCCTGGGTCTGGAGAGGAGCTGGTCTGGTGGGGGCAGCACACAGGGGCTCTGGAGAAGAGATCATCAGGAATAGGGCCCTCTAGTTCCTGCAGGGGACTTGGCCATGACCTTGGCCAGAAGAAGAGCCATGGACTTTTCAGTCAATCTGTTACAAAACACAGGCACAGCTCAATCCATATTTGTTCAAAATTAAAGGGAAAATGGAAAGGAAGCCAAGGAAAGGGTGGATTTTACAGATTATAACCTGGTTATAACAACAACTGGGATTCCCATAGTGCTGGACGTGCCGATAATGCCCTTCCCATTTGGACCACATTAACAGGGCAGTGAAGGTACGCCAGGCAATGGTAGATTCTTCCGGTTTGAGTTGAGGAAACTGAAGAGCGGAAAGAGTGTTGTCTGAGGTCACACAGTCAGATAAGCAACTGAGCTGAGCCTTGAGCCCATGTCTCAGATGCCGGATCGTGGCTTTGACATCGGCCCACCATTGTTTATTTGACTGTGCACAATGCTGCACAATGAGAGCGCATGTGGGAGCCCTTGATCTTTGACTGAGAGAAGCGCCCCACCCACTCTCACCTGTGGGAGGAATTTGCCTGAGAGAGGGAGGAACTCTGAAGGACTTTAGGTGGGCAGAATTCTACAGTTTTCTTCTGAGCTGCTGGAGAGGAGCAATCGTCCTTACAGAGAGACCTTCCCTCTGCACAGAACTTTACAGTCTGTGGAGCTTCCACACCTCCCCCGTGGCACCAAGCAACTTCTGTCAGCCCCTTTTTCCAGACAGAAAAACAGAATCTCTGATAAAAGGCAGAGCAGAGCCTCCTCACTCCTCAGGGAGGGCTCTGTGAAAGTGGCTTTAACAGTGGAGGGTTCTCTTTGCACATGTACTTGGAAGGCTCCGTCTAGCTCTATTTCAGCTCACGTGCCAGACGCACGCCCAAGATTGGAGAGCTGTTGGTGGACCACACAAAACAAGTATGTGCTTAGGTAAAACAGTGCCTCCTTTTGTCTGTTAATTTCCATAAAAACATCCCTGCCTTGTAACAAGGCCATTGCTTGGCTCATCCTTCTTAATTCATTTTGGAAACATCTTTTCAAAATTTTACTCTCATCCTATTTCAAACGACACTGGCAAACATTTATATAGGATAAGCCATGTTTTCAGGCATATGTTTGTCACTTAATTTATAAGAACTCCTTGAGTCTTCACAGTAAAACCTTCTGAGGTAGGTCCTATGATTAGCCTTCATCTTACAGAAGAGGAAACTGAGGCATGGGGAGATGATATCTCCTGCCCAAGGTCACTAGTGGCAGAGCTGGGGCAGGTGGTCTGGCAATAGAATTTGTGCATGTAACCACTGTCCTCACACTGCCTTGAGGCATCTATTTGTGTCACTCTAATGGGAGTGGCAGGCCCGCTTTAACAATATAGCACTGAGCATTTGCTGATCAGTTTTGGAGGGAGGAAGGTCGGCGTCTACATGTTGGAAAAAACTGTTTTAGTGCACATGAAACCAAGGCTTGTTGCCAAGGCTCAGAATGATGCCTGGGCTCTGGCTAATGTTGGGATTTGGACTGAGAGGATGTGGGTCAGCATGTGGAGAGGAAGCCCACAGTCACTGCAGTCTCTGGAAGATTCATGCTGTGTGGCTCTTGCCATAGCCGGAGCCCCTGTGCCTCTTGTGAATTCCAGTTTGCTCTTCGGGACTTCTGTTCCTGCTGCTTGTATTCCACACTTTGCTCTTGGTATTCTTGGCTCTTTTCTTCCAAATTCTAACCCTGATGTTATTCTTGGCTTCATTCCTAGATCAGAAAGTGAGTGTTCAGAATCCTGCCCACCCTCCTTTCTCTCACCTCTAGCTAGTCACTTACTTTGTCTCCTTTTTTTCTTGGTACTGAAAGATGTAATCTGACCCAGCTTGTCATGTGGCTGAGATAGGACCATGCTGTGCCAGTGCCTTATAGACAAGACAGGACACAACTAGAAGGAAAAACATCGGTCCAGCCAGTTGCTAGGCCTCGTTTATTTTTTTATCCAGCCAACATTTACTGAGCACTCATGATGTGCCCGGCACCCAACAAAGCGTCGGACGGATATCTCCTGGAGTTTACACTGAGATGGGAACCCAGACAGAGGTTGGTGGGAGGGCGAGTCTGCTGACCATTTCCCAGGCTCCGTGGCGGGGAGGACTTGTCCTCGCAGGCTTTTAGTAAGGCAGTGGCCTGGATGTGATGGTCACAGAAGCACTGTCCCTCTGGTGCCTCTGTGGCAGGGAGGCAGGGCCTGGAGGGTGGCATCTGCAAGGCACCTCTCTGTGGCAGGGAGGCGGGGCCTGGAGGGTGGCATCTGCAAGGCACCTCTCTGTGGCAGGGAGGCGGGGCCTGGAGGGTGGCATCTGCAAGGCACCTCCCTGTGCCGGCTTCCCTGGGGAGAGTTGTTTTAACAGTCCAGACTCTAGAGAGACATCTGGGATCTTTGAACTTTGGGGGGTCCTGGCTTCATGGATAGGCAGAATAATGGCCTCCCAAAGATGTCCACATCCTAATCCCCCACACCTATGAATATGTAATAGGCATAGGAAGTGTGCCAGTTTTTCCAACCTCATCTGCACAAAGAGGGGACCAACTTCCTCAAGGATCCAGGCCCCTTGGCTCCTGGGGAAATCAAAATGCCATTCATCCTCCTTGCAGTTTTGTAGCAGCAGTAGGGCAGACCCCTCAGCCATCCAGGTGGGAAGAACTGGGGGAGGCAGGACACTTCAGACTCCTCTGGTGAAGCCTCCTGGACCTCATCCATGTGGGGCCTTGGCCAGGACTGGGCAGGGGTTCACTTGCTTCCTTCCTGGTCTGGGAAGATACCTAGTCTCAGGGTTGAAGGGCAGAAAGTCTTCATCCCAGCCTGGCTGGACCCGGCTCCATCCCCCATGGCCCCAGCCGCAGGCTCCAGATGTCCTATGGCTCTCTCTGTGTGCTTCCTCCTGCCTCTCGGTGTCCACCCTCTTTCTCCTTATTGGTAGGCTCCAAAATAATCTAGGAGGGGCAAGAAGAGGAAAAGGAAACATCAAGTCTCAATTGGGGTGTGGACTACAGAGGCGTACACATGCCAAAACTCATTGAACTATACACTGAAGCTCTGTGCATTTTACTGTGTGTAAGTGAAACATCATTTCTTTTTGAAAAATGGAGATGTGAGAAAGCGACTGAAGAAGTCCTTTGCCCAAGGGGTGGAGAGGTAGGAGGAGGGGACATCTTTTGGGAGGTCACTGAAAAGATGGGTGTGAGTTGTGGAGAAGGAGGATGGCGCAGGGTTGAAGTGAGCCAGCCAGTGTGAGGTGATTTGGGAAGGTGGGCTTCTCACCCCAGCCGGGCCAGGCAGGTGGAACATGTGTGCTCTCCAGTTCTGCGGCTTCGGCCTCAGACTCATGTCACATTCTTTTCTGCAAGAAGTGGCTGTTTCCAAACAAGGGGCACAGGAAAGTCTAAGGGATCGTGGGTGTGGATAGAAGTGGGGGCTCTGGTCTCAAGCTCCAGGGTTGTGTTTCCATGGCAACTCTATGGCCTCCCTCCAAGGCAGCTCAAGGCAGAGCCTCTGGCACGCACTGCCTCCTGCCTCTTGCCAGCAGATCTTCAGAGGCTCCTGAGCCTTATCAGTAATGACTTTGCCCTTCTCACCAGTGTCCCCTGAGGCCCATGTCCCTCCCTCCCAGGGGTTAGGATGGACTGGCTCTTGGGTTTGACAGGTGGGTTAGGGCGTGGGGCTAGGACAGGAGGCGTTGGCAAAGGTGGTCAGAATATGTTCTGCAGCCCTAGGTGGGAATAATTGGGACAGATCCACACACAGGCTCACAACAGAGCCCTGGGTCTGGAGCTGGAGGTAATCCTTTGTGAGCACCAAAGTGATAAGAAGCAGGACAGGATAGTAGCAGAGGAAGAATATAGCCCAGAGCCAGGGGCACTGGTCTTCCTGGGAGCAGGTTAGGGACCATTTCATGGGGCTCTGAGTGTTCGGTGGGCAAGATTGTTTTAACAGTCCAGACTCTAGAGAGACATCTGGCATCTTTGAACTTTGGGGGTCCTGGTTTCATGGGTAGACAGAATAATGGCCTCCCAAAGAGGTCCACATCCTAATCCCCCATACCTATGAGTATGTAATGTTACATAGCAAGGGGGATCTATGGTTGCCGATGGAACGAAGATTGCTGATCAGATGGCTTTAAACTAAGGAAGTTTTCCTGGATTCATTGGCTGGGCCCAATCTAACCCCAAGGGCACTTAAAAGTGGAAGAGGGAGGCAAAAGATCAACCTGAGAGATGACAATGTGAGAAAGACTTCATCGGCCACTGATGGCTTTGAAGATAGGAGACAGTTATGAGGGAAGGAACGTGAGCAGCCTCAAGTTGCTGGAAAAAGCAAGAAAATAGGTCTTCCTGAGAAAGTAATGCAGTGCTGCACACCCCGATTCCAGCCCAGCGAGAACTGTGTTGGACTTCTGACCTCCAGCATGATGAGATGATAAATTTGTGTTGTTGTAAGCCACCAAGTTTGTAATAATTTGTTACAGTGACAATATTAGTATTAGGAAAACAAGACAGTGTACAGCCTGTTGCACAGGATCCTGGAAGAAGAAAGGCTCTGTGATTGGTTTAAGGCTCTGCTGTCACTATACTAAAGTTCATAACAATAATTTTTAAACAGGGCACTGCATTTTCCTTTTGCACTGGGCCCCACAAATTCTGTAGCTGGCCCTGGAGGAGGAGGGAGATGGCTCCAGCAGGAGCAGGTAGGCCATGACTGCTGGACCATCCCAGAGTTGCTAACCATGAGCGAAAGATTCACGAGCCGTCACCTGCTCGCTTACTGTGTGCCAGGTTCTGTACAAATGCTTAACATACACTTTCCTATTTAATTTTATCCTCATGTGGCTCTGGGGTTGTTATTATTATTCCCATTTTATAAAGGGGAATACCGAACATTCACAAGGTTAGGAAATTTGTTCAAATTCCCACAGGCGCTATGTGGCCGAGCCGGTATTTTTACTGGGGTCTTATGATTCCAGGACACTATTTTATCAGCTTGCCCTGCCCAGCCCTGCCCAGGTGAACTTTCCTAGTTTGGGATCTTGCCTCTGTGGAGGAGACCCAGAGGTCTATGGACAATGTGTTCTCCATGAAGGCAACTTAAGGACAAAGGGTTAAAATAAACATTCTTAATCATGATTTTGCCATTGAATTGAACACACTAACTGTACAAACAAAGGGGAATTACTCTTTAACTAAAGTACTTTGGGAAAATACCTCTGGTTCTGGTTAATATTAATTTCGTTGTGGGCCAAGAGTATAATGTTATTCTTGAAATGTAATCTTGAGCTATATTAATAGAAGTATAATGTTTTAAAAGAGGGAGGTGATAGCTTTGTTCTACTCTGCTGCTCAGATCACAACTGCAGAATTGGGTTTTAAGAGATGTTGAGAAAGTGAAGTATTTACAGGAGGACAACCCAGAAGAGAAATTCGGTAGTATGACAAACAGGTGAAATTTCTGTTTAGATTATAGAGTAGTAGTTAAAACCTGGTTCCCCACTTTCCGAGGCCAGGTCTCTCATTTATAAGCTGGGTGACCGCCAACAAGTTGCTTGGCCTCTCTGTGCCTTGGTTTTCCTATCTGTAAATTAGGGATGGTACTGCAAAGTTTGTGTAATGTTTGTAGAGCTCATGGGCCACTGCCTGACACATAGGAACTGCTATTTAACTTTTAGTCACTTTTATTGTCTGGGTCTCTGATTTGTAAAAAAGAAGACTTGGGGGAACATGTTCATGAGTTTAACAACCTGAAGGACTGCTATGTGGACAAGGAGCACATGGGACAGGGCACTGCCCTGGCAGTAGATGAGAGCAGGGCCAGACAGGCACTGCAGGACAGGTTACACAGAAGTCCCTGGGGGAGTAATTTCTCTCCAGCCCCAGAATTCTGGGCGTCAGAGGCCGAGCCCTGAGCCAGGCTTTGCTAGAGAGCAAAGTTGCCCCATTCTTCCTTAGAATCCGCCTTCCCTTGCCCTGCGGATCTATCAGGACCTGCCTTTCCCGGCCCCAGCAGATCTGCCCTGCCCCACCTTCCTCAGCTGTAGGTGCTATGGGCCTGGCCTGCTCACTGACAAACCCACCACACAGAGTGTCCCTAACGTGGCTTTTCCATCAGAGCCAGCTGGCTTTTGTTCCCTGGGTGGCTGTTCATTCAGCCCAGGGATCCCACATTCCCCAGATTTCTAAGATGTCTTAGGGACAAATGGTATCCCTGCTTCCTGTTGGTTGCTTACGTTGTAAATGATTCTCTTTCCTGATTTCCTATTTTCCGTCTACATTTTACATAGCAGAGCCTTTCTCTAAATTGATAAATTCACCTGAAAGGATGATGGTTGAACTTCTGCCTCTGGATGAAAGTTGGATGTTTTGATGATCACATATACTTAGCAGTTTACTCATCAGCAATTCTTGCACCAAATTCTGCTCTTAGATGCAGGTCTGGCCGATTTCTCCTGCATTGCAGAACTCCCAGTTCGCAGATGTCCATTGTCTCTTCCATATCTGGGACAGATGTAGTGTCTTGCCAAATCTCTGAAGTCCTGGATATATTTAGTATCCCCACCCTGCCTCCATCATCCTGTTCTTCACCCCTTTGGCTTGTGGGATGATCTAGTCTTATTGCTGCAGTCAGGCAGGGAGTAAATGTACAACTCAGTGATTCCATTCCCATCAGGTCATGGTAGAATTCCCATCCACAGAGCCCTTATGGACCTGAATTCTTTCTGCTGTTCATTTATTCATGTGTTCACTCAGCCCATCACCAGGTGCATTCTGAATTTCTACTCTGTGCTGAACTTCATACCCAGTATTAGGGATACCTGATGAGCAAAGCAGACACGGCCCTAACCTTGTACAGCTTATAGTCTAGTGGAGACACTGACGTTTGTTAAATGATCACATATAAAAACATGTTGCAATAGCATGTACATGGCATGAAAGAAAAGCAGAATCTGTGAGAGTCTCACAGGGGACTGGACTCCAGCCCAGGAAGGGAATTGGTCTTTCTCTACTGGGTTATGTACGTGTTCTCAGGGAGCAAGGAACCAAACCTATGCAGGTGACCACAGGTGGTTGGGATTTTTTGAAGGCTGATGAAGGCCCACAATCACACAATGAGAAGCCACACAGGCAGGCTCTGGAGGAGGCAGCGTGGTTCAAGACATCCTGGACAGCTCCAGCCTGCCATCCTCTTTGCCCCACTTCTGCTGTGTTTCTAACAGTGACTTCATGTCCACGTCTACAGTTCACTCACTGACAACGCCCTTCTTCCTATTCATCATTTCTGCTCCCCTGCGCCTCACTTATCATCTTCTTAGGATCTCCTACATTCAACCCCTCCATTGTCCAGTGGCTGGACAGGGCCACTGGTCATTCTTTAAAATTACTAGATCCAGCTACGCAGAGCTTCTGTGCTAGGCTGCCTCATAGGCCTGCAGCTAGCTCTTTGATGGCTATTTGGGGCTCAGGAAATCAGTCACTGGTCCTGTTAATTGTGAGTCAAATGGAGATGCCACACAACAGAAGACACAGCAGCCTCGGTGCAAGGAGTCACCGGGATTGTACATCCCAGAGGCAGGAGTGTCACAGGAAGACCATGTTGGGCTTCAAAGACTCAGTAGTGTTGATCGTATTTGTCCATGTTGTCCTGCTAGACAGAATACAGCCTCTTCATTCTTCATGCAGATTTGGCAGCCTGGGAACAACTCCTTCATTTCGCCCCTCGCTCAAGGTCTCTGGGTTGCCAATGACACAACACCACTGTCTCACTGTCAGCACTTCTGGGTGGGTATGGAAAGGAAGATATAGAAACCATCATTCAGCAGGGTTATGAAGACAAGCTTTGGAATCAAATGAGCCCAGGTTTAAACCCTGGAAGATAACTTACCATCTCGACTCTATTTCCCTCAACTGTTAAATGGGGGATAATAATGCTGTTTACCGTACGGAATTGTAGAAAGGAATAAAATGGGGAAAATAGTAAAAACATCTAAACAAGTTTCAGCATGGTTTCTGGCATATGGTAAACAGTAAATGGAAGTTTTTAGTATTATTTCTGAGTATTCCGCGTGGGGCAGCAAACACCCTGCAGTCTCTTAGCCCCAGAGGCTATGGGGATACAGATACCAGCCAGAAGGAGGGACAGTCTTGATTGTTCTCTTGGCCAATGGGAACCTCCATACTGCCTTCATCCTCTGGTTTTATTATGTCCTGCCATCTGGGAGCTGACAGGCCTGGGAATCTAATCTGGAAAGATCTGGAAGAAGCTAGATGTATCTGAGTAAGGCCAGAGGATAATCAAGCTAGTCCCATGCATACAGGTAGGAGACAGAGGCTGGAGTGAGGCCATGGTGGCCTTGAGGGCCAAGAAGACAGTGCCGATCCTGGGGCCAGACCCTCTCCCTGGGTGTATGTCCCAGGGGGTTAGTGAGCCTGAACCCTTGTATGCTGACTACAGCCGAGAGAGGAGGGACTCTCCAGGAAAAGCCTGGGGAGAAAGCAGGACCAGGAAGATCCCCTGAGGGGAGTGGTTGCCTGGAGTGCCACCGTCTCACTTGCTTTGTCAGGTGGGCCCCACCTCCACTCCCAGAACCCTGGCATAGCTGGATGCTGTTCCTAGTGTGTCTTGGCAGACAGACCCCAATTCACAGTCTACTTTGATCTTCATTCTAGAAGGGGCCTGCTTACTCTTCCCACCCCCCACCCCCAGGTCAAGCAGCTTCTATGAACAATTCACTCTGATAGACTAGGACCTTGCAGACTTGCTGAGGTCAAAGAGGGGAGGGTCTGCCAGTCCAAGACGGAGGTGTCTGGCTATAGCGCATGAGGTTTGGCCACCGCCCCAGGTCTTATCTGGTGGCCGAGAACTGGGCTTTACCTCACTTATTCCTCCACTGCTTCCCCGCCTCTCACATGATCGTACAGCACTGAAGCCCTTGTTGTAAATTTGCCTCATACATATCTCCAAACAGTCCTGGGGGATCTCTGCAGAGAAGCCCCCTAAGTTGTTGCTCCCCATCCCTGCATCTCCTTCTGTGTGCAGAGCTCAATAGAATGGAGTCTGTCATGACCATCAATTCCGGCTTATTAGACAACCATATCCCTCCCCTCTCAGAAATGCCTTGTTTTTTTTATCTCTAGTGGAAAATGGCTCAGCTTTCAACAAGAATAAAAGTAAAAAGGGAGGTTTTTATGGCTTAATTTTACAGGAGAATATGCCTGTTCTCAAAATGAGCATGGGCTCGGTCTCGTGCAGTTGTGAGTTCTCGAGGAGCTTAAACACGGAAGGGCTGGTCCCAGAGTGTGACTCCCAGAGCTCTGTGTCCTCAGCCCTTCTCTGCAGAGGTGAGCAGAGAGGCAAGTGCAGAGGCAGACATCAGGGCAGAGGGGAGGGAGGCTCTGGGCGAGTAGGCAGGGTCCCGGCTGCGGCAGGACTGGAGCAGAGTGTGTGGGTGGCCCAATTCTGGAAAATCCAGGTGCTCTGGGAGGGCATCTTAGCAGTACAGATTTGGGAGCAAAGGCCACTGGGTCAGTGCTGGGTTGCCAGGCCGAGAAAGTGGCTGGACTCTGCAGCAAAAGCTCTGGGCTTGGGTCCAGAGCAGTCCTCTCCCACGCAGCTCTTGGAGGCGTGTTCTTTTCAAGGTGACTTGGACTACAGCACAAAGCCCTCTGTCCTGAGTTCAGTGTCTGCAGTGATGAGGATGGCATGACCAGGAAGGATGTAGATGTCTTGCTTGATATGCTCTTCTTCCCTCTTTTTGCCCCTGCCCTTCAGCAATGTACATTCTGCTTCAGTGTTGAGGTGAAGATACGAACTACAGACCGTGTCATGATGTGGCATGAACGTGTGTTTTGTGGAAACTGAAAGGGAATTTATTCAACAAACACCAATGGAAGACCTGCTGCTTGCATCATGGTGTGAGGCAGTGGGCAGGAGGCTGTGAGCAAGGCCAGTCTGTGCCCTCAGAGCTGGTGGTATAGGCATGGGGGACCGCCTGACCTGGTGTGCCTAGGACTTTCAGTGCTGAAACTGGGAAGGTCCTGGGCAAACTGGGATGAGCTTGTCACCCTACATAGTCACGATGGTGGCAAGGGGATGTGTCCTGTGGCATTTGTGGGTTGGGAGGGAGGGGAAGTTGGAAAACGTAAGATAGAAGAGCCTCAATCTTGTGGAGAGAAGCCATCTGAGTGATCCTTTCTTCCCATTTCCTTATTCTGTGACCAAGACATAGAGCAGAGAGGGAAGGTGGCTCATTCATGGTCACACAGCAAGGTGGGGCAGAACTGGGAACAGCACCTGGGTGACTTCATCCCCTTCAAACGCTTTCCCAAAAACGATCCCCCCATATCATCTTCCTTACCCTGCCCACCCCTCGCCTCTCTGCTCACGCAGGGCCACATTAGGTCAGGTGTGGAGAAACTGAAGGCTGAGGAAAGGTGTCTCCTGATGCCGAGAGAGAGGCCACAGCGGCAGCATGGCTGTCGCCAGGAGGCCCCAGCAGTCCCAGGAGAGAAGAGAAAAGAAGGATTTAAGGAGGTCAGGGCGTTTGGCCTGAAGGGATTACAGTGTAAAGAAACTGAGCACTTCTGGAGACTGCGAATGTGAGGAATTGGGGCCATTCACGCAAGAGGAGGGAGGATGGGAGAACAGGAGCCTGCTGGTCGGCGGGAGGACCGGGACCTGACTCTCCTTCCAAGGGAGGAGGTTTGTAAGAAAAAGGAGCAGTCTGACATCAGCGGCAGACACTCAAAATGTAGGCCGTAGATAAAACAAGCAAGCTGTTAGGTTCGTTTCATTCCAAAAACATTCATGGAGTGCCTACTAAGTGCCAGACTGTGGTCCAAGGTTGGGAGACAGCACAGTCCAAAAGCAAAGTTCCTGCTCTCAGGGGGCTTCATTCTAGTAGAGAGGGGCAGACAATAAACAGGTTCGAATGTGATGCCCTAGAGAATGTGTTCAGCTATGTTCAAATGAGTTTTCTTATGAAAACTTTATGTTCAAAAGTCTTTCTTGTGAAAATCGTGATCAGCAGGGCTTAGCTTATTATACAAATACAGCATTTCATTCTGCGTGGAGAAAGACCATCCGGAGACCAGCTTCCAGAGACTGGCAGCTCAAACCATCAGGGCTGCTACTGGGAGGAATTAAAATTGGTCTCCTCAGAAGGGGGAGACTGGGCACCACGTTCAGAAGTAAGAAGGGAAGAGAGTAGGGGGAAGTAGTTAACCCCCATCTCTGAACACCCTGGAAATTTGGATACTGAGGCTCTGGGAACGCAGTGCAGACCCCGTGGGGAAGTGCAGAGAGATACAGAAGCAAAGTCTTCATTGCTGGTGGAGTTTTAGTAGGGAGGACAGTGAACTTGTGCCAATCCATTGGCCTTCTTGGGAGCTGTCTATTATACTTTATATAAAAGAAGAATTCATGTACTATTTGTTTGGCCACAGATGGTATTACTTTTTAAATGCAATTAGCAAGTGGTGTTTGTGTTAATACTCATCTCTGTCAGTTTCCATGCCTAGGGAAAACCCAACTGCTGGTCTTGATCTCCATAAATAAATACTAGCTAGAGGACTTATTTGACTGTCAACCATAAATCTTTTAATTGCTGTTCTAAAAATTGTATTCACATTTTTCTTTTCCAAAAAATTGAAAAAGATCCGATGAGCTTCAGAAGGCATACCAGTCTTTCTCCTTCATTCAAGTTCCTCCCCTCACCTCCCTATTCCCTTCATTCTTTCACCATGGTTAAATCAGCTGGTTCCCTCCTCTCCAGCCACAGCACTGGTTTCCTTGGATCCACAGAACCCTTGCACGACTCACTTTTGCATGCCATTTAAGTTTCTGATCCAATCTCTCTTCCTCAGAGAGGCCTTCCTGACCACCCCTTCTACAACAGCTGCCAGGACATCATCTCATTCTCTTGCCTAGAGTTTCTTTTCATCTTAGCACTTATATGAAATTGTATTTTTTCTTCCGTATGTATCTGTTTTTCTGTCAAAGCATAAGCTCCATAAGGACAGGGACTGTGGGACTGTGTCCACTTCCTGCTGTACCCTCAGTGCCTGTAGCACTACCTGCCTAGTGGAAGATACTCAATAAATATTTATTCCATTAAATGCAAGAACAAAGGAATTCTACACCAATCTATTAACTTGGTTTTATTAAAATCACAAGTACGAAGTAGATTTAGGAAAAGGGTCAACTCCTTCTTTCCCCCATTCCTCTCTGGCGAGAGAGAAGGAGAGCTGGAAATAGAATGGGAAAAGTTTCTGTAAATTTCTGGTAACCATGGAGATGCTGATCTTAGTTTATTAATCTCATGCTCTTAAGCAGGCTGGGGCCCCATGGTGATTTCTCCAAATTGCTCATTGCTGGTTATCCTGCAGCCTTCCTCATTAAGGAAGAGCAGGCCCATTCCTATTCTGCAACACTTTTTTCTGCAACTGCAATTACCAACAAGCAGAAGCCCTGTGCAATTATGCTCATTATTGCATGTTCTGACCTGGCTGCACCTCCCACTCTGGAGCAGTGGAACATGGTCACCAGCCCTAACGCCCTGGAGCCTTCAGTGGGAACCCTCCTCTCCAAACCCAGGGCCTGGGACAGGGCTGTGATTGCTGCCCCATTCTTTCATTCATCTACACAGAAAATGGGAGCTTAGTGCCTTCTAGAACAGCATTTAGTATCAGGCAGGGAAGGGCACCAGCAGTGGTCTCCTGCCCATAAAGACTATGCTTGCAGAGGAGGGAACTACCCTCAGGAGACACGGCACTTTTCATCGTCTGGCCTCTCATGGGATCTGATTTCAGAACTGTGTGTTCCTCTTCATGTGGGGAATACCTCAAGTCCTCAAGAGACCACCAAATGGCTTCAGGATTTCAGCAGAGCTAAGGGGAAATGGGCCAGTTAGGGGCATTCTCTTTCATGGCCATTTCTGCTTCAAGGAGAGATCCTGGTGCAGGTGTCAGAGGACCAGAGTTGGGATTCTGTCATGGTAGCTGACTCAGAGTGCAGCCATAGGTGGGAACTCAACCTCTTTGAGCCTCATGCTCCCTGTCTGTGAAATGAGACTGGACCTGGTCCTTCTACCTTTTCCTCATGTTGAGACTGTTTCTAGCTCCAACCCTGTTCTGGAAACTGGATTTCTGTGATGAGTGAGAAGCAGGAGAAGTTGCAGGCAGTATGCCTTCTGGAGTAAAGGGAAGTAGATTTTGGCAGAAGTCTCTGGGAGGAGGCGTCTTTGTCTCCTGAGGCTGGATGCCTGAGGTCTGGCCTCACCTAGGTGTTGGTTACCATTTTGGAAATACTACGAATTTACTTTGGTTGCATTCCCCATTCTACTGGATTTAGAAACATTGAATCATTCTTCCAGTAAACAATCAGGGACTACCTGCCAGCTGCCATGTGCTGTCCTAAGTGCTCATGGCATTACTGTTCAGCTGGCATAGTCACTGACAACTTCAACTCAGGTGTGGGGTGAACTGGTTTCAATGCTTGTGGGCCTTTCTGCTGGACATTTAGGGCTCATCTTAAGTGCATCAAAGAAGGGGCCCTTGGAAGAATCTGGACTCCCGAGCCCTCCAGCAAAGCTGGAGCCAGGACATGGGCTGGGTCAGCTCCTGAGATGACTCCAGCTGAGTCACAAATCTAAGCGCTTGGCTGTTCTTTGCAGGTGCCGTAACCTCTCATTTCCTGACAGCCTGCCAGAGGTGAGCATCGTGTTCATCTTCGTCAATGAAGCGCTTTCAGTGCTGCTGCGCTCCATCCACTCGGCCATGGAACGCACGCCCCCACATCTGCTCAAGGAGATCATTCTGGTGGATGACAACAGCAGTAACGGTGAGTGTCGGAGCTTCCCAGGGCCCAGGCCCTACTTCCTGGCTGACATCTAAGCTGATGGTTCAGCGTCGTGGTTCACATTTGCTCAAGGCTGTCTGTGGCTGCTCTTTCTCTGGAGCATAGATGAGAAATTCATGGTGGCCACTGCTTCAGAAGGTTCACTCCGTCTGAGCATGGCCTCTGCATCCCAGAGGGGTCTGGTCCTTAGGCTTTTTCTCCTGGCTGGCTACTCTCCCCTCCCATATTCCAGTGCAATAGATAAGATAGAAGGCCCTGACCTCCTACCCTACCATGTACACAGTGAACATGTCCAGTGACTCTTTTCCATGATGCATCATTTCACCTAGTAGGGTTCCACAGCCTCTGCCTGGAAGATTGTTCACTGGTGTTATGTTAGCAGTGGCAGTGGTGATGATGGTGCTGGTGGTGATGGAGGTTGTAGTGGTGGTGATGATGGGGATGGCAGTGGACACGTAACTCAATGACAGCAACAGACTTGTTGAATGTCTAGCCTCTTTGCTGGATCCCCTGTTCCCTGTTCCATCTGTCCCTAGCCAGACCCTGGGTGGCCTGCAAACACCTTGTTGAAGCCATCAAATCACTAACTCTCTTTCTCCAGCACTACCAGCCACCCCTTTTCCCTGGTGTACATTTCTTGGTCTCTGATTCTTTGCCCCCCCATATGCCATCATATACCATTCCAGACTGAAAGACCACATTTTGAGACAGCTGAAAAACCAGTGTTCTTGATAGGACCATTTATATGAATGTATTTCTGATAATGCATGATTTCTCAAAATAGACTGCTGGGTCACTGTATCATAGAAACACTAAGCTTGTTTTATCTTTTGAGCTTTCTTTGCTGTCAGGTAATAAATTTCCTAGTGAATCAGTTGCTGTAATGAGAAGTTCAGATGGGCAATTTGTGATTTGTTGTCAATTAAAGCTGAAATACATTGGATAATTGAAATGTATTTAATCTGAGAAAGCAAATCTTCATTTTCATTTTATCATCATGTGGTAAGAAGTGTGGGAGCAGTGCTGTAAGGGGATTTTAGAAATTTCTGAAGGGCTTTGCTGGAGAATCATTTGACTTTCATTGTTCCGTGGACATGAAGAAAGGAAAAGGCATCGAGGATGCAAATAGGCAACATAGTCTTAAAGGTAATTGTCTATCATGGGGGAGACAGGAAGGGCTCAGCTCCCATCTCTGATGGCTGCCTACCATCATCTAGCCTGGGACCCAAAAAACGGGCGCCTAAGAAAACTCCCATTCCCTAGTGACTAATGCCAGACAGCCTGACTAGCCTGCCCCACACACTCTATCCCTGGACTTCACCTAGGCCTGCTGATCCTCCTCACGTCTTACATTGTAAGGAGGCACAGGATGGAAGAACCAGCATTCAAGGATGAAAACATTCCCCAAGCAAGAGGCTGAACTCCTCACATAATAAGAGAGAAGAGTATGGAGCACTAGGAGGAAGAAATCTCGGAGCCTTTCATTTCTTCCCTGTAGTGAGAACCTTTTCATGTCCTTAAGGATGCCATTTGGACTCTAAGTCATATGGACAAAGCTGATATTGAGTCTGAGAAATTTAGATAAGGAAAGTGAATCAGATATAGAGGATTTCCTATTTGAACTTAAAGAGTTTGAACTCTATTTTGTAAATGGCAATAACTATCTAAAGCTTTTGGTCAGAGGAATGATGGGGTCAGAGTTGGGCAATGGAGGAATTTGGTCATGCTTTATTATATTGGCGGGGGAAAAGGGCATCTTGAAGAAGGGAAATGGATGAGAAGGCTATTGCAGCAGTAGAGAGAGAAGTCAAGAGGCCTGGAGTCAGGGAGAAGTTATAGGCCTGAGAGGTATTATGAAGGAAAAATCTGTTGGACCATTTGGCTGAGAAGCCATGGGCAGGCGGGCCAACAGAGGGGAGGTCAATGATGGCTCAGAGTTTCAAGCCAGGGTGATTCAGAGGATGGCAATGCATTGCCCCAGAAGAGGCAGGCAGCAGGAGCAATGCCCTGGTGCAGTAGTCCGTCATCAGGGATGCAGACGAGCAGCACCCTAGACCTTTCACAACCAAAGCTCTAGAGCATTGTGGTGATGGTTCAGTAAAGTATCTTGATTGTGGTGTTGGTTACACAAAGCTGTACTTGTCATCACAACTGCATCGAGCTGTATATGCACACCCAAACCAGTGCCTGCCTATGTAAGGAGAGATCCGAACAAGCTCTGTGGATGGTAGCCATGTCAGTGGCCTGGTTTTGATATTGTGCTGTGGTTGTGTACAATGTTACCATTGGGGAATACTGGGTGAGGGGCATATGAAACCTTCTTGTACACTTTTGTGAATCTATAATTACTTCAAAATATTAAGTTAAAACAAACAAAAAGCTCTCCTAGGAGATTCTGGTTCAGTGAGTTCAAAGAGGGTTCTAGACATCGCTGTTTTAAAAAGCATTCTTTTTTTTATTTTGGTTTTTTTTGAGACAGGGTCTTGCTCTGTTGCCCAGGCTGGAATGCAGTGGCACGATCACAGCTCCCAGGCTCCCAGGCTCAAGCAATCCTCCCATCTTAGCCTCCCGAGTAGCTGGGACGACAGGTGCATCCACCATGCCGGGCTAATGTTTTGTAATTTTTGTAGAGATGGAGTCTCACTACGTTGGGTAGCCAGGTCTCAAACTCCTGGACTCAAGCAATCCTCCTGCCTCGCCCTCCCAAATTGTTGGGATTACAGGTGTGAGCCACTGAGACTGGTCTTAAAAAGCATTCCTAATGATTCACAGCTCTGTTAGAGAAGCTTTAGTTTCAGGAATAACGTGTGGCTTCACTTTTGAACATATTTGGTGTCCAGTGCATGGTGTGAAGGGCCAGAGCTCTGGACTAAAGCCTGAAGTCATAGATTCTGGAACCCTCTCCACCATGGATGATAACTGACCACGGAAAAGTCCCTCAGCCTCTCAGCGTCTCTTTCTCTCTCTCTCTGGAAAATGGAGATGATAAATCCTCCTTTGCTTGCCTCACCTGCCTGCAGTGGTCACATCATGTGTGACTGTGAATTGATCCCTGTCACTATTACCCTCCCTGAGTTCTACCCCATTTCCAGGAGGCAAGCACATAAGCCAGCAAACTGCACGGCGGGAGCCCCAGAGGGGAAATGTGGGAATACGGATTTGGAGTCTCACGCGTGGAGTAATTAAAGCCATTGACTGGAAGGAGAGGAGGTCAAAAGGGCAGAGGAAAGAACCGAAAGTTAGAAGCTTGAGAGAATACTGAGGGTAAGATATGTAGGCATCGGGAGGAAGAGCGTTAGCAGGTGAGAGAGGAGGAATGCTCGGGAGAATCTGGAAGACAGCACAGTCTCCGTGGGCAGAGAGAATTTCAGGAATAAGAGAACTGTCTATTCACATGAAACCACAGACAGGTGGAAGGACAAGGAACCTGAGCAGAAGCCACTGGGTGTGGAAGGGACAGACCTGGGAAACCTCAGCGAGAAGCTTTAGTGGAATGTTGGAGATGGGGGCTGTCGAAGCCAGATGAAGATAAAGAGCAGGCAGTGAGGGGAGATTTTTCCTCGAGGATTCTTGACTGTAGAGGAGAATCACAAGCTCAGGCAGGAACTGGAGCAATGTTTTCCAAAAATAAAAATTAAAAATTACCATCCTCTACAGTAAGAAATAAAGTTACATCATGACCCAGGATGACACACCCACTCACACCCATACACACACGATGGGAACACGACTTTTAAGAAACAATACTTACCCTCACAATGTGCAAAGCACTCTGCTATTTTCTATTATATTCTGTTCAATTCAATTCTATTGTATTTTATTGTGTTCTAGTTCTCTTTTCTTAAAGGTAGGTTGTTCTTGAGACCCTGAGTGCATATTAGAATCACTTGGAGGGCTTTAAAGAAATTCAGGGCCCAGGTTTTACTGCTAGTGATTTAATGGGTCTGGGGAGGTGGGCACCTGAGGCCAGAGTTTGGAGCAGGGCCTCTGAGGAGGAAGATGGGATCCAGGGCACAGAAGCAAGAGTTGCCTCCGAAAATAAAGGACTTGTCTTTCTCCTGCCCTGTGAGGGAACAGGGAGGCAGCAGGAGGCAATGTGGCTGTGGTGATGGGTACCCAGAGTCAAGCGCAGCAGCAGGCTCAGTGGCCTGATGGCCAACAGGGCCAGAGCGGAGGCCAGACATGGTGGGAAGGGGCCTGGCCCTGGCTAGAGTTCCCATGTGGAATGGGACAGGGAGGTAACCAGGAATGGGGTTCCTTGACCCCAGGCTGAGCTGAACCCTCAAAAGGGGAAGAAGAGACACTAGAGTGAGCTCCTGGAGGACGTGGCCCCTCTCTAGCCTTAGGACATGGCTAAAGGCCCTTCGGATCTCAGCCTGACTTGGAGGAAAGCGGCTATGGCCAGACCCTGTGCAGACTCCACGCGGGGAGCTGCTTCTCTTGGGCCTCTCAGTGCAAGACTTTCATGTTTTTCAAATCAGGCCAACTCAGCTCGGTTCAACTAAGATTTCTGTAGTACCAGCCTGGGCTAACGGAAGGAAGAGGGTGATGGATCAGACCTAGTCCCTGCCATGGGGAGTTTGGCAGATAAGTCTAAAGTGGGGATGAAATGTTCTAGGACTTGGTTTCCAGGCTCGGTTCTGCTGCTTTCTGGCCATGGGTCTCTGGGCTTAGGTTTTCTCATGTGCCACGATGGGGACATCAGGCCCTGCCTTGCCCTGTCTGCCTCACAGAGGCACTGGGGATGAGGTGGGGGAATCGGAGTGAAAGTTCCCTGTAAGCTTCTGGGTGCCAAGGGTGACTTAAAATGACAGTGATAAAAATAACAGCAGGAACAATAATCATGACAACAGCTGACAAGTAGCCACTGTTGAAAGACAGCTGTTTTGGTGGGAAGAGCGCAGAATTTGGCATTCGGCCAGCTTTTCCATTCCAGCTCTTTCTGACTTTGTGCTACCTGTGTGTTCTTAACCTCTGCGAACCCTATTTTCCTTATCTGTAAAATTGAGATGTATAATTCCCACCTCAGGGGTTGTTGGGAGGCTTGAATGAGATAACACAATGGAAGGGATGTTGGTGTTTAAAACTCTAAATTACTCAGCCGAGCAGAGCCGTCGGAATGTCTTCCTCACTAAGCCTTCCTTCCCAGGCTTCTATTACTGGTTCCGTGCATGCTGGCGCCTCGTGTCTCCCCAAGCTCTCTTTGGCCACACCTTTGCTTTGGGTCAGGCCTGTGCTTCCTCAAACACAGGAACTGAGGAACAGGGCAAAGGAACAGGGCAGTCAATCACTGCTTTCTTCTTCCAAGCCTCTCTAGACCTTTAGCTCTCGCTCAGAAGCCAGGGACTGAAGGCTCTGTAAGTGGCCGTTATGTAGGAGCCTGAATCCCTGTTCTCTGTCTCCTTAGCAACTTTCTCAACAAGCTCCACTTTTTCAGGGGCTGGCTCCGATCTATCATGCTGTCACTCTGCTGCAGCAGTCTCAAACTTTAGCATTTGAGTTTGGTTAAAAATATGGACATTTGGCAGTGTGTGGTGGCTCATGCCTGTAATCCCAGCACTTTGGTAGGCCAAGGCAGGAGGATCACTTGAGCCCAGGAGTTCAAGGCCAGCCTGTACAACATAGCAAGACCCCGTCTGTATATTATTAAAATTTTATTTTTTGAATAATATGGAGATTCATACCAGGCATGCCACTGCCTCAGGACATTTGCCCTTGCTGTTTTCTCCACCTGGAATGTTCTTTCTACCCCCTCCCCTCTACCCTGCTCCATATCTGCACAGCTTGCTCCTTTTCCTCTTTAGGCCTTTACTCAAATGCCTCCTTCCCACTAGGGAGGTCAGTGAATCACTCCGTTTAAAGGGCAGCACTCCTCCCTGTCACTCCTCACCCCACCCCTTGTTTCTTTTCCTCTGTATCTCCAACTGCCTTCTGACATACTGTGCTCACTCATTTACTCTCTCCTAATTATTTGCACATTTCCCTCCCCCAGTGTGTAAGCTCCATGAAGACAGGGGCATTTATTTTGCCACGTGAAGCATCTCCAGCACCTAGAATAGTGCCTGGTATTTGTAGTTGTTCAATAAATATGGATTTAATGAAAGAATTTTGAATCTGTAGATCTGGGGCAAGGCCTGAAACCTGCATTTTAGCATGGCTCCAGGGCACTCTGATTCTTTGTGAGTCACTGTTCTAATTGTTGTCCTCCATCTGTGCTGCAGCTGAGGAGCCTGGGACAGCTGCCTCCGCCTCAGCTCCCCCAGAGCTAGCCTCTGGCTGCAGGCACCACTGGGTGGAGTGTTTCTTCCTGGGCCGGGGTCCTTGGGGCTTCCCTGTTGCATCCCAGGGATATGGCATGAATGTGGGGTGGAGTGCAGAGGAGAAGGTAAGTTTCTTTTCCTGGCCTGAACTCACTTCCCATCCTCAGAGTCAGATGATCAACCCTGAGCCTCCCTGCGACCACGTTACCCAACCTCTGCAAGCATTCCTGACAGTAGCGACCAGGCTCTGCCTGCTCTGCAGCTCGAAGGCCATGTTTCCCCTCCCCTCCTCATCTTCCTTGTCAAATCAAGAAAATGGTGGGAGCACAGCTCTGAGCCTGCTGGTTTCAGTTACCAGACTTTTCAGCAAATCCCAATGGACCAATGTCTTTAGCTGGGACTGCATGATTCAACCTCTACAGACTTCCAGAGGGAGAGAAGCAACAGGATTTTCAGTCAATAGAGGCATCTCTGCCTTTGACTCTTGGCATTCATTGCTTCGTTCTTTCAGTCCTTCAACAGGTTTTTGGTGGCCACGTGTTTTGTGCTGAGTGCCTGGCTAAGCACTTTGGGGGCTTGTTCATGTGACACAGGTATTCCAGTACCTGGCACAGAGCAAGTGCCCAGTGAACGTGAACTCTTTCAGGTTCCCTCTCCAGCTGTCCCAGCTGTTCCCTCGCCCCATCCCACAATTCAGCCACTTCCACTTCTGGGGAAAAAAAAAAAGTTTTCTTTGCTGTAGTCAGTTTCTGCTTCCTTTTTGAACTCCTGTCCTCTTTTGATAAACATAAAAATCACATACCCTTCTTTCATGCCACTTGAAATTTCAAAGTTAATTTGAATTTGTGATTAAAAGCACATCAAAGCAATGGTAATATCAAATATTCTTTTAAGAATCCCATACCCTGGAGATGTCTGTCTGCTCTGGGTTGGCAGTGCCTTGCCCAACCTGAATCCAGCCCATCACTTGTCTCCTGCTGCTGCTTTCAAGCAAGGCAATGGCTGGTTCCCAGCCCTTCATGTGCTTGAAGGCTGGATGGAATCTTCTGTCTCTCCCAGACCAGGGATCTCCTTTGCTCACGGACCCGGTCTTCATGCTGGCCATGTTTGCTAGAAACCTCCCATATCTGTTGCCAGGAGAAGGCATACAACTCAGCGGGCCTCAAGAGATGGGCAGAAGGAAACTGTCCCTCCCAACAACAGTGTCAGATGGGCAGAACCCAAGGTCAGCCAATTAATCCTAGCTGGCTCTTGGGAGGAAACTGCGGACCTACATTGGGCAGAAACCTGCCAGTGTGCCACTTCTTTGCATGGCAGAGCTGAGCTAGGGCCCTGGGTCTTCTGACTCCCACAGAAGACCACATCCTCCCGCACAGGCAGTCTCATCGCTTTGTCCAGCATGCACTTCTTCCTGCTTGTCTGCACTATCTGTGGGCATGGTGGCCCATAGCCAGACCATCCTGGTTTGTTCCTTTGCTGGGAATGAATGTCCTCCGCTACCCCACCCACTTTGCTTAGCTCCAGACTTCCAAAGTCAGCGTTACTACCACTGTTTCCAGAAACTCCTCCATGGTTCTGCCCCTAGCACCGCCCCAGCTGGATTAGGAGGTTGGCCTCAGTGCTCCCACGCACCCTGGCTCCTCCTTATCCTGCTGTGTTTTACCTGGTTATTGACTGACTAAATTACAGTGAGTAGTTTAGGTCAGACTAGCCAAGGTGACCAGTGTGACAGGAACATGATCCTGGTCATCTCCAGACCCCAACAACAACTAACCCAGTGTGCCGCTCATCGTAGTCATTCTGTCAATTTTGTTGACAAAAGAATAGTCATGATCTCCCAGGGAGGTAGATGTGGTCACCATCTCCACTTCATAGATGAGGCAGCTAAGTCTCAGAGGGTCTAAAAAAGAAAAAAGGGACAGGCTCAAGGCCACATAGCCAGGAAGTGCTAGGACAGGAATTCAAATCCAGGCCCGCTGGCCCTGGACCTTGTATCTCCTCTACTCTCCCACTCCTGGAAGCCTGGGAGGCATCAACTTGGGCACCTCCTCTCTGGTTCTCTCCTGACAGCCAGCCCACCCCATTGCTTCTTAGGGAGGGCAGACCAGAGCCAGGACAGCCGCCACATGCACTAAAATGGCAGGTCCAACGTAGGTGAGCCTCCCTGGTCCTTTCTTGGGTGCAGGTGATGGCTGGGGTCCTGCATCTACTTTGTTGGGGGCAGCAGGCAGGCTTGGCCAGGAAGGGTTTCCCAGGCTGGTGTTCAGGCTTCCAGCTGGGCACCACTCAGCTAGCTGCCACTGGCCCGGGCTGGAGTTTGACCCCCACTTCTCCAGGCCTGGGCCTGAGACTCAAGTGACCCCCAGTGCCCCTAGATAGAAAGAGTCCTGACCAGGCGCCCCCAGCTCATTGAGCGCTTAGTATGTGCCAGAGCTATTTTAAGTACTTCACCATAAATTAATCAGTGCCATATGATGGTGGTATGGACCATTACCAATGTCACCTGATGTAACAGGGAGGCAGACCCAGCGAAGTTAAGGAATTTGTCCAGAGTTACAGAGGTGCGATTTGACTGTTTGGTTTCAGCGTCTACACCCTTTACCATTAAACAGGCTGCTTGCCTCTGGTACACCATGGGTCTCTGATTCCAAACAACTTATTTGAATTTTGTCCTTATCCCTTTTCTCCATTCCCTCTGGAGAGAGAGAGATGTTGGGCAGCAGGACCAGTGAAGTAGGAGACAAAAAGGGAACTTCAGAGAAGGGTGTGTCTGTGTCCTAGCCTCAAGCTTTGCCTGGAGCTTTGCCTGGGGTTTCAGTAAGAAGGAGAGATGGGTTGCATAGAGGCTTTCTGGCTTCTGTTGGGTGAGAGGTAATTGAACAGTTGGCAGCCATGCTTTAGGTCACCTTGTGAGAGGGAGGCAGCTTCCTATTCTCTCTGAAATAGGGAGAAATTGGCATGCCTGTGTGAGTGTGCATGTATGTGCATGTGTATGTCTGCACATCTTTATACATGTATATGCAAGTACTCTGTTCATGTATGCACACATACGTTTGTGTACATGTGTATCGTGTTACATACATATAACACATGTGTTTGTGTGCATGCCTTGCATGCATATCCATGTGTTCATATTCATGCATACAAGTGTGTGTGTGCATGTGTGCACACATGTATGTGTTAATGCATCCATGTGAGCACTGTGTTTGTGTGTGTATTGTGTGTCTGTGTGTGAGTGTGCTTGTGGGTGGATGCGGACCTGTGTGTGCGCACTTACGCAGTAGTGTGCATGCATAAGCAGCATATACAGGCACATGGGCACGTGGGCTTGTGTGTGCTTGTGTGAACAGTGGTGTTTCAGTCCCCACTAACAATGGGTTGAGCCTCTTTCACCACCCACTGCTACCTGGAGCCACCTTCAAAATCCTGATGAATGACAAATAATTGCACAACTGTGAATCATTGTTATTTTTAATTGTTGGTAAGAAAGTCAATGTAGTGATGAAATAGAAACAGAGCTCCCCAGATTGCTTGCCACCAGCTGCTGGGTCCTTCCCCACCCCCTGCAGAACCCCCATTATCCCTTGGCCCAGAGTCTGCCTAATCATTGTTTAATGTTTCAAAGATTCTGTCCTACACAAGAGATACTCATTCCAGGCTGTAAAACTACCAACAGCTTTGCATGCAGCTGGAATAATTGCAAAAGTTAAAAAAAAAAAAACAACAAAAAAAACAGAGGAAAAGAATGGTCCAACAGTATTGTGCTTTATGGAGCTTAAAGAATCCCATGTAGCTAATCAAATTACAACCAAGACTCAGGCAGCTTAAAGGTGTTTACACAGCCAAGCACATGGGCTGTCAGCCCGTTCAGCCAAAGGCTCTTTGCCACTGCCTGCCTCTATGGCTTTGACCAGTGCAACTAGGCTGGCTCACCCTCAAGACTGGCAGCAAATACCTGGCAACCTTGGGGTGCACACCACCCAGTACCACCTGAGTCCTGGGTTCTCCTATTGTTGCTCCTTGCTGCCTGAGGTTGCCTCTGCCTGCCACATCCTATACCAGGCCTGAGAGTTCCTCTTGGGCATGGCCACTGCTACATCTCCTCTGGTGGTGTCCAGCAGCACTTTCCCAAGCTCTTACTGTAATGACTTATATGACTCTTGAGTTTCTGGCTACTCTGAGTATTGAATGCCCATCTCTCCCTGTTGATTCAAGCCCTGACCCCAGGCCTGGGCCCTGCTTTGGCCACTTTCTATGGAAGTAAAGTTTCTCTCATAGATATAGATATAGATATAGATGATATAGATATAGATGATATAGATATCTGACAGATTCAACTGATTCAACTGTGTCCATTTCTGAACCTACCTCTCAGCTGCCATGCATGATTCTATGCCAGGGCACCCAGGCCAGGGGCACGTAGGGGCTAAAATAAAGTCTGTGCTGTCTATTTGCTAAATTATGCATCCTGGTGTGAGTCTGTCTCCAAAGTGCCTTTTCTAACTGCATAGTCCAGAGAAGGCACCTTTTGGCCAAGTACATCAAGATGCTGTGTGCTAGCAGCGTGGCCAGTCCTGACCTCTGCAGAGACTCTGCAGAGACTCTGCAGAGAAGTATTGTTTCTTCCCAGTGGGTGGCCTTGACTTAACAGCAGTGCAGCAGCCTGGGATGACTTCCCTGTACCTGCTGGCCAGCAACCCCAGCTTTCCCCAACCTTCTCTGCATTGGTCCTGCGTTTGGCCTGCCTCTGTTTCCTGTCAACTTGCTGTTCTCTGATGGAATGGAATCTTGCTCTGATGCCTGCCTCATCCCCTTAGCTGGGCCCCAGCTTCCCAGCTAGCCCTGGTCAATCCTCTTCCTTGAGGGGCTAGACTCTGTTCCCTGTACACCAAACTGGGGCTCTGCTTCCACGGTTCGATCCACCTGGCTTCCTACATCATGGGGGCTGGGACTTCCCACCGATAAGCTCCTCCTGAAATGAGCATCCTTAGTGATGCCTAAGTATATCAGCTCTTGAGTCACCCGCCTCTTTGTGGACCAGCCCCAGGGCTCAATCCATTTCTCCAGCTCTAGTCCTGCATGTTGCCAGCCTCTTCTCTGCTCTCACCGGCCTCTCTGCTGAGGTCCCAACATGCTGCACCGCTGAAGCTGCCTGAGCCTGGCAGTGGTGTGGGTAGCTCATCACTCCTCTTGTCCCCTTTACTCGATACAGGAAACTGTCTTAGAGAATCAGGAACTCCCCAGCATGCTACCCTGCTGACGAAGGACAGCACCTGGGAGGGCAAAGGACCTTCCTTCTTTTTGCTCATGAGCTCCCTGTAGCAATCTACAGCAAGAGGGCTCTGTACCATTTTGCTTTACGGACTAGCCAAGGTGACCAGTTTTTGATAAATGAAGCTGGCAGGAATCAAATACAAAAAAAAAAGGCCTTCTTCCCCTGGTCAGCTGTGTGATCATCTGTCAACAGGGAAAGTCCCCAAACTGGAGCTGAGTGTTGGGAGTAAATCAGGAGGGGTTTCTCCTGCCCTCTGAGGGGCCCTGTTGCCAGCCACTGGGATCAAGCTGTCCCTAGAAAGGGCCAGGGAACATTACTTAGGGCCACAGTGCAGCCAGCAGGAAAGGTCTCCTTGTTCATTCTTGGCACCCAGCCTATCTTTCTCAGCAGCTTGAAAAGACAAAATCAGGTGCAGACAATAGTTACAGCTGAACACAGGGCACTCCTTGTATGCCAGGGTCCTCCTTCTGCTTTCCTGAATAGTTAAAACAGTTAAAAACTCAACAAATCAAATGCTCCCTACTGACATTAAATCTTTGGAGTATGGAATAACTTCTGGTGGAATTGATTTCCTGAAAGGCTGCCCCAAACCATGCAGTGACCCAAGTGGCCTCCAGTAGCTTCAGAGTCTCAGTGCTCGGCAAAAAGTGGAGCATGCGGATGAGAGTTAAGTGCTGTAGCCACCCCAGCTGCTGCCCATATCTGTCCTGCATAATTATCTTTCGGAAGATGAGCACCTCCTTGTTGGATGGTGAGGGCGGGAGGTGGTGCTAGAGACAGCACTAGGAGTTGGGGAAGCTGGTGCAAATGACTGGGTCTGAGGGTCCCACAGCAGGTATGGGCTCCCCTGTGCTGCATAGCAACAGAAATCTGCTCTCTCCCGTGGTGACTGGGAAGCCAGTTTTGGTGAGGGAGGTTTGTTTGTTCTGTTTTTTTTTTTCTTCTTTCAAAAATGAGAGTCCTAATCGACTCTCAGGAGACCTAAATTGGGAAACCAATTCAATTTTTTTCAGGAACTGTCTCTCCTCTCTGCTCAAGCCCACAGGGACTTGCACCCCTTCTGCTCTTACAGTCATGCATTCATTTAACAAATTGAGTACCAGGCCCAAGGCTCTGCAAGAGGGAGGCAGCAGGGAACCAGATGTTGTTCCTGCCGTCAGAGAATGATAGCAGGCAAGTAGACAGGTGTTCCAGCCCTCATTTGGCACAGATGCAGACTGTGCCCAGGTTATGGTTGATTTTAGGAGCTCATGTCCCAAGAGCTTATGGCATAAGTAGAATTTTAGGGAGGAGACGTAAAGGCAGCCTGCAGCAGGGTGTTCTAGTTAGGCCTGGTCTTGGGGTGGCTGCCATGAGAGAAATCCTGATAATCATATTGACACAAAGATTCTTACTGCACTTGTATTTTTTATGTTAAAGTTTGCATGGTTTCTTTTCCTTCTTTCTTTTTTTTTTTTTTTTTTTTTTTTTTGAGACAGGATCTTGCTTTGTTGCCCAGGCTAGAGTGCAGTGGCATGATCTCAGCTCACTGCAACCTCTGCCTCCTGGGTTCAAGCAATTCTCATGCCTCAGCCTCCTGAGTAGCTGGGATTACAGGCGTGCGCTACCATGCCTGGCTAATTTTTGTATTTTTAGTAGAGACAAGGTTTCGCCATGTTGGCCAGGCTGGTCTTGAACTCCTGACCTCAAGTGATCCACCCACCTTGGCCTCCCAGAGTGCTGAGATTACAGGCGTGAGCCACCATGCCTGGCCACTTTGCATGGTTTCTAATAAAGGATTGAAACAGAAAAAAAGCACAAAACAAAGAAATGTCTGACTAGTGAGCAGGAAGGGTTTTTACCAGCAACCACTAACAGAAGGCTAGTTTTTCTGGATGGCCCCATGGCTGACTCTGACCCCTTCTGTGCTGCTAGAGTAGAGACTTGATTTGTAGCCAACCAAAGAGGGCATGGCCTGCGTGCAGAGATATGTGATTCTCTTTGTGTTTTCCATCGCCGGTGCCCATACTGTGACTTCCAGTGGCCTTCTCCAGTGGCTCAGGTGGTTCTCCACTGAGCACCTGACCTACAACTAGGGTAGTGACCTGGTTCACTGTGTAGGTCCCTCCCACTCTAATGGGCTTCCCTTAAGGGGCATTGGGCAGTTTGGGGCAGGCAGCCCTAAAAACTAATCCAACATCCTCATTTGACTGGAGAGAAAACTGCGATCCAGAGAAGTTAAGTGAGTTTCCCAACATCACACACCTAATTCATGGCAATGCCTAGAGACCAACCCTGGTCCAGTGCTTTGCTAGCTGGACTCATTCATTCAACAGACATTCACAGAGTGCATTCTCAAGTGTCAGCCATCACGCTCAGCACACCAATCCAAAGACCGATGAGAAAGTGTTTCTGTCCCCAGCGAGCTGGCAGCCGAGTGCAGATGATAACACTCAAATAAGCAAAGCACACAAAGCAAAGTGCTGAGTGCCATGAGCCACAGGTGAAGGGAAACTGTGCTGGAGAAGCCCAGAGGAGAGATCTCAGTCACTCTGGGAGGGCTTCCTGGAAAAGCTGGCATTTGAACTGGGCCTTGGTGATTGAATGGATTTGGGTAAATGGAGATGATGATGGAAAAAGACAGAACCTGCCTTTGTTTTTGAATCGTCTTAATTAGGGAAGGAATCAACATGATAATTTATTAGGTACCTGCTGTGTTCCAAGCACTGTGCCAGGCATATTTACACATGGCTTCTTTAATTTTTTCAGTATTTCTCCCCATCTCATAGATGAGGAAACTGAGATTCAGCAGTAACTTAATCCTAAATAGAGACAACTTCTTTGATTCCTTCTTCTCTCTTTCCTACAAAGCCTCACCCGATGCTGTATGCCCCATGAGGGCTCAGTGAATGACTCTGAGGACTGAAGGGAAACAGAGACAGAAACATGGGGATAGAAGAGTTTTCAAAGTCATAGGGGAAGGCAGCACTCCTCTTCCTTAAACAATGCATGGCTGAGCACAGAGCCATTTAGTAGTTCTATCATCAGAATACATGTCTTCCTCGCAGGTATATACACCCCGCCTTCAGGCTGGTATATTAACCTAAGTGAATACAGACAAGAGCTATTTGTTTTAGCTAAGCATCTTTCATGTGTTAGCTCATTTTTCCCTAAGGACATTCATAGGAGATACATCTTAGTATTATTAATACCATGTTCATTTCACAGATGAGAACGCTGAGGCTCAGAGAAGCTGCAGGTTACACAGCTGGGAATGGCAGACCCAGCATTTGAGCCCTAGTTGGATCCAGCTGCAGAGACTGAGTCCTTAACCTTGTTCTATGCTCAGGGGTCCTAAACTCAGTTGCCTAACAAGGCTAGACAGTGTGAATATGGGATGTGGGCCGATGCAAGGCAATAAGGAGTGGTGGAAACTGGTGAACAAAAGAATGAGCCCAAGCCCTCCTGAGAGGGGCAGCCAGCACTGTCTCCAGCCTATTGCTGGCCTGCAGGACTGGCAAGTTTTCTCAAGTTGGAGATTCACACTTTTATGCTTGGTGGGCTGAACAAGACACATGGGCAGGTCAGATATGGCCCTAGTCTGTCTGTCTGCAGCTTCTGCCATATTGACTCCCACTTTGAGAAGCAGAAGCTTCTCTTGAAATGCTTTTTATCTCAGGCATCCCTGTTGAAAACCCCCTCTTGCACTCTTTCCTCCTTTCTCTCCGTCTCTCTCATAATTACTTGTTCTTCACTTCTCAGAAAGTAGCCACTCCAGATAGGCTGAATTAGCCACTCCTCTGTGCAACTTTCCTTCACTGTGTGCACAATTTGAGGGCATCATCGTTGGCTATATGGTTTAGTTCCACTGATTCAGGGAGGCCCCTTCTGAGCTGAGCAGCCGTTTCAGAAAGGCGCATGGTTTTGCAATGGTGGTGTGGATTCTGTCCCTGGGTTGTAGACTCAGATGCCATCCTGGGTGAGTCACTTCCCTGAATCTTGAGACATTGGAAGGAACTTGAATCAGGTTCCCTGGTCCAAGTCAGGAGTAGGAATAGATGTGGCCAGTGCCTGAGAAAGCCGACCAGGCTGCAGAGGAGTCACATAGAGGAAGGGTCACTTAGGACAGCTTGTCAGTCAGGTGGGGCTCATCTCAGCAGGACTCTGCCCAGGAGCAAGGGCTGGGGGAGGGGATGGGGCAGGGCTCAGTCCTATTCATGGGTTGGCTCAGGGTTTGGGCTGCTATCATTTTGAGGTGCCATGGCTCGCCACGCTGCCCTAGCTTCCCTAATTCCCTTCCCCTGTGTGGCTTCCTCTTCCTGCACTGCCTGTGACCTGCTACCCTGGGGGATGGTTGTGGAGTATGTCTGTGGTGGCTGTGGTTGGTGTGGTGGCGGCTGCCATCTGGGAGTAAATAACCACAGCACGTCAGAGCTGAACAAAACTCAGGAATAGATCTTGGGCCCCGTGCTTCTCTCATCCAGGGAAAGGAATGTGAGTTGGAGCTTTACAAAAGCAAATCTTTAAACCTTTCCTCACCTGATGAATTTGATGGGGTGACAGAAATGAATTAGAAATTAAGTAGGGGCTCAGAGTTTACATGAGCTCCATGCCAAATGGAAATTAAAAAGAGTGTCTCCAACAGGGTTAATGGTGAAGGTCAGGTTCCCAGCATCCTTGGCAGGGTGTCCCGACCCTGGTCTCGGGAGGAAATTGACTGAAGGATCCTGCTGATGAGATCAGGAGGTGCAGAGCGGGTTCTCCATCAGACAGTGGGAAGGAATTAACTTGTCACCAAATGACATTCAGTGATACAACAGAAAATTCCAGCAATGCAGGGACGATTTTAATGCCAGGCTACCCAGTGGTAGCACTGACTCTCCACATTTCCCTAAGGAGCTTAGACATTGAAGAAAGGAATGTGTCTGCATTGGACGAGGCCTCTGGCTAATTCACAGGCCCACTTCCTCTGGACTGTGTCTGCGAGCTTGTCTGTGTTGTCAAATTTCATTTGGCTTAAAAATAAGAACTAATGCAGAGAATCAAAGAAAACAAAGTTGTTTGCTGAGTGTTCCTGACCAGGGCTGCTCAAGCATGAGGCTGAAGTGATTTTATTTTCTCCGAAAAGAACATTCAAGGTTGCTGTTTAATCTTTCTGGAGTGAGTTCCCACAGTCTTAGGTGCCCAGCTGCTGCCCTCTAGACCTGTGTACTCCATATTCCTATGACATGTGAGTCCAACAGTGGAGAGCGTTGCTGCTTGCTGAATTCCTGAATTCTACGTGGCAGGAAAAACAAATCCCACCCTCCTGCTTTGCAAATGAGATGGGTGGATGGATGCATGGATGCATGGGTGGGAAGACGCATAGGTGTGGGTGGGAGATAGATTCTGTCTTTTCTGTTCTATGTTTTAGGGTTTTTATGCCCACTTTAGATGAAGGGATTGAGAACCATAGGAGCTGAGTCACCAAAGTTCTCACTGCAAGATGGTGGCCAAGCTAGGGTTTGTGCCCACATTTCCCAGCTCCAGGTTCAATATGGCTCTCCTCTCCTTTCTCATATTTCCCACTAGACTCTTTTTGTTTTTACTTATGTATTTCTTTAACTGCCTTGTACCTAGAGACAGACTCACATGAACTTGGAGGACCTACTTATTATACAAGTAGGTGGCTACAAGGACACGTTATTTTCTCATTCGGCAACTATTTATTGATCACTGTGTGGGCAGAATTCTAAGTCATCCCCCACCCTTCCCAGCCCTGATTCCTGGGAAGTGGTGTATATTCACTTCGCCGAGTTATTCAAGCAAATACTAATCTGAGTCCTGCTGTGAGGGGAATTGGCTGACGTAATTAAGGTCCCCAATCGGTTGGTTGGGCCTGACATAATCACATGAACCTTCTGAAAGCAGAGTGTTCTCTAGCTGATGGCAGAAGGGGAAGTCACAGAGATGTACTCTGGTGGCCTGAGAAGAGACCCATGCTGTGAACTGTCCATGCGGCAAGGAGATTGGGCAGCCTCTTGTTGCCAAGAGCATTCCCCAGATGACAGCCAGCAGGAAAGCAGGGACCTCAGTCCTACAACTGCGAGGAAACGAATTGTGCCAACAACGAGTCAATCTCAAAGAGGACCCTAAGCCCCAGTTGAGAACTACAGTGCTGGCCAACACCTTGATTTCAGCCCAATGAAACCCTGAGCAGAGAATCCAGGCTCATTGTACCTGGACTTCTGACCTATAGAAACTATGAGATAATAAATTTGTGTTGTTTCAAGCTGCTCAGTTTACAGTATTTTGTTATGCATCAATAGAAAATGAATCCATCACTAACCGTGTGCAAGGCCAGTGTGCTGTACACTGGGAATATGAGATTGACCCAGTCCCTGCTCTTACAGAGCTCCCAGCGTAGTGTGGGAGACAGACAAGAAACAAATGAAATTATTACAGGCCATAATAAATGCCTTAAAAGACATAAAAAGAATGATATGAAATAAATCTAATGTGGGGTGGGGAGCATGCTTCAGGTTAGATGATTGGAGAAGGCCCCTCTGAGCTTTAAAGGATGGAAGGAGAGAGCCATGTGAAGAGCATGGAAAAGTGTTCCAGGCAGAGGGAACAGCACATGCAAAGGCCCTGAGGCAGGAGGTAACATGGTCTCAGAGCCACAAGAAGTCCAGTGTGGCTGGAGGGTGGTAAGGAAGCGGGAGGATGGCTTGAGATGGTATTGAAGAATTAGGCAGTGGCCTTGTCATGTGGGACTTTTTAGAATATTACTTTCAGTGCAATACACAATGCTGATGAGCTTTCAACAAACAAAAGTATGCAAATGGGCATTTTTGAAGCTCTCTCTGGCTACTGTGTAATGAATAATTTGGGAATGGGTAAGAGTAGCCACAGGAAAATCATCTGGGAGGCTGTTGCGATGCTTCAGGCAAGACATGATAATTGTCTAGGCTGTAATGGCTGTAGGGAGAGAAAAGTGGGTACATCCGAGATCTATTTGGACTTGCTGATGAATGTAGGGGATGAAGGAAAGGAAGGAATGGAAGATGCAGCTCAGGTTTCTAGCTTGAGTGACGGGGTGAAGGACAGTGCAGTTTGCAAGATGGGCCAGACAGAATTAGAGGAAGAACAGGTTTGGTGAGTAAGATCCAGTGTGAAGTCCTGAATGTGCCAAATGTGACCTGCCTGTGAAACAGCTGAGGGACGATCTTTAGGGGGCATTTGGATAGATGGGCACTGCTGAACAGAGCGGATACCCAGGCTCTCGGAAGAGGTCAGGACAGGCTGAGCCTGGCTTGGCTGCACAGCTAGCTCCACAGTCATCCTCTTGAAGAATGGTGAAATACCCTAGTTATAACACAGCAAGGCTTCAAAGAACCAGGGCCTGGACCCCTGGAGTAGTCAACTTCCCAGACTCCCTCTGCTCCATGCTGGGGCCCCGGGTGCAGCCACAGACCCAGAGTGGAGGCTTCTGGGAAGGAGTGGCTCTGATATAAGCTGACACCTCAGTGAGTTACTTCAATTGTTCTGGGCTAGTGGTACGGTGCATTAAGCACCAAATTATATAAACCTGAAATTGCAGTCTAATGTTGTTAAGGGGCCTGAGGGAGCTGGAGAAGAATGAACGTGAATAAGGAATCGTCCGTAGGATGATCAAATCCCTGATTAAAATCACCTCCCCAGATCAAATGGCCTCCAGAGAAAGTAGAGAGTGCCTCTGAGTCCTAATGGGGCATCTGCACCTCCAGAGGGATGTTTGGCCAGACTATTGCTTCCCCTCCAGGGCCACTCAGTGCAGAAGAGCTTCCCACCGGGGTCCTCAGGCATGCACAGCAGCCAGCTAAACAGGGCCTGAGCTACACGGTGCAGGGCTTGTCCCAGCTTCTCTAGCTTCTCCTTGGAGAGGCTGTTCCCCCAGAAGCAGACTCTGAGACACAGATTCAACTGCATGCAGTTTATTCAGGAAGTTCAAGATATGCCAGTGGGGTAGGGAGATAAGACAAGGAAGGGAGACCACCAATAAGAGCTGCCAGGCACCACTGTGGGAAGATCTTAATCCTTTTGGGATACTCTGGGAAATAGGTGTAAAATTCATGCCTTAGAATGATCCCCCTTGAGAGAGGAGGGAGCTGGGGTATTTATCCACTAGCTCCCTTCCATCATTGGTTGAGAGTTGCTTTCTGGGGGTGTTAATTTCTAGCACTTCAGCCTTCCACATGCTGGGGCAGAGCAGCCTTCTGTGCATTTGAATGAAGCCCATGGACAAAAGTTCTGATAATTAAATGTGGTGAGATAGGAGTAAGGAGGATGGTTAGCAGGGAGCACTTTGAAGAAAGGAGGCTCCAAGGATATCAGTTGGGCATCAACAGCATCTGCTACAAGGTCCATGCACATATGTTTTGACACTTTTAAAAACTGCATTTCTAAAAGCCTTGGGATATTGACTGTGTCCAAATCTACACAGGCCAACTGCAAGGCATGCTGGAACCTCTGCAGGTCATGCAGAGACCAGGGTTAGACCTTGTTAAGCAAGACTGTGGTTTGAGCACCTCCTGTCCACAGTGCTTAGAACCTGGGGCTCCATTTAGTTTTGTGACTGTGCAGAGTAGGGCCATCTGATGATGGACAGAGCACCTGTGTGAAGCGGTGGCTTGGGTTATATAAGACTCAGTCAGGCTGGGGTAGGGATCGGGGATCCAAAGCTTCAGCAGTTTTGAAGCATAGTCCAAACCAGGTCTGGGGGACCAAGGGTAAGGTTCCATCTCTGGGAAACACTTTGGCAAATTCTAGTAGGGGTCTAGTAGGGCCCTAGCTAACAAGGGTTTCAGGTCAGACCAGAGAATGCAAACCTTAAATTGCAGTGGAGCCACACGTATAAGGCCTAGGTACACTTTGGGGAAGTGGGATGGAAGCATGGTTGGCAACGGTGTTGAAGGCACTCCCTTGGCACCCCACATACCAGCTGGAGCCACGTTACTATAGTGGATGCTCTTGGTGTCCCATCCAGATCCGTTTTGCTGGCCAGTTCACCTATCCCCAGGTGCTATGAGTGTTGGTGGCCAGAAGCTCCAAGCCCTACCTTTTTTGAAATTTCTGTTTCCAGGGATGCCTCACCCCAAAATGCCCGGGATATGAGGTCCCATTCCCCAATATGGCCCAGAACCAGTGGCTGACCGATATGGGTGTCTAAAAATTCCAGCCTTGCCTCGGATGGGACAACTCTGAGATGCGCTTTATGCCCCAGGGCTCCCTGTGGGGTCAGAGCGAGGCTAGACTTGAATGGTGCAGCTGTTTGCTCAGCCTCTTCCCCTGCCCTGACTTGCTTCCCTCACTTGCTGGCCAGGATTCCTCAAGGGCCCTTCCTCGGCAAAGTGTTTATTTAAGAATCAGGAATCTCCATCTCATGCTCCACCTTGAGAGAGCATCTCTAATATTGTCCCATGCCAAGATAATGTGAGCAGTTCCAGGCTGAGCAGGTGAGAGATTTGCTGTAGAAGGATGGCCGTCTGCCCCAGTTGGCCTTTCAGTGCCAAAACAGGCACTGTTCTGAGCAGACCAAGAAGATGGGTCACCCTATGTATCAGCATCTCAATCAGGATGCATTGAGCTCCCGTGGAGCCCAGAGCTGTACTAGATTCTGTGGGAGCCTAAAAGAAGCAGGAGAACATGTCTTTCATGAAATTCAAGGCTTATAATAAGCAAGGGCTTATTTCTGCAAACCTTGCCCTCTGTCCTGGGGATTTCAGTTCTAGTATATTCAGATCACTCCTCGTGTGTAGACAGCGGGAAAAAAATGTTGTCCAGGCTGGAAGGCAGTGGTGACCACAGCTCACTGCAACCTAGATCTCCTGGGCTCAAGTGGTCCTCTCACCTTAACCTCCCGAGTAGCTGGGATTGCAGGCATGCACCACCACACCCAGCTAATTTATTTTTGTTTATTTAGAAACAGGGTCTTGCTGTGTTGCCCAGGATGATCTCTAACTTCTGGGCTCAAGTGATCCTCCCTCCTCAGCTTCCCAAAGTGCTGGGATTACAGGCATGAGCCACTGCACCCAGCCTCCACTAAGTTCTATGAACCTGCCAAGGGCTGTGGCACCCAGGAGGCATTGACAGAGTCAAGCCAGGACCCCACTGTCTCTAACATGTCCTAGCAGGAGGCTGTCTTGGAGGGTGCCAGTGTATAGTTCCCTATGTATACTGGGGAGGGCTTGAGAGATGTTGTCTCAGTGACAGCTAACAGCTTGGGTTAAGTAAGGGTCACCCAGGCCTTTTCACTTGAAGCACCAAGGGCTGCTGCATTTCTGGAGACGCAGTAAGACAGGAGACAGGAGCCACCAGTTCTGAGCCATAAAATTAGACAGCCATCGTTCAACTAAAATTCCAGACCCAGGGGAAAATGCCTCTTAGTGTGCATATTATCTGCAGCAAAGCAAAGCAGACTTTCAGGTGTGTCATTGAAAACTGCAGGGGTGAGAAATCTTGAGAAAGTTTTAGCAAGCAAAGGATGGTAAATGGAAATTAATTATACAGTGCCCCTGATTGCTCATTTAAGACATGTAAAAATACCACCGATGTGCCCTTTAATTCATTTGCTGTCTTTATTATTTGAGTATAATGAACATAAAAATGTGTTAGGGCTTTTCCTAGGTTTGCTTCTGAACTCACTTCCCTTCCCCCCAATATTCCACACAATCTTCAATCCCCCGACCGCAGGATCTGATGGCAGGGTGCTGGCAAGGAGCAGGTGGCACTCTCAAAGTGGGTAATTTGAGCAGTTTCATCAAGAGATGAGTGTAGAGGTGTGAGCAGGATGCAAGGAAGCTGCCAGGAGGGACAGCACAAGACCCTGGGGCTAGAAACAGCAGGAATCCCTCCTACTCCAGGCCTGAAGGGAGAGAGGACACAGGGAAACAGGAGCCAGCACAGGGAGTCCTTGACAGGGAGAGGCTGGGAGATTAAACACCCTCTCTCTGAGTTTCCCACTGTCTCTGATCCTCCCCTGTGGGAGGGCCAGGGAGCCCCGTCCAGAGAGACAAAGAAGGGTGGGGAGAGGCGGAGGGTGCCCAGCCCATGCTGTTGTCTTGGCTGATAGTGCTGCAGGGCGTAACCCTGGTAGTGCAGGGAGCTTTGAGTTAACTTCTAGTTGCTCCAATGGAGTTTAAGGTTTAGCTATGGACCTGTCACTGTGTATTAATCTTTGTTTACATAGATAGCAGGGATAGAGGTGACCTCAGACAAGACAGACAGAAGTCAGCCCACAGAGGAAAGAAGACCTGAGACTCACATAGCAGAGGGGACTCAGGACTTGGTCCAGTCCCCTTATTAGTTCCCCGTTCCAACTCACATAGTAATTTGGGGACAAAGCTAGAACCAAGGACAACATTGAATAAAATGCAGGGCACAATGACTGTCTTTAGAAAGGGCTGAGATCAGAGATTCCTGCATGGAGCTGCCTCTAGTGACTGGGGAGAGCATGGAGCTGGGGTGGGGGTGGGCAGAGAGGATACGGGGAGTTATCTGGGTACAGATGTATCATGGGGCTTCACTTTGGGGAACCGGGGTCCCCTAGAGGACCTGGCTGAGCACAGGAAGGCTGGCTTGTGGTGAAGATAGAGATCTGACGAGTCCCAGGACTGTGGCCGGGTGGAGTCCCAAACTCTCTCCAGGCCTTGCCCTTTAGCCAGACCAGACTGTGCAGAGAGCAGAGGCGGCTTTGATTCTGGGACCTGCTGGGCCTGCCCTGTGGGAGGACAGGGATACAGACTGCCTTTAGGGAGTTCACGCACTAGGAACCCAGACACTGACTGAGTTTCCTTCCCAGGATTTGAGCTGCTGACCCTGAGCAGGGAGCTGGGGAGAAGAGCATCCTGGCTGCCCCCATGAGCCAGTAGCTAGAAGCAGGTGGGCAGAAGGCCACCAGCCACCAGCCTCCCACGCCTCAGCAGGGAGTGGCATCTGTTGGTAGCATTTGGAAGGAAATGCTGGTTTCACCTCTAGCCTGTGGTACCAGGGCTGTTTTTAATTAAAGACACATTCCCTTGAAAAATACATCGTGACACCTCAATGCCTCACCACCACGTCAAAGTTGGAGGAGTTGGTGATTAGGACGCACATATGTGTCTGTGGGTTGCTGCTGTTTTGCCTTTTGGAGCCTGATCATCTGGGCTCACGTGTCAGCCTTGAGAACAGCCTAGGAATGTAGTTTTTCACTGACCCAAATCAAGTGGTTCCTTTGCAGAGCACTGCTCTGACCCTGGCCCTGTGCCATATATACTCATCCTGTGTCTTCAAGGAACTTATGGTCAGGGGTGAGGGTGGAGGCTCCAGACGCCATGGAAACTGACTTGGGCCCAGTAGGGGCTGTTAGCATGTCAGATCAGCACTGGGTCCTAGCAAAAATAGACCTTCCCTCCTGCCTACGATGCAGGTGTGGGTGCCTTGCCAGTTCCCCACAGAGACTGAGGGGGCAGCCTCTTTTCCTTTATATAAGAAACATTTGTTTAAGTGGGAGAGTAGGAGTCACAACAGGTGACCCCAAAGAGACGGCGACTCTTGGAAGGCAGGAATGCGACTTGGTGTGCATATGCCTCCTCTGCCCGACTCACCTTCTTCCAGAGTCTTCTCTGCATAAATCTTGGGTGCTCTCTGATCTGTTCATTGAGAGGAACATTCCCCTAGGCCACATGGCGGTATATTCCTTTTTTTTTTTTTTTTTTTTTTTTTTGAGATGAAGTCTTGCTCTGTCACTCAGGCTGGAGTGCTGTGCCACGATCTTGGCTCACTGCAGCCTCTGCCTCCCGGCAAGCAATTTTCCGGCCTCAGCCTCCCAAGTAGCTGGGATTGTACAGGCGCCCGACCCCAAACCCGGCTAATTTTTGTATTTATTAGTAGAAATGGAGTTTCACCGAGTTGACCAGGCTGGTTCAAACTCCTGACCTCAAGTGATCCGCCTGCCTTGGCCTTCCAAAGTGCTTGGATTATAGGCGTGAGCCACCACGCCTGGCCAGTAGTATATACTTTTTAATGTATGGTTTTCTGATTACTGTTTTGTATAATTTCTCTCTCTGGGCAGCTCTATTGTAAACTCCTCAGGGAGAGGGCTACATCTTAGACACAATGTTTCTTATAGGGCGCTCAGGACACACTGCTTCAAGGAGTGAATGACTGCGGGTGGGGCCTCCACTCGGTGCATCCAACAGGCAGCTGGGAGCTCTGCCCTGGCCTCCCTCCCTCTCTTCTGTGGAGCAGCCATGGCTTGCCGCTCTTTACTCCTGCTGCTCGTAATCCCAGGGGATCTGGTCCCTTTTCCTTTAGCTTTCCAAACCTTTGTTTGGCCATGCTCCCTCTTCTCCTTTGCCCTCCTTTTAGGTTTATTAAGTTCAGTGGCCAAATAAAGTTTTGCAGCTCCCTTGTCCTGCAGTGCCTCCTGACTGTCTGGGATAACACGGTTACTGGGAATATCTCCTCTCCTGTCCCCTAAATCATCTGGCAGCATTGGCTGGCTACATCATGCAGCTGACTTTGAGAACACTCCGCAGTGCTGTTTCTGAATAATAATAAATGGGGCTGAAGCCCAGTGGCCTTTGCTATTTATCTCTGGCTCTGCAGAACAGAGACGTGTGTGCTGAAGTGGCACAGGCTGTGTCTCAGCGGTGGTGGCTCTCTCAGGGGAAGGCAGCTTCCCTAATTGCCTCTTCATTGCAGAAGTGGCCTGGTCTGTTTCCTCAAGGGAATGTTTGCTAATCTGATTGGAGGGTGCTTTCAGCGATTCAGCACCAGCCTTTTGCCTGGTCTGTCAGAAAGCCACACGATTGCAAAGAAGGATGACTGTCAGCTGGACACGCCAACCTTTAAAACCAGCCCCTGCCATCCACAGCCATCCTCAGGCACTCCTCCCCTTTACGGCCTTGGCCTGAACACATTGTCTCTGCCTATGACGTGTAAAATCCCAGCTTGTTCCCAAGTCCTGGGCTTGGCAATCTGCTGGTTTAAATCCATTAGGCTCAGTACTTTGGCAATGAGCTTGCTTCCTCCCTGAACTGAGTAGGTTCTTTCTCCACTTAGGCTATTCTAAGCTGTCCTAAGGAAGGCCTCCTCCTGGTCCAACCTGGCCCCGAGACCCTCACCTCAGTGCAAACCCTCCAGGGATAATATTCCTCCTGGCCTCACCCTCTTGCAAAGAACCTGAAGACCCACACCTATGGGGCAAGGCCTTGGGCTTTCTTCCAAAAGGGCGGGGATGGGAACATCCACTGGCCAAGGACATGACCCTGGACTATATTTGACTTTGATAATTCCCATGTCCTTTCTGTTCTGCTGGCTTTTATCTCAGGCATCTCCCATGTATTCTGATTATCATATTTGTTTTGATGACTGTGATTCCAGAATATGGCTTTGGCCACATTTTGAAATTATTTTGGTATACTGCCCCGACTTGTATGGCATTTTAACCCTCTGGGTCCCTGGTGTTCAACTTTGCCTTTATTGTACTGCAATGGCAACTGGGAACCATCCCTTCCTTTCAACATGGCTGAAATAGTACATAAATGTCGAACCATTTCTGCAAGCGACTTTGGAGATGGACAGGGGGCTGGAAATATCAGCGTTTTGTGATACTTACCAGCTTTCAGTTCATTTAGTATAAAAAGTTAGCCCTATGGAGACAGAATATTTCAACCTTTAACTGTAATTTGATAGTTGTCACCAGATACCAAGGTGGAAAACCAGAAAAGGTACAATAAACAGCTGAGCTGAGTCATTACAACAGACTCTTATCTTGTAGAAACTGCAGACATTATGATGATTATCCTCCTACCTACCAAAGGAGGGTTGTCTACAACAGCCCTGGCAGCCACTAACCCAGGCTATATGCTTAGCCCATAGTAGGTGCTTGGAAAATATGGCTATTATTTTAAAATTCAATGACATACAATTGCTCTCACAGATATATTTTTATTAAGATGATGATATAAGTTACACAGTTCACAAGGAGAAAATCACAATAGGGAGATACACTGTGGGGGAATGTTTATCCTCATGTAGCTGTTTGGGACTCTCCGATCTCTCTGCTATGAACCTCCGTGAGATGAGATGTGAGGCTTCTGGTCCAGCAGGACTGCCGACACCTTGCTTGTTGTAGAGGACCATGTTGAAGGTGCTAAAAATCAAATTAGGACTAGTGCAGCAGTAAGGCTGCCTGCAGCAAGAAAGACATGCAGAATATAGGCATAGCATGGAAGGATCACACACCCATATGTCCTCCTTGCCACATAGAACTCTTACCCATCGCTGCATGAGTAATCTTGACTTTTCTCACTCTCAGGAAACGTGAACTTGCTCTCTTCCATCTGATAGCTTCTAGGCATTGAAAAGATATCTCCCAGCTTGCAGATTGGACAAAAGGCGCCCTCAGAGGGCCCCCACTTGTGGTCTGCATTCGGCGCGTCTCTCTAACTTTCCTAAGGAGAAAATGTGATCCTTTCCTGTGTTCTGAGACTTGCCCCTGACAAAGAGCCCTCTTGCTTCTATGTGGTTCTCTTTGCTCTAAATCCAAAAGCCCATGGAAGAAGAGACCTTGAACCCCAGACTCATGTGCACAAGTACCCTCCTCCTCCAAGTCAGTGAAAATCTGCGACACCCTTCCACCTCCATCTCATTCCTTCCAAAGTCTAGCCACTTCAAATTCACTTTGAAAAGGATTATTTTAACTCGTCTCTGTGGAGGAGATAACCATGGTCTTAATTTTGTCTTAAAAACAATATAAGTGTAGTGGGAATAAAACCAAATGATTTTTAACAGTGATGCCGTGGTTTTCTCATGAGTCTCCTTCACAGCCTAGAAATCTAAAACTAAGGGAGGGAAGAGGAGCTGTCTCCTGTATCCACCTTGCCCTGACCACCCACACCCCACATTGCCTCCCATTACCCAGCACAGAGTGGAGAGAAATAAGAGTGGAGGCCATTGACTCAGGTTGCCACGGCCGGGGCTCAAGGCACAGAAGTGTCAGGTAACTGAGTCTGACTTCTCTAAGGTACAAGAAGGTGTCTGGCCACCTGACATACAGTTATGTGGGAGAATAGGAAGGAGAAACACAGAGCACAGCAAAGCAGCTCTGTTGCTTCATCTGTTCCCCCATGACAGGCGGGACCCCTTTCATGCTCTGCTCTAGGAAACATGATTGGCCTGGGTGGCCATGGGCTGGGAGTGGAGTCCGGGTCTGCTGAGGTCTGGGTTAGGTGTGGCTGGGGCATGTTCAAGTTGAGGCCAGGTGGTGGTGAAATCATAGCTGATGGAGTCGCCAGGGTATGGTCAGGGTCTGTGCGGGGCTGGAGCCGGGAGGAAGGTTGAGGTCAAAAGGATGTTAAGGTTGAGATGAAGTCAGAGTTAGGTTGAAATGAGAGTTGAGACAGAGAGAGTCCCATTTGAATGAGAATATGGCTGCGGGCAGTAAAGCTTGAGAGGAATTCCAGAACGCAGGGTGGGGCGGAGGGCTTAGGTTTGGATGGAGCCGTGGTTCAGATACACTCAGACATTTTCCTCCCACGTGACTCTCCTTACTTCTATAACATGGAATGTTTGGCTCACTCCCTGGGCGCCGTTTGATCCTTAACTCCTTCCGGGCCAGGGCTTACATCAGCCTTTGAGTGCTTCAGCTCCTGCTCCTGCTCCTCTTGCCTTGCTAAATTTCATGGGCATTTGCTTTCCCTAGGGAGGGTGAGAGAATAAAAGCAGCCGAAGTTGAATCCAACTAATATACCCGCTTGTCTTACCCCTATTCACAGATGGATGGTGAGGCAGAGGCATTGGCACTGAAGCCCAGGGCTCCCCTGGGGAATTCAGTGATCAATGCCATCCCCATTTCCTGGAGCAGCGATAATTGGCTCCATGCCGTGCACGCATGAACTCCCCTAGACACTCACTCCTTTACGGAAGAGAAAGCCCGTTTCATGGGGAGCCCATGAGACATGGGAATGCTCTCCTCCTGCTGCCAGCAAGTGGCGGGGCATTCGCTCATCATTTGCCTGGTATCTCTGGGCACAGCTCCCTCAGAAGAGCCAGGCTGCCTGGATCCTGCCCACTGCACATGACTCCTCTGGAATAGGGGCCAGGAATTGAGGACAGGGATCCTCCGACCATCTAAGGGGGAGCAGTTACAGCTGCTGGCAGCAGGGCTGGGTTTCCTCTGTACCATCCACAGCAATTAAACTGAAGGACAAGGAGCAACCTCACCCTCTTCTGCAGCATCACGGAGCACTGTGTCCTACAGCCCACAGACCGTCAGCACTCTCTCCTGTACCTGGCCAGGGGGAGAGTTGGCACAGCAGTTAGCAGAGTTCACAGCACAGTTGAGGGTGAGGCAAGGCTACTGTCTACCAAGCAACCTGTCCTCCCCAGGTGGTGGGCACTGGCTTGGATCAAAGCCTCTCTCTCCCATGGCAGAATAACAGGGGAGGAGAGAGTATAGCCCTGGACTAAGACCCCTTGGGGACTTTCAGAAGGAGAAGTTCCAGAGGGAAGAAAATGTGATCTGACCTCTCAGAGACAAAGAATGACACATGAGGATGGTGAAAGGATCTAGAAGTACAGTATTCAGTTTCCAGAAGGGAAGACTTGGGATGCCCAAAGCAGCTCCCCAAATCAGGACTGGCTGGTAGCAGAGTTCCCCTGGGCAAACACTTGGAACCAGTGGGTGGATGTGACTGCAGAGTAGATTTCTTGTATACTTGAGAGAGACTTTTCTCTCACCCACAGCCATTCAACAGGAGAATTAGCTGCTTTATAAGGTAGTGAGTTCCCCATGCCAGGAGATAATCAAGCAGGGCATGGACCCCATATCGGAAATGTGATGTGGAGGATTCACACAGTGCTGAAGGGTTGGATAAACTAACTGTGGAAGGCCCTTCCTGTGGGAGGCTTTGAGAAGGATGCCGCAAGTTCAAGGTCAAGTGTTTGGTTACAGGCATTGCTTAGCTCTCTGCATACCCCTCTGCTGTACAGACCCCTGATTTGTTCCCTGTCTGTGTCCTCTCATCTCCTCCACATCATGCTGGAGCGTCATTCCTTCTGCCCTGGGGAGAGCATGATTCTTCCTAAAGGATCACTTTTCTTTCCCAGTTCTGAGGCTCACTTTCCTCAGGGGAATGCCTGGGGCAGAGAAGAAAGAAGCACCCACTTTCTAGAGCTGTGCTAACTCCAAAGAGAAACAAGCATTACACCATCTCCGGGGCCCGTGGGGACACCTGAGGCTCCTTGTCAGATGCCAACAGCACTACAAGAAGCCATTTGTATTTTTATATCTTCCTATTTCCCTCCTGCAGACGCTGTTCTTACCCGCAGCTGCAAGGCAGGTGCATTAAAATGCCACACTTTAGGTTTGGAAAATGACTGGGATTTATAGTTCCTTAAAGAGTTTTTGGGACACTGGCTCTATCCATGAAAAAGAGGACTTATGCCTTGAGATAATGAAGTTTGAGGACAGAAAGCCATGCCATGTGCAATCCTTCTCTCCAAGAGCTGTGGCTGATGTCCTCAGTGTCACATAACTCCATGCCCTGAGCAGAGGCCTATGGACACCTTGACAAAAGAAGCTCATCATTTTGCTTTTTGTTGCTGAAAAGTTCTGCCCAGCATGGCAGCAGATCAGAGGAAGCCACCCACCATCAAAGCCTGGTTCAATAAGATAAAAGCAGTTTATGATTGAAGACAAGCTGTCATCATGGATTAAAACATGTCTACGCCCACAATGACAACAGTTATTTTTTCTGAGAATATTGGATGAGTTGCTTACATTTCATAAATGAAGAGGAAAGAAATCTAATTCCACCAGGCTGGATCGTTTAAGACAATCTCTGTTCTATAAACACTCTGAAGGGTAGCGTTCCCAAGGTGACAGAAAATAAACCATGATTGCATGATTCTTCTGGTGCCTATTTGCTTTCTAGCCTTTCTGCCTTTATGTGAAGAATTCTGTGCCAGCCATCTGTGATTACCTTGAATTCACCTAATAATATGTAAGCCTACTTCATCTCTTCTTGCTTTGGTACATACTATTCCTCTAACTAGAAGGATTTGTCTCACCTTTGTCCACTTGGCAAACTTTTCTTTATTCCTTAAGGCCCAGCCAAAATGCCAGTGCTTCTGTAAAGCCCTTCCTTACTCTCAACAAGAGTTAGTTGTTGGGAATTTCCTTAGCTATCTGTACACACCTCTATGGTAGCACTCACCATTTAGAACGGAGCTTATGGATCTATTGTTGTATCTGCCTTCCCTTTGGCTAGGAACTCTTTGAGACAAGGGACTGTGTCTCTTTAATGTTTAGAACAGAGCCTGGCACACAGGCAATCTAAGGTTCTAAGTAAAAGTTTGCTGAATGTGCATTGTGTACTGTATACACAGCAACCTGGCCCTTCTCATTTATGACTTTGAATGATAATATTAAATATGCGAAAGTGAAATGTTTGATCAGAGCAACAGAAGGGGCTATTCCCTAGTAGAGGAATCCCAGTATCCTTGTTCCTAGAAGATGAGTGTATGCTCAGGATGTCAAAGGGGTACTTGGAATGGCCCCCTCAGCATCTGCATGCGTTACAGGAGGCAGGGCAGTGGGGCCAAGACCTGAGCCTCTAGGACCGAGTGCTGGGAACAGGCCAGCTCAACCATGCTGCCCAGCACCAAACCTTGCAGTGAGCTCATCAGAGCTGAAGTCACACAATAGCCTAAGTCCTTGTGAAGGATCACATTTACTGGCTACCTCCAGGAGGTTGATCATGAGTTTGTGTGTTGATTTGTTCATTCCCCATTTAGGAAAGGAGATAAATTTTCTGTACTCTGAGCTCTCAGATCTGGAATGTCTGAGGTTGAACATATCATGATTTCCTGATTCTCTTCTGGGTTTGCAAAGGATCCAGAAGCATCCTTTTTCCTGACGGAATGGAGTTTGGGGACCTGCAGTGGGTCAGATGGAGACCCTTTGAGAGACTCTAGCCTGGTGTTTTGTGTCCTCCATGATTGGAATCCAGTCTTCCCCTGATCTCGTCTCACTACTGCCCTCCTGTGTCCCGTATCCAAGCACTGCCTACGTTCCTGCCCCGGCCGACCCTCAGCCATTGAAGATGTGGGCACTTAGCCCCGCTCCTGGCACTAGAACCAATTTTCACAGTTGGGAAAATTTAACACTCTTTGGATCAGTAACTCAGTGGTGCATACTCATGGCACGGTCCCAATAGAAAGAGATTGGCAGCAAATGGAACAAGAGCTAGACACCTACTCCATCACCATCCAGCCAATTAGAGTCGAGACAAGATTAACCTGGGGACAGCACAGATTTTCCTGGTGACATCAAAGCTGGGAGTGAGAAGCATATTTAAGAATGGAAACAAAGTGAAAGGAATCCTAGAGAACTCCTTTGCCCCTTTTGCCATGTGAGGACACAGCAAGAAGACAGTGGTTGATGAGCCAGGAAGAGTGCCCTCACCAGACACTGGATCTGCTGGCATCTTGATCTAGAACTCCCCAGCCTTCAGAACTGTGAGAAATAAATTTCTGTTGTTCTTAAGTCACTCAGTCCATGGTATTCTGTTGTAGCAGCCAGAACAAAGAAAGACACCTTCGTTAGACAGGGCATACATTCTCTGGTTTGCCGCAGTCCTTGATTACTCACATTTTGAGTTTGCAACCTTCCTCAAGGATATGAAGGAACACTTTGTCTAATGATCATTGCGTTAACTATCTATTGCCATGTAACAAATTATACCAGTCTTAACAGGTTAAAGCAACAAAGGCATGTTACTGCACACAATTTTGAGTGTCAGGAATCCAGGAGTGTCTTAGCTGGGTGGGTTTGGATCATGAGGTTGTAGTAAAGATGCTGGTTAGGGCTGCAGTCATCAGAAGGTTTGACTGGGCCTGGATGGTCTGTGTGGATCTTTTCTCATGACATGGCAGTTGGCTTCCTCCATAGTGAGTGATCCAAGAGAGAGTGTCCAAGCTGGAATGGTTTTTATGGTTTAGTCTCAGAAGTGACACATCATCACTTCCACTGCTGCCATATTCTATTTTTTAGGAGCAGGCAACTAAATCCAGCCCACACTCAATTAAATAGAAATAAAGCTTCATTTTTGAAGATAAAAATGTTTTTAAAACCTGTGTATATAACCACCACAATCATTAAATTGGATAATGCATGTAAAATCTTTATTGCTATATATTTAACACATAGTAAGTGCTCGATAAATGTTAATTGCAATACTAAGAGCTAGCACCTATTGAGTATTCAGTACCTGCCAGGCACTCTTCTAAAAGCTTTACCTGCATTAACTCTTTAACAACTCTGTGAGTTGTTCTGTTATTGTTCCTAATTTATAACATAAATCATACACCCAGTGAGGCAGAACAAATTGCCCAAGTGCATATGTTGTAAGTGGGGTTGGGATTTAAACCCTGTTAGTGAAGCCCTCAAAATCTGTCCATTTAACCATTATACTGCACTGACTCTCAAAGTTTTATATCGTTACTGTTTGTAGTCATTCTTGCTGTTGTTGTTGTTTACATGTGTTCCTGACCTGCAGCCCTAGCCTGTTAAAGAAATGTGATGTATTTATTGACTTGTTCTGATAAAAAAAACTATGCTGGGCTGAAGAATCGCCATTTTTTGACACAGGCACTCAAAACCCACCCCTTTTCAATCTTGATCCTTGCTCTTTGAATAAAGGTGAACCTCTTAAAGATGGCTTTCAGGGCCTTACTTTGGGCTACTATAACAAACTTCAATAGACTGGGTGGCTTAACAACAGACATCTGTTTCTCAAAGTACTGGAGGTTCTGTGATCAGGGTGCCAGCATAGTCAGGGTGTGGTGAGGGTCCTCTTCCCTGTTGCAGAAAGCCCCTTCTCATATCTTTACATGATGGAGAGAGAAAGAGAGAGAGAAGAAGCTCTCTCATGACTCTTATAAGGGCACTAATCCCATTCATGACCACATGAATTCTAACTACCTCTCAAAGGTCCCACCTTCTATTACTATCACATTGCAAGAGTAGACTTTCAACAGATGAATTTTGGGGAAGCATGTTTGTCCATATCAGGCCCTTTCTTTAGGGTTGGCTCCACCTTCCTTTCAGCTCCAGCTCCCTCTCACTCCTGTGCACCTGCTATCCTCTGCCCTGGCTGCAGAGGCTTCCTTCAGCTTCTCTTAAGCACCTCCCTCTGTCCATTTTCAGGATACTTGTACATGCTGTTTTCATGTGCCTGGGACATTGTTCTTCCACTCTTAAGAAATCTTGCCTGTGCTTGAGTTAAGTCCCATTGTCTGTAGTATAAATAATCATTTTCCTCTCATTGGGTTAAAATCCCATGCGTCCATCTGGTTTTCCAACCTTTTCTTCTCCATATCAAAACTTCCTATTAGTTCAGTGATAACCCAATGTCCTGTGATGTGGTCACCTGGGCTGGGAAACTGGAGCTTCTTGGGATCAGTCAGGCACTGTGTATGTGTTCATTTTTAGCAGAGTAGTTAATTGCGCAGAGCTGAAGCCCGACTGCCTGAGTTCATATCCTGGTTCTGCCACTTATGAGCTGGTGACTTACCATAAAGCCTCTGAATTTGGTTTTCTCATCTTTAAAAGAGTGGGGATTAAAGGCTCTTTCCTATAAGCTTGTTGGGAGGAGTAAATGAATTAGTGAAAAGTGCTTAGAAAGTGCTTGCTGCCTCACAGCCAATATTTCCTATGGTGACTATTTAGCCCTTTCCTCTATTTCACCAGCTACCCAGTGAGCTCAGGCAGAGCTAGCCAAGGTAGTAATGCCCAGAGCATGGGTTTATCCTAGGACCTCTAAGATTTAGACAGGGAGGTAGTGGACACAGAAGGAACACGCTTTGGAAAAAGACATATACAGATTTGAATCAAGCCTCTGCTACTTATTAAGTGTGCAATCTTGAACACATTGCTTAACATCCCAGTTTTCTCATCTATAAAATGCAAATACCAAAAGCTCCTCTCAGGGTTGTTTTGAAGATTAAATAATGCCTATAATGTGTGGAGCACTTCAGTGAGGGAACATTGCAGTTATTTAATAAATGTTAATTTCCTTCCTCTTCCCTTCAAATTGCACATTAGTCTCCCAGGCATGGATGCAAGCGGCTGAATGGAAGCTGAGGGGCTGCACTTTCTCTCCGGCATCTCATACAGTATGCCATTGGCCCCAGCCAGCGGCCCCTTCTTGCTCATCTTCTTAACTGTTCTAACAGAGCCCAATCAACTGCAATTTTGAATCTCCTTTCTATTTTCTTTCTATGCCCTTTTAAAAATATAAGCCCTTGTGGGCCGGGTGTGGTGCCTCATGCCTGTGATCCCAGCACTTTGGGAGGCTGAAGCAGGTGGATCACTTGAGCCCAGGAGTTCAAGAACAGCCTGGCCAACATGGTGAAACCCTGTCTCTACTAAAAATACAAAAACAATTATCTGGGCATGGTGGCAGGTGGGCGGCTGTAGTCCCAGCTACTTGGGAGGCTGAGGCATGAGAATCACTTGAACCGGGGAGGTGGAAGTTGCAGTGAGCCGAGATGGTGCCATTGCACTCCAGCTTAGGCAACAGAGTGAACCCTGTCTCAAAAAATAAAAGTCCTCAAGAGTTCTCCAGGTCCTAATTATTCTGGGTTTCCTCCCTTTTTCTTCCTGCTTTGGATCATCACTGGTTATACAAGCAGAATTTTGGTTTTGAGAATCTCCTCCCAAAGCCTACAATCCACAGATTTCTTTCCCATACACTCTTTGATATCTGTCTACTAAAACCCAGGCTCTGTGAATACCTGGCCTCCCCTTCTCTCTCAAGCAGGCACTGTGAAAAGACACGGGCATTTCCCTTACAGTTCCCAACATTCCACCTCACCACTCAATTCTTTGTGGGTGATAGGAGTTGATAAGCCCAGAATACCAAAAGGCTTTGAATAGAGCCTGCCTGCAGAGTCCTAGGAGAACCATGGGTGGTCTCTGGAGACCTCCTAAATACCCCGAAAAAGGCAAAAGGGGGTCTGTGTATGTAGATATGTGTGTGTCTGCACACATTTGCCATGGGGGTGCATTTGTTCACAGGAAAAGACTCCTAGGTTTCCTCTGACTCCCAGAGACCCCCAAGATGCACAGGGGAGAGAACTATGGCATCATTCTCTCCAGCCACTGGGAGAGGAAGTTGTTAGCTCAGCAAGTTGTCCAGCACCCTGCTTTGACTGGAATGAAAGCCTTTCCTTTGGCAGCCAAGACCCTCCCTATTTTCCTCCCCACTGATGCTGCAGTGCGGGCCAGAAATACAGCCTCTCTCTCCCTCCATCTGGTCAGAGCATCAACTGCAGATTAGAGATCCAGAGCTCTCACCTCTGTTCTTCTTCCCTTTTGACCTCACCAAACACTTTCACCCTTAGATTAGGTGGCGTTAATCCCTACTGCCCCCAACCACACTATTGCCCCAGACTGGAGTCCCGCGTGCAAATCTTTGCAATTGCCATGAGATCATCCCCACGCTTGGCTTCCATTTTCTTTGTTTGTTACCAAGCTGTCCGTGTTGCTATGTAGACTTCTGAGGAGGGAAGTTTTGTTTTCAGCTCCCATCTGGATAGTTTCCTCGTCTGATTCATCGGTACCTCCCACACGTGAATTCTTTCTCCATCATCCCTGCAGCTCTCCATAGTAACCCATTTCATGCGTTTCTCCTCCCCCCACTGCTGATGACATCATTTAATCTCTAAGCAAACTCTCTCTTCCTCACCTCTCGAAATGTTGCCCTTCTTGATCCATGTCTTGTGGATCCCAGGCCAGAATCGAGAAAGCCAAACACTGTTTGCGAACACCACTGACAGACCCAGCCGCTGTCGTGCCAGTTCTTTGCTCTTTCAAATTCGGTGAGAAAAAAGCAATGAATGTATCACACAGCTATCCGAGTTCCTCGGTTTCCTGCCCAGACTTTAAAGACTTTTCTCTCTAACTCTTTGGGACTGTTCAGCCCCATGGGGATCAGCAACAGAGGGAAGTGGTTGTTGCTGGGTAAGGCTCAGCTGTACCCCAGGAAAATGGCACCTCTCCCACCTGGCTGTGTCCCCCCTCCCTCTCCCCTCCCCATCTCCACCACTTAGCAGTAGCCAGGAACAGCTGTCCTTGTGCCCACTGGTTCTGAGAGTCTCTTTTTAATTAGTTGACATTTGCATCGTGGTCATGGTCAGTGTGCTTTGCCTACAGAAGGTCTAGCTTTCCCCTCCTGTTTCCCCAGCGTTTCAGAGCCTGCTCTCCATCCTTCGTGCCATCTTCCTTCATCCAGAGTGAGGTTCCCTTTCTTCATTTCGGCTCTGCTGCTTGTTTCTGTCCTGCTGGTCTTTCTCCCAATGGGCCTCCTTCCTTCTCTCTTTTCTTTGCATCATTACCTCCGCTCTGCAGGGAGATACCTTGTTGAAAGTGGTTTTTTAGGTTCATTCACCTCCCCTTCAAGTGCAGTGGCCACTTCTATTTGCCACACATCAATTGGCCCTTGCCTCATGCAGGAACACCTAAAGCTCCCTGAGGTCCCTGATGTTGCCTCCTCACCATCCTTATAGGCTCTGGGTCTCAGTTTCCCCATCTCATGGGATCATTGTGAAGACTAAATGAGCAAATGTGGGTGAAGCCCCTAGCACAGGCCCTGCTACATATGCAGATTAAATGAGCTGATGCAGACGAAGCACAGGCCCTGCCACACAGTGGGCACTGAAGCAGGCCAAGGCCACCTGTCCCCTTTCCTTCTTCCTGTTTCCTCTTGGCTCCTCTGCTCCTGGTTGGACACGATCACTTCATTACCAATCACCAGGCTGTCTTCTGTGGCTCTCTTGGGCCAGCAGCATTGTAAACTTGTCATAGAGGCATGGGGACACCAGCCATGCCCAACCTTCCAACTGTGGGACCTCACAAGGCCCAGGTTGACAGGGCCTGAACCTTACTTAAAGATGGGTGCCTGGCACTGTGTCATCCACATTTTTGCTGAATGAGTGAATGAATATTCAGGAAAGATGATAACCCCAGTTCTGAACCTGGAGATCAACTTTGCCTTATACCGCAGAGCTGAGTCTGTGTGCTGAGTTGTCTTCAGACTGGGTCCCTAACAGCATGTCAGACCCTGCTCCCTGGCTGGGCCAGCCCAGCCTCTCACCTGGGTGGTCTATGAGTCGTTTCCATGGTGAGAGCATCAGGCCTGGCTACTCTAACTCAGAATGTTCAGGGGAAGTGAGGAACCCATTACGGTGCCAGGGAAAGCCAGGATGTAGTCAGGAAGGGATCAAGAATCAGGGCAGAGGACCAGACCCCGCCTGTCGGTACCACCTCTAATTATATCTATCCCTGTCCTGGATGCTGTCTCGAGCAATGGGCCAGGGCCCTTGTTAGAGACCTAGTGAGGCCATGATTGAGGCGTGGAGCTTAGTGAGGAGCCCATGACTTGTGTTATTTGGGGGGAAACAACATAAAACAAAAACCTCACCTCCTTAGGTTTCTAGAGTGGGCCAGTTCCTTCTGCTGCTACAGTAGAGTTTTTAATTAAGAAATTGATGAAAAGTTCTTCCTGACATTTCAGTTCATCTCTTGGAGACCTTTAGGTGGGAGGAATCCAAACAAAGCTTCCTTATGACTTCCTAATGTTTTTTGGCTCATCTTCTAAGGCCCTCACAATCTCTCTACCACTCACTTATCCAACCTCCTCTCCCAAATTGAATTTGTATCCCTACACTCAGCCATAGCCCACATCTGTTACTCCTTCTCAAGCATGCCATGCACATTCATGCTTCTAGCCTTTATGCATTCTGTTTTTCTACCTGTGATGGTTTTTTAATGCCCCCTTTATCCTCCTAGGAAAGCCCCTTCATCCATCCATTGAGACAAATGCAAATAACATTCTGTAAAACTTGCCCTGAATCCCCTGCAGAGGTTGTCACATCCTGCGCTGTATTTTCATAGCACCTTGTGACAACCACTTTTAGAACATATTTCAGTGCATTCAAGTTACTGGTTTAATTCTTTCTTCCCACTAAACTGCGAGTTTCTTAAGAGGTGGATACTGACTTACTCCCCGTCTCCACCGCTTGGCATCAGGGCTGCCGCACACCCAGTGCTTAGTAAATATCTGCCAGTTGAACACATGAATGAAAGGAACACAAACAGGACATGAAGTGAGAAGGAGCAATATTTTTGATATTTGGGGGCATGTCTACCAGGGAAGTAATATTTCTTGAGTTTTCTAAAGTAAATCTCATGAGAGGACTATGACGATGTATGTTCCTGAAATAGAGGGATCTGGAAAAAATCAATAATGCTGAAAGGCGCAGTGAGAAGATGGGCTGATAGTCTTTGGCAGTCTTTGGAGGGCAGCTCCTGGGCAAGGTTGTCCATCCCACCTGTCCTGATGTCTCTGAGCTAGCTGTTGATGTTCCTCTACTGGCAGCCCATGCCTGGCATTCTGATAGCATCTCAGGGACACGGGTCTCTGCCTTTGGTGGCTTTAAAGGAAGAGAAAAGCATATGCAAGGAGAGCAAGGAAGCCCACATGGCCTGGGCCGGGGCCTAGAAACAGGCTGATGTTGGCAGTTCATGCTGAAAGCTGACAAGGGCATGCCTTTAGCCTTAGACTCTGTGCTTAAAAGCAAACAAACAAACAAACAAACAGAAAAATACACAAGGTTTCCAGAAGTCATTTGTTTTTCTACATTTGGGATCTAGCAGCAGCCTAACCAGACTCAAGCAGTTAGTAAACTCTCAGCCCACTTAGGAGCCCGGGAACATGGACAGTGGCCCACCTGGGACCAAAGTCTGAATTTAAGAGTCTCCCTCAATACCAATCCCTTCCAGTCCCATCAGTAACCCCAGGGCTGATAAGAAAGGTTTTGTCCTGGGGGGCAGTGCTGGCCCACCCCACACCCAGACCCCATGGGTGCTGTTTCAAGTCTGAGGCTGGGCATCCCCAAACTGAGGGTCAGCCCCACCCACTTCGCTGCTGGACTGCCTGCTCCCATTGTCTGGACATGCCCTGCCCTGCCTTCCCACACTTTCTACTGTTGGTTTCAGTGACCCCCTCCAGGAGACTGAGCATGCAGAGGTTCTAAGAAAGGTCGGCATGGACCTTTAGGAGGAAAGATGGCAAAGTCTGACTGACCTGCCCCATGATCCCTGGGATGGAACCTACTGTTCCTTAGCTATATGACTTTAGGAAAAAATCTTAGCATTGCTGAGCCTCCATTTCCTTATGTTAGAATGGCTATAGTATCCATAATAATTAAAAATAAAATTTAAAAAGATGGCTGTAATGCTGTTGAACTTGCAGAGTCCCAAAAGGATTGAATGGGGATTGTGTGTGAAACAAACTTGGTGAGCCCATGTTCACCATGTGTCAGAACCTGTGCCAAGTGCTAAAAACTTCAGAAAGAAGGTTCCACATAAACAGTGACTTTTTTTCTTTTTTCTTTTTGAGAAGGAGTTTCGCTTTTGTCGCCCAGGCTAGAGTGTGATGGCGCGATCTCTGCTCACCACGACCTCCGCCTCCTGGGTTCAAGCGATTCTCCTGCCTCAGCCTCCTGAGTAGCTGGGATTACAGGCATGCGCTACCACACCCAGCTAGTTTTGTATTTTTAGTAGAGACAGGGTTTCTCCGTGTTGGTTAGGCTGGTCTTGAACTCCCGACCTCGGGTGATCTGCCTGCCTCGGCCTCCCAGAGTGCTGGGATTACAGGCTAAATGGTGACTTTTTAACTCCAAGGTAGTTCTGAGGCTTACCAGTGGGCCCATCAGCTTTTTTCTGCGTATTTTCCAGAGAGGTCCTCAAAACCTTTATATGAGGATTTCTGTCCCATGTGCCATGAATCCATGTAGTCAATAAACCTCTACTGAATGCCAGGCTCCGGCTCTCTGGATACAGAGAAGGGTAAAACCATAGGTCCCTCCTTAAGGAGCTCACAGTCCAGTGGAACATTCAATGCATAATGAGGGATACAGGGCCAAAGGGCAGAGGAAACCAAAGAAAAACAGTACTAAAGTCTTCCTGGAGGAGTATAAATGTTGGTCATTAGAAAGCGTTGAGCCAAGACATGACTCATGCACTCATTCATTCTTGCAATGCATATTTATGAAAACGAAACACACGCCTGTGGCACCTCTGCCACATGCCAGGCTCGGCGTAGCAGATCTGTCAGGGCTGGGGTATGGCTCCGGCCTTACCTCTTAGGTGTGCACAGCGCTTCCAGTTGCCCAGATGCCTGCTTCTCTTTATCTGGGGGCTTTCTTCAAAGCCCTGGAAGGTTGCTGTGCCTTGCACAGGACAGACTGGATGTTTTGGAACTTAACCTGCCCCTGGAGCAGTCCTTAACCAATGACTGCTGGAATCGATATATAAATACCCTGGCCCCCTCTTCCTAGCCTCATTTTGCGCATTTGTAAGACGGGCCTAAGAGTATAAAGATTCCTGCCTCAGGAGATTGCAGTGAATGAGAAAAAAAGATAGCATTAGCCTTCCTTTATTTTTTCATCTGCCTTAAATCAGAAAGTGAGGCTGGCAGGACATTTGTAAAGGGCCTAGTGCAAAGCCTGGGTGGATGCCCATTAAATGCACCCTCTTGCCCTTGGTCCCATAGACAGGAAATGTATTAAGAGCATGGAATTTGGAGCCAAAGTGCTGAACTTAGAATGTGGACTCTACCACTTGCTAATTATTTAACCATGCCTCAGTTTTCTCATCTATAAAATGGGTTACTAGTAGTACTTACCTAATAGAGTGATCATAAGGGCTAAGTGGCAATACAAATAAAGATCTTAGGAGTACCTTGCACATAGAAATCACTGTTAAGGGGTTGTTAAATAAATAGATGCAGGTTGAGATGGGAAGGGGTTGGAAATTGAATCAGAGTGGCTAGGTGGTAAGTGGCCCTTGAAGAGCAGCAACTGTGTCCTGCACCTGGGGATGTCCCAGGGCAGTTTGCTGCAGGGCTGGCTTTCTCAGAAATGCAGGACAGAGGGTGAAAGCTTGCACCCAGCCTAGGGACCTTCCTTTGGAAAGGAGGAAGGGAGCAAAGGAGTTCAGACTGATGAGCAGGTAATGGCACCAGCTGTGAAGCATTCACAACATGCCAGGCATTGTCTTGTGGATTTCCACAGCGACCCAAATAGGTAGAAGAGAGAACTGAGGCTCAGAGAGTTTAAGTCTTGTGCCCAAAGTCAAGGTAAATGGCAGAGCTGGGGATTAAATTGAGGCCTGTCTCTCCCTAAGCCTCTGTTCCTACTGTTCTACTTGACATATTTCAATAAAGAAAGAAAAACGGGAAGGCCAGGAGAACACTTGGGTTCTGCTTTTTCACTGGTCCTTCATGGGACCCCTCCCTTTGAGAATACATTGCTGGAAGGTGTTCTGAAGCAGAGAAAAAGGTCCTTCCACCTCCCCACTGACAAGATCAGGCTAGGTGTAAGTACATGTGTGAAGCCCTCCGGGTCTCCTGAGTCATGAATCAGCCAGGCTGAGGCCCCTGGTCACACAGCCTGAGCAGCAGTGATTTGCAGGAGTGTGGAGCTGACATACAGCCTGTGGGAGCCTTAACTCTTCCCCCAGAGGATGCTCGGAGCTGCCCTGGAAGGAGATGGAGCTCAGGGCCTGAGGTTGGCCCTCACTGGTTGCCTGGTGTATGTTTTCTAGTCCCCTGTGTCTTTGCCCCAAGGAAAAACCCATCCCCTTCTAGAGCTGCAGGTGAGGAAAAGCTTCCTACAGAAGCTGAGCTGGGACAGGGGAGGCGAGAAGAATGTTCCAGGTGGAGGTAGCAGGTAGTGCAAGGGCACTCTAGCATGACCGAGCTTAGTGCATTTGGGAAAATGACGAGCACACAGTCTTGCAGAGAAGGCTGGACCAGGATGTTTGACCTTGTAAGCCATGAACAACTGGTGGTGGGGACTGGGGGTAGGATGGTGGTGAGCACAGCCTAGAGTGATTACTCTGGCATTTACAGGAGCTTAGACTCATGGGATCTCAGAATCCTGGGAGTTAGTATTTAAGAATCAGAGACTCTAAAAATTTCAGAATTTTGAAATTTTGGATTCAGAATCATAAACTCTTGGGCTCTCAGTCATGAGATTTTAGGATCATCAAATTTTTGAGTTCGGCAGCACTCTAAACTCTAAGCCTTGCAAAAAAGGAGAAGCCAGCACCAAAATTCAAGTTGGCCTCTGGCTTAACTGCTAAGGGCACTGGACCTTCCTGAGTGCTCACACATAGGGCAGGAGGACCTGGACCTGGGCCTCCTGGAATTCCCTTTGCACAGTGGGACGTCCACACAGCTTGTTCTCAGCTCTGATATCACCTGCTATTAAACACTATCTGCCAGCAATTCCCAAGGCTTTGAGTTCTTGGTACGCCCTCCCTAGAAGCTCATGGGAGGACTCTTCTCAGTACTCCTAAGCTGGAGGAGCTGGGGCTGGAGCAGCGTCCACTCCTGCCTGGACACAGCTGACATCAGTCACCTATCATGGCATTTTTAGTAAGTCCTGTGATTCCTGCTGCATACCCTCCTCAGAGTAGCAGGAGTAGTTCTTGCTCTGTAAGTAATTTCACAGTGTTTGGTCCATTGCCCCACCTTTACTTTACAGGATTTTCCTCCTCACACAGCCCCAGGAAGTACAAAGGCGAGGTGGCCCTTTGCCAAGGTCATTTAGTCAGCAAAGACACTGACTTCTATTAGTTCATTATTCTCATTCCCATTTGCTAAATTACTCAAGGTGGACAAATAGAGGACACGGAGTTATGGTCCCAGGGGAAGAGCTTCTGTTGAGCCTACAAAGCTGACTCCTTCGGAAGGCTGCTGGACAGACTGGAAAAGAGCCAAGTCTTCAGAGGCAAGCAGGCCTGAGTTCGAATCCTGCTCCTTCCTTACCTTCTGTGTTACTTGGAATATGTTCTTTAAAGTCTCTCATCCTTGATTTTTCCCATTTGCCGTTTGAAGATAATAATGAGGTTATTATCTTCAGGTTGCCTGGGTTTGCTTTTCAGCTCTGCCATCTTCTAGCTCTGTGATACTGGGCAAATCCTTTAGCCTCTCTGGGCTGTGTTTCCTCATCTATGGAACAGAAATAGTCATGCTACCTACCTACCTTGAGTAGCATTATGGTTGCTGAGAGTTCTGAATGAGTAATAAATGAAGCAGGATTAGAACAGTCCCCAGCACCTGATAAATAAATAAGCATTAGCTATAAATATTGTTTGCAGGGTGGTAACGAGGTGAGGCTCTTAAGTGGTGCACATCATATGTGCATAATATATCATTGTTGAGTGAATGAATAAAGGATGGATTGATCTGAAGTGCTGAGCACAGTGCACATTATGTGGTGTAGGGGAAGGGTCACAGAGCGTTAGACCAGCCCTGGGCGTTAGACCAGCGCTGGGGCTGACCTGGACTAGCCGAGCTCATCGTGCACATCCTCACCCAACTCTGCACATCTCTTCCCAACTCAGACTCAGTGGCGTCAGGCTGGTAGCCTGAAATCAGCAATGGTGGAAGCATCTATACCACAGGCAGTGGCAAACATTAGAACTCAAGGTTTTTTGTTTGTTTTATTTTGTCTTAATTTGAGAGAGAGAGGAAGAAAGGGAGACTGTGTTAAACTTTGGTTAGAACACAACACATTCCTAACTGGTCAGGTAAACATTTTTCTATAACCTGCCACGGTCATCTTCAGAAACCAGTTCTGACCATTTTTTACAAGATATAACATCTTAGGGAGAATAAGCCATTTTGGCACTGATAAGAAGGTGTTTGTGGGTTTTGAGAGCCTGGCTTTGGCGACCCCGCTAAGTATGGGGTGCATATTCCTTGTGGGTTTTGGTGGCCACGAATGCCCTACTGTGACACCAAAGAGTAGACTTTAAAACAGATGGGTGGGGCCTATTAGGTGGTAAATCTGGGACTTTCTGTAACTTGATAAGGCTGAATTAATGTTTGCAGCTTCCCAGGAAGATTGTAACACTGTGTGCCTGAACCCTGTAGCCTGAGTAAGGGAACTATTTAAGGCCATTCCAAATCTCCTTTAGTATCAATCGACTTTGAAGAAGTGCAGCTATTACATGAGCTGGACAGAAGTGCAGCTGTTAAGTGTAGCAGACATAAGAATGAACCTCGGGGAAGGCATTTGTAAACTGCCCAGGGTTTGAAAGCTTGTCTGGAGTGATCTTCAAGACAGAGGAATACACGCAGCAATGCTGCCCGGAGCTCTCCGGGATCCCAGCTGCCCAAGCCAGGCTCACCATCATTCATCAGCAGGACCATCTGAGTCCTGAGCCCCCACTCCAGATTCTCCATGGAGGTGCGGACGGTGACATCTGTCTTTATTTAATTTTTAGCTTCCCATGTGATGTGATGTGGATGATCAGCTAGGTTTGACAACCATTGCATCCTCATAAATAATCTCTCCTTTAAAATGTGTTGACATAGCATTTGTGTTTCAATGGCCCTAAATGGCTTCAGAGAAAAGCCAGTTAATCTTCTGATCTGAAGAAGACAAGCCACTTTTCACTTGGAAAGGAATAAACACACTTTTAATCTTTAAATTAGCACCATTGGAGACAAGCAATTAATTGCACTTGTCAGTGGGAGGTGGATTAGTGGGGGTGTGGGTGGGGTGTTCCCACTCCCCTCCTGGGCAACTGGAGGGATGGGGTGGCAAAGGTATAATCCAGGCCGGGCTTTGAGGAGCAGCATTGAGCCAGGAAGGAGGGGTGTGGCCACAATGGGACAAAAAGCCGTGGCCTCTGCAGAAGGCAGCTGGGAAATGACAGGGGACAGTCCAAAACATCAGACCCAAAGATGGCCAAGTAGAGAAACGAAAAGCAGCTGGAAAGGGAAGGACCGGCAACTGAGGGCAGCAAGATGGGGCCAGTGGGTTTGGAAGAATGAAGAGAAAAATTACCTGGGCAGGTGTGAGGCAGCCGTTTTCAGACTGCATTTACATCCTTGTGTTATGGGCTGGAACCACACGTATTTGGCAGGAGGTGCCTTTTTGTACTCCGTTATAAAGCCCACCTTTGTATTTCAGTTGTAACCAAGTTTGGCCCATCCGTCAGAATCTCACCTGGAGAGTCTTGTTTGAAATTCAGATTCTCTGGTCCCACCCCAGATCTATTGAATCAGACTCTTTGCTGGGATGGTACTCTGGAGCCTGCGATTTCAACAAGCTGATTCTTATGCAGGCCAGCTTCTTATTCTTGGGAGGCAGGATAGAGTGTAGAGGTGGACAGTATGGACTCTGGGGACAGCCTAGTTGGACTTAAATCCTATCTTCACCACTTGCTACCTGGATCACTTTGTGCCTTAATTTCCTTGTCTTCAAAATAGAACGATAATAATAGGAGCTATATCTTAGGGTTGTTGAAATGATTAAATGAGATAACATATACCAAATACTTAGAATAACGGATAGTATACTATATTTACCATTTTTTCTTTTATCCAATTAATGCAGAGATTGAGAGAAGAGAGAAATAGGGTCAATATTTTGAATTTAAGCCATCAAACACACATCCATACACATTATGCGTATAGGTCAAGAGTTGAAAATTTAAATGCTTTCAAGAACCAGGCAAGTGTGAAGCAATTGGTGGGGCCCTTGGTGACTTGGAATGTACAACTGTCTTAGTTTAGCTTTCCCAGAAGCCAGGGAGATCCTGAGACAAGATTTGGGGCCAAGTAATTTAACTGGTAGATGATCCTAGAAAACTGATGAGGGAGTGGGGATGGGAGACAGAAGAGAAGAAAGCTAATACCATGGGCATCAATGAACATGGTACTGCTGTGGGGACCTGGACTCTATCATCCTGGGAACCACCAGGAGACTTGGAGACTCTGCAATGTCATCCCACCTGATAAGTGAGGAAGCTGGGTTATACTCATTTCCTATGTCTGTTGTAATGAAAGTGCCACCATCTGGGTGGCTTAACCAACAGACATTGTTTCATACTTCCGGAGGCTAGAAGTCTGAAATCAAGGTGCCAGCAGGACTATGAGGGGGAATCTGTTGCATGCCCCTCTCCTAGCTTCTGGTGCTTTGCTGGCCATCTTTGACAGGCCTTGGCTTAGAGATACATCACTCCAGTCTCTGCCTTCCTCTTCACATGACTTCCTACCTCAGTCTGCATCCAGATCTACTCTTTTTTTAAGAATACCAGTCATACTGGATTAGGATCCTATCCCACTCCAGTATGATCTCATCTTAACTAATTATATCTGCAATGACCCTATTTCCAAATAAGGTCTCATTCGGAGGTATTAGGGTTTCAGATTTCAGCATATGAATTTAAGGGGATAAAATTCAGTTCACCCATGGGGTATTCATGCCCCAATTCCTCCCCCTAATTGACAACTACTTCTGTAGATGGTAACTCCACAGCATTTCCTGCTTACTCTCCCTCTCTGCTGTAATTTGGATATTTGTCCCCACCAAATCTCATGTTAAAATTTGATCCCCAATAGGCCGGGCATGGTGGCTCACACCTGTAATCCCAGCACTTTGGGAGGCCGAGGCGGGCAGATCACAAGGTCAGGAGATCGAGACCATCCTGGCTAACATGGTGAAACCCCATCTCTACTAAAAATACAAAAAATTAGCCGGATGTGGTGGCGAGCGCCTGTAGTCCCAGCTGCTGGGGAGGCTGAGGCAGGAGAATGGCATGAACCCGGGAGGCGGAGCTTGCAGTGAGCCGAGATTGCACCACTGCACTCCATCCTGGGCAACAGAGCGAGACTCTGTCTCAAAAAAAAAAAAAAATTTGATCCCCAATAGTGGAGGTGGGGCCTAATGGGAGGCGTTTGAGTCATGGGAGTGGATCCCTCATTAATAGATTAATGCCCTCCCTGGGGTGGTGGGGAGAATGAGTGAGTTTTCCCTCTACTAGTTCCCATGACAGCTGATATAAAGAGCCTGGTGCCTCCCCACTCTCTCTTGCCTCCCTGCTCACCATGTGATCTCTGTACATCCTGGCTCCCCTTCCCCTTCCACCATGAGTGGAAGCAGCCTGAGGCCCTCACCTGAAGCGACTGCTGACACTGCACTTCTTATAAAGCCTGCAGAACCATGAGCCAAATAAACCTCTTTTCTTTGTAAATTACCCAGCCTCAGGTATTTGTTTACAGCTACACAAATGGACCAATATGCTCTTCCTGTGTCTCTTCTACCACACGCCTTTTAAACATCCAGTAGCATGGATATTCCATAAGGGTTGTGTCTTAGTTTGAGCTGCTATAACAAAGTCCCATGGACTGAGTGGCTTATAAACAACAGATGTTTATTTCTCTCAGTTCCAGAGGCTGGGGGTCTGAGATCAGGGCGCCAGCATGGTTGGGTCCTGGTGAGGGCCCTCTTCCAGGTCACAGACTGCTCACATCTCATCCTCACATGGCAGAAAGAGGAAAAGAGCACTCTCTGGAGCCCCTTTTATAAGTGCACTAATCCCATTTATGAGGGCTGCTGTGGTTTGAGTATTTCCCCTGCAAAATTTAGGTATTACCAGTGTGAAAACATTAAGAAGTGTGGCCTTTTCAGAGGTGAGTAAGTCATGAGGGCTGCTTCCTTGTTCATGAGATTAAGGCTCTTTAAAAAGAGGATTCTTGAAGCTTTAGGCTACCTTGCCCTTCTCCCTGCTGCCACTTGAGGACATAGCAAGAAGGCCCTCACCAGACACCAAATGCTAGCGTCTTGTTCTTGGGCTTCCCAGGCTCCAGAACTGTGAAGAAATAAATTTCTGTTCTTTACAAAGTACTCAGTGTCAGGTATTCTTAGTTGCAGCAGTAAAAAACAGGCTAATATAATAGCTCCACCCTCATGACCTAATTAATCTCCCAGAGGCCCTACCTCCTAATACCATCACACTGGGGGTTAGGATTTCAACATAATCAATTTGGGGAATAAATAAACACTCAGTCCATTGCAGACTGTCTTGTTTACAGTTATAATCACAGCAACTAGATTAGTACCTTGTTGAGGTATGATCAAGTCATGCCAAAGATTATTACTCCATGAATGGACTAATAGTAAGTGTATTAGTCTATTCTCGCACTGCTATAAAGAACTACCTGAGACTGGGCAATTTATAAAGAAAAGAGGTTTAATTGACTCACAGTTCCACATGGCTGCGGAGGCCTCAGGAAACTTACAATTATGGCAGAAGGTGAAGGAGAAACAGTCACCTTCTTCACAAGGTGGCAGGAGAGAGAGGGAGAGAGAGACAGAGAGAGAGAGAGAGAGAGAGAGGAAGTGCCACACTTAAACCATCAGATCTCATGAGAACTCACTCACTATCATGAGAACAGCGTGTGGGAAACTGCCCCCATGATGCAATCACCTTAACACATGGGGATTACAATTCAAGATGAGATTTGGGTGGGGACACAGAGTCAAATCATATCAGTAAGTGTTCAATATTTGTTGAATGAATGAATGAATGAATGGGTGAACTCTCACTTCATTTCTATGTCCCCAAAACCTAGAGAAGATGTGGGAAATGCTCATCTGAACCTTGAGGGAGAGGTGAGGACTCTGCCCGGTTCTCCACAGCAAGCCTATAGGAAGGCAGTTTTACAAAATGCCTGTGCACCTGCCTTCCAAAGAGCAAAGCCCCATTAGGCATCAACTTTCAGATCCTTTAGTTTCCTTTATGCATGAGATTGGAGTGTCCCATTAAGTACTTAAATCAGATTAACAGCCTCCATGCCAGACCCTTCCGGCTCAGCCTGCTAGTGGTTGTGGAGCCAACAACTTCTTATAGAAGCAGTGGAAGGGGGTAGATGAGGAAGGGAGAAGGGCTCTGTTTGACCAGGCTGGTGAATCCCCTGTGTTTCCTTGGCGTCTAAGTCTGAAGAAATGAGAGCTGGCAAGCAGCCTGCCCTGAGCAGGCCCGGAGAGGAGGCTCCCCGTGGGGATGTGGAGAGTGGCCTGTGACCTCCCAGGAGTGAGTGGTGTTTCATCACTGCTTCTGGTAGTGCTGGTTTACAGAGGTCCCTCCAATGTCAGGAGATCAGGGATTTGTGGACAGTAGGAGAGAGCTGAAGTAGCAACATAAGCAGGATGACACCTGGCCCCATGCAGGGTGCAAATTGTATTTCTCTGTCAACATGGGCTATCGACAGCTGCACATTGACTCTAGATCTGGCAGAGTCACAGCAAGCAGACTCCCTGCCTCCTCTTTCTCCAACGCATTAAAACAAGCACAAAATATACCTTCCCTTTTCCTTCCACAATTATACTACTGTCCTAACCCACCAAGACACTTTATTAAATGTTATTTATAGAAATTTCAAAAAATTAATTAAAGATAGCTTGCATAGGGAATAAAAGGTAAAAGTCAATCAGCTTTTAAATTTGAACCAGAAAATCAAAGGTTTAGCAAAGATAGGGCAGCAAAAATCCTGATAAAATCTTTGTGATTAGTCATTATATTTGTCTTTGAGCTTCCTGGCAGCCTTAGCAAGAAGGCAAATATGATGGGCTGGGTACTTGTGTTTGGCTGTAAGAAAAAACACAAGTTCAACTCCAAAAACACAATCTTTGGAGCTAAGAAGTTCTGAGAGATATTATATGTGAACAGGTATGTGTGTGTGTTTATGTGTATATAAAATAGTTAATAGTCAATATATATAATATACAATGGACAGTGTTTTGGAAAGCAATTTTCCAGCCAACGCAGAAGTATTTTTGGGATAGTTCTTTCTTGCTTTGGCACTTAACAAAGATTGAAAGAAAACATGAAAACCTAATTAAGTAAAGGTACTTTGCAAAGACAGAGCCAGTATCATCTAGGGTACTTCAAGGCATTTTGTTTCTTCTTTATTTTCTTTTTTGGATAGCAGTTGTTTGGTTGGGGCTAAGAGAATTCCCTCTTCTAATCAGCAGCACATGTTTGGGATGCAACTAACTGGGGATGGAATTTTTCTACTATCTGGTCCACCAGAAGCCTTTACTCTAGCTCAGTGTTAACAGAGCTCGCAGGTACAAAGAGGCAAGTAGCTCCTATAGGAAGCAAAGCTTTCCATCTCTTGCTGCCACCCCTCAAAGCTCATTCTTCCTCTGATTGCATTTCCTGTGCATCAGGAGTTCACAATCTTATTTTAACCCCAGCACCGGACCAGAACAATAGAAAATGTTTATTACAGCCATTGTGTATAACAAACCATTCCAGAAGTTATGGTGTGAATCAGCAACCATCCATTGGCCCAGAATCCTGCAATAAAGGCTGGGATCACTGGGCAGCCTGTCTCTGCTCTACACAATGGCTCTCCCTGTCATTTGCAATCAGCTGGTGGCCCGACTGGGGCTGAAGGATCCACGAGGGCCTCACTCACCTGTCTGGGGCCTTTGTGGGGTGGCCTAATGACTGGGCTGGGGAAGAGGCTGCCTAGACCTTCCTTAGTTAGGGCAGCAAGACAGCAAATGCAAAAGGCCTGGAACTTGCGCAGGGTCCCTCTTGCTGTGTCCTGCTGTGTCACGGTCCAGCCCAGACTCAGTGTGTGAGGCAGCCACACAAAGATGTGAATTCAGAGAGGTGAAATTCATAGGAGACCATTTGGTAGCAATCATCCTCAGCCTCCTCCCATCAATACCTTAGTCATGGTAGGTATTGGCAGGAGTCAACTGGCAGGAGTCTCACCTGAGGGTTGAGGAGGGAGAGAAGGGGACAGGTATCCCTTTCATGGGGAAGAGAGGGGATTTGTATCAGGCCATTTGGTACTAGCCCAGTTCTCACTTCAAGTTCTGTGCACTCAACACTTAACTGCCACCATCAAAAACCCAGATATCAGACTTTATGAGCTCTATTTAAATTTTTCAAAAAGGATATATGAGAAATGGACCTTGGAAGTGATAAAACAGTAAATGTTTTAAGAAGCCTCCTGGCAACGGTGCTTGAAGACCTTGTAAGTGTGAGACATATTGAGTTATGCTGCTCCATGGCCAATGTCCTGACATTTGTGGGACAGTGACCTCCCCAGGCAGCTGCAGCAATTGGAGATCTTGAGGTCATTTCCGTATGGACTGCAGTGAGATATACAGCATGTCAGTGGCAGCCCAGAAGTCAGTCGAGTTTTCTCCAGGCTGGAATGAGGACACTGACAGCCCCCACCAGCCCTAGCTTAGGACAGGGGTCACACTGTTTAAAAGGATCACTTGAATGACAAGAAAGGCCATATGCTCATCACTTTTGCAGAAGCTGGAAACCTAGAAGGGCTGGATAAGAAAGACATTGGGTAATGAAATCAGGGGACAAAAACACTTTGACCTCCAAAGAAATAGTGGAAATCTTTAGAAAGGCTGATTAAATAAAAGTAAACATAAGATTCTTTGTTTTGACTCAGAGCAGGCACCCATGTGTGCACACACACACAAGCACCTGCACATGCACCCGCATCCACAGAGATGGGATGGAGGAGGCCTGACTTAGTAGCACCATGTAAAAATAATTTGTAAGTATATGTTAGCAGTAAGCTTAATTTGAGACAAAAGCAATCAAAGTTGTTGTGACTTTAGATTATATTAATAGGAGCATAGATTCTAGATTAAGGGAGGTGATTTATTTCTTCTATTCTGTATAGCCCAGTTTACTTTAGAAGTATTAGGTCAACTTCTGCATAATATGAAAGGGTTCAAGAAAAACTAACTTAATTAGAGGGAAGTTCAACATGATTAGAGAATTTGAAATCATGAAATATGCGGAAACACAAGGAAGAACTGAAGATATTTGACCTAGAGAAGTCCTTAGCAAGGACTTAAGAATGGGCTTCAGTTGTTATGTGGAAAGTGGGACTTGATCTGTCTTCTATGGCTCCAAAATAGGTCCCATTGGACTCATGAATGTAAGATTGAGGGACCCTGGCATTTGGAGGTCAGAAGAAGGAAGAACATCTAATAGTTGAAGAGGCCCTCTAAGGAATGGATTGCATGGATTTCCCTTTTACTGCAGGGGCTGCATGATCACTCATCAGGGCAGACAGAGGGAATTCACACCTTGGGATGGATGCTTGGTTCAAAAGGAACTTTAGAATCCTGTCCAACCAACTGTGAGGGCTGTCATGGGCTCTTGCCTTAGCTGCTATGAAAAAGGTAATGAATGCAGTGGCTGTGCCCTCTCTTGCTGAGGGTTCAGGGGGCTGCTGCTGAGGCCTGTTTCTGTTGCTGCAGGCCCCATTTACAGTTATGAAGAAGCAGAGGCATCAAATGCTTAGCCAGGTCCAGGACCACAGGCAGCAAACCAACACCAGCTACTCACATGGGCACAGCTCCTGGCCATCCACTTCCTGGAAAGATGGAGATCCAGGCAGAGAGCGGATCCTGGGCTGGGGTCTTGGCAGAGGGATCTTCCCCTGGGGGTTATAGGAGCACCGATGGAGATGGAGACCAATAGGAAGGAGGTAGCCGTGCTGATGATGGCTTTTCAGGTCACTAGGCCTGGTTTGAAAGTGGACTGTGCCACTCACAAGCTGCATGATGCTGGAGAACTTGATAAAATCTTTTGAGCTACCATTTTCCTATTGGCTTGTTGTGAAGATTAAATAGACCTTGTTTGTGGTGTATATGACCCTGTGCATTGCTGGACCTCAGAAAATACTGAAAATACAGGAAATATTCCCCTCTATTTTTCCCTTCAAAACTGACCTGTGCTGGCCACTGTGGGGACCACTGAAGAAGACCCAGGGAGGGGAATGGGTCCCCCAGCCTTTCTCTGGGGGTCATCACTAAAAGAGTGACTGTTGTGATTGCCCCCTCTGCCTCCTGACCTCCCTCCCATGCTAAGGCTGCATTTTCTCCCTGACAGAGGAACTGAAGGAGAAGCTGACCGAATATGTGGACAAGGTGAACAGCCAGAAGCCAGGCTTCATCAAAGTCGTGCGTCACAGCAAGCAGGAAGGCCTCATCCGCTCCAGGGTCAGTGGCTGGAGGGCGGCCACTGCCCCTGTGGTGGCACTCTTTGATGCCCACGTGGAGTTCAATGTGGGCTGGTAAGTGCCCCTTGGGAGAGGAGGAGGAGTCCCAGTGGGATCTGGGGCTTCAGCTCCAATAGTGCAAAGCATGCTAGGATCTTGGTCATAGCCTAAGGGAAAAGAGGTAATTCTGGGAATAGGTGAGATGTAGGTGTGTGAGTGAGCCAGGCAACAAGGCTGGACCTTTAGGGTTCGAGGTGTGGTAGAGGGGAGGGGGTAGCCAGGGGTCAACAGGTCAGCACACGGTGCCTAATATGCATGGTGACATCACATGTGACTCTGGCTGGCAGGGTCATCAGGGAGAAGGGTACATGCCAAGGGCAAAGCAGAGAGTGTCCCGCTAAGGACAGGGTTCCCACACCTAGGAAAGGAGAGCTGGGCCAGACGTGAGGCAGAAGCCCAGCCTCACAGCCAGGGCCAACAGCAAGTGGGCAAAGGTGGGGGAAGCTTGCCCCATGTTGTCACAGGTGCCCTGGGCTTTCCCACTGCCAGATTGGAGGTAGCACGTAATCTCAGATTCTCCCTATGGTGAAACTGTCTAAGAACATCTTTCTTTCTCTGGTCAGAGCTGCTCAGATGCTGGGGGGAAAGGGACCAGACAGAAGGCCCAAGTGGCTGCAGCCAGCCAGGAATAGAGTGGCGGATGCAGACCTCCCTGCAGGGCTGGAGGGCACAGGGCCACCTGCTGTGTGTAACTTTGCCTGGGCCTGGGAGACACAGGCTCTGGCAATGACCATAAGTAGCTGGGGCAAGTAGGTGGCCACCCTTTTATCAATATGCCTGTTGTCACTGGGGTCTGCTCTCCTCCCCAGACTCCACAGTGCCAACCTGTGCCCCCGGGGAGTGGGAGACAAGGGCACTTCAGCAGGAAGGAGCAGCAGGGCGTGCACACAGCCTGGCCTGGATGCTGCCATAACAGGCCCAAATGAAGGCTGCAACACAGCCATTTTTTATAGTTGAAGTCCCTGCTTGCCACTTGTGACTATTTAAACAGCATTTTCTTTGGATTTATGGCCAGGATAGGAGAGGGACACTTACTATTTCAAGCTGATTTGAATAAACAATTATGCACCAAATGTATTATTAATGAGAAGCTTATTCCTGCCTGCAAACACTTTACTCGCCTGGTGCCTTCAAGGGTCTCCCAGCTCCCTGGGAAAGCCCAAATGCCCCACCCCTCCTTGGGTGGTTGGGAAACGCTTTGGGGGGTGGATGTGGCACAGCTGGCATTCCAGGGCAACATCGCATGGCTGGTGGATGTAGGTTTGTTCTCAGCTCCTAGTCTCTGCCATCCTCATCTGTCTTTTCCTCCAGGTTGACACATAGAATTTTAGCAAAATCAAAGCCCAAGGTGAAAGCTTTTTCTGGAGCCTCAGATCTGTTTCTTTCTTCTTTTTCTTCTTTTTTGAGTCTTGATTTTTTTTTTTTCTAATGGAGAAAGGGAAAGCGAGCAGGCACAAGGTTGGCTGGAATAAGAATCTCTCAGCTCAGCTCTGGATATGCCAATGGAGTGGTGCAGCCTCTTGCCATTCCGGCAATCCTCAGGGAGCGGGAAGTTGAATAGGAGCTCCTTCCCAGAAGGCAGTGCACCTCTCCATCAGAGGAGATGGGCAGGCCTTCCTTCCTCTTTCTGCTGGGGAAGGACCTTCAGGAGATGCTACTCTGGATTTTTCCACCTTGGAAATGGTTACCCTCTCTGGCTGTCTCCTCTCTGCCCAGGGCTGAACCTGTACTCACCCGCATCAAGGAGAACCGGAAGCGGATCATCTCGCCATCCTTTGATAACATCAAATATGACAACTTTGAGATAGAAGAGTACCCGCTGGCTGCCCAGGGCTTTGACTGGGAGCTGTGGTGCCGCTACCTAAATCCCCCCAAGGCCTGGTGGAAGCTGGAGAACTCCACAGCGCCAATCAGGTAAAGCAAACCTTTACCTGTGGGTCTCTCCGCTTTGACCTCCAGGCTAGGGACCGCCTACTGGTCCAATGCTTATTCTCCAACTTGAGCCCCATCGTGGGGATGACAGGGGTGGGCAGGGTCGAAAGGAACTGCAGTCTGATCTTCAGTCACTGCCACAGGCTCTGAAGATCTCAGAATCCATTCACAGCCTCAAAGTGACCCATTTTCACACATCACTGTGAGACGTCTGCTGGGCGCCAACCACTGTGCTCCAGGTTGGGGATCCGGAGTGATGAAGATTTGGTTCCCACTGCCAAAAGCCTGGAGTCTAGTGAAGACAGACAAAATCATTGGAATAGGAACATTATTCTACCATGCAGGCAGAAACTGCATTGAAAGCGGGGAAATGCTTTTCAGAGGGCAGCATTTTCACTTGTTTTTGAAGGCGAGTAGAAGATGGCTAGGTTGGGGAATGGACACCCATATGCAAAGTTCATGAACACAGAGAAGGTTCAAAGTCACTAGAAGTGGGAAGTGAGCCAGCAGCCCCCGGCAGTAGGGGTGGAGGGGCTGAGAGGCAAGATCGGACCCCACAGGACAGTGTATACCTTGATGATATTTGAGTGTTATTCTGTAAGACTCAGACAAAAGTGACTTCATACTGCATTTCAAAGGTCCCAAGTTCTTTCCTGCCTTTGCTGCCATCTTCCTAGACTCATGAATGACTCCCTTGTGTGGTCTCGGCTTTTAAGGTTCAGGACTCCTCCAAAAGCTGTCCCCACTAGTTTTTATTTCTGTCTGTGTTTGTTTTTGTTTTTGAGACGGAGTCTCACTCTGTCACCCAGGCTGGAGGGCAATGGCGTGATCTCGGCTCAATGAAACCTCTGGCCCCTGGGTTCAAGTGATTCTCCTGCCTCAGCCTCCCAAGTAGGTGGGATAACAGGCACCTGCCACTGCACCTGGCTGATTTTTGTATTTTTTACTAGGGACAGGGTTTCATCATGTTGGCCAGGCTGGTCTTGAACTCCTGACCTCGTGATCTACCCGCCTCGGCCTCCCAAAGTGCTGGGATTACAGGCATGAGCCACTGCGCCTGGCCTATTTCTGTCTATATTGATGATACGGTGGGTGTCTTTATGTTCCCTGCGAAGTCCTGCCCGTTATAAAACAGAAGGCACCAGAAGGTGGCCTAGGGTACAGTTTTTGGAGTGCAAGAGATTAGAAGCTCATGTTGTTTTATATTATATTAGGGAGAAAGGGTATGAAAAATTTAATTGAAAGTCAGGGATTATTACTTAAGATCACATTTTTCCTTGCCAGAAGAAAAAATGTATACTCATACTTAAAACGGGATAAAACCACCTAACTTTCCTGAAGTTACCTGATACCTACTCTGCTCGGCCCCTGCCACAATTTTGTGTTGTTAAACATTTGCTGACAGTCTGCTATGTACAAGGGTCTTTTACACGCATTGGCTCATTTGATCATCATCGCAACCTGTTGACCGCTCATGTCTCATCCCTGTTTTACAAGAGGAGGAGAGCAAGACTGAGAGAGGTGAATGGCCCTGCCAAAGGCTCTGGGCGGTAGAGCCAGGATCCACCCAGAGAAGCTAGACTCAGTGGCTAGTTTTCACCCCTCTTATTGTCCACTGTTGAGCTCAGAACTGGTGTAGCTGTTTTCTGCTCCCAGGCCTGATGAATGCTGTTGGAAGGAAATATGCCCCCATGCAATGAGCATTCCTGCAGAAGACTGCATTGACAGTAACTGTTTCTGTTCTGCTCATCTCTAACTGTACTGGTCCAGTCTCAATCAGCAAGCCTGCATTCCAGGTCCTTGCCAGACAATGTCATCTCAACCTCAAATTTTCTATCACCCAATTTTTATCAAAAACTTGGTTGAGGGAAATAACTTCTATGGAAGATTTTTGGAAGAACATTCCTGGTTTTATTCCCAGATGAAGACAGCTCCACAGAAAGCTGTGATTTATACAAATGTATCTTGCCCATCCGAGCTCCCTTTTCTTTCAAGCTATACTTGAGTGCTTTGCCCACACATGGTGTAAGTCATAAAAAGAGCCCAGCAATATCTTCTGGTGTATTCTAAAGGGATGTCTTTGTGATCGCTGTTCCCTAAGTCGCCAGGTGACCCCATTAAGAAAATCCACGTGAGAAATTTCTTTCAAACTGACTGCCAGTCAAAGAAAGACTTGCTATCCCCAGGGAATCAATTAATATGACATTTTCACATGAGAACTGTACATTTTGTTTCTAAGACCATGTGTGTTCATTTCCACTTTGACCAACAGGAAACTCAAAGGCAAGCTTTCATGTCTGCTTTAAGAACAATTGAGAGAGGACCTTGGTTCTGCACATGCATTCCAATTTGTTGCAATCTTTAGGTCTGTCCAGACATTTATCTATTTATGGTTCTCTATGTATTTTAAATTTTCTCATAAGCTATTTCTAATCCTTTCAGGAATGAGGCAAGGTGTAAATCGATAACTCTTTCATGCTGATAGAATCCACTTAATACCCTAGCCGGTTAATAATAAACCACTGAGGTGGCCTGTGCTCATCTCAGAGTAACTGTTTCAGATTCTGTTCATTACCTGGCTTGAACTGTCAGTTTGAGGAAGGTCCCTTCCTGTGTGTCCTGAAAGCATTTTTCCAGCGTGCCCTGCCCTGTCCAACACTAGGAATGCAGAGGCAAATGCCAAGGCCCCACTCTGCCAGCCTGATGTTTCTGAATCATCACGTATTTAAAGAGAGGATCTTCTAGACTTAGTGCACAATTGCATCTTTTTACCTTTTTAAATGGCCTTTTGAGTGCCAGTTATGTCCCAGAGGCTCTCAAGTGCTTTAATTTAGTCCGTGTGAGGTTAGAATAGATCCTATGTTACAGATATGGAATCGGAGGCTCAGAGAGGCTAGGGAACTTCTCTTAGAGACATGCATCCGGAAGGGGGATTTTTCCCAGAGAGACTACCTCGAAGGCCTGGGTTCAGTTACCTCCACCACAGCAGGGTCTCAGTCTGCTTTAGGAGTGGTGGATTAGCTTCCCAGGATGCCTGCAGGTCTGTGAGGGTGAAGCCATTTAGAATAAAATGCAGTGATTTGAAAGGAAGAGAAACAGTGGCTCCAGGGTGTCAGTCTCTGCCCCAGAAGTCTCCTGTATCTGCATTCCCCAGGGAAATGACCTGCAAAATCGCCTTTCTCCACCTTGATAAGTTTCCATTTTCAAAGATGGGTTCATTTGCATGTGATGGACCGACAGTTTTCTCATCCCTGAGGAGCCTTCATTTCTCCTTTTATTCCCCCACTGCCACCAAGTCCTCCAGCCAGGCAAGGGCTAGAAATGGTAGCAATAAGCAGTAGAACAATTCAACGTCACTGCATAAGCAGGGCTCTCAGCAGAGAAGTAGCCCCGTGCTCTCACGCTAACTCACCTCATGTGAATCATTCTCTGTGAGGTGCTGCACTGGGTGTCTTCACAGAGCTGGTGAGACCCAAGCTCACAGCCCTCAAGGAAGGAAAAGCCTTCCAGCTCCTGGACCCCATAGCTGTTGGCAGGTTGTTCCAGCCTAAGACCCCTGTTGAATTCCAGACCCAGGCCATGTACCTAAGCTCTGCCTGTTGGCTATCTCCTCGTGTGTCACACAGGTACCTTAAGGTCAGTTTTTCCACCACCAATGCTTCTTTCTTTTGAAACCAGCTTCTTCTCCTGTGCCCCTGTATTGATGAGTGGTCTCCAACCCACTGTCACCTGAGCCAGAAAGCCAGATGGCATCCAGATTCCTCTCCCTTTCTCACCCTTGTGTAGTTCATCTATTTTGAAGTTGGGCTGATTTTACATCAAAATATGTCTTTAAAAAATTCCTATCTCTGTTCCTGATACTCTGACTCAGCTCTCCATCATTTTTCACCTGGATACAGCAATGAGCTTCCCAGCTGGGCCCCTCAATTCCCACCCCTTACCCTCTGGTCACTCACCCACAGCTGCCTAACTATTCTTTTGAAAAAAACACAGATCTGCTGACATCACTGTCCTGCTTAAAATTCCTCATGGACACCTATTTACCTGAAGATAAAATTCAAATTTTTTACCCTGCTACCCAAAACCCTTTGCAACCTGGTCCCAGCTAATCTTTCTAAGTAGACCAAGGATGACATACAGATTCCAAGTTGGGGAAGGGTAAGAAAGCTGGTATGCATTCCCAAGCAGGAACAGAGACTGGCTGTGCAGAGGTCAGGGTCAGGGCAGCGGGAGATACAGTCAACCTAGACTGGCAGGCTGAGCACCAATTCTCAAAGCTAACACACACACAAGCACCACCCCACTAATAGCTGATCCCAGGATGGCAGCTGTCTACCCACTGCCCGGATGAAACAGCCTTTCTGGAGTGGTTGGGTGAGGCCAGACCCAGGGGCCACTCCAAGAACAAGGCTCACACTGGCTCTGGCAGCAAAGGAAGGAAGAGAACCAGACCCTCCTGATAGGAAGGCCTTACTGCTCTTACTCCTCGGACAGCTGCACCAGACAGCCCTTCTGCTCTCCCCTGCCCCTGCAGGAGCCCTGCCCTCATTGGCTGCTTCATTGTGGACCGGCAGTACTTCCAGGAGATCGGCCTGCTGGACGAAGGCATGGAAGTCTACGGGGGCGAGAATGTGGAGCTTGGGATCAGGGTGAGTGGGGTTTCTCACTCAAACTGCTCGGCTCAGCTCCCACCAGGGTGAATGAGTCTGGGGGTGGAGAAATGGGGTTTAAGGTTGAGGGTCACAGACTGATTCTGAATGTCCAGTCCTGAATCCTGTGTGTGATTGGGATTGGGAAGACACAGGGTGGAGCCTCTTGACTTTTCAGGAAGAAGAGGACTTCAGAACCAGCTTGGCTGGGGGAGGGAGCATGGGAGAGGTTAAGCTGCCAACTCAAGGGAACAGCCTCTTTTAAAATCAAACTGAGGCCCATCAGAGTGAGCAAAGGTGTGCTCTAGGAAGCAATAACAGGCATCGAGAGTGGCTGGACAAGAGTGACCCTGAGTCAGCTCCCCTTGGGATTTCTCACTTTGACAGTCTCTGTCTTCTCCACAGTGGCCCATAGAACATTCCCAAAGACTTTGTTAAGAGATAGCCCAGAGAAATAAACTCAGGGTGTATAAACAGCAAGATGCAGCCAGGCTCACTGCAGGCTGCTTTCTGATCCCAGGTGCTAGCCAGACCCACAGCCCATTCCTGCCTCACGCCATTCTCCTGCCTCAAAGTACAGAGTTTTTTCCAGCAATCAGCTCATGGCATGGATCCCCAAGAGGCTCTATGTTATTTCTCATCCTACAGGAACAATTCCTAGGCTTTCTGGCTCTTCCCCCTTGGCCGGTGAAAACATAAATCTATGATGAAGCCCTCTTTCTTATCTGAGGTTCCTGTTAGGTCCCCTGGTGTTAGGCAGGAATGTGATGATGGATACAACAAAGGATCTTGTCCTAGAAGGAAGCCTGCCCACCTCTAGGACCAGGGAGTATCCTTGGCAGACCCAGTATTAGAGCTGCAGGATGTCCTCCCCACGATGGCCCCCACTGTCTTCTCCGTGGGGAACCCTCAGCAGCCAGCCACCCCCACACTCTACAGGCTTGCCGATGCTTGGAGAGAACCCTGTGCCTACTGGTGTCCGTAGGGATTATCTGAGATGCTCCACCTCACTGCCAGCCTATTCACACATCCATGCAGACCTCATCTGTCTGGTCCCACCTACTGGCCCTACTCTGGCATCTTTGGCCTTAGTGTCTGCATCTGATGTCTCCAATTCCTGATACTCAATTCCCACTGAAGGATTGCAGCTTGGATGCACCCTCCTCTCACCTCTAACCTCCTTCAATCTCCTACCCCACCAGGCAGGCAACTGGCCCTGGACGGCCCTTGCCCCTGACCTAAAGGGGAGATTGGACACCCACAGTGAGCATCTCACAATGCCTGCAATGACCTGACAGGTACTGTGTGGGGCCCGACTCACCACCCAGACTTAATGCTAGGGCTTTGAGGACTGGCGACATGAGCAGTCTGTCTGAAGCCGAGCTTAGAAAACACTTCCAGACATCTGTATTCATTGAAACCCTGAGAAATTGCTTTGGAAGCAGTCAAAATGCGTGGGCTTATTGGGGAGCTAATGTATTCATAGAGGACAGCCCCTGCATAATCACCCTCGTTTCTGCAGCTCTCTCTACATTGGCCATTTATTCCCCATTTGTATCCTCACCATCTCATTTCAGCACTGCTCCTGGATAAATGCTCACCCCAAACATAATATTTTTCACGAGGAGCTGCTGTCAGGAATTGTCTGAGTGGGTTGGACCGCCTCCATTCGCTTGTGTTCTCTGGGTAAAAATGTGCAGGAATGGAGAAAGGAATTAGATTTGTGAACTCTGCTTCCAGCATGTGTGTGAGTCAGTCACAGAGTGGAGATTTCTGGCTTTTCCTTCCTTAGATTATAAAGTTATAAAGCTATTCTGGAGTGTGGGCCTGGGTGAGGCTCTCAAATGCAAGTTAAAATGTCTCTGGGTGGTTTCGTGTACAGAGTTTGAAATACAGTTGGCAATGATATCTGGTTTTTTTTTTTTTCCTCCATCTCTTCTCTCTCAGTTGACAGAAATGAAGTGTCATTGGAGTTGAAGAAAGGGTGGCATTTAAAACAGAGAACCAACAAGCTGTTAACTTGCAAAACTAAGTACAAATGGGAGGGATGAGTTCATTTGAATTTCAGTTCCCCCTTTAAGGGTTACGGAACCACTGATCGTCAGCAAAACAGATTTTCTCCTTTTGTATGGTTATTAGTATTTGTCTTTCTTTCGTGTTTGATGAGTTAACTTTTCAATGGTTCAGTTTCCTCTATAAAGCAGCACACTTGCCCTAATTACACCATACGATTGTGTATCAACATGAAAGATCACTTTTCACCCTTCTCTTAAGCAGAGGCAGATTATTCAAAGTCCTTACCTATCTGGAACACAGAAAGAAAGTTGTTTGCGCAATTACTAAATGCCTGCTTTGTGCCATGGGTTTTACTGGCACTTATGTCATCCATCCACGAAACACCCTAAAAAGACTATTATTGTAATAGTGGTTTTTTTTTTCCATAAGATACTGTGAAATTAGGGGCTTACATATATCTCAAGGTCATGTACCTCGTAAGAGGTAGAGAAAGGATTCAGCCCCAGATCTTTATGATTCAAGGACTAGACAGATATATCACAGTGATCTAGGGATAAAAGTACTTTGAGCACCGTCTCAAAAAAGATATTGCAACAGCCATGCAGTAATTATCTTCTACTTTATTCACAATTATGTCTACTGAGTCCCTATTTAAAGCCTTCTTCTTATTTCATGCTCTTTTTTTTTTCTGATTTGTAAGTCGGCAACACAATGAGAAAAAGGAAGGAGCTACTATGGCCAAGCACAACGAAATGAGTGAGAAATAAGAGCTGACACTGAATAGAAAACAGAAAGATTATATAAATGATAACTGTGAAAGTGCTAGAATGCATAAGAAAACATTTAAGGGCTGGCAAGGGATTGAAATTGTTGGAGACTATTATGGTTTGAATTGAGTGCCCCCAGCCCCAATATGTCCTAACCTCTTGTGAATGTGATCTCATTTGAAACCAGAGGTCCTTGCAGATGTAATCAAGTTAAGACAAAATTGTGCTGGATTAGGGTGGGCCCTAATCCAACGAGACTGATGTCCTTATAAGAAGAGGAGAATTTGGTCACAGGAAGACGTAAAGGAAAGACAGCCATGAGAAGGTGGAGGTAGAGATTGGAGTTATGATGTCAAAAGCTCAGGAACACCTGGGGCTATCGAAAGCTGGAACAGGCAAAGAAGGATCCTTCCCTAGAGGGTTGGGAGGGAACATAGCCCAGTCAATATGTTGATTTCAGACTTCTGGCCTCCAGAACTGTGAGAGAATAAATTTATGCTGTTTTAGGTGATCCAGATTGTGATACTTTGTTATAAGAGGCCCGGGAAACCTACACAGGGACCAAAAAAGTAAGCCAAAGTTGGAACCTGGAGAAAGGTTGAGGCTATTCTACATGGAGAATCTGGTGACACTTAAGTTTATGTTTTCTCAACTTCATAGAATACAGAGAACAGAAAGCCTAAGGCTTGCCTTACTTCCCATAAAGCTGGGACTCCAAAGGCCTGTTTTCTCAGTATAAAGTAGAAATCCTCTCTGGAGAAAGAGCCTTTTAACCCAGGCCACACAATTCCCACAGGGAGAGTTTTAAGGAATATGAATTCACAGTTTTAAAAACATCACAAAACAGACAAGGGAAAAAGAAAGCAACAAGAGGAAACAGCAGCAAAATCAGCGGACAGGCAAACCTGACCCACAAAGTCTCCAGCTGTTGAATCCATCAGACACGGAATATAAAGTAGGTTATATTATATACTTAGAAAAAGAAGAGATTGAAAATATGAATAAGAAGCAAGACACTATAAAAATAATCAGTCATAGTAGGATAAAAATGGAATTTCAAACATGAAAAATGTAAGAAAGACAAAAGCTCAACAGATGGGCAGAACGGCTACATGAACATTATTAAAGGAATAAAATTAAGAAACTGGAAAATAGATCTAAAGAAATCACTCAAAATCAGCCCAAAGGGCCCAGAAAAAATTGTGAAAAAATGTTGAAAGACATGTAGAATTGAGATTGTGGATTTAGTATCTTATAATTCCAAATGGAGATGATCCTCTTTCTCCAGAGAGGATTTCTATTTTCTGAGAAAACAGTATGGAGGGTTAGGCAAAAAACATATTTAAATAAATGATGGCTTAAAATTTTCCCAAACTGATAAAAGACACCAATCCTCAGATTTAAGAAGTCATGCCATCCAAAGTGAGGTAAATATAAAGATATCCCCATTTAGATATACCATAGAGGAACTACAGAATATCAAAGACAAATAAAAGATCTTACAGCAGTCAAAGAGAAAAGATAGATGACCTAAGTCAATAATAATTAGAATAACAGCTGACTTTTCAACTGTAACAATGGGACCCAGAAGATTATGATATAATGTCTTCAATACACTGAGAGAAAATAATTGTCAACCTATAAGTGTATGCCCAATAAAAACATCCTTCAAAAACTATTTGAACCTAAAGACTACGGAATAGGTTACAGGTGTCCAGCAGCACAGCAGCTTGTATCTCTTTCTTCTAGAGCTAAACATTCAGGCAGATCCTAGGTTTATAGCACAACACAGTATGGCACAGTTGTTAATGATCTTAGTAACAGTCCCAAGTCATAAAAAAAGGCCTCCATTGTATGCTGTATGCTTATTCAATAAGACAAAAAGTACATACATGTATGCAAAGATTTCTATGGAAAATGTAAGACTTGTTAAATTTCTGATACTGAAATAGGCAACTTCTCAGTTGTATGGAACGGACATGGAGAAACTGATTAGAAAGCCTAGCCTATTTATTATGCTTTAAATTCAATTCACTTCTTTAATATGAATCTTGGCTGTCTTCACCTTTCTGGAATGGAAACCAAAGAAGTAGGGGGTGGTGAGGAAGAATGCCACTACAACCACAGCCAGTGCCCCACCGTGGTGTCCAGAGCAGGCAACCAGAGAAAAGACCCCTCTCCTCTCCATCTTGCCCCAACTGTGAATCACTCCTGACTGGATTGAGCTGTTAGAAATGTATTACAGAAAAGAGAGTCTCCCAGAAAGGCCTTGCTGTTGGAAAGACACCCACTTGAACATATCTGCAAGTCACTGACTCCTTCTCTGAATATCTAAGCTTTACCCACTTGGGGTTTCTTACTGGCATTTTAGAATATCTTGGGATATTCGTAATCATTTGCCTCTTTAGAATATGGTCTACTGTTATAATGACACTTACACAGATATCTCATCCTCCAGGATGACCTTTTACTATCTGCTCCTAGGACTGGATGATTGTTGTTATTCTTCATTCCCTAGTGCCAGCTTGCCCCTTTTAACTGCTTCTTCTAAGCCTCATCACAAGATCTGATTGGGAGTAGAATCCCTCGCTGTGAGTGATTCTGTCCCTCTCCCTGTGTAGCTGAGTTACATCTAGGACAGGAGGAAGTGAAGCTGACTGGCTCCACTTTGGACCTTGGGAGCACCAAGGATCATTTAAGGTTTCCTTATCTGGCTAGCCTTAGAGAATAGCTTATTAAAGCAGAAATATGGATCTGAGATTTCTCAGTACCTTGGACAGTGACTTTATTCTAAACTCATTAAATCTTTCTGTTGTCCTAGTCTGCCAGTTTTCATCCCCTCTCCTAGGTTTTTTCCTCAATCATGGAGAACCTAATACCTATACATGCCCTGGCAAAATACCAATAGCTATTCTACAGAGCATGAGGGATGAAAGAAGCAAAGAAGGTGTGGACACAATAGAAGGAGTATACTTCACAAATTACAAAGTCACTAGATATCAAAAATCCCCTTACCCCCTACACTGGCTTTGTCTGCTGCTTCTATATCAGCTAAATAACAATGGCAGTACCTTTCATCTATATTTTCGAATTCTTTCCCTACAATTATCCTATTTATTGCTCACAGCAATCAAATGCTGAAGGCAAGCCAGATAGTATTATCCTAATAGATGTTATATGATTAAAAATGTTTATGTTGGTCAAGGAGTTAATTCATTCTTATGCCTTATTATCTCATTATTCTAATCATTATTTTTAACAGTAAAGATAACAAGAAGAAATTAATTACTTCATACAGTTCTCTATACAAGCATATCATCATATCTATTATACATGTAGATGCATATGTACATAAAAATACTACCACACATTTTATGTAGTGCTTTATTTTTTAAGGCACACATTAATTTATATGTATTATAGTCGTGCTTAACTTTTTATTCAAATGACACTCAGGAACCTGTGTTGCAAGCTAAGAAAACTGACTCAACCTAACTTAAAGAGAAAAGAAATTTATTGGAAGGACATGGGTATCTCAAAGAATTAATTTGCTTTTCAAAGAAGCTGATTCAGAAAACAAGCAAAAGCCAAGAGAGGCTAAACAGCAGAAACTACAGCCAGAGCCACATGGTCATAATAGCGTATTTGGGACAATACCTCTGACCCTACTGCCATGACTAGATGGTCCTACCACTGGGTACTGGGCACTGTTGCTTGGGTTTCGGTGACATTCACAAAGATTGGAAGTCCTGAGTGACAGCACACAATTAGCTAAATCTAGGTTTATGTACATACCTTTGCTTCGAGGGGACAGTGACAGATCATATAGCTCTTTTCAGTTTCTACAGTTCCAAGAATTACACATGACAGAGTTCCTCTTATGGGAAATGGAGTTTGAACCTGGGTTTGTCTGTCCTCTAAAACAAGTAATATACTATATAGGTATTGTTCTTCATATTCCAGATACTTTATCATAAATGAGACTTGAAAAAACTCTCTATTGAAATGCAAATCAAAACCACAATGAGATACCATCTCACACCAGTCAGAATGGTGATTATTAAAAAGTCAGGAAACAATAGATGCTTGTGAGGCTGTGGAGAAATAGGAATGCTTATACACTGGGAATGTAAATTAGTTCAACCATTGTGGAAGACAGTATGGTGATTCCTTGAGGGTTTACAACCAGAAACACCATTTGATCCAGCAACCCCATTACTGAGCATATACCCAAAGGAATATAAATCTTTCTACTATAAAGACTCATGTACATGTATGTTTATTGCAGCACTATTTACAATAACAAAGACATGGAACCAACCCAAATGCCTGTCAATGATAGCCTGGATAAAGAAAATGTGGTACATATACACCATGGAATACTATGCAGCCATAAAAAGGAATGAGAACCCGTCCTTTGTGGGGACATGGATGAAGCTGGAAGCCATCATCCTCAGCAAACTAACACAGGAACAGAAAACCAAACACCACATGTTCTCACCCATAAGTGGAAGTTGAACACTGAGAACACATGGACACAGAGAAGGGAACAACACACATGAAGGCCTGTAGGGGGTTGGGGGTTGAGGGAAGGGAACTTAAAGGATGGGTCCATAGGTGCAGCAAACCACCATGGCACATGTATACCTATGGAACAAACCTGCATGTTCTGCACTCGTATCCCATTTTTAGAAGAAATAATGAAAAAAAAATTAAGGAAAAAAGAGAAAAAACTCTTTATTATGGACAATATCGAATATATACAAAAACAGTGAGATAGTAAAATAAATCCCGTTGCAGTTGTTACCTTGTTTCAGTATTGTCAACTTATGGCCAATTTGGTTTCATCTTTACCTCTGCCTAATCCCCCACCTAACTCTAGTTATTTTGAGGGAAATCCCAGACATCATATCATTTCATCAAAAATATTTCAGTATGTATCCAAAATAGATAAGGACTTTTAAAGAACCATGGCCACAATGCTATTTTCAGTCCTAAAAGAGTTGAAAAGAATACTGTAATACTGTCAAATATTCTAGTATACACATTTTTCTAATTCTCTCATAAGTTTTTGTTTTGATATACAATTTCTTTGCTTGAATCAAGATTCAGTTGGTTAATTTGTCTTTCCAGTCTCCATAATCTACTGAATATCTTTCTCCATCTCTTTTTCCCCCCCTCTTGTAATTTCGTTTTTGAAGAGATCAGGTCATTTTTCCTGCAGAGATTCTCACAGTCTAGATTTTCTTGATTACATTCCCCTGATGTCATTTAACAGGTCCTTCTGTCCCATACATTTCATCTAAATTGGTAGTTAAATCTAGAGACTTAGGCTTAATTTTGTAGCAAGAATATTTCATAGACAGTATGTGTGTTCCTCCATCATGAGGTACACGATGTCTACTTGTGTTCCCATTTGTGATGCTAACCATCATTGCTGATTATTGCCTAGATTCAGTAATTCCTTAGGGGTTACCAAATAGTAATATTTTAATTTTATTTCTCTTTCCTCATTTATTAACTGAAATACTTCTTGTAGAGACATTTACAATAATCCATTCCTTGGTTGCCCAGAAGTACAAATAAATTCATTTGGAAAAGTCAGGATAAATAGTTCTTTCTATAATAGCTTTCAAAATAATGAATTGATTCTCAACCACCCTCCAAAGGGGACCAATTAGTTTTTTACTATCCCTGTGAACTTATGGGTTTAAACATATTTGATGTATTTCAATTAATTATCCTTACATACATTTAATATCCTTATTGACTTGTAAATTTTCCACCTTTGTCCATTGGGAGCCTGTTGACATTTGTCCATGGGTCCTTTTGACTCTTTAATGGCTTCCCTGCCATGAGGAGGGTTCCAGGCTCATCTTACACATTTCCTGCTCCAGACTTGTAATTAGCTACTTCCCTAAGGAACCCAGCTTACTGTGAGTGAGAAATGGTATTTAAAACCACAATCTGGGCACTGGGCATGCTCATTGCTACTGGGTTGGTCCATGTTTCTAGGTCTTTTCAGTAGTCAGAGCTAGAAATTATTATTGTTATTATTATTATAGAGCTAAAATATTTCAGGCATTCATGATGATCTTTCTCATTCAAACTTAGGACAACAGAATTTTACTTCATCAATTTTACATCCATATTTCCTTTCTTTCATGACAAAATTTCTGGTTCTTAATGACAACAACATAGGTACCTGTTTATTTTATTCCCCAGAATGCTCAAGACTGTTTCAGCATATTAATGACAATGCTACCACCAATGATATGATAAATGGTTTAATTTATTTTGCATTTCTTCTTTAGATTTTATCCCACTAGGATGTACAGTCAAATTCCTATTATCCACACTTATCTAGAAGTGTTCCTCTCTGTACGGTTGTCCTACCAACCTAAGAAGTATGATCAGTTGTTTCATTTTGCTTCTGACTTTTATATTTAAATGTTTATAGTCATATAAATTTTTATTTAGTTTATAAAAATGAGGTAAATATACAGTCCAAAGTCAAATCTACAAAATAAGGAACTTTCAGCGTTGTTCTCTTCATCCTGTTTTCTATTTCCAATGTAAACATTTATTTTTGTTTGTTTTACTTAATACTTTGAAAAAAGGCAAGAAAATGTGAATATATATTCGCAGGTCCCCTTTCTTAGATAAATGGTAGTATACTATGCACATTTTTATTATCTCACTTTTTTCTGAAGATTGTTCTATAACAGTATATAGAGATATTCCTCATTCCTTTCTTACGGTTGCATACTACTCAAATGCGTAAACATTTTATAGTTTGTTCTACCAATTTCCTTTTGAGAGCATAGTGCTATAATTAATAGTCTTTTGCATACTTTTTTCATATTTTTATTGGTTATCTTTTGGATAGATTCCTAGAAATGGAATTGCGAAGTCAAAGGGTAAATGCATACGTAACTTTGCTAGACATCATCAAATATCCCTCCAGAGGGGTAGTATTTCAGAGGGGTAATATTTTTCCCACCAGGAATGATGAAGGTGCCTGTCTTCTCACAGCCATACCAACAAAGTATGTTGTGGAATATTTTTTTTAACCAATCTGACCGATGAGAAAGGCCTTTCAGGGTAGTTTTAATTTGCATTTCTCTTATTAAGAACTAGGTTGAAGAGATTTTCATATGATTAAGGCTATTTGCATTTCTTTTTTCTGTAAGCTGTTCGTATCTTTGGCCCACTTTCCTATAGGGTTGTTAGTCTTCTCTCTATTTTTAGAATATCTTTACACATTAGAGATGGTAATACTTTGCCCATCATACAAATTGCAAGTATTTTCTCCCAGTTTATTACTTGTCTTGATTTTACTTCTCGTGTTTGTTTGTTTGTTTGTTTTGCCATCCAAAGGCTGCTTTTTTCGTGTTTTTTCTGTTTAATGTAAGCAAACTTTTTTTCTTCTTGCTTCCAGATTTTAATCATAGAAAATCTTACCCACTCTCAGGTTATAAAGAAATTCACTTATGTTTTCTTCTAATACTTACATGACTATATTTTTTACATTTTAGTCTCCGATTCATTCAGAATTGATCCTGCAGTTTGGTGTGAGGAATGGATCCAATGTCTTATTTTTCTATATGGTCAACCAGTTATCGTAACACCTTCTATTCAAAATAATATCTTTCCTCACTGTTTTGCAAAACTACCTTTATTGTACAATAAATTGCCACATACTTTTGGGTCTGTTTCTGGATTTTCTATTTTGGTTTCATTGATCTGTTGGTCTATTTATGTACTAATATCACACAATTTCATTTTTATAGGCTTTATGTTTGTAAGTCCACAGGGTGAATTTAGCCTAGCAAACTAATGCATAAAGGTCTTGGATTCAAAGGAGGGGAAGATCTAGGCAAGACACAAGTATCATCTTTCCCTCTTCTTTCGTGCTGGACTTTAAAACACGTGATGTCAGGATTTATGGCTGTTTAATTTTCATAATGTGCTTGGAGCCTAGTATGTGCTGAAAGAGCAGGCTTTGAATTTACAGACCAGTCACATATAAGAAAATATATTCTGTATGCCTCAGAAAGTCAGAGCTATAAACAGTGAGTATAAGCTGTAAGAGATGTAGTTACTCAATATCAGAAACATAAATTAGAACCATAAAAAAGATGCTAATGATACAGTGAGCTCCCTGTGTTAGGACATCTTCAAATATCACTAGAAAGATAGATAGAAAGATAGATAAACTTTATGACTGTAATACTAATGATTAATAGTAATATGACAGGTATTATATGTGAGATACTGTCCTAAGTGCTTTACATGTATTAATTCACTTAATCCTTGCAGTACCTTGAAATGTAGGTACTACTACTATCTCCACTTACAGATGGATATACTGAAGCACAGAGAGAGGTGATATAACTTGCTCAAGGTTACATGACTGGTAAGTGGTAAAGATGCGATTTGAACCCAAGAAAGGTGGCTTCAGAAGCCATTTATGCCTGGTCTAAGAAGGCATAGCGTTGTGGTCTTCAGTAAGAAATCTGACAAAATTTCTCATCACTTCCAGGTGGGTTCATTATTTATTCATTCATTCATCCTTCAAACATTCACTTTCCCCCTGCTGGGAAATTGGAGATGAATGACAGCCCCTGCCTTTGAGTGGCTCTCAGCCTAGCTGGAGAGACAACCACCTTACCATGTTCTGAGTACTCATCTCAGATTGTAGAAAAAGTCATGAGCTTAAACAGAATGTTTGACCCCTCCCTCCATTTTGACTTTGAGGACTTTCTGTGTTCTTTGATCTACCAATGGCAACAGTAACAAGTACACAACTCAACCTGCTACACCTTTTATGTGGTATTTTTTTAGAAATTGTTATTTACAAATCAAAAAATGCAAACAATTACTTTTTTTTCTCCAATCAATGAGTAATGGTAAAGACAATCAACTCAAGCTAAAGCAACAAATAAAAATGAGCATAGCAAAAACTATAAAAGCTAAAAAGTTTCCTGAAGAAATGAATATTAACATGATTTACATTTGCAAAATTTGATTCAGGAAAACTAAACTTGGTGGAAATCATTACCACCAAGAAAAACCCTGTGATGGAGGCCATAATTATAAAATGTGTTATGGATAAAAGCATACTGATAGAAGAACCCTATCTTAGTTGTAAAATCAATGCAAAAAAGTGTTAACCCCAGTGAAAATAATTCTGCTAAAATAAAACTAGAAAATTAGTATAGACGGAAATATTTTAATTTGGTCTATAGAAAATCGATGAAGAGAATCAAATTGGCTTAGTGACATTTACTCAAAAAAGAGTTTCTGAGTGAAAATTCATCACTGAGCATAATTCAGGTTAATGTGCTAAACGGCACAACCTGCTCAGGGTCAAAACGCAAGGCTGAAAGATCCTGATGCATTGCGAGAGCAGCAGAAGGGAGCAACCACTCCACCTGCGGAAGTTAGGTGGGGCTTCACACAGGAGGTGCCGTTGAGGCAGACTCCTGAGGAAGGAGTGAGCATCCTGAAGATGGGGATTTGACCTGTCAACATTGACCTGTCAAGGTCTGGGACGTCTGAGATTTGGTGTAATGATGTACACTCTTGGGCAACAGAAGCAGGTGCTTTATTCCATAAAGCAGACCCATTGTTGTACGGTGGAGTAAGTGTTTATGTGGTCTTAATATATATGTTTATCTAGGTGGTCTTCTGAGGCCAAGAATTTCATCCAAAAGGAACTTCCATTTATTGTATGCTATTTGGCAATCACTTGTGTGTATTATTAATTGTTGTACGATCCCTGTGAGGTCCATGCTGTTATCCCCATTTTGTAAATTAGAAACCTGGAGGAAATTAGAATAAATAACTCCCTCCTTACCCAGGACCACTCAAGATTAGAACCAGCCTGACTGGTTTTAAAATGAATGCCTTAATCACTAGGTTGTGTTGTTTTTCCATCTCTACCTTCGGGGTTTAAAATCACTGATGGATAAAGGTTAATTTCAAGGGTTAACTCCAGCCAGCATTGCTTTGGAAAATGACCACCGTACCATTTCAGTGCTCAGTGATTCAGCCACATCTCTCAGGAGTGCTGGGGCCTAAATCAGATGATACTACACAATGTCCTCACTGGACATGGCAGGAGACTTCAGAACTGGAGGGGTAACAGTGGAGGGCTGAGCCAGAGTCCACAGAGTCAGGAAGGAGACAGATGGGGGATTACTAAATGAGAGGAGCCAGAAAAGAGAGGAAGTCAGAAATCTGGGCTCAGGGGAGCAGAGACAAAGAGGAGGAAGAGAAAGCAAGGAAGGGTCCCTAGCAATTGCCTAGAACAGGCATCACTGCTATTTGAGACTTTAAAAAATATGTATCCACGGTTAAAGGGCTGGAAACTTTGCTAAAATTACCAGTGAAGGCAGTCCAGGCAGGTTAATGTGTACAGGTTAATGTGTGTTATTGAAGCACATGATAGACTGGGTATGTGGTTCTCCCCAAAGGCCTTGGACCTAGAGGTCTGAGTAATCTCAGCTCACTGTTAGTATCATGGCCGTTCTCAGCTAGCCATAAGGAAATTAATTAAAAACATTGGACACCACAGTTTTGGGTAAAGCAACCTCGTCTTTGCCCACACAGTTAGAGAGATGTGAGGAGAAGGGGGTCTGGGGACCAGCATTTTTCCTCTGCTGAAAAGGTCTCAGAAAACCACCAGATGCAACATCTCACAGAAAAGCTGCAAGCAGATTCTTTTATTTCCCATCCCTGGACACAGAGAAAATTAAACACCTTAAATTGGATTGTAGTTTCTAGTTGCTTCTAAATGTTATGGTTGGCTCAAGCCAGCTGGAGTTCAGAATAACCCGAGAGCTTGGGATAACATGTCTGTGCGTGTGTGTGTGTGTGTGTGTGTGTGTGTGTGTGTGTTTTGTGTGGATTGGGGCTGTTAGCTTTGCCACTGTTTTGTATCATTGTGTCATGAATTGGAATCCCTTTAGCATTATCCTTCAGCTGCTGTGGTGGGGTAACACCTAGAGAAGGCTGACAGTTGTATGGTGGTGTAAGTGTTTTTCTATGTGGTCTTCTGAGACCAAGAATTTCAAAAGACACCAAACAGATTTCAAGCTTGCAGGCCTTTGTGCTTCCAAAGGGAATTTTCCCAATGACCCAAAGCCTTAGCTGAGTCATTGTCCATCTGTTCCCTTAGAATTGTTTTGGATTTTAATAATTTCAATGATTATTAGAAGTCAAGACTTAGTCTTTCCTAGTTCTTATAAATGAGTTATTAAATGTCCAACAAAGATGGCATTGATATTTCAAACTCAGATGATGGAAGGTTTCAGGGTGCCATTGGCTAGAGAAGAATTTGAGATAGTTTGAGGGGGAAAATGTGGCAAGTTTGGCATTAGAAATAACAGTGGAAATAACCAAAAAGCTTGCATTATTCATCTGTCTATTCATTCATACAGTGAAGATGTATTATATTCCTTGTAACATGTAGTTGGTGTTAAGATAGAGAGAAATATAATACCTGGATTCAACAGAAAGCCAAAACTATAAAACTAAGGTAAAAAGAAAGAAAAAACTTTGAGGTAAGACAATGGGATCAGGTGCCCTCTATGTGACCATTTCTGAAAACAGAAGAGATTTTAAAATTGGACATGGGCATAGGAGATGGAGGCAGGGACAGTGTGATCCCACAGTCTCAGAGAAGAATCAGCCAGAAAGATAGGAGCTGTATTGGTGGAAAATCACAGATGTTAGGGAAAGGCAGCATTTCAGAACTCAAACAGGCAGGCAAACATGAATACTAATGATAATAGCTACCATTTGTTGAACATTTATTTTGTATTTAGTGCATTTATTCAATAAATATTTATAAAGCACCTACCATTCTAGATGCTGGGCCAAGCACTGGATATGCAGTGATGAATGAGATAACTTAGGTTTGCCCTCATAGAACTTATATTCTAGTGAGTTTTATGCTGTATGTCATTTACCCCTCCCAAGAATCACAGGAAACCAGAATTACTGTCACCGGTTTACAGATGAGGCCACTGAGGCTCAGAGAAGTTAAGGAACTTGCCCTGGTCCCAAGAGAAAAAGTGGAGGAGCCTGGATTTAAACACAGTTCTGTCCAAAGCCTGTGAACCAACAGCCTGTGCTCTGAGAAAGCAAGTGGAGAAAAGGCATTAGACACAGCCATAAGAAGGCTTTGGGGGGAATAGTTGGAGTCAAGGGGAAGTGATAGAAGACAGATTTCAAAGGTCTAAGGAGGGAGTGGGTGGAGATTGATGGAAGGCGGAGAGTTTAGAGATTGTATTTGACCAGAAAGGGAGGCAGAGGGACTCCTTGGAGATTGTATTTGACCAGAAAGGGAGGCAGAGGGACTCCTTGAAGACTGGGAATCTAGTGCCTGCTTGCAGGCAGAGGGCAAGTGCCTGAGCCTTGAGAAAGTACAGACTTGACCTTGAGAGAGTAGTTGAAATTTTGTTGCCTTCTAGGTGGTCAGCTGTAGACAGACCTTCTCCTGGGAACTGTAGGGCCTGAAATTCCCAAGGTCTTTGAGGTCGGAGCAACCTGAGGCCTCTGAGGCCAAAGCATCTGCGATTTGAGGGTGTTCCCTAGCTGGTGATTTCCATATACAAGGACATTTCGGTACCCCAAGCAGCCAGTCTAGAACCAATTGGTCTGCCCCATACCCAGCGGCTCCAGGAAGGCATCTGAAAACATGGAGCAGGAAGCTCCGTGGCTATTGCGTGTTATCCCCTAGCACACCAGCCAGCCGTGGAGTGACTCTTTGCAATTACAAACCAGCAGCTGAGTAGACGCAGTTTAAAAGTACGTTGTAAAAGTTTTATGGTTAGTGAAGATAAGTGCAAAATTAATCCCTACAGAACAAAGCAATTTAAAAAGTACATAATGAAGTGATTAGCTAGAAATGGTGGGGAGCAGAAGGAGAGTGCCCAAGAACAATTTTACTCAGGAATGGTCTTCACACTTTGGTTTTTTCAATTGCATTCAATGAGGGAGCTGTATAAAAGAGAGATTAATAACATGCACAAACGAGGTAACAATTGATGAAGGATTTGGGGAGTCAACCTGAAGGAAATTTTTACCTTCTTAAAAAGTTTGGATGAAGGGGAAAAATAGCTATAAAGGCTTTGATTGGGACAATTGGTGAACTTTGATTATAGACTGGGGATTTGATAATAGTCATGTATCAATGTTTAATTTCCTGAATTTTGGAAAAAAGCAAAAACAAAAGCCAAAGAAACCTGGAAGCTCACAATGTATGTTAAAGCTCCCCAGAGTCATTTTCTGTCTCCCTTTTGTTTCCATTTTTGTTCTTTGTTCTTCTTTAGCTGAGTCTGCATGCTGGTCGGTATCAGACCCTGGAAGGTAGCTTCTTGGCCACCATTACATTGTTATTCTAGTTTTCCTGGAAGAGACCACCAAGCAAGGCCAGAATCATTTCCTCAGAAGAACTGCCACAAACTGAGCAAGGGTTCCTTCTCCTCCTCCTCTGACACTGCTGTGGTTTTCCTTGGACAAGATCCGATATTCATAAATCTGAAGTTGCAGAAGGAGGGGTCAGGGGCATCTCCAAATACAAATGTTCTTGGCTTTGTAAAGCAATGCAAAGGGCAGGGTACCTGTGAGCACATTTTTTTCTAGTGCTGTAGGTGCTGGTATCCAGAAATTACCCTTACACACAAGTTTTTCTATAAAGTTTGGTATCCAGAAATTACCCCTGCACACAAGTTTTTCTATAAAACAAAGCCTACCTGTATACAAAGTCAGTCCTGAAAATAAAGAGTTAACCCCTGGTGTAAATGGCCCAGGAACACCATTCACTCCTTTAGGTCTTGCCTCTCTCTCTTTCTGTCTGTCTAGTTTGGGAAAGTTCAAGAGACAGGGCTCTGGTCTCTGGAGCACTGAATGGTGGGGTGCTCTGTTTTATTCCTCAGGCCTGCTTCAAATGCTGCACATCAGGAGGTGAGGGTCTTGATGACTTGCTTAATTTTCACCACACTAGGATTGTAGTAATATAGAGAAATCATGGACTAGGGGAGGGAAAAGATTAGTAAGACCATGATTTTAAGACAGATACTTATTTGGGATTTCAGTGTTTCTAAAATCAGGTTGGACCTTATACATTTGGCATATATAAATAAATAATAAATATGTAAATAAATTTTAATTTACTGTCCAAACTAGAAGCTTTTGCGAGTGAAAGGGGGTGCTACTAATAACAGTGGAACACTAGGTATAAACCAGAATAGTCCCCAGCAAACCAGAACATATGGTCATTCTACTGAGAATTTTTTGTGCATGTTTAATCACCTCCTTAAATGCCCCATCTCCAATATAGTCACATGGGGAGTTACAGCCTCAGCATATGAATTTGAGGAAGGGGGAGACAATTCAGTCCATAGGGAGTGCTGTAACAGAAAAAACACAGTGTAAGTATCAGAAAGTCAGGGATTTTTTATATTTTGTTCTGTGGTAAGATTCCCATCTCCTACAACAAAGACTGGCACATAGTAAGTGCTCAGTAAATAATTGCTGAACTGCATTAAAGCAGAGGAGGGACATGCTCTGATGTATAATTTTAAAAAGTGGATTGGAGGGCAATACGGATTGAAGGGCAACACGACAACGCAGAAAGACCAGGGAAGAGGCTCTGGATGGAGATGCCCACACAAAAATAATAGGGACTTGGACCAGGATGTTGGCTGTGCAGATGGAGAGAAGTGATTAAATTCAAGCTATATTTAGGAGGTAGAACTGTCTGCTTTTGCCGATGTATTGGATGTGGAGAGGGAGGAAGAAGACATTGCTACAGATGAATTACAGGTTACAGGCTTCGGCTATTAGATGGATGAGGGGCAGACTAAGGGACAGATGGGGAGGCAGGGAAGAAAATCGGGAACTTCGTTTTGGACATGGTAAGGTTGAGATGCCTGAGACACATGAGAGTGAAGGTGAGACGTAGGCACTTGGGTATATAAATCTTGAGCTCAGAGGAATGTAGTGTGTTTTCCCCTGTCCCGAAAAGCTGTGGTATAGCAATAGTGAATCTTATCATCAGTGGAATATTATAGTGATAATAATTATAGCTGATACTTAGGGGCCTCTAAACTTCTTCCAGGTGATGAAATAAACTGTCTCTGTGTATTACTTCATTTAATTCTCACAGCAACTATCTTTGGAATTTATCACTTTTATCTCCATTTCATAGACAAGGAAACTGAGTGTTGGAAGGTGAAGTGAATTGCCTAAAGTCACCAGTTCAGCAAATGGGAAATGTAGGACTTGACACCAAGACTGTTTGGCCCCAGAGGCTATGCTCTGAACCATAATGACTTCCTGTCTTCCAAAAGGCAGGCTCTTGGATCCATATCTTACTGTGCTTCTAAATTATCCTGTGACCCTGAACCTTAGTTTGCTCACCTGGGAAATGAAGGGAGGTCCTGGTTAGGTTCCCTTCAGTTCTACTCTATTGCAGTATGCTGATCTCTTTTGTAAATCTGTATTAAATGAGAGTTTGCTATCGGTGACTTTCAGAGATGACACCAGTGATGATGCCCATGCTGACGATTCATTCTGATGTCTATGAAAAGAGCAAATCCTTTAAGAGAAGATGTAGCATACCAGTGTTTATAATCTGAGTTTCATTTGATTAAGAGGGGAAGCTCTTTAGAACAAATATCATTTCTGAGCGAGAGAATGTTCAGCATCTCAGCCTCATTTGTATCATTTGATAAAAGGGCCCCACTGAGCCAAGTGTGAGGATGATGCTTGAGCCAGACACATAGACACCAGACATTCCTCTGATGTCTGCTCCCCAGGCTTGGCCACATTGCCTCCCACCAACCCCATCTCAATGACACATCCATTACCTGCCATCAGTTGGCTCTATGGTGCTGGGAATGACAGAGTGTATCTACCCTGGATTTCAGAAAGAACCCTCCTGGCTTATCATGGCAACACCCTTTGGACACTCGTTTAAAGAGTCCTTCTTTGGGCCAGTGTTATCCTTTTGGGGGCATCTGGTATGGACGGCCAATTTGAATCTGACTGGGACATGCTAATGAGCCATTCATATGTGTGGGATTTGTTTCTGATTCGATTAAGCTTCAGAGAGAGGAAAGAAACAGCCACTGATTAGAGACATAAAAAAAGAAATACTTTAAGTGAGTAAGTGGTTCATCTTCATATAGGAAAGTATAAATTAAACATGGTCCAGGAGATGTGCTTTGAATAGCAGCTGGATAGCACAAGCATGTCCACAAGGAGACGGTGCCTCACAGCAATTGAAAGGGACTTAACCCCCAAAAAGGGCTCTGAATATGCTGAGTAAATAGATGAGCCCAGTTAGCTGATAAAAATGACTCTCAGATTAGAGATGGGAAGGTTTTTATTTGGATTTTAGAAAATTGCTCCCCACTCCATCGCCGCCATATTGTCTGTGTGAGCAGAAGGGAGAGCGGCCACAGCCGCTGCCGCTTCCACCACAGTGTGAAGAAAACAGGTCTGAAACAAGGTCTTACCCCCAAGCTGCTTCTGAACACAGTGACTGCCAGATCTCCAAACATCAAGTCCAGCTTTGTCCGCCAACCTGTCTGACATGTCGGGACCCGTGCCAAGCAGGGCCAGAGTTTACACAGATGTTAATACACACAGACCTCGAGAATACTGGGATTACGAGTCACATGTGGTGGAATGGGGAAATCAAGATGACTACCAGCTGGTTCGAAAATTAGGCCGAGGTAAATACAGTGAAGTATTTGAAGCCATCAACATCACAAATAATGAAAAAGTTGTTGTTAAAATTCTCAAGCCAGTAAAAAAGAAGAAAATTAAGCGTGAAATAAAGATTTTGGAGAATTTGAGAGGAGGTCCCAACATCATCACACTGGCAGACATTGTAAAAGACCCTGTGTCACGAACCCCCGCCTTGGTTTTTGAACACGTAAACAACACAGACTTCAAGCAATTGTACCAGACGTTAACAGACTATGATATTCGATTTTACATGTATGAGATTCTGAAGGCCCTGGATTATTGTCACAGCATGGGAATTATGCACAGAGATGTCAAGCCCCATAATGTCATGATTGATCATGAGCACAGAAAGCTACGACTAATAGACTGGGGTTTGGCTGAGTTTTATCATCCTGGCCAAGAATATAATGTCCGAGTTGCTTCCCGATACTTCAAAGGTCCTGAGCTACTTGTAGACTATCAGATGTACGATTATAGTTTGGATATGTGGAGATTGGGTTGTATGCTGGCAAGTATGATCTTTCGGAAGGAGCCATTTTTCCATGGACGTGACAATTATGATCAGTTGGTGAGGATAGCCAAGTTTCTGGGGACAGAAGATTTATATGGCTATATTGACAAATACAACATTGAATTAGATCCACGTTTCAATGATATCTTGGGCAGACACTCTCGAAAGCGATGGGAACGCTTTGTCCACAGTGAAAATCAGCACCTTGTCAGCCCTGAGGCCTTGGATTTCCTGGACAAACTGCTGCGATATGACCACCAGTCACGGCTTACTGCAAGAGAGGCCATGGAGCACCCCTATTTCTACACTGTTGTGAAGGACCAGGCTCGAATGGGTTCATCTAGCATGCCAGGGGGCAGTACGCCCGTCAGCAGCGCCAATGTGATGTCAGGGATTTCTTCAGTGCCAACTCCTTCACCCCTTGGACCTCTGGCAGGCTCACCAGTGATTGCTGCTGCCAACCCCCTTGGGATGCCTGTTCCAGCTGCCACTGGCGCTCAGCAGTAACGGCCCTATCTGTCTCCTGATGCCTGAGCAGAGGTGGGGGAGTCCACCCCCTCCTTGATGCAGCTTGCGCCTGGCGGGGAGGGGTGAAACACTTCAGAAGCAACGTGTCTGAACCGTTGCTTGTGGATTTATAGTAGTTCAGTCATAAAAAAAAATTATAATAGGCTGAAAAAAAAAAAAAAGAAAATTGCTCCCCAAATCCCTATGACATTTAAGCTCATTGTCATTCTCTGGCAGCACCAGTGACAGTAATGGGGGCCAGAGATCCTATTTCAAAACAAAGAAGTGATTACAGTAGATAGCGCAGGTGTCAATGGGACCCTGATTTGGAACTTGCTAATACTTCTGTCTCTGAGTTTGGGGCTTCTATAGGGTTTTGGTTCCATAGATATGCCTGGACTTGAACTAGCTTACCTTCCCAGCCTTGTGCATCGGGAAGCTGTGAGGGTCAGATCCTTCTAGATTTTGTGTCCCCTTACAAGGGTTGGAAGAGTCTGGCTGCAGCCCTGGCCTCACCAGCTGGCTCCCTCTTGCGTAAGTGGAGTTGCCACAGGGCTTCTGTCTGTGGCTTTCCAAGGAACCTGGAGCTGTATGTCATCTTCAAACCTGGACCTTTCCTCTACCACCCTGGCTAGCTTCACCCTTGGTTTCCTGCCCTCTGCTCTGGTTCTGAGTTTGAACCAAACTCTCACAGCAGCCCGATGTGCAGGAGTCCAAATGTCCTGCCTGCCCCTTGCAGCTCCCTCTCTCACCCCTTGGGGCTAGATCTGCTCCCTGCATCCTCAGCCTCTAGTGGGGTACTGCTTTGAATGAACTCATCAGCTGGAATTGGGAAGCGGTCACCTTCCAGACACTCCATCTGTCCCTATACCTGGAGCTTTCTCATATGAGCCCCACACAATAGATTGAACCTCTGGAAACTGGTGCCTGCAGGGACCATGCCTCTTTGGTCACCTTGCCTCTTTACATACTGGCAGCATCACAGACTGAAACAGCAGCTCTCAGAACTGCTGGAAATAGAGGTTACCCAGGAAATGTCCTATTTTGCTCACACAGTCCCCTGAAGGCTGGCTGGGAGGCTCTCCTGTGCAGCTTTTCTCCAAGTAGTGACTTGGGGACTCTGATTGCTTCTCTTGTGGGTTCAGCATCTTTGAACTTCAAGTTCACCCTGGCTTAAACATCCAGCAGATGGTGGGGTGGGGAGTAGAAGTGCACCTAAGGAGACACACTGGATAGTCACCTGCCTTCCCCGGGAAGTGGCAGAGGCCATGTCCTCTCTCATCTCATCGATTTGCACCCTCCTGACTGCAAGGGGTGCAGGGAAATATGGAGGAGCACCCAGGTGTCAGTGAGCAATAGGGGTCTCTGCCACACCTTTGGAGACCACTCTACTCCTGGCTCAGTTTCCCAACCCCTGTATGTCAGAGCCTGACGTCTTCCTTTTTCCAACTTGTCTTGAGTCCCATCTGGCCTGAGTTTGAACAATAGTAATCAGGCCTGTTGGCTGATATGAGATTTGAGGTAACCACGAATAAGCCCTTCTTGGTCAGAACCATTAAAGATAACTTCTAGTCTCAATGACCACACATTTGCAAAGCAGTCCTCCTGGAATGTCCTTCCCTGAACTCCTGTGGCCCAGTCATTATAGGCAGAGCACTGGGTCCAAGGAAAAGCCAGGCCCCCTGTATGGGATGGGCCAGTTTGCTGAGAATGACACATTACTGTTGCCCCTCTAACTTGACCCTGGGTTTCCTGTGGGTAAGCAGCTGTTTCAGCAAATCCCAGATTCCTGCAAAACAGCCTTTTAAGTTTTTCTTCATGGAAAGCTTCCAGACATTCCAGCCCAGCTTGTCTCTCCTTGGAATTCTGCCCAATGAATCCTGCTGCCTCTGATAGTTATGAGGGATCCCTTTCAAACAGAGGAACTGCTTCAACTGTTTGTTAGGGCTAACCCAAATGTTCAGACCCCTTCAGGGACACCTTCCAAGAAAAAGCATCATTTTTTTTTCCAAGCAGCAATTCCACACAGAGGACTCTTCGGAAGTGTTGATTGCAAGAAGAGGGCTTGGGAAACCATATCCTCAGGGAGTGTTTTTCTGCAGGCTCTGATGAAAGGAATAAGCATTGTCAGATTTTTTAAATGTTCTCTTACACTAAAATACATTAAAATAACTAAATATGTACCCCAGGAAACCTGGGAGAACACCAAGTAAAGTGCACTGAGGATAACGCAGAACTAAAGCCTAGCTCTGGTTCCTTCATTCGTGCAATTTATATTTTTTTGAGCACCGCTCATGTGCCAGCCCTGTTTAGTGTCTTGGTGAGGACAAAGTTGACATGAGCCTTCTCTCAGAGTTCGGTATTGTGGGCACATAAACAACAAAAAACCTCTCTCTCACTAGTAATCAGGGGAGGTTGCAAATTAAAACTGCGGTGAGGGAGAATTTCTTGCCCATCAGATTGGCAAAAATTTTAAAGTTGGACAATGTCAAATGTTGGCAAGGATAGGAAGCAATATGAGCCTCATCCATGCTGGTGGGAGTATAATGTGATCCACATTATTTGGAACAGTGTCACTTTTCCTAGGAAAGTTGAACATGTGTATATAACCTATGCTCCAGAAATTTCAGTGAGATAAATACATGGAGGCCTGCCCACTCTCGTGCACCAGGAGACACATACAAGCGCGTTCCGAGGAGCACCATCCGTAATACCGGAAACAAGACTGTCGACCAACTAAAGAGAGCATAAATAAATTACTGCATATTTATACAATGGAACACTATGGTGATGAAAATAAATGAAGCAAGAAGCAAGTTGCAGGATGTGTACAATCTGGTTCTATTTATATAGCGTTCACAAACAGGCAAAACTAAACAATGTGCAGTGTAGGTTTATGGCAAGGAAATTATTAAAAAAATTCAGGATAATGGGTTACCTCTGGGGGTAAGGAAAAGCACTCAGAGGTTTCTAAGGTACTGCCAAAGCATTGCTTCTTAAGGGGGGTGGAAGATCAACAGTTGTTCTTTGTACTATGTGTCTTTAAGCTGCACACACACACAGAGTTATCACACATACTGTGCAAGAGGACTTACAGGTGATATAGGAATGCATAGCCAAGGCATGAGCCAAAACTAGGGCAGCCAGGGAAGGTAGGTGGGAATTAGCAAGGGAAATAAGTGTATACGTGGTAGGGGCATGGGAATTTCCAGTAAAGAGAGTGGCAGAAAGAGGGGACAGAAACCCAAGAATGTGATCCACCTATGTCCATGGCATAACTGGACATAACTAGATGGCATGAGAGATGAGGCTGCAGGAAAGAGACAGGGCCAGTTCTCAGAGGTCTTGCAAACCATGTTAAGGAATGTGCTGTTATCTGGAGACTAAAGGTTACCAGTGTGGGAGTGAGATATTTTGGAGGGAGGTTATCTCCACACTGACATTGTCTTCATCCTGGCTGCTCTGTTGCACGCCCTGAACCTGACTTGCTGATGGCCTCTGGCTTTTGTGTTGGCCTTGTCCAGATTTGACCTCTCTTCCTTTTTTTTTTTTTTTTTTTTTTCCTGAGACGAAGTCTTGCTCTTGCCACCCAGGCTGGAGTGCAATGGCGCGATCTTGGCTCACTGCAATCTCCGCCTCCTGGGTTCAAGCGATTCTCCTGCCTGAGCCTCCTGAGTAGCTGGGATTACAGGCACCCGCCACCATGCCCAGCTAATTTTTGTATTTTTAGCAGAGATGGGGTTTCACCATGTTGGCCAGGCTGGTGTCGAACTCCTGACCTCAGGTAATCCACCTGCCTCAGCCTCCCAAAGTGCTGGGATTACAGGCGTTAGCCACCATGCCCGGCCCTCTCTTCTCTTTCTTATTCCCATGCAGAGCCAGGATAGAATGAGGTGAGTGAAATGCCCAGGGTACAAAATTGGAGGATGCCTGGAGTGTCAGTGTCCTGCCCACCCCTATTATTTGCCTACATCTCTGACCGTTCAGCCACTCTGCGAGTGACTTTCTGGTCTTCTGCCAGCTCTCCCCAGCCCTCAGCCTCAGCCTGCATCCACCTCGTCTTCCTCCCCATAGCCTGCTGGTTTTGGCTTTTCACTCTTGTCTCTGCTTTTGCAGCCAAGTTAGGCGAGACAGTTACACGTAAAAAGATAATTAACCACATGAGCCAAGAAATAAGGACCACATGAGTCGTACAAGTCATTAGTTCCAAGAGTTTGGAGGAGCTGGGCCAGGCCGGCTTTGGATGGATGTGGAGAGCAGGAAGGAGGCTTTCTGGGCTAAGAGAACAGTGGGAACAGTTTGCCAAGAGCAAAGAGCTCATTAAAAGTCATAAGAAGATGAAAGCTGCACAGTATCTGAGATCTGATCTTGTGGATGTGGCTATGAAGTACAAGGCTGAAGTGCCACCAACCCCAGTCCCTTACCCATGGTAACCGTAATGAATAAATTGTGGCATACTTCTCCACTGAGACTGGACAGAGCCTCAGAATTCTTCCCAACACAGTGCTTCAGAAGGATATTAACAAGCAAATGGATTTCACACAGGAGTGTAAACTCATTTGCCATCCCTGTCATAGACTATGGAGCAGTCATGAGTCTTGGAGTAGAAGAGATTATCAAACTACATCCCATTGCTTTGTCTACTATGTGTCCCTATTTTAACCCAATTTACAACTCTCAGTTGTGTCTCAAGTACTGGGCATCATTTGAGGCACTGGCTAGAAAATGCAAAATCACAGAATACAAAAAGTAGAGGGGACCTAAGACAACATTGAGTCCAGCTCCCCCATTTGGCAGCTGGGGGAAATTGAGGCTTGGGAGCAGGAGGCTTGTTTGTGTGAGTGGCCAATACAAGATGTAACCCTGACCTTGTACCAGTGGCTCCTCAGCCTGGGATAAGAAAGTGATCTGAGCCTCCCTGAGAACCCACTACATGCCCGCCTTTGCTCGTGGGAGCTTGTCATATACAGCATCTCTTTTAAACCTGGGGAATCATTATTCCCAAGAAAAAGCTGACATCCAAAGACAGGTCCAAGTCAAAGACTAATATATGACAGAGCCAGGATTTAAACCCTTTCCACCAGCCCCTAAGACCTCCATGCTTTCTTGTATTTCTGGGTGGGTGTTTCAAGCCTCTTCAGAAGCGATAACAGTACTAGGGTTTTCTGGGAAGGGCCGGTGGTGAGTGTGATTTTGCTCTGCCCCAGGTAACTGTTCTCTACAATCCACTTTAGGGTCTTGGCCACATGTGGGAGGTGGTCCCAGCAGCTCCTCTGTAGGCATATCTGAGCATTTTGTGAGGTTGGAGCCTTTCTCTCCAGTGAGTTCATGGTTCCACAAGAGGAAGCTGCCTGCTATCGCCTGTGCTCATTTGATGACTTCCTAGGTTTTACGACATTAATTTAAGCTCTGCAGCCCAAGTAACTCTCTTTGATTGCAGCAGTATGCGCTTAAATGTCAGAGCTTTGCTGAAAAACCACTTGAGTTTGAAGAAAGTCATTGTGTTCAGTAAAATCTAGCCACATTTTATGTTTATGACCTTTATTAGGGCATCCCGCTGAGCTAGTTAAAACCATGCCTGTATAGTCAGTGAAAGCCCAGGACTCTCAGATTCCTAGATTCACTCATTCAAATAATAGTTATTGAATATAGACTAAGTGGCAGGTGCTGATGTATACAGTGGTAAACACACAGACACGATCCTGTTTCCATGGCACTTATAGTCCAGTGAAGGGAGACAGACATTTAAAGAATAAGTACAGAAGTAAAAGTATTTTGAGTAAGTGTTATGAAGAAAAAGGCAGGGCACTAAAGATATTCAGAGGGGATCTAATTTACACTGGGCAAATCAAAAGAGGTCGTATTTGAGCTGGGTCGTAAGTGGGGGATAAATTATTCAGGACGTGCGATAGCAGGTGCAAAGGCACAGAGAGAAGAAAGAACTTAGTGTAGTCAAGGAACGTGTTGCTCAGTGCCCGTCAGAAGCCTCAGGACCCAGCCTTGTGCTGATGTGCCGTCAAGTATGCCCAGTGCCTGCAGGACTCAGCACATGCCCTCACCATCGTATGTGTAAATTAGGGTCTACATCTTGGTGGTTTCTTCCTGTGCCCTGTTCCCTGCGACCACACCTGCCTTCTCTGTTTCCAACCCTTGGTGTTCATTTCTCAGGCACCCCTTTGGTACCCAGCTACCTGCCGTCTCTCCCTAGGCATCTCTGTCTACGAGAGCTCAGGATGCCAAGCCATCCCTGTACCCACACTTCATCCCCTGTCCAGCTGCCCTGCTTCCCCAGCACAGGCCTTCCTGTGTATATCCTCCCTCTGGTTTGGGGCTTGCTCTATCGTGCCATTTGCAAATTGGACATTTAATGTGCCAGGCCCAGCTCCCTTTCTCTCCCTTCCTTATCCCCTGCCCCTCCCAATCCTCCACAGAAGCTCCATGATGTCATTCACCATGAGGTCCAAATGCCAGTGACTTCCTTTCTTATCCTTTGTCTACCATCCCAGAGGGCCTCTGAGATGAGCTGTGGGTATGACTTTTGAAATTCTCTCTTGGGTCAAGCCACTGGTCAGTGGAGCCACTTATCTCCCAGGAGTCAGCCAGCACAGGCTTTCTCTTGTTTGCTTCAGTGCCACTGGGCAGGGTCCAGAAGTGGCAGGGTAAACATGCTGAGTCCACATCTTCTGGCTGCAAAGCCCAGATGCTGCCAAGAACCCAAATGCCATGGCCAAGGCAGAAGCTGTTACCTTCTCTATAGATGAGTGCCCTTTCATAGAAGGGAGGAGACTGGAAATGTTGACCAGTGCTCCCTGTCTCTGAGAAGGGAGCGTTGTGTACCCCTCTGCTGGGCTGGGCATTTGGGAAGAACCCTGTCTTCTGTGGCCTGTTTGCTCCCCAAAGGTGGGTGTACAGGACCGTCCAAATAGCAGCAACGTAATAATTATTAAATTATTATGAAATAATAATAGGCACACACACAGACTGAGGGCTTCCAGTATCCTGAGCACTTCAGCAGGGGCTCCCTGAGCCCACAGCCTGGTGTGGTATCCATTGTCATGGGTGTTTGTTAGCCAAGAGGTTACATAGCCCGACACCACTCCACAAGCACTCGGTGAGGCCAGATCTGGCCCAGATGGCCTGTCCCCATGTTCAGGGTGTCTTTGCTTCCTTGACCGCCATCCACATAGTGCTCACACTGAGGTAGGCTCAGTGTTAAACACTTACCCACACTGCATCCCCTCACCCACAGGGCGGAAATGAGGCTTGGGAGGGAAGTAACCTGCCAAAGGTGACACAGCAGCAGGTGACAGAGGACAAATGTGAATCCAGTTCCCACAGACTCCAAAGCTGTGCTTTCAAGTGCGACATGCTACTCCCACCTGGCCCAGATGCCCCACCTCCCCTGGAACCCAGGATCTCTTTTGAGCACCATTTAGCACGTGTCTAAGGGACAATTTGGTGACAAGTTTGAGAACATTTTGCAAGAGGGAAGGAGGTGATTAAACAAGCAATTGCAATGGTGTTAGTTCAGGGAACAAGGCAGGACCACACAGCACACCAGGTAAACCTAGCGGAAGGGGGTGCAGCAAAGTGACAGTGAACTGAGGCTTGGAGGATGAGTCAGGGAGGCAGGCAGGGTTGGGTACGTCATTGCATGTGCAGAAGTCTGAGGTGAGGGGAAAAAGACCCATGTGAGAGGAAGTAAAAAAAATAGCGTGGCTACAGCATAGAGGCTGTAGCAGAGAGTGTATTGGGGAGCACAAGGTCAGGGCTGGAGGGGTGGTGGGGGGCAAGCCCAGATCAGGGGCTGTGCCAGGGGCATGGTGCAGGAGAGGCAGTGGTCCAGCTTACACCTTCAATCACTCCAGTTGCTGAGTGGAGAAGAGCTTGGAGAAGGAATATGGGAAGAGGGAGGTCAGGTGTTTGGAGTCTGTGGCAGAGTCCAAATGAGAGATGATGACGACGGCCTAGACAAGGGAGGTGGCTGCAGGGATGGGAAGAGGGGAGTGAATTCAGGTGCTGGACAGTCATGCCGCTCCTTGTACCGTGTCTAAAGGCACGATGGGAGGAGCCGCACCACCATTCTGATTAGAATGACGGCAGATGTGCCCACTCTAAGGTGAAATGGTGAACCTACTCTTTAAGAAGCAGGTCTTGTAATAAAAGAGTTTTGCTACGACTCATGCTCTGTGTTGTATTGTTGAAATATGTCAAGCAATAGCCACTGTTCCAGTGGCAAAAAGAATCATTACCCTGACTCTTTGTGTTGTCAATAACTTCTTCATGGGATTCACAGGCTTTCATAGAGAACCTGAGCAAAGTGAATTGGAAATCAGGACTGTCCCCAGAATGTACAGGTCTTGGGAATGGAGGTGCACAGCCTGGGGCCTTCACCGCCACCTTCTCATGATCCTCAGAACCATTCCTGGATGTGGGAACTCCTTTCAAAGCTTGATCATCGTGGGGGAAGTGTTGGCTCTTCGTTGAGTTTCTTTGGGATCAGACAGATCCTTTTGTCTTAAGTATCAGCTGTGTGTTCTTGAGCAAGGGACCTTCCTTTTTTTTATTATTATTTTTTATTTTTTTTATTTTTTGAGACAGGGTCTCACTCTGTTGCCTAGGCTGGAGTGCAGTGTGACACCATCAGGGCTCACTGCAGCTTCCACCTCCTGGGCTCAAGCGATCCTCCTGCCTCAACCCTCCAAGTTGCTGGGACTACAGGCACGTGCCACCACGCCCGGGTAACTTTTTTTGAAATTTTCAGCAGAGATGAGGTCTCACCATGTTACCCAAGCTGGTCTCAAACTCCCAAGCTCAAGTGATCCACCCACCTCAGCCTCCCAAAGTGCTGGGATTACATGCGTGAGCCACCGCAACTGGCAAGGGACGTTCTTTAGTTTCCACTTCCTCACTTGGAATTGGGCATAATAACTGCCTCACAGGGTGATTCTAAAGATTCTGCTGTTCAGCTTGATAGTAATAGCTAAGAATGACCACATGCTTATTATGCACCAGGCATTTTTTAAGCACGTTGCATGTAATTGCTTTAATTTTCTCAGTGACCTTCTGAGATAGATAGGTACTCATGATCCCCATGGAGAGGAGGAAACAGAAGCACAGTGAGATCAAGTGGCTTGCCCAAGGTCACATAGTAGGCATGGAGCAGAGCCAGGATGTGAACCTGAGTAGTCTCATGGCCAGCCCTGTTCATAACCCACCCACCATGTTTTGCTGCCTTCCTGAATGTACAGTCCAGTGCCTGGCACATAGGAGACGCTCAATGAGGATGTTAGTTTCCTTTCTATTGGTCCTAAGTTATAAACTCAAGGCAAAACAAGCTTAAGTGAGTGATAAATCAGTAAGCCACCTTCCAACTCCAACAGCCTAGAGCCTATAGGGGCCAACTGGTGTGACATGGATGGGTGAAAGGGAAGGCATTCCCTTCCTAACTAACACAGGGAAAACAAGCTAAATCCAAATCTGGCTTTATCCCAGACTTATTGTTGTTGATGGGTACATGTTATATATCTGAACTTCATCTACCAAGTTCATGGTGATGTTGACAGTATCTGGCAAGTAATATCTACTGTCCACCAGGAGATCTTGATTACTTTCCCTCAGAAGCCACATTCATCAGCTCTAACCAGGTATTTCAGATTCACCTGAAATTCAGTAAATGTCAGCCATTTATACATTGATTGATTGACTGATGAAGCATCTATCATTTATTTATTCAGCAAGTACTTATAAAGTACTTCTACGTACTTGGCCTTTTGTTAGGTGAGTGAGTGAGATATAGGTTTTGCCCTCCAGGAATACACGATCAGTGAGTGAGGCTGACCTATAAGCAGGTAAGTTGTGATATCAAGGGCTGTGGGGGCCAGAGGAGGGAGAAATTGGCTCTACTCTGAATATCGAGCAAAGACTCCACAATGTTGGGGCCATATAGTCAAGGTCTTTTTAAAAAAAAAAAAATTTTAATGTTTTAGAGACAGGATCTCACTATGTTGCCCAGGCTTGTCTCACACTCCTGGGCTCAAGCGATTCTCCCACCTTAGCCTCCCAAAGTGCTGAGATTACAGGTGTGAGCCACTGTGCCCAGCCTGATCAAGGTCTTGAGAGGTGAATTTTTTCAGCTGAAGAAGGAGTTGGGGGCAGTGGGGCATTCTAAAATTACCAGCAGAATGGAGCAAAGCCTAGAAGCACAAAAGAGTGCAAGTTCAGGAACATTGAAAGGTCAGGATGGCTGGAAAGATTGTAGCGAGAGCTTTGAGATGCTGCCCATTAACACTTAGAATGCAAAGGTTTATCTTTCAAAATCTAATTGCATTCGGATCAATCTCCTATTCACCAAGGTTGCTAAGAAGTTTAATATCATTTCCTTCTTTGCAGCGCTCTCCCTCAGATTCAGTCAGAACCCAGAGCCTCGGAAAGATGCACTAGAAGAAGGGTGTCTGGTGACACCCTTCTCTGTGGTGATCACTAATTCTTGTCCAGGCCCATGTGGTCCATTTGAAGAGGAAGTCTCTGCTGGGAGTCTTGCTGGTTCTCCTTTATGTCAACCACTGCTGCAGACTATCATCAAGGGTTTTGTTAACTTCTCCCCCAAGTGCAAGGAGAATTCAGATCTTTGGAACAAAATGTCTGGTCTCTTTTTTTGGTGGGGTAGGGCTCACAGGTGGAGGGAAAAAGTGCATTCATTTTTTTTGTTGGTAAATCCACAGCAATAAGAGCCAATATATGAATTAATGACTCCATAGCCATCCTGCTGCTATAGGAGCAGAAATCAGGTATGGCCTACTCCTTCACAGAGAGTGATCTGGGGAGTCAAGGTGAAGGGGCTGACTTTCTTCCTGCTCATGTCAAGTGGCTGCCTGAGGCCTGGTGTAGAAAGGCAGAGCCAGGCAGGCTCTGACAAGTGGCTCCATGTCTTCTGCAGGTGTGGCAGTGTGGCGGGAGTGTGGAGGTCCTGCCCTGCTCACGGATTGCCCACATTGAGCGAGCCCACAAGCCCTACACAGAGGACCTCACCGCCCATGTCCGCAGGAACGCTCTCAGGGTGGCTGAAGTCTGGATGGATGAATTTAAAAGCCACGTCTACATGGCATGGAACATACCGCAGGAGGTAGGGATCTCCGGTAGGGATGAGTTTCTCGGGGATTGGTGGAAAACAAACAAAACAAGATATGGGACCGAACCCTTCTTCCTATGGGTCAGCCAGAGTCCTGTTTGCCATGCAAGAATGGACTCTCAACCCCAAAACATATTATTTGCTGAAGAAAAGGGGCCATGAGGCTCTAAGCCATTTCTTATCCTGCTACCCTAATCCCTGGTCAGCATGCTTGATGAGGACTTCTCTCTGGATCTTAGTGTCCTAATTTTAAATGAGAAAGTTGGACAGGTAGCTCAAGTTTCCTTCATGCTCCCAGGTCCTCAGCTTCTCTGACATTAGATGTTTCATGGTCCTGGATTACAAATATACCAGTAACTACAAAAATTTACAAAAAGCATCTTAATCTTCCTACAGATTAGGTTCAAACTTCTCCATTGAACCTTTGACCAGAGTTATAAAGATCCACATGCCTTTCAGGTTTCTTGAGCCACGTGTATGGGGATGGGGGCACACCTACAGGGACCTTCACTAGGAGATGGAGTTAACCTTCACAGAGCCTCATCATTGCCTGCCACTGTCCTCTATCCCTCTGGTCACCTGTACTTAAGAAATGCCAGAGGAAAAGCAATGCTTCTCTGGTAGTTTTGTTTAGCCCTGCCATGTGTCAAGGTGAAACATGTGGAAATGACCTTGGACTACTGAGTTGAGAGAACCCAGCTCTACTACTGAGAGATGCCAGCCACATGATTCCAACCCACTTACCAGCCTGTCTGCCTAGAGTTCATTGCTTATGTTGCATTCTGTGTGAGACAGAGCTATCAGAGCTATTGACTACATGACCTCATTCTTTCCTCCCAAGGCCATGGCAATCCCTTTTGGAGTCCTTTAGGAAGCTTCTAATGGGGAAGTGATTGATCTTCGCTCAAAGTGATCATATGAAAGCCCTGTTACCTAAACTCTACACCAAGCTAATGTTGCTCTGGTTAAATGATTGAGGAAGTTGACTGGTTCATGGGTGGGAGCTTTTAGCCCACCTCCCAGCCACACCACCACCGTAGGAGAGGGGAACTTGAGTTGGGTTGCATACTCCCACAATCAGTGAGGTTTCAGCAGTTGGGAGCAAGAATGAGGAGCGGAGAAATATCAGCCAGAGTGCAGCCAACTCTAATGTACCAGCCCGGGATTGCATTCCTGACAGTAAGAGTGTTTCTGGGGAACTGCATTACCTTCTGGACTCATGGTCAGGATTGAATCACGGTATTCTGCACGGGGTGCCAAGCCCTGTGGTAGGTGTCCTGTGATGGCAAAATATTAAGAACACTTGGAAACTCCCCAGGAGCTCACCAGTGAGGCATAGCAGGTCCCCAGGTTCTGCTTAGGACTGGTGAGTGAGCATACTCTTACTGCCTTCTCTCTGTACCCCAGAGCTGCAAAACTTCTAGCCCTCTCCCCCTTGCAGCTGACAGGTGTTGAAATGCCCAGCAACCCAATGAATGGTAGAGAACTGAGTGAGTGAAAATAATTGAAAAATGATGAAATTCAGTGTCTGTCTGCGACTCCTCAAGGTGGTAGTTCAAATCAAATGGGTAGGGGGAAGTGAACACAAGACAGGTAAGAGGTGGAATTGCCCAGGATAAAGCCTTAGGTGGAGAAGGAAAGGATCAGTGTGTTTCCGAAAATAATTCTCTTTCCTCTCCTGTTCCCTGTGTCCAAATGTCCTCTCCTTCCTCTTATCAAACTTGTACAGAGTCAATATTTCTTCATCTCCCAATCCTTCTCCCAAGCTATATCCTGATACTTCATCAAGACTGCTTTGTCAAGGTCAACATAGGCCTCCCAAATGCTTAATTTAATGGACATTTTAAGGTCTTTAACCTATAGGATTTCACCTTTTCCTTGAATCTCTGTAGCTCCTTGGGTCCATGATTCCACACCCTGGAATCTTATCTCTCTCCATTTATTCCTAACTCTTCAAGGGCTCCTCTTACCTTCACTGGGTGCTTACATGCTCCATGGGGGATCCATCCTTGGCAGACTGCTCTCATTATTCCGCATCTCCCTGGGTAATATCATCTACTCTTGCATTGGACTCCCACCCATATGCTGCCTTCCTAATTAATATCTCTACCCCTGATTTCTGCCTTCACTTTCAGACTCACATCTCCAACTGCCAGCTGGACATCTCCTCTTGGCCATTCCCACAGGCACTCAGAATGACTCTGACCAGCCAAACCCATCTTCTTCCTCCAGATCTGCTCCTGTTCTCATCCTGTCTCAGTTCATGGTGCCACCATCTTCCAGACATATGAGTTTGAAAATGACATCATCCTTCAATCTTCCTCTCTCTCAATGCCCTGTCCCAGTCAATCACAAGCCCTCCTTCCCACCCCGACCTCCCCTCATGTCTGCATTCAGGCCCTGTTTTTTTCTCTGCCACAAGCTTCAGCTGGTTTTCCTGGCTCAAGTCTTTATCTCCTTCAAATCTATCCTCTACAATACCCAAAGTTATCTTTAAAACACTCACAACAACCATGCCATCGCCCTGCTTAAAATCTTTAAATGAGGCCAGGCGCAGTGGCTCATGCCTGTAATGCCAGCACTTTGGGAGGCTGAGGTGGGTGAATCACTTGGGGTCAGGAGTTCAAGAACAGCCTGGCCAACATGGTGAAACCCCATCTCTACTAAAAATACAAAAATTAGCCAGGCTTGGTGGCACATGCCTGTAATCCCAGCTACTCAGGAGGCTGAGGCAAGAGAATCATTTTAACCTGGGAGGCGGAGGTCCCAGTGAGCTGAGATCGTGCCACTGCACTCACTCCAGCCTGGGTGACAGAGCGAGACTGTCTCAAAAAAAAAAAAAAAAAAAAAATCTTTAAATGACTCCTGCTATGTACAAAATCAAGCACAAAGCCCAGTGTTTGGCATGGCATCAAAAGTTCCCATGCTTTCTCCTCTGCCTGTATTTTAACCCCACTGCCTGTATTTTAATCCCACTGCCTACCACTCCCTGTTTTGAAGTCTGCATACGTTGCGTGGACTATGGGAACTGCCCATTACATACCGTCCATGCCATGCTGTTTCTCACACCTCGGTGCTTGTTCATCCTGCTTGGAATTCCCTACCCTCTACCTCTTCCTGTATGACCACCCCTACTAAATCTTCCCCATCCTTTGAGACTCAGCTCCAGGGGTCCCTCCTCTAGAAAGCCAGCTCCAACTGGGGGAAGAGCTCCCCCTCCTAAATATCTCTCTGTCATTGCATGACCAGCCTGTGAAAGAGTGTTCTGTTATCTAAAAGTCTCCCTCTCATTAGAACAGTGGCTTTCAAATCTGGCTGAACTTCAAAATCAGTTGGGTTCCACCCCCACAGATTACCACTTAACTGGTTTGGAAGGGGCCTCTGGGATCTGTTTTTTGGGAAAGTTCTTCAGAACCACTGAGAACCACCACAATACACCATGGGCTCTCTGAGGACAGACTGCTTTATTCATTTTTGTGTCATTATATCTAGCACAAGGCAGGGCGCATGGTAAGAGCTTGGTGACGCCTTGCTAACGCTTATTAATGAGTGAGTTTGCTGGCAGTGTGAGTAATCCCTCTCTCCCTTGGTTAGTGACTCCTAAAAGCAGATCTTCAGACCAACTGCATCAGAATCGCTTGAAGAACTTTTAAAAAAATACTCATCTGGGTCTCATCCTCAGAGAGGATTTTGAGCGGTAGGTGCCAGAATCTACAAAAAGCCCTCCAGATGAGAGTTTAGGGTGGCCAGGTTTGTGTAACACCCATTTAGCTAGTCCTTCTCATTTTTTCAAACCCACAAGTGTTGCTTACTCCAGGAAGCCCTCTTTGACTGTTTACCTCCTCCTTTGCCCCCAATCCTGGCCTCCACACAATGTAAGAAGAATGAGGCCCCTCTTCTATTCTCTCTTTCACTTTCTCTTCTTTCCGTGCCTCACACTTGTTCACAAAGAGTATGTTTACTTGTCTGAAACTCCCAGACTCTCGTTTCAGGCCGAGAGTGTGACATATTCCTATTTGTATACACAGTGTTTACGATAGTGTCTGACACATAATAAACAGGTGCTTGGTAAAGGTCAGTTGGAAAAGAAGGAGGATGCATGGATGCTATATGCTTCACACAGTTTCCCTAGGAGGTTTACCCCCTGCCTCTGAGATAGCTATGCCCCAATCCCTTTTCCTCAGCTGCAAGCACATCTGTTCCCAATTTAACCTTTGGTCTACAGCATCCCAGCTGCAAATATGGAGCTGGAGCCCTTCAACCCTTCCCAGGTGGCTGCCTTGAGAATTAAATAAGTTAATACATGTAAAGACTTTGATCAGTGCTTGGCACACAGCGCTAGGTAAGTGTTAACTCTTGTCGGTGATGTGATCGTTTATGCCCTGTACTTTCCTTCCACAGTTTTCAAATGTTCATGCTGGACAGACATCCTCTGCTTGTTGCCTTCTAAGCTGAGGCCTCCTCGGAACTGTGAACTGAGCAGAACTGGCCCTCTCACCTGCTCCCTTAGCAGGTCCAGTCCCCAACTTTTGAAAGGTCGAAGAGCCTCCACCTCTTGCATCCTGCTACTTTAATTGAAAATCAGTTTGTTTATCAATAAACAGAAAGTCAGTCTGCAGCAAAACATCAATATTTTCTTAAGCAGGGTTCAGGAGCTCTAGACTGCTTCTCTTGCCCAAAGACAGGCTGAGTGCCAGGGATGGCTTGTCATGTGCTTCAGTGATAGCCCTCCTTTAAGTCTGGCTACAAGGAATTTTGTGACTATGTGGCTGCAATACTGGGCACTTTTTATGTGGCTAAGTTAATATATTTGTTTCCTAGGGCTATGGTAACAAATTACCATGAATTTGGTGGCTTCAAACAACAGAAATTTATTCTCTCCCAGTTCTGGAAGCCAGAAGTCTAACATTCAGGTGCCAGCAGAGCTGTGCTCCCTCCAGCATCTCGAGGGGAGAGTCCTTCCTTGCCTCAGCCAGCTTCTGGTGGCCCTGAGGGGGTCCCTGGTTGTGGATGTATCACCTTAGTCTCAGCCTCTGTCTTCACATGGCCTTCTCCTCTTTGTCTCTATGTGTGTCCAGACCATTCTTTTTCCTCTTATAAAGATATCAGTCATTTTAGTCATATATAGTCACATACAGTCATAATTTAGGCAAGCCCCAAACGCAGGATGATTTCATTTTGAGATCCTGAATTAATTATATCTGCAAAGACCCTGGTTCCAAATTAAGTCCCATTTAGAGGTTCTGGGTAGACATGAATTTTAGAGGAGGCCACAATTCAACTCACTACACCAAGTATTTGGCAAAAGAGGAAGATGCATTTATTGTTTTCTAATAAGGGCCAAGGTGACCTTCTCAGAGAAGGTTTACTTTCTTCTCAATATATGCCTCCTGCTTTGAAGATGGGTTTGATGAAATTTATAGTAAACACACAGGGCAGATATGCTGAACTATTAAAATGGAAAGGCAAAAGTCAATTAATACACAGGAAGGGGAAGGGGACTTGATATTCAGAAAGATAAGCTGAACAAAGGGCTAGTTCTTGAGCTTCCTAGCAGGAGATGGCCACCTGGTGGATTGTACCTCTCTCATCTTTTACTCGATCGTATGGAGGGAGGCAAACTTTGCCCTGTTCCTAAGTGCAGAAAGAAACTTTTCCTGTGGGAACCCAGAAGTTTAGGAAAACACAGAGGCCTTTGTGAGACAGGTTCTTCTACTGGCTCCCTATAAAACAGACACAGTGTTAAATTTAGTCACATAAAGACAATTATAACATGAAGGGAGAAGGAATGAATGGGTCCTGGGACACAGTTTTCTGATATAAGGATAAAGTACCATGGAGTGTGAAGGGTTAATACTTAATGAATGCTTTAGGGTCGGAGTGGAAGGTAGATTACATCTACTGCCAGTTCCTGTGTTCACCACTTCATAAATATTTTCTTCACCCAGCAGAGTAGCTCATGCTCAGTGCTAGGCCTGGGGGCACAGAGGTGAGTCTGATGGAAGTTTCCTGACCTTAAGGAGCCGGAGTCCAGCAGAGAAAGGCTAGGATAACAGTTGCAGAGAAGGCTCTGGGCAGGAGTGTGCAGCAGACAAGTCACGGATGAGGTCATTAAGAAGTACTAGGAAGCTGAAATAGCTCCTTGTCGTTCTAGAACTTTAACCTTCAGGCTGTAGCAGGTTCAAATTTTTATATTGCCTGAACTCTTGTGGGCAAAAAGGAATCTATCTCTTTTATATCTAAATTGTGTTTTTTGGTTTTTTTTTTTTGGAGACGGAGTCTTGCTCTGTCGCCCAGGCTGGAGTGCAATGGTGCGATCTCGGCTCACTGCAAGCTCCACCTCCTGGGTTCACACCATTCTCCTGCCTCAGCCTCCCATGTAGCTGGGACTACAGGCGCCCGCCACCATGCCCGGCTAATTTTTTTGTATTTTTAGTAGAGACGGGGTTTCACCATGTTCGGCAGGATGGTCTCAAACTCCTGACCTTGTGATCCGCCTGACTTGGCCTCCCAAAGTGCTGGGATTACAGGTGTGAGCCACTGCGCCTGGCCCCTAAATTGTGTTTTCACTCAAGCCCACATTGTCTGATGTCAAAAATTTGCCCTGTTTGTGTCCAGATAAATGCAGCCATTTTTGTGATCTTTCTCAGATATTTTAGACAAAATCTGCCCAACCTCAGTAACTCAATCCCTGGAGTTGATGTTTGAACCAGGGATTCACAAAGAGAGCATATGGACCACAGTGTCGGTGAGAGAGAGTTCCACTTCTTCATCTGCCCTCCACTCTGGGCTGGCATCTTATGGGATGCCACATGCCCCATCTGCTTGCTGGCCTTCATCCCTGCCATGGTGTCATCCTCTGAGATGCACTGGGTCTTCTTCAGATCCCCAGAGGATGGACCCCTCGGCAGCCTCTGCTTTTGCATCAGCTTTTTCTCAGCCAATTCTGTGCCCCATTCAACAGCGGGTATGCAGGCCAAGGAATTCTTAGTGCTGCCCAACTCTGCTCTACAAGAAATATGAGGAAGGGGGCTTCTCTAGCCTTCTCACTCCTGGACACAATCATGTGTCACTTCTGCTCCCTGGCTGCTGCACCGTGGTGGCTCAGGAGCCACCTCTCTGATGCTCCTGAGAAAGGAGGGAAACAAGTACTCTAGATGCCAAGACTCCCAGGCTTAAAGAGAGTCTGCTTCTCCTGCAAGGACTTGGTCCGAGGAGGCAGAAGGGTGGGATCTTCCAAACACGTAGAGTAACGTTAAAAGCAGAAACTCTAGACCCAGGTTAATTGGGTTCAAATCTCAGCTCCACCGTTTATTAGTTGTGGAGTCTTGGGCAAGTTACCAAGGAGGTTACTGAACCTCTCTTTGTCTCAACTCATCATCCGTAAAGGAGGATTATGTAGTGCTACTTTATAAGTATGAGTGGGACAAAATACATACGTATAAATAGAAGTAAATAAATATATATATTGCATGTCTCATTCAGAATACAGCCTAGCACTTTGGAAATGTTTAAACCTTAGCTGTTACGATTCTTAGGAATAGTATTATTAATACTATAGAATTAGCATCATTTCATCTCAATGCTTTTTCCTTCCCCCCTCTCTCTCACCTTAAAGCTCAGAATCTCTCATCTTGCCTCTTGAGGTAGGGAAAAGCTTTATTCAGATGGATTCTTCCCATTTCTTTCATCTACACCCAGACTATAGCTTTTTTTTTTTTTCTTTAAGGATTTGGCATCTTTTTTTTCAATGGCCCTTGATGACAAGGCCCGGCAATGCTGACCTCGTGTTTCGTAGTCTAAATGAGGATGGTTACGGGGTTAAGGTACCCGTGGGAAAATGCAAGAGTTAACGTGCCACATGGTCCCTTCCCCAGTCTCTAGGAATCTTGTTGGGGGCACAAGGTCATGCCAAAGTAGAGTTTGGGGAGAAGCTGCAACCTGGGAGTGGCTTCATCTCTGCTTCTGCGTCCCTGTGCAGGACTCAGGAATTGACATTGGGGACATCACTGCAAGGAAGGCTCTCAGGAAACAGCTGCAGTGCAAGACCTTCCGGTGGTACCTGGTCAGCGTGTACCCAGAGATGAGGATGTACTCCGACATCATTGCCTATGGAGTGGTAAGGAGCTGGCCTCCTCCGGGTTTCATTCAGACACAGACAGAAAGAAACATAGTGAAGAAAGGGAGAGGAGGGAAAGAGCCTCTCAGCTGCTCACATGAAGAACTGCAGTAGGCCTGGGGACCGGGCGCTGGGTTCTGCACCTGCAAGACAGCCTTTACTTTTACAGCCCAAACCCCTCCAGTCCCTTGAGAGAGGTACTTGTCTCTCCTTTATAGTCCTAAGCAATTCAGCTCTGGCCCCACACCTGCATATTCCGCTTAATAAAACACATAATAAAGCAGTTAGCTTAAGATTAAAAGGTAAGGTAACAAACACCTGCTGTTCTCCCAGCTGGGGTGCCTGAGGGTCTATGAGTCACCCTGTGTGCCTCCCTGACCAAGGAGCTAATGCCTCCCACTCGCATGCAGAGCCTCCCTGAGAAGAGTTCTAGAGACAGAGCCATCTTGAATTTATTTTATTTGCTGTATTTTTAGTACTGCTTGTTGATGGGCACAGAGAAGTTCTCCCTGATGGGAGGGAGAAAGATGGAGGGGGCAGAGCATAGGGTTTGGAGTTAGACAGACCTGGTTCAAATCTTAACCAGGCTGCTTCCCAGGTAAGTGTCTTAATGTCATGGGCCTCAGTTTCTTCACCTGTTAAATGGGGGTAATTCAATACTATCCCCGTAGAGTAAAAGAAAATCTAAGATTTGTAGATATGTAACCTTAGACAGAAAATGTATTTTCTGTCTAAGGTTAAAATACTTCGAATATGATAAACTCTCCCATTTTCTCAATATTCCCTGGACCGTACAGGTCAAATGCCGTAAGGTATTTTAAATGGTATTTTGATTGATTTTTGGCTATCTCGCCTGGCTTTTGCTGACTTACAGTCTAAACACATAAACTTTTGCCATGACAAACCCCCAAGACTACTCTGTGTAGGATTAGCTATATTATCTCCATGTCACAGGTGGGGAAACAGAGTCAAAGAGTGATTTTTCACAAGCTCACATAATCAGCAGTGAAACCAAGTCTAAAAAACCAGCTTCTGGTGTCACTCTGATTCCTCCCTTTGGAGAGTGTCCCCTCAGACCTTTTTTGATATCTCAAGATGAAAACTTGAAGGAAGAACTGAAGTCTCTTCTTTTGATTAGCTGTGGTTAAAGCTGAGTTCAAAGCCTGCCCCAGATGGGAATGTAGTGAACAGGACAATTGCCTATAAGCGGGAAGAATCTGCTGAGAAATTGGGCTCAGTGCTCCCTATGTGCCCCCCAACTCTTATATCATATACATCCTAGGATTCCAAAGCAGACAGAATTGGAATCCTAGACCCATGCCCTCTACCCCCAGGGTCTCTGTTAGCCAGAAGGCCAGATTGTAGGAGACAGTGTTATCCTCCCATGAGTGTCCCCATGGCATGGTTGACATATCCCAAGAGAACCATGCAGTGACCTCTCACCTCTCCACCTCTCAGGCTGGTGCAATTCACATCTCTGCAAACACCTCAGCCAGTGCTGCTCAGGTAGTACCTGAGTCTCCAGATCCTGTTGTCCCCATGGAAACACATTGCACTGTAAGGTGCCTATCTGTCCCATTCACCTCCCCAGAACCATCCTGAGGACACAGCTGCCTTTGATGCCCCACACTCCACCCATAGCAAGCTATGTATGCTGCTTGGCCATGGGTGAACCCAATCCTAAAAGGAGAGTTACGCTGCTGTGGCTCCAGAGAAACTATTGGCCCCAAGCCTCTGTGAGCCAGGGCAAGCTTCTGGATTCATGTTCTCAGCAGGCTGTCAGCTGTGGCTGAGCAGGATTAGCCAAACTCACCCAGAGAGGCAGGAGAAGCAGTAACAGTAGAGGTGTGTACATGTGGCCACTGCAATTCTGGGTCTTGGCCAAAGGCATTCTCATCCTCCAAGCAAAAGCATCTCATCTTATACATGTGTGCAACAGGTTTAACATGTAGGCCCTCCATGCCATCCCCAGAAACATTTGGTTTGTCAAATACTAAGTGGCAAATACAGGGTTGTGATCTAGATCTGTCTGAGTCCAGAGCTGGGCCTGTGTTTACTGTCATACTGAAAACCATTCACTTGCCATCCCAAAGGGCTGAGCTGTGTTAGCCATCCCTGCAGCTGGCAGAGGGCTCTGACCCCCTACACATTCATCAGCCCACCACTGCTCAGGGCCCAGCCAGCCTCCCCTCCCTCCTGCCTTCTCCACGGGACAAGCCCCTACATAAGCAGAGACACGTCTGCTTGTCAAAGAGCATAATGAACTCTTAATGGGGGCAACTGGCTGAAGATGGGCAAAGTGGGATGCAGCCACAATAGCAAGAGTATTTGCTGGGTCTGAATCATTCTTCCTGGTAATTATTTTTATCCTAAAATGAAGAGACCAGATGTCTTTTCAGGGGCATAATTTCTTTTTCCTTTTTCTGTTCCAACTCATGCCCAAATGACATTGTTCAGGACAAATGACTTCTGGGACTCTGAGTCGAGCCAGTATCAAGTCTATAGCCCAGCCCATTAATCCACTAATAGGTCCCATTAATGACTCCTGCAGGCCTAAGGACCTGTGGGCCCCATCGTGTGGGCATAAGTTTCCCCTGGATCATTGAGCTTCATGTCCAGGAGATGGGGTAGCATTGGATTAATCACAGCTCTGGTGCTGAGAGTAGAGATGGAGGGGCATCTGGAAACAGACATGCCTGGCTTCTGAATGTTAGCTTTGCCCCTTAATGGCTAGGCTATGTAAACTTGACAATGTGCAAAACCTTAGTGGTCACAGTAATGCCATTTCATAGGGCATATGTTACAGCCTCAGGATTATAGCCATTTGCACTACGGAAAGAGCTTGGGTTTTGGAGTCTGACAGACCAGCTCTTTCACTTGTCCGACTATGATTCCATTCATTTGGGAATGCCAGTCATTTACGCATGTTTTTCATGTACCCACTCACTCACCCACTCCACGAGTGTTGACTGTCTCCTTTGTGCCTGGCCTGTATGATATACAGTGAGACTGAGACCCAGTCTGATGACTAACAGGGCAGACAAGTGAAGAAGGAACAAGAATGCAACCTGCTAAGTGCTACCCTGAGAAATGGGGTGCTAGTGAAGCACAGGAATGTGGTCTCATACCAGACTTGGGTCGGGAAAGGCTTCCAGAGTGGCAGATAAGCTGAGAGCCAAGGGAAGAGGCAAAGAGGAGGCCAAGACCAAGGGCGATATGGGGAAGTGTCCACACAGGCTGAATAGCACTATAGACAGGGAGGAGAGTGGAGCTTGTTACTACACCACAGTTCCTTCATCCTTAAAAGAGATAATATCTCTGGGCTGGCTAGTCATTATGAGAATTAGGTGAGACATATGTGGAAAGCACTTCACATGGTACCTGACACATAGATGCATTCCTAAAAGCTGGTTTCCCTGAATGGCTTTGAGGAAGGTTACAGCAATAATAATAGCAGCCAACAATTATTGCAACATTTGTTATTTGCCAGGCCTTATGCTAAGCACTTGTAGACATTGTTTCACTTAATCCTCATAACAGCCTTATGAGGTAGGCACTATTATTATTCCTATTTTAGAGGGAAGAAAACAAACAAGGAGTTACATTGCTTTATTCAAGACCCCTCAGCTGGAGCCAGGTTTCCATCCCAGCCTGTTGCTTCTAGCTCCTTCAGTGGACTACCTGCCTAAGGGATGGTGGGGGGTGGGGGAAGGAATGGCACAGAGCCAGGGAGGACTTTATCAAAAGACACCCACCCTCTCACCCAAGCACTGGCATTAAGAACCCAGGGGAAAGCCAAGTCTAATATCAGGGCTCTCCAGGCCTTCCTCTTTGCAACAGCAGTTAGCAGATTTTCCTAGTGGGTTACAGTGCTTGGCTTTAGATATGACACCCACCTCTTCATGGGCTGTAGGACAAGAACAAAGTGTGTTTACATATGCTCTTCCCACTAAGGTAAACCAAGGAATTGGTTTATAATGGAGGATTTGCTGCAGAAATGCTACTGGGGGCTCTGCCTGAGACACACATTCATGCAATATTTCTTCAGAATCCCTGAACTGCAAGTTTGGGATTAAGGTGCTACCATCCAGTAGAGGAAAGGAAGCTCAAAAGAAAAGAATTCAACTCTGTTCCTTGTCCCCTGTTAGGAACAGGGTATGCATGGAGCACACGTGGGCCTCTGGTTATCGGCTCCATCTCATGCCTCTTCATTGGCTTCATTTTGCTCCTGCCACAAACCATCAGGAGTACAAAGGCCCTGCTGCTGTCTCTGGCCTCCCCGCAGATAGATAGCCTCCCTGTGGCCTCTTTCCTTGTCTTCCCTGGATTCTGATCTCCAGTCCCCTGTTCTAGGCAGAGTGTTTTGATTGCTAAGGAGAGAACCTAGTCAAGCCAGCTCAAGTTAAGGTGAGGGGGGTAAAGGTACCACAGACTCTTACAGGAGTAGGAAGTGAAATGCAGCTGGACATGGGTACTCCAGCAGGGAAGCCACTGAAGCCGCTGCAGGGGCAAGATGGTCTCTTTTGTCTCTCATTCTGTCTGCCTCGTGCATCATCATATCCTTGATCACAACTGACTTTCTCTGCTTGCACATGGCCATGGCCAACAGAACCCCCCATGCCCAGTTTAAACAGCCTTACAATTCTAGTGGCCACCACCCACTGATCACAGTCTCTGGGTTCTGTTTAGGTTCCTAAGACAGGATAAGAGAGTAATGAGATGGGGAGGAGAGAGAGGCAGAGAAAGAGAGTGATTAATTCTGAAGCGTGGGTTGGTGCCCACCATGGTCCACTCAGTTGTGGCCGGTGAGCAGGGCCATGAGGTCTATGGGCTGCCCTTCCAAGGGCTGAGAGTGGCTGTAAGCAAGAAAGTAACATTGAATATAAGCTGTCTTACCCAGACATGTGTTAATTGCCAAGACTGGATCCATCCACCTGTAGGTGAGGATAAGAGATGCTGCTCTCTTCTCCTGCTCCCACCCTGGCCCCCTCCTCTCTTATTCTCCCATCCGACCTCCCACTCTGGAAGACCCTAAGCAGTGGGCCACCAAGGGGCTGGCCAAGCCACTGCTGGGTCTGCAGGAGGCAGAGAGCGTCTGGTCCCAGGGGACCTCTGAGGCCTGAAAATAGCTAAGATGTTGCCCATTTCCCCCAACACTAAAGAGCAAAGATTTCTCTCAGGGACACTTGAAGGCTGTTGTCCCACCCCTGAGGAAGTGGAGGGGCTGAAGAACAAGCACCATCTTGTGTGTGCACACGCATGCACATCTCCTGTAACCCAGCTCACTGTTTAATGACATGTAAGTGTTTCTCCTGCAAAGGAGGCTGGTCTCCCCTCAGCACCTTTACGCAAGGCAAAAGCTGGTGCTTGTTGGTTCTATAGTGTTCAAGGGCCTTGGGCTGATTATGGACATGAAATCTGTCTCAGCAGAATACTTGTTTCTCCAGAGTTAATTCATTTGCTCTCTCTGTTCCTCTCTCTTTGGTGTGGCCATCTGTTCTCTGATGTTCAGCTGCAGAATTCTCTGAAGACTGATTTGTGTCTTGACCAGGGGCCAGATACAGAGAATGTCCCCATCATGTACATCTGCCATGGGATGACGCCTCAGGTGAGTCCTCTAAGAGATTCCTGTGCCAGGAGTGTGCATATGAGTGCCTGGCATGGGGAAGGAGAGCTAGGCTCTGTCATGGGGAAGGAGAGCTAGGCTCTGTCATGGCAGCTCTGGGACCAGGGGCCTCTGGGGCTTTTCATTAGGGCACATCCTCATGAGCTGAAGAGGATGGGTCACACCTGCCTTGCCTGGAAGGAAGCTGAGGGAGTGGATGCTATGACTCCAGGATCCTCCAGGATGATGAGGAGGAAAGGGGTTACACTTCTAAAGAGAAACACCTGCTTCCTTTGTGGAAACTATGGGTACATCACAGTTCTGGCTCTGACAACCAAGCTGCTCCCTAGCAAGAGTGGGAGGTTCTCCCAAGCTCCCTGAAATGTCAGAGTCCCTTCAGAGTACCATGGCATGGTCTTCAGCTCGGCCCTTTAGTAGATCATAGCTGGGGCCAAAATTTATAGCCATGGTCCTTCTTTCCAGCTCTTCTTCTGACCTTCTTCTGGTGGAGAATGAAGGGCAGCTACCAGGAAAATAAGTTATTCTTACAAATTCCCCATTCATAGTCTAAGCTTCAGATACTCAAAGAGGATGCCAAGACACAGGCAAGATAAATGGTTCGTTGAACAAAGTACAGCAGACAACCCTTGACCAAGAATGTCATAGGCTGACCTGTTCTGAATTGATAACATTCCCAGAGTTTACTTATCTCCAGAAGTACACAATGATTTAAAAAGATGTTTTAGGCCAGGCACGGTGGCTCACACCTGTAATCTCAGCAGTTTGGGAGGCCAAGGTGGGTGGATCACGAGTTCAGGAGATCGAGACCATCTTGGCTAACACGGTGAAACCCCATCTCTACTAAAAATACAAAAAATTAGCCAGGTGTGGTGGCGGGCGCCTGTAGTCCCAGCTACTCAGGAGGCTGACGCAGGAGAATGGCGTGAACCCGGGAGGCAGAGCTTGCAGTGAGCTGAGATCGCACTACTGCAGTCCGGCCTGGGCGACAGAGCGAGATTCCGTCTCAAAAAAAAAAAAAAAAAAAAAGATATTTAGCATGTAAGATATGCCTATGTGTGCAATTACAATTAAAAGAGGGTTTAAAAGAGCTATTGCCTACCGAAACACACAACTGAAGGACATCATGACGTGTATGTCACTCTGTGTGTGAATGCTGAGCCTTCCCAGGGATTGTCCATTGCGACCTCTACCATCTTGTCCTTTTTGGGGACTGAGTTGCTGTGACATTACTGGCTGGTTAATTGCAGGCCAGCAAATCAGGTTGTGCTCACACAACCCAGTATGGCAACACGTTCCTCATTGTTAACAATGGTGTGGCATTTTTAATGAGTGACTATCTTTTTAAACATTGTATTGAAGTAAAACATATATAGAGGGAATAAATGAATTGTAAGTGTACAGCTTAATCAATTTCCAGAGTGAATACACCCAGATCAAAAATAAGAGTATTGCTGCCTGATTTTGAATTCTACATAAATAGGACTATATAATATATATTTTCTTATGTTGACTTCTTTCATAATTATATTTTTTTAATTTTTATTTTTATTTCAATGGTTTTTGAGATTCAGGTGGTTTTTGGTTACATGGATACTTGGATAAGTTCTTTAGTGGTGATTGCTGAAATTTTAGTACACCCGTCACCCAAGCCGTGTACACTGTACCCAGTATGTACTCTTTTATTCCTCACCCCTCCTCCCAACCTTCCCTGCTAAGTCCCCAAAATCCATTATGTCATTCTTATGCCTTTGCATCCTCATAGCTTAGCTCCCACTTATATGAAAGTGAAAACGTACGATATTTGGTTTTTCATTCCTGGATTACTTCACTTAGAATAATGGCCTCCAGCTTCATCCAAGTTACTGCAAAAGACATTATTTTATTTCTTTTTGTGGCTGATTAGTATTCCATGATGAATATATACCACATTTTCTTTATCCACTCGTTGGCTGATGGGCACTCAGGTTGGTTCCCTATTTTTACAATTGTGAATTGTGCTGCTATAAACATGCATGTGCATGCATCTTTTTCATATAATGACTTCTTTTCCTTTGGGTAGATACCCAGTAGTGGGATTGCTGGATCAAATGGTAGTTCTACTTTCAGTTCTTGAAGGAATATCCATACTGTTTTCCATAGTGGTTGTACTAATTTATATTCCCACCAGCAGTGTAAAAGTGTTCCACACAGCAAAAGAAATCATTAAACAGACAACCCACAGTGTGGGAGAAAATATTCACAAACTATGCATCCAACAAAGGATAAATATCCAGAATCTACAAGGAACTCAACAGATCAGCAAGAAAAAAAAAACACATACTCTCATCAAAAAGCCAAAGGACATGAATAGACAATTCTCAAAAGAAATATACAAACAGCTAACAAACATATGAAAAAATGCTCTACATCACTAATCATCAGGGAAATGCAAATTAAAACAACAATGAGATACCACCTTACTCCTTCAAGAATGGCCTAATTAAAAAGTCAAAAACCAATAGATGTTGGCATGGATGTGGTGAAAAGGGAACACTTTCATCATTACATTTCTGAGATACATCCCTGCTATTACCTGTAGTTGTAATTTGTTCATTTTTACTACTATGTAGTATTCCATTTTACAAATATACTATAATTCATGATCTATTCAACTGCTGATGGACACTTGGACTATGGCCAGTTTGGAAGTATCATGAATACTGCTGCTATGAACAACCTTGATCATGTCGTTTGGTGTACATATATGCTCACTTCTTTTGGTTTTATGCCCAGGAGCAGAATTCCTGAGTCATAGGGTTGAAATATGTTCAGTTTAGTAGACATTGCCTGCATTAGTCTGCTCAGGTTGCCAAAACAAAATATCACAGGCCTTAAACCACATAAACTTATTTTCTCACAGTTCTGGAGGCTGGGAAGCCCAAGATCAGAGTGCTGGCCTATTCAGTTTCTGGTGAGGGCTCCTTTCTTGTCTTGAAGATGGCCACCTTCTTGCTGTGTCCTCACATGGGAAAGACAGACAGCACACAACAATGAGCTCTCTGGTGTCTATTCTTATAAGGATGCTAATCCTATCAGGTCAGGGCTGTATCCCTGTGACCTCACTTAACCTTAACTTAAAGATCTGAAGAATTATCAGCCTATCCATGTTGCAAAAAACTGAGAAAGCTCTTTCTGAAAAAAACACTAAGGTGTGGCTCATGATAAAGAGAACATGAGTTTGACTTAGGTGGACTTTGCCAGTCATTTCAACAGAAGCCAGGAATACAGATGAAATTACACCTGTAGAGAGACTGCCAGTTTGAACTAAAGGGGACAGAGAAAGTGGGATAGAATGAAAGAATGCTATTGGACTTGGAGTACATAGGACCATAGGGACCATAGAGCTATTTGGCTGTGAATGTGCTCTATTCCTCAAGAAAAGGAAGAATGATGCAAAAGGCATTTTTAGGGATCATCAGGGCTGCCACTCCCACCACAAGACCAGGAGAAGGGCTGGTGCCCTGTCTAGCCTAAGGGCCAGGGCCACCCCACACAGCCACGGTAGTGATGCTGGCACCCCAGTGGACCTGGAGGGCAGAGCATTGAGCCAAAGAGGGTTATTCTTGAGCCTTAAGAGCTAATGGAATTTGACTTGCTGAGATTTTGAACTTGCTTGGGACTCATCACTCTCCTTCATTCTGATTTCTCCTTCTGGAATGAGAATATCTATTCTATGCCTTTCCCACAGTTGTGTTTTGGAACCACATGACTTATCTAATTCCACAGGCTCACATTCGAAGAGAAATTTTGCCTTGGGATGAATTGTACTTGGAGTCTCATTTACCTGCTGTAGAGGATATTTAGATGAGACTTTGGACTTTAGAGTTGATGTTAGAATGAGTTAAGACCTTTGGGGCTGTTGGGATGGAATGATGTATTTTGCATGCCTTAAAAACATGCATTTGAGGAAGCCAGGGGCAGAATGTTATGGACTGCATTGTGCCCCTCCTTGAAAATCATATGTTGAAACCCTGACCCTGGTAGTATTTCAAGTGAGGAAGTAATTAAAGTCAAGTCAGGTCATAAGGGTGGTGCCCTAATCTGATAGGATTAGTGTCCTTATAAGAGCAGACATCAAAGAGCCTGATCACTAGCTTTCTTTTCTCTCTGCCATGAAAGACACAGTGATACAGCAGCTGTCTGCAAGCCAGGAAGTAGTTCCTAAGCAGAAACTAAATTGACCAGCATCTTGATCTTGGACTTCCCAGCCTCCAGAACTGTGAGAAAATAAATTTGTTATTTATGCCACCTAGTCTGTGGCACTTTGTGACAGCCTGAGCCAACTAATAAACTGCCAAACAATTTTCCAAAATTGTTGTACCAATTTTTACTTCTCCCAGCTTTATATTAGAGTTCTAGTTGCTCTACATCCTTGCCAACATTTGGTATTACCCATATTTTTAATTATAGCCATTGTAGTGGGTGTATAGTACTATCACTCTGTGGTTTTAATTTGCAGTTCTCTGATTATTAATGAAGTCGGGCACCTGGGTTTTCAGCACAGAATGTCTTCATGTTATCCTTGAATGTGGGCCAAGGTAGCCAGGTCACAAGTAGTTGGTCTTTCTGTAAATTCTTGCTCTGCTTTCTGACACCTGTGATCTTATCTGGACCATTGGACAAATGTTGAATGTTTTGTCTGTGTGATGGTAGATGTTGGCCTGAGCAGAGGCTGCCAGTTCTCTACCAACTGCAGATGATACAATATGGGACAGTATCTGTTATACTTACAGTGTGGATTCTGGAGCCAGATTGCCTGAATCTAAATACCAGCTTTGAGCCTTTCTAGTTGTAAAATCTTGGCAAGGTTTTAAAATCTAAGCCTATTTTTTTAGTTTGTAAAATGTGGACTAACAATGGTAGATACACCAAAAAGGTTGTTGTGAGGATTTAACACATGTAAAATATTTAAAACCATACCTGGTATGTAGTAAGTCCTCAATAAATGTTATCTATTAGTATTTCTATAAGGATGGTGTTACCATTATTACTCCACTTTAACCCTGACTCCTGTTCAGTGTAAATACCCTCAAGGTTCTAGCTGCAACCAACCCTGGACTGACTCTCCTTGACCCCATGGTGCCATCTGCCATGGGGGCCTGCCCTGGTCAAAACCTACCCATAGGCCAGGTGTGGTGGCTCACGCCTGTAATCCTAGCACTTTGGGAGGCCGAGGCAGGCAGTTCACCTGAGGTCAGGAGTTCGAGACCAGCCTAGCCAACATGGCAAAACCCTGTCTCTACTAAAAATATAAAAAAATTAGCCAGGCATGTTGGCACACACCTGTAATTCCAGCTACTCGGAAGGCTGAGGCTGGAGAATCACTTGAACCTGGGAGGCAGAGGTTGCAGTGAGCTGAGACTGCGCCACTGCCCTCCAGCCTGAGCGACAGAGTGAGACTCCATCTCAAAAAAACAAAACAGAAAACCTACTCATAAACTGTTGGAGCATCACTGAGTTACTATGGCACCAAAAATGTAAGGGAGTTAGGAAAGGACAGTGAAGTGGGCATTGGGATGCCTGAGTTCAAGGGTTTGTCTTGCTACACAATTGCAACATCACCTTAATCTTCTCTGGGCCTTTATTTTGTTTTACTATTTTATTGAGGTAGAATTTTATACTAAAATACACGAATCTTAACTGCACAGTTCTTAACTTTGTATACACTGTACAGTCACCATTAAGTTCAAACCCATCATTCCAGAAGGCTTCCTCATTTGTCCTCTTGGTCATACCTCCACCCAAAGGTAAGGATGGTTCTGACCACTCTCACCATTGATGAGTTTCATCTGAGCCTGTATTTCTGTCTGCAGATGATAAAGCTGGATTGGGCTTCTTTAGGCTCAACACTCCTAGCTCTGACAATCTGCTTATCTCTAATTCCTTTGTTTTGAAATTCAGTTGGCGTGGGAAACTGTGAATTTGTGCTTGCCAGGAATGCTGGGAGCTGCCTTTGTAAATAAGCTTCTTGATGTGAAGCTGCAGCAAGTCTCAAAGGGTTGGGTCTCCCTTCCTCATCCCCCAAAGCCACAGAACACTCATGCAGCTGGGCTGTACAGGGAGCCCTTGGTGTCCTGGTGACCTTTCACGCCAGGCCATGCTCAGATGCACAACTAGCAGTGCTGTGTAGGGAGGTTTGGGACCAGCCTCAGATTACACACATTTCCCAGGAAGGGGTAGGGATGCTGCTGTGGCAGGACTCTGTTGAGGCTGTGGCCTGCCCAGTGAGCTGGGAGAGCTGGAAAGGACAAGGTTATCCTGGGGACGGGCTGGGTATTCCCAGCCTGAGCTCCTACATCCACCCATGATGAACGCAGGGGCAGGGGATGAGTGAAAGGTAAGGGGCTGCTGTCTGGCAAGGCTTCCCAAAGTCATCTTCCAGCCCGCAAGAAGTTCACTGCTCATGGAAGAGTAAGAAAAGGGGTACTCTAGGACGTGTTACCTGAGAATGAAGTCAGGGTACATCTCAGAAGGAGACTGTGGACAGGTGAGGACCCCAAAGATCCTCTGAATCCTACAGACTTGGTCCAAATCAAACATTCAACATGCATTTCCAGGGATGTCACCCCCTCCTACTGGCAGTTCTCAGCAAGATCTTTATTGTTACCATGGCCACATAGGACAAGGAGAGCTTTGGGAAGGTCGTGTATGCACGGATGGAACTGTCACATGCCATTGTGCAGGTTGTGCACTGTACAACTGCAGGAGATGGAGGTGGCACTTTACATTGTTGCCTAGGGAATATAGACCAAGCCAGGGTAACGGTATTTCTGACCTCTTCTATGAAAACTTACATATTCCTCCCTAAGCATCACACTTGATAGGAAGCCTGAAAATGCTGAAAGACAATTTCTGAGGCAATATATAGTGATTAAGAACCAGACTATATGGGTTCAAATCCCAGCCATGCCACTTACTAACTGAGTCTCTTAGGTGAGTGTCTCCTCATGCCTCAATTTTATTGCCTGTAATGAAATTGGCTGGTGGTTGGTGGTCCCTTGGCTTGTAGCAGCATAAGAGAGAATATAGTAGTACTAACTTTGTGGAGTTGTTATAAGGATTAAATAAATCAATGCACATAAAGCGTTTAGAGAACAAAATCTGGTACACAGTCATCGCTTACTAAATGTTGGCTATTATTACTATTACCAGATTGGTAAAGACACTCTAGACCATGTCCTTGAGTTAATAGAGTAGGAATTGTTTAGCTTAAAAAGAGAACAGATTTAAGGGGGACGTTAAAACTCCTTCCAAAGTATAAGGATGCAGATTTTTGGCTGAGCATGAGGAAACTCTTCCCAATCATTGGCTCAGGTTATTTTGACATCTCCGTCATCAGCACTGAGCCATGTTTGGCAGGCTCCAGGGACATTCTGAAGGATTTTTATACCATGTAGGCTCTTAAGCTAAGAAATTCCTAAGGGCTCTTGCACCCTGGAATTCTATGACTTTTTAATTCATTACCTTGTCCAAATCAAGGTAACGGCTTGTAGCAGCATAACTCCACCCTTCACATGACATTCTCCATGTGTGTGTCTGTGTCCAAATTGCTCCTTTTTTATGAACAGCATTCATGTGCCAGATACTGTTCTTGGCCCTGGGAAATGGATGAACCAGAAAAAAAGTGACTGTCCTTGTGAAGCTATATTCTGGTGCTAGCAACAGACTATTCTCTATTTTCTAATCTTCAAATCTTCACCACAGCCAAGATTTGAACTTGTTTCTCTCTTGAGCATTGCATATGGGGCAACATTTGAGCTTCATGACTTGGATTTCAGCCAGCAATGGCCAAGAATGGTGAAGGTGTAAGAAGGGCAAGAAGGCAGGACTGCAGGCTGGCCCCGTTCATCTTGCTGACTTTGTAAGACGGTTAAGCAAGTACTGAGTGCATTTGAGGAACTGAGTATCTGTAGGCATTTTCTAAGTAAGACGGTTAAGCAAGTACTGAGTGCATTTGAGGAACTGAGTATCTGTAGACATTTTCTAAAGAAAAACGTCAAAATAAAATGGAGAGATTAAATGCAAAAGTGGTTCATGTCCTATGGGGAAATAAAATTATAGCCTTTCATGTGATCTTTTCTACACAGACAGAAATCTAGGAGTTAGCATACAACTTCATAGTGTCTGAGAGAGAATCAAAAGGTAAATAGCAAAGTCAAGCATGAGTACATTCTCTTGGAAAATTACATACTCTTGGATGGGCCCGTTAATGTCCCAGGATAATATTAAAAGGACAGGCCACTTCCCCTCTTTGTTTTTGCCTTATTTCTAGGTTTCAGGTATTTTTCTTACTCTTTTCACAAAGTTTGTTGAAGGTCGAGGGACACTCCAGGCCACTAGTGACTCAGTGACTCTTATGGGTCACAGCCTGACCATCTGACCTTTTCCCCTGCAGAAGTTTCCCAGGGCTTCCGTAACAAAGTACCACAAGCTGCGAGACTTAAACGACAGAAAATTACTGTCTCACAATTCTGAAGCCTAGAAGTTCGAGATCGGTCTCAGCAGGGCCAAGCTCCCTCTGAAGGCCTAGGAAAGATTCTACTCCAGGCACTCTCCTAACTTCTGCTGGTCCCTTGGCTTGTAGCAGCTTAACATCACCCTTCACATGGCATTATCAGTATGTGCGTCTGTGTCCAAATTGCCCCTTTTTATAAGGACACTACTCATGTTGGATTAAGGGTCCATTCTACTTCTGTGTGACCTCATGCAAATTTAATTATATCTGCAATGACTCTATTTCCAAATAAGATTACATTATGAGGTACTGGGGGTTAGGACTTTAACATATGAATTTTGGGGTGACACAATCCAACCCAGTTCACCTCCAAATGGGAAGAGTGGAAATGGAAACCTGACTCTCACTTTCTAGGCCAAAAAGGGTCTCCCATCACTTCCTCTCTCATTTCACTGGCCAGACATGGTAACATGGCCCTGCCTGACTCAGAGGGGTAGCAAGTTGTGGTTTTCTGTGTGTCCGGGAGATCTTGTCTTTGTCACAAAAACTTAGATATTTTCTAAGTCAATGTCATCTCTGACAAATAAGAAAAAATAAGAAAATGGCATCTGGGATGTGAATTGACTTGCCTGAAGTCACACTGCAAGTTACTGGCAAAGATGGGACTAGGAAGGATGCCAGTATTTTGACTTCCAGTTTCTCCTTCATTGTTTCTTTCATTCATTCATCAAACATATGATAGATTGTCTTTTATGAAGTCCTCATATTTTGGAAAGTTTCATTTTCCTTGAAGAAGAAGCTTGGTCTGGCAATAAAAAACAAAAATTGACAAGTGGAACCTAAAGAGTTTCTGCATAGCAAAAGGAATTATTAACAGAGTAAACAGACAACCTACGGAATGGGAGAAAATATTCACAAACTATGCATCTGATAAAGATCTGCTATCCAGAATCTATAAGGAACTTAAACAACTCAACAAGCAAAAACAAATAACCCATTAAGAATGGGCAAAGGACATGAACAGACACTCCTCAAAGGAAGACATACAAGCAGCCAACAAACAATGAAAAAATGCTCATCATTACTAATCATCAGAGAAATGCAAATCAAAACCACCATGAGATACCATCTCACACCAGTCAAAATGGCTGTTATTAAAAAGCGATAGGAATAGTTTTGTAGAGCAACTTATAACGGGACCCAGTGGGGCCCAGAAATATTGGAGACCCAAAGACAGCTTGGGCTGGACAAAGGGACACATTTCACATCTGTGTTTAAACCTTTTGAGAGACTGTGCTTCAGTGCCATTTAAAAAGTTCACTCTGTTGTCGTTGTGATATTCCCAGGTCTCAGAGAAGGCCTTGGATAGGAGAAAGCAGAGGGTAACTAATCAAATTAGTGAGGTGAAGCTGCTGAGAACCATGCTAATTGATTAATGCATAAACATAACCATTTTGTTTAAATTAGCAGCAAATTTCAAGCAATCCTCAAAATAACTGAGAATATTAGCCCTGATTAGTGTAACAGCCCGGAAAATTTCTTCTGGTGGGAAACATACAATAGTGGGGTCTCCCCACCAGGTCTTTATTCAATCAATCACTCATTCATTTGCTCATTCAACAAACATGCGTTGAGTATTATTTTACGTCAAGCATTACAAGACAAAAAGGCAGCTTTGCCCAAGTCCCTGCCCTGGAGGACTTCCTGTCTGGAGAGGGAGGCAGGAACTTAGATGATCACAGTTTATACAATGAAATCTTACAACCTACTGCTCCACACTCCTTTCCCACTAGCCCACAAAAAGAGAGAGCAGGAATAAAACCAGGTCTGGGGATTTCTCCCATTCTTTCTGCCTAAATTTACTAGACTGTAAAAGACACAGGGTTTTTGGGGGAGTGCTTTTTCTATGGAAAGGTAAATTGTTGGTTATAGGAGAAGAAAGATGAAAGCGACTTTAATTCCTTCTGACGTTTTTGAAATACTAAAGCTGCCACATTTATGCTCCAGGAAGTGCTTTGACTCAAGGTTTAAAGATTAGAGTTGAGATGAAAGAAGTACTCTATTTTAACCTGGAGATGAATTCCACGAAGCCATCACCTCTCCCCTGTGTGGTATTGGCCCCAGTGTCCGCAGGGGCATTAAAGACCTCTCATGGATCGTGCTTGCACCCCCATATCTTTCACGTCACATCTCAGAGACAATTGCAGAAGTTTTCCTTTGTGTGCCAAGAATTTAAATGTCTAGCCACTTCTCTGTGGCCTTTGGCAAATTTCTCCAGTTTTCTATGATTTTTGTCTATAAATAAATAAGAATACCAGGCGCTGGGTGGCTGTGCAGTTTGGAAAAACCCCTGAGTTGATTTCTTGTGCCCTCCATGACTCCGTGGCGTGTGGTTTCATTGCTCAGGTGTCTGCTAGTGAATGGTATTGGGGAACCCCAACCAGGTAATGTTCAGGGGAGCCTCGTACACTCCTGCAGCTTTTTCTGGTCACCTCCAGCTCTGCATTATTTAGGGACTAATCCAGTTAGGGTTAATTGGGTCTCTGTATTTATTGTCCTCTGAGCTGTCACCTCGCACGGTTCCAGGGGCCACCATTCATGTCAGTACAGAGTGATGCGGGGACTGGCCCTGTGAGGCTCACTCTCGGCAGCCACCCTCAGCTTCTGTTTGTCACACGTTCAGTTTCTCGGTGCAGGATGGTTGTTTGAGGGGGTGCAGGGTAGTGGTGGATGTGCAATGTGGTAGAAAGAGTGTGGACATGAGGTCAGATAAGGGCTGGGGGTCCAGGCCCAGTTCTGCCCGTACCACATGTATGACGGGGGCAAGTGATCTGATCTTTCTAACCTGTTAGGTTCATAATCTGTAAAGTTGGGATGTAACTTGCACATCACTGAATGATTGTGAGGGATGTGATGGCCTGTATGCCATGATGCCTGACCCGGTGCCCCACATGTGATGGTGATGGTAGGTGTTACTATGCCTCACCCAAGAGCAAACTCTACACGGGTGAAGAAAGGGGACATCGGAGGCTAAGAGTTGGGCTGAAAACCTGCGGTTATCCCCACTCCAGAGTCTCTGGGCTGGGGTGGCTCCCTTCATTCCAGCAGCCCTTTGAGAATCCATGAAGACCCATGCCTAACGTATCCTTGCCTGTGTTCCAGAGCTCAGGAACGTGCTATTCTGTCTGTCTCCTCATTGGTAAGTGATGATGGAGTGAGTTGTTTCATTAATCCAGCCTGCAGTCTCACTCTTTCCTGATGGCACCACTGAAAGGAAGTGAATGGACCTTGCTAGGTCCACCTGGCTGTGAATCTCAGCTCCACCACTGGTTAGCTTGTGACCTGGAACTGAACACATAATTTCTCTTGACCTCAAGTATCTGTAACTTAAAGCTTAGTTCATAGGAAATACCATTTAACTGTGGGTTATATTGTTTTTATGTCTTAATATATAATATTTATATATCTGTTTATGCATTTACTTCTGTATGTACACATATATACACACATACACACACACACACACACACACACATATAATTAGTATGTGTCCATCTCTGCTAGACACTTTCAGTATGTCAGTTGATGTAATCTTAAAACCACCTTGCCAGCTTATCCTCATTTGGCTCAAACATGTAAAGATATCCCTAGGCCCCACCACCAATAGTTGAGTGTGTAGGCCATAAGTCCTAGAACATGATTGTAGGTTTTACTATGTCACAGCCAGGAGCAACTGCTCCCACGGCGAAGGCTGGGAAGAGGAGGGCTACCACCCAGCAGCGCTGCTTTCTCTACCAGCACTGACTCCTTAGAATCCACAGCCTCCACAGGGCATAGCCCAAAGGACTTTCACAGCTGCCCCCTGGAACCTGCCTGCAGTTATCCCTGATTCTCAGGCCACCCAGAGCTGGTGCCCATTCTCTGGGTGAGGTGAGCACCCAGCCAGCTTCCCACCCTGCTTTTAGAAAGAACCTTATTTCCATTTCTCTTTTGGTAGTTGCAAAAGAGAGGCAGACCAGCCATCTCCTGCCTGGACACATCAGCTCAGGGTCAGGGGAGCAGGCAGACAGGGAGGGAGCCAACGGATGTTATAGGCACACAGATGTTAGTGCTGCAGTGTTAACCTTCTGTGCACCAAGTGATGGTGAACTCTGGGCTGCTCCTGCAGCTTCCATGCTAAAAAAAAAAAAAGGAGCTGCTTGATTTGTTATTCATTCCACATGATATGTTCTTCACTTCATGTCCAAACTCCACAATTAGAGTTGTAAACAGTGAGTTTTGCATGACTTTTATTAAACTCCTGCAGGCTGGGGAGAAGCAGTCATTAGCAGCTCCACAGTGGACCAATGTTCAGACTCACTAACCAGAGAGGGGCTGAGTCTCTTGCCCTCCACCCACCGTTCTTTGGACAGTCTTGCTTCCCAGGCCTCTCTGGCCTTGGGGACAGGTCACCAAACCCAGTGACAGAGGAGCTAATTTTAGATCCCGCCTTGGCTCTGTGCTCTCTGCCAAGTCACATTACCTCACTGAGCCTCCCTGATCAGTAAAATGGGGGCGGGTGCTATTAAATAAAGTAACAAACCTGCATGTGCCTAGCACCAAATCGGGCACAGAACTGGGCTCAGTAATATTGGTCTCTCGTTCAAACTGGAGTAATCTCTCAACAAACATTCATGATTATTAAAGGTAGCTTGCATTTGTTGCTTACTGTTTCTAGGCATCTTTCTAAGTGCTTTGTATATCTAAGCTCAGTTAAAACTCTCAATGGCCCTTTGAAGTAGGCACTGCTATTCTTTACAGGTGAGAAAACTGGGGCTTAAGGCAGGTATGTAACTTGCTCAAGGTTACACAATTACCGAGTGGTAGAACCTGGTTTGGAACCCAGGTTGCCTAACTTCAGACCCCATGCTCAGAGCCATGACTCAGCACTGTCTCCCTAGTTTAGTTAAACATGTGGCCCCTGCTCTCAGGAAGTTCTCTAGACAGAGACAGAACAATAAGCCATCACAGGGTGGTGTAATGCCAGCTTGGCACACAGGCAACATGCAGTGCACACTTGCTCATGAGTGAAGGTTGCAATGAGAATATGGGATGGACTTCCTGATTAGTCAACTACCCAGGCATACTCTTCTCCTTAGGATCTAAAGGAAAACTGAATCTAATTTGCAGTTTTCTCCCTGACAGTACTGATGGCAGGTTTCTAAGATATGGTTGGAGGAGATTTGAAAATATCTCTCAATCAGCGCTACCCTTCCCCATCCACCCTGGGCTTGAACACAGGCCACAGGCTCATCAGCTCCCTCCTGGCTTGTGAGGGCTGTCTGCACATGCCTCCTGCCTTTAAGGTTCTCCACTTTCTCTGAGGAATTGGGGTACTCATCTCCCCACTGGGAGATATCTAATCTCAGCATTCCAGGGCCCGAGCATTAGAGCCAAAGCCCCCCACTTCCCTTCTCCCCTTTCTTATCCCTCAAGCCTCAGCCAAAAGCCTGCTTCTTTAGGGCAGTCTTTCCTGACCATCCTATCTAAGGTGTCCTTACTTGTTATTCTTAGATCTCTGTACCTTGTCTGATTTTTTCACAGCTCTTGGATTTGGTGATTCTTTGTGAATTGTTACACCTGATGGTCTTTCTCCACCACTAGATGGTGAGTTCCTCCAGGGAGAGGCCTTTGTTTTATTCTCCAGGTATCCCCTTGTTCCTAGTGCACCGCCTGGCACAGGGAAGCCACTCAATGCACCTCTGTTTCCTAAATGAATGTTAAGAAAGTTGTTGATTTTTTATGTAAATGAAGGCTTAGCCAGTCTTCCTCACAGAGCCCTCCTAGCAGCCTGCAGACACGCAGCCTTTGAAAATTCCCAGCCTTAATCTGAAGCCTGTTTTTTCTTCTGTAAAATGGGGTTAAGGCCATCTACCTTACAGAGGCTTTGTGAAGATTAAGAGGAGGGATACAATTGACCCTTGAACAACATGGGTTTGAACTGCATGGATCCACTTAGATACAAATTTTCTTCTGCCTCTGCCACAGCAAGACAACCCCTCCTCTTCCTCCTCCTCAGCCTGCTGAACACAAAGATGCCCTCCACCCACCATTCTTTGGAAAGTGAAGAACTTTATGATGGTCCATTTCTGCTTAGTAAATTTTTCTCATCTTTGTGATTTCTTATTTCTATTTTCTTTTCTCTAGCTTACTTTATTGTAAGAATTCAGTATATAATACACATAAAACACAAAATATGTGTTAACTGTTTATGTTATCCATAAGGCTTCTGGTCAACAGTAGGCTGTTAGCAGTTAAGTTTTGGGGGAATCAAAAGTTATACATGGGCCGGGCGTGGTGGCTCACGACTGTAATCCCAGCACTTTGGGAGGCCGAGGTGGCAGATCATGAAGTCAGGAGACCATTCTGGCTAACACAGTGAGACCCCGTCTCTACTAAAAATACAAAAAATTAGCCAGGCATGGTGGCAGGCACCTGTAGTCCCAGCTACTCAGGAGGCTGAGACAGGAGAACGGCGTGAACCCGGGAGGTAGAGCTTGCAGTGAGCCGAGATTGCGCCACTGCACTCCAGCCTGGGCAACAGAGCGAGACTCCGTCTCAAAAAAAGGAAACTTACACATGGATTTCCAACGGCATGGGGAGTCAGCACCCCTAACCCCTGCATTGTTCAGGATCAGCAGTAAATAGGATGCTTGGCACCATGGCTGGCAAACATGAAACCCTCAATCAACCAGGTAATCACTGTTATTGCTAATATTAGTATTAGTTGTTATTAGTCAAGATAAGAGCTGGCAGAATCTGTATCTGTTTATCACATTCAGTATATTTTTATGGCGACCTGGGATGGGAGCTTGAGAGATGTGCCCTCCCCTACTGGGATAGAAGCCAGCCCCTGGTTATCTTTCTTAATGATGGGCCAGTTGCTATGAGCATAGGTTGGAAAGGAGCAGGGGACACCTCCTTCTATCAGTGTCTCTCCTGCCACCAAGTCATGCTAGCACATGAAGCTGACCTGCCTTTCCATTTGACTCAACCCCCAGGCAGGAAACATGTAAACTCCTCAGACCCCAAGGATTTGGCAGGGCTGCTTTCACTAACACTTCCCCTTGCAGCTTTCTATAATTCATTCCCCCATTCAAAATGGTCTTGCAAAACCACACCCAGGAGAGTCCAGGATATGAACAGCAAGCCAGTGACAGAGTATAAGTTGCAAGAGTTCCATCTCCCTAATGGCATGTATACCGTGCCCTCCCCGAAGGCACTTCCTCTTTCATTTGAAGCAGGAAGTGGGGAGGTTTTCCTATGATGTCCCTTGCACCAAGTGTAGAAGTAGACCTTCAAGAAGTTGGGTACTTGAGTTGCTGCTCTTTGGTCCCGTTTCTTAGTAGGGTATCACCAACTTTTTAGGTGGGGCAGTTCTTTACTGCGTGGGACTGTCCTATTCAATGTAGGATGCTTACCATTCTTTGACCCTGACACCAGCAGTGTCCCTACAAGACCAAAACATCCCCATACACCTCCAAAAGGCCTCTGGAGGAGGTGGTACCACTCCTGGCTGAGAATCTGAGACGGGAGAGTAAATAAAGAAGCTCTGGGATTTGGGAATGGCTGGCGGCATTGAGCGTGGGTATCTGAATAATGTTTATATCAGGGCAACTTAAGGAAATGCTTGTCTATTGCAAGACAGTTCCTAAGGAGATGTGTTCAGAATATATCACGGGCATAAATGGATTCTTATATTTGATTTTCCCAAGTAACCCAATTGTTACCACATTGCCTTTGTCCCAGATGCTTTTTCTGAAATCGGTTTGTTGCTCTGCATTAGCCCTGCCCGGGTAGAGCTTTGGTGGAGTCCTTGAGGTTAGCACTGTCTTAATATACTGGGAATTTAAGCAGAGCTGGGCCCTCTAAATCAATCACCAGAACAGCTTTAGTTTTTTTCTTGCTCAAAAGTGCACTATTAAATGCAGAAACACGTATGGGAGTGGAGGTTGGCTTGGGTGAAGGACACTTTTTAAAAGAAAAATTTTATAACAATTTTTTCTGCAGGAAAAAGGACTTGCTGGTCTTGCTTCTTGTACAACTGGGCTACGGAATAGATTTACATCTCCGCAGCATTTTTAGCATCCTTGGAATATGCTGGGTCATTCAGAAGTCACCTAATCATATTTTCTTGGGGCACTCCAGGTGTTTAACAAATACATGTTGAACAAAGGAACAACTAAATTAATGGAAAATTAACTAAAGCTTTTTAAGTGGTGATTACAAAATGGAATGAGCCAGTGTTCCCCTTCTCGCACCCTCTGGGGGCTTCTTGGGTGGCAAAGTTCACCCTGTCCTTGGGACCTGAGGACAGTTGAATCCAAGGGAGCATTTCATCCCTCATAATGCGTGCCTTGGTTGTGGAATGTCTGGGAGGACATGGCAGTGAGAAAACCTCTATCTGAGGAAGCAAATGAGGAAGTGGAGTCAGCAAGTGTAGACTTCTCTTGCTCAGAGTTTTCTGTGAAGGGATGGGGGCCCTGGCCATCAGAAGGGATGTGGGGTTGAAAGGAGGTGTGCATTTGGATTTG